>NC_000015.10:43276874-43901874 GCF_000001405.40 Homo sapiens | reverse complement strand
CCCACAGAGAACGATCAGAGGCGGCTCAGTGCCTGCCCACCCTTTCCTGACCTGTAATCTAGTTTCTTTCCGAGAGTGGGTTTTATTGACTGCAGTGGCATAAGTCACTGCACGGAACTGCAGTGGAGTCACATTTAATGCCATTATGCGCCTGTGAGGGATAGACGAGAACCAGCCGGGGAGGCTGCCCAGAGAAAACCTCTGTAATTACTCATGCACATCTGGCATTTTGGAGATGAGCGGGGGCAGCCAGTCACTGCCGAGGCCTGTGCAGACCCATGGCCCCTTCCAGTCTCTCTCTGTGGCTGTGGCCCTTCACGTTACCTCCTGTCCCTGTTGCTTTGACACTCCTGGTCTCTACCTCAGTTTCTCCACATTTCTGCCTCTCTCTTTCCATTACTGGAGAGGGTCCAGTATCACCAGTAAAACCAACTGGCAAGCTGATCTGAAGGAAGCAGTATCAGCCAGGAACAGGAAGACATCAACCTTTTCTTCCTAACTGGAGAGGGGATACTAAGCTTCAAGCAAAAATTAAAAGAATAGTATATTAGTTCCTAGGGTTTCTGTAACAAGTATCACAGACTGGGTGGCTTAAAGAACAGAAGTCTATTGTCTCACAGTTCTGGAGGCTGGAGATCTGAGATAAGGTGTCAGCAGGGTTGGTTCTTCCTGTGGGCTTTGAGAGAAGGATCCTTTCCAGGCCCCTCTCCTTGGCCTGTGGATGGCTGTCATCTGCCTGTGTCTTCACGCTTTCTTCCCTCTGTACATGTCTCTGTCCAGATTTCTCCAAAGACACCAGTCATATTGGATTAGGGCCCATCCTAATGACCTCAGTTTAACTTAATTACCTCTGTAAAGATCCTGTCTTCAAAGAAGGTCACATTCTGAGGTACTGAGGGTTACAATGTCAACATATGAATTTTTGAAGACACAGTGTATAGCGCATAACAAATAGGAATGCCGGGCGCAGTGGCTCACACCTGTTATCCCAGCACTTTGGGAGGCCAAGGTGGGCGGATCACAAGGTCAGGAGTTCAAGACCATCCTGGACAACATGATGAAACCCTGTCTCTACTAAAAATATAAAAAGCTAGCCAGACATGGTGACACATGACTGTAATCCCAGCTACTCAAGAGGCTGAGGCAGGAGAATCGCATGAACTCGGGAAGTGGAGGTTGCAGTGAGCTGAGATCATGCCATTGCACTCCAGCCTGGGTGACAGAGCGAGACTCTGTCTCAAAAAAAAAAAAAAAACCAGGAATGAATGAGCACAGTGACATAGGGACAAAGCAGTGTCCTTTGGTCCCTTGGTGAGAAGATGGTGATTTATTCTTGCCTAGGAGTTATGAACCTTGAGAACATCCTGATATTCAGAAACCCTGGTCATCTTCCCTACCCCACAGTTCCCTATCCACTAGCACAGCCTGCTGCAAAGTAACCCCTGTGTTCTTGGGGCCACACTGTCAGAAAACACATTCATGCCTGTTATACCAGAGAATTGACATTTGGATATTTACACATTAGCAAAACTTCCAAACAATGCCCTCTGTGTAACAGATGCAGTTTAAACCCCTCCATAAATTGCTCCAATACTGTTAGCAGGGCACCCACACAGGAGTGAAGAGAGCTTTGGATAAGCTGGCCCTGGGCTCCGGTTCCCATCCCCTGTTTACTGGGGCCTTTGGGAGCTTCTCTGAGCCTCACTTGAAAGTACACAGTCTGTGTTCAATAACTGCTCCCTGAACTGCTGAGTCACTCTAGGACCTTAAAGACGGCTGCCTGAAGATATGTTCATCAGAAAGGGCCAGGTTACCTCTGCGTTTGACCCCAAACCTGCCCAGTCCCCTTGAGGCCACACATAGCACCCACCTCTTCAGAGACGGGTCCCTGAGCAGAGTTGAAAAGACACAGAGATGGGCAGACAGTGAGCCCGAGCACTACACTGACTAGAGCGGGGAAAGGGATTCTCCACCGTTGCCCACGGGATTCTGGAAGCTGTAGTGGCAGCCAGCCTGGTTTCCAACCCAAATACACATGCACCCCAGGACTGTGAGGCTCCTGTCTCAGCCTCGTCTTGGGTGAGTTTGTCCATCATTGGACGCAGAGAGGCTGAAGAGGCTGCAGGGAGGAACCAGCATTCATACCAGGCACTGTTGCCACCCAGTCACTTATGTCATGCCATCTCAATCCCATAGCATCAACTCCTGGAAGGAAAGAGGGAGGGAGGGAAGAAGAGATGTTTGTGGTATGCCTCCCATGGCGGCCTCAGTGGAGTCTTTTCACATTATGTTCTCATTTAATCCTCACACCAGCCCTGGGAGGTAGATGTTATTCTCCCTGTTTTATAGATAAGAAGACTGGCATTCCAGGAGGCCAAAATTCACAAGCCCTCAGCGGTAGAGCAAGAATTTGAACTCAAGTCACTACCCGTTGTTATGTACCCTATGGAAGAACAGAAACCCCCCAGGAGACTTCTTTTGGGGGAGTGCTCAGGTCCCTTGTTCCTGAGCCCTGTGCCTCTTCCTCACCCAGGGCCATGTCAGGGCCCTATTGCAGACCCCACACATAGCCCCTCAGCTCCTCTCATTAGGCTCTGGCCATGATTCCTCAGCTCTCCCAGCAAAGAGAACAGTTTAGGGGCCTTTACTCTTGTTATTAAGTGGAGTCACTTTAGTGATATGCTATCAAGTGCTCGCCTTAATGCTGCTACAAGAAGAGCTGAAATAAGCTGGCACACTTGGTGTAATAAATACTGATGATTTCTATTAACAGAGAGGCAATTACTGGGCCCAGGGAATCTGGGGCATGCAGCCCTAGGGAGGACAGAAGAGGAATCATTTTGATAATTAAATGAGAGCAGAACAACGCTCTAGCTTAGGCTCTGTCCCCTGGACTGATTAAGAAGCTGCTGTTCTTCCTGTGCACACTGATGGTTTCTTTCTGCCCAGAATGTCCTTGTCTGGCCCTGGGACCAGGAAGAGGAGATTCTACAAATGCTGGATGGGACAGCCAGAGAGCTCTATTAGCTAATACCCAAATTCCAAAAGTGCAGGACAAGGCTGTCCTGCATTTTCTGCCTTGACCCTCAGCCCTCAACTCCTGGCGGGAGCCCCAGCAGCCCAAGCCTACAGCTGCTGGAGGAGGAGAATGAAGCAAACCACTGGCAGTCCATTGCTATATCTGTTCCCTGGCCCTGACAGCACTCCAACTTCAGGAGCCACCATCTTGCTCCATCCAGGTAGCCCTGAGACTGGTGGTTTGGCCTGGGTCTCCTGCAGCACTGTACTTTGGCCTCCTGGGCCCAACTTACGGAGATGTCCTGTTACGGTTCATGGAGTAGTGAGGCCTGTTACAGATGCCCAGCCTTGTTGTTAAGAGTCTTGAAGATACCATTTATTGAGAGTCTGTCTGTGCCAGCTTTGTACATTATCTCATTGAATCTTTACAACATCACTGCTAAGAAGATATTCTTGTCCTTATTTTAAGATAAGAATACTGAGCCTCTGAAGATGCAGACAAGAAGGGATATGAGGGAGATAAGTCCCCTCTAAGGAACCAACTAACATGCCCAAAGGTACTGGGTAACACAGTAATGCCCAAAGGTACTGGGTAACACAATACTGAGGCTCGAACCCAGGGTTATCTGAGTCTCAGTGCTGTGCTTTTTCAATTATTATTCATGGTCTTCCCTCTGGAGAGATGGAATTTAGGAACTAAGCACAACTCATTGCCAATTCTGACACAGAAAGGACACTGACCTACAAGATTATTGATATCATCTGTCTTAGTCCATTTTCACACTGCTATAAAGAACTACCTGAGACTGAGTAATTTATAAAGAAAAGAGGTTTAATTGACTCATAGTTCCAAATGGCTAGGGAGGCCTCAGGAAACTTACAATCATAGCGGAAGGGGAAGCAGGCATGTCTTACATGGCAGCAGGAAAGAGAGAATGAGGGGGGAGATGCCATACTTTTAAACCATCAGATCTTGTGAGAACTCCCTCACTATCATGAGAACAGCATGGGGAAACTGCCCCATGGTCCAATCACCTCCCACCAGGTCCCTCCCCTGTCACATGGGGGTTAAAATTCCACATCAGATTTGGGTGGGGACACAGAGCCAAACCATATCATCATCCTATAAAAATTTAATGTAAGTTCACCAGTGTCTTTATGTCTGCTTTGTATAGACCAGGATAAAATTGATTTCAACAGGATCTAGGTTAGATCAACCACAAAAATAAAATTACACTGTCCCTCTGCCCTTAAAATGGAATCATTACTTTCATAATCCAGCCACCTAGCCAGCTCTCTAAAGAAGAACCCCATCCCCCATCTTGACGAGTTGCCCCTCACTTTTTTTTTTTTTTTTTTTTTTTTTTTTGAGATGGAGTGTCACTCTTGTTGCCCAGACTGGAGTGCAATGGTGTAATCTCAGCTCACTGCAACCTCTGCCTCCCGGGTTCAAGTGATTCTTCTGCCTCAGCCTCCCAAGTAGCTGAGATTACAGGTGCACACTACCACGCCCAGCTAATTTTGTATTTTTAGTAGAGATGGAATTTCACCATGTTGGCCAGGCTTGTCTCAAACTCCTGACCTCAGGTGATCTGCCCGCCTCGGCCTCCCAAAGTGCTGGGATTACAGGTGTGAGCCACCATGCCCAGCACCCCTCACTTCTGAGAAACAGAACAAGAAGGATCAATGATGGCTGTCCCACCCTTGGGTGGGCCCATCTTGGCTGTGTGGCAGGTAGGGTGTTAGATTTACTGCTGAAATGAAGAACTTCACCAAAGCCACCTGGTGCAGTTTCCACCAGGAATTCCTTTCTGAGCTGTCATGGAGTAACACCAAATCTCTTACAGGGTGCCTCCTCCTCCTCCTCCTTCTCCTCTTCATTTCCATTCTAGTTTATTGTGGCCAAGTTTAAGTGTAGTATATTCAAACTGGGTGATTTTCATGACTGACTTCAGCTTCCCAACTGTGAGCTCTTTCAGAAATGGGCGTATCTGGTACAGCATGTGGAATCATCTTCCAGAGGGTTTTATAAGAAATAGTGGCTTCATTCATCAAAATTGAATTAGTTTGAGTCATGGCCCAGAGAGGGCACAGTATGACCCTAGAGGCCTAACAACCAAGAATGCTGTGTTGCCTACTCAGTCACACCCAGTGTGTCCTCTAGGGTGGCAGGAGACAGAAGGCTACTTTGAATCTGGAAATGGAACTGGTGGGGACTAGAAATGGTGGCCAGATGTTCCTGCTTCTGAACCAGTCAATGCTTTGATTTGCAAGAATCCTTTCCTGGGCAGAGTGATCATCCTAGGGTGAACTTTGCTGGTGTTGACTGACACAGGTGAAGTTTGATGGCAGGGGCCATGTAAACACATGAATGACAAGGAATGCATGTTCATCCCCTCTCCAAGGAGAATACCGTTGGCCACATCCTAGCAGTAAGATATTTGGTCTATCTCCCTAAAATCAGATGGAAGTAGTATTTCTCCAGGTATATATTATTGTCCTTATTTAGCAAATGAGGAAACCGAGGTTTGGAGAAGTGAAGTCACAGAGGAAAGAAGGAGGAGAGCTGGGGTCCTAAACTGAGACAGAAGCTCTTTTCACAAGGATGAGAAATTGAAAACAATTCTTTTTAACCTCACAACTGAAGAAGTGAACTAGATTATTTCGACTGTTACCTGCTGCAGAGTGTAGCTGGCGATATCCACGGCATAGCTATCAGGACCCTAGTTTGTTTTCCACCTCCCGACTCCATTAATGGCTCAGTCCTGTGGGCACTGATTTCATAGGGATGGGAAGGGGACAGAGAAGAAAGAGAATCCAGCTTGATAAAATGGGAGATCTGAAGAACAGGTGACTGTTGACTCTTCACTTCTCACCTTGTCCTCATTCCCTCCTCTTTTTGTCATGCAACTTGTTATTTTGCACACAAACTCCAACGGCAGGCTCACAACAAGAATGACAAGTCAGATAGAAGAATCTGGAGAAGTTCCAGGGAAGGTGTCAGTGTGGCTGCCTGCTTGTATTTTCATGCCAGTACAGATGTGAGATTTCCCACTGTAATTCGAGTCCCTTCCACACTGATTGCTGAGCCTCATGTGCCAGAGGCAAGTTGCAAACATCCCAGCTGTCATCTGCCCCTGCGGATACCGGGTGTCAGGGTCTTGCGGTGGCCTTCATCTGCATCTGTTGCATTTGAAGCAGTTTGGAGAACTGCTCTCTTCATATGAGATTGGGAACAATTGGGATTGTTCAAGGTGCTATTATTGCTTATGAAATGATGTGGCATCTCATTTTCATTGGGTTTTATTCCCAGCTCTCTGCTCTAAAGCAGCCAGTCTGGTTAGGAGAGGCTGTGCTCCTCTAACTCTAACACCTGCCTTCACTCAGAGGCCAGCTCTGAGGTATCTGCAGGATGCAGGGCAACCTGGCCAGCACCACCCATCTTGTGGGACTGTGTATTCCCTTTGCTCTGCAGAGGGACAGAGGTCACTGAGAGGACTCTGGCGGATCTCTGACTGTGTCATGGCCTCTGTTCCCTTCCCATTCTCACTTCAGATTCATGGATCACCCCACTCTTCCATGGTCCCCTAACAGTGAATTACTTCTCCTTTTTTCATTCTAACTTCCCACATTTTCGTTTCCTAACTAGCAAAATTTAAATCTGTCAACATCAGGAAAAATAGTAAAATGTTAGATTTTACAAAAGGATTTGTATTAAGTTCAACAAACTCAGCTAACTAGTAGCAGCTATAATAATATTAACAACAAACACAGGCCGGGTGTGGTGGCTCATGTCTGTAATGCCAGCACTTTGGGAGGCTGAGGTGGGTGGATCACTTGAGCCCAGGAGTTCAAGACCCACCTTGGCCATATGGTGAGACCTTGTCTCTAAAACAAACAAAAAACATGGCCACTAGCATTTGTGAGGTGCCTCCTAAACATAACCTATGAGGTAGGTAACACGATCAACCCTCATTCTAAGACAAGGAGTCTGACCATGGAGAAATTAAGGACCTGGCCACAGCCACACAATGAGTGGCAGAGCTGGACCTGGACCCGAGCGGTTTGACCAAGAGCCCGCACCACTGTGGTTCTAGTGGGGGTGCTCTTCTGCCTGTCACTGCCCATATGAGCCAGAGTGGAAGAAGCAGAGGGGGGCCCTCCGCTGCCTCCCTCCCCTGCCTTCCCTCCCAACTCCCTTCCCTACTTCCTTCCGTTATTTCAAGCTGTCCAGTAGCCTCCTGCAGGCCCAAGGCTTCATTTCCATCCCTCCACCTCTCCTTCCTAGGCCTTTCCTTTATCTCAGCGGGCATTATGACCCCTTCCGTGCCTCTGCCTCACCTCTGCCTCCCCTCTCATTTTTACGCACATACGGACGTTCCCCACTGCAGCCAGACTGGCCCCTCTGACCCACCCCACTGTCTAACACCTTCATCTGCTCAACATTTTCTGAGACCCTTTCTATACCACCATTCACACAATAAGGTCTCCACTCCCAGTCTCTTTCTTTCTAAGCCTGCAGTTGTAGGACTTCCCCGGGTCCTGCTTGCACAGTGAGCAGAAGAGACAGAACAGGCAGGCTGCCTCCCTCCCCAACCTCTCCCAGTCATTCTTACCTCAAGGCCACCCTTCCCTGACCCATACCTCTGCCAAGCCTGCCAGATTAGCCCTGGTGCCTCCTGACAGGAACAGTGTTTGTGTGTAGTGCCTGGTACTCAGATATTAATAACCACCACCAGGCACTGATTATAAGCAGGAGGAAAATCAGCCCTGTGGCTTCATAGTGTCTGCATTCCAGTTATTTTTAAACAGCTTTTTGTTCTGCCCATGACATTGTGCTTGTAGCCAAGTGTCTGGATCATGACAGACCCTGAGGAAA
Source organism: Homo sapiens (assembly GCF_000001405.40). NCBI lineage: Eukaryota > Metazoa > Chordata > Mammalia > Primates > Hominidae > Homo > Homo sapiens. The sequence goes on along the minus strand of NC_000015.10, from coordinate 43,893,977 downwards.
GGATAATAACAACAATACATTAATTGCAAATGTTTGCCAAACATACACTTAGTTTATTCCCTGGACCCAGATGCTCATACTTGTAACCCTGACTCTGAGAGATAGTTTTAAGGCAAAACTGGACTGCTTCTTGAGGCAGGACTCATGAGGCCCTGCAGAGGCCCCACTGTTCTTGCGACCAATCAGGCTGAGAATCTGTGTCAGGGAGGTGAGCCCTGAAAGCAGAGAGGCCAGGAGAGCCAAACCTCAGGCTGACCTGGCCCAGCAGCCTCAGCCCCCACACCCATGCCTCACGCCCGGTGTCTGGCCCTAACTCCATGGCACCACCTGAGCTGTGGCCCAGAAGACTCTCCTGCAGGCACATTTGACCAGCATCACAGCATAAGTTTCTGGTCACCTCAACACACTTACACCCTCTCCATCACCATTCATGCAGCCTGACGGTGCCAAATCTCACCTGACGCCCCTGTCACAAAGGAAGCCCCTCTGGGAGGGCAAAATCCTCCACCCAGCCTAGACCTCAGGGAGCTCACTTTCGCAAGTGAGGAAGCGAGACCTACAGCTTCTGCTCCGCCCGCTCCCCACTATGTTCAACAGAGCCTCAAGCCTGGTGTTTACTGACTGATGGTGCCAGTGACCAGGAGGCCCTCTCTGTTGGTTCAGGCACCTCAGGGCTGGTGGCAACTGTTCTATTTTGCCAGTTGCTTCTTGTTTTTTTCTTCAGCTAAACTTTCCTGAGGGGCCCAGTGTTATAGGACTATTATGAAAGTGGATAACAACTCCCCCACTCTTTAATAACAGCCTTTTAAGATGTAATTCACATACCATAAAATGTTTTTTTTTTTTTTTGTTTTTTCGTTTGTTTTGTTTTTTTGAGATGGAGTCTCACTCCGTCACCCAGGCTGGAGTGTGGTGGTACAATCTTGGCTCACTGCAACCTCCACCTCCTGGGTTCAAGCAATTCTCCTGTCTCAGCCTCCTGAGTAGCTGGGATTACAGGCACGCATCACCACGCCTGGCTAATGTTTGTCTTTTTAGTAGAGATGGGGTTTCACCATGTTGGCCAGGCTGGTCTCGAACTCCTGACCTCAGATGATCCACCTGCCTCGGCCTCCCAAAGTGCTGGGATTATAAGCACGAGCCACTGCTCCTGGCGATATGTGCCCTTTTAAAGTGTACAATTCAGTGGTTTTTAGTATATTCACAGGGTTAAAAGATCACAACCTGATTTTTTGTGACTGGCTTCTTTCACTTGGCATAATGTTTTCAAGGTTCGCCTGTGTTGTAGCGTCTATCAGTCCTTCATCCCTTTTTACCGGTGAATAAGATTCTACTGTATCATGATACTACTTGTTTATTCATTTATCAGTTAATGGAAACTTTACACTGGAAAATGGATTGGGTTGTTTCTGCTGTTTAGCTCTTAACACATACTGCTGCTATTAACATACATGTACCAGTTTCTGTGTGGACATGCATTTTTAAATCTCTGAGCACATACTGAGGAGTGGAATTGCTGGGTCATATGGTAACTCTATTTTTAACAATTTAAATGACTTTCAAACTCTTTCTCAAAGTGACTGTACCATTTAACAACCCCATCAGCAATGCATGAGGTGTTGCCATTCTCTTTGGATGTTCACAGCAACCTTCTAAGGTTGGTATCATTATAACCTACAACTTACAGATCAGGACACTGAGGCTCAGCAAGTAACTTGCCTGTAGTCATGCGGCTGGCAAGTGGCAAGGCTGAGACTCAAACTATGGTCTTGTGATTCCAGATGATATGCTTTTCCCTCTGTGACCTACTGCCAAGTATTAACCCTGCATCACCTATGAACAGCTGTGTTTCTTACCCTTTCACCTCTGTGCCTGCATCACCCGATGAGAAGTCTTTCTGTGTTGCAGGACGTGTCAGGAAATGCTGCATTTCTGGCCTTCACTCCTTTTGGGTTTGTTGTTCTTCAAGGAAACAAGAGGGTCCACTTCATTAAATGGTGAGCATCTTCATTTCCAAAATAGGCTCTTTATATCTCACCAACTGGGGAGGGGCGACGGTTCCCGTGTCCTTTGTCTGTGATTGGGCAGTTCTGGTTCAGAGCCCTCTCCAAAGCCTTGCGTTGATGGTGGTAACTGACGAAGGGAGTGGTCTCTTCCTAGGGATCCTTTTCTTCTAAAGGGGTGTCCCTGAGAGCCAACAGCCTCTCCAGAAAGGAAAAGGGATACAGAGGTTTGATTTCTGGGGAGGGTGAGAGGCCTGGGGCTGGAGCCAGTGTTAGCGGAGCAAAGTTCCTGTGAGAACTGAATCCTTGGGGCCGTCACCCACTGAGGGTCATAGTTAGCCCTGTTGAGCCGGCTGTTCTGGAGCATCTCTGTGGATGGCTTAGTGCCCTTACCTGCTCTACTAACAAGGGAGGGGCTCACAGACAGTGACCTCTGGGGCAGATATAAGTCCTTTGCTACTTTGGCAAAACACCCTCCTCAGACCAGCCCTCCCTGTGGGCATCGTGTCTGCAAAAGCTCAGTTGCTGCTGTCTCACTCCTATCCCTCTTGGGCATTTAAGTGTCCTCAGCTTCCAGGAGTCATATTCCCACTCTTTCTTCCTTCCCTCCCTTCTCCACTCCCATCTAACAGGCAAGAGCCACTGCCTCAGCTGCAGCTACTCTGAGCTGCTTCCTCTCCTGCCCCTCTCTGTTTTATTTGGGGTCTGTTCTGCTGCATGCCTCTGGGCAGACTCTGGTTTGTTGATTGACATTTGGCTTTCCTGGAGACCCTTTAGCTGGCCAGCCCATACAAACATCTGTCAGCGTCATCAAAACATTTTGCATATTCTACTAAGCTCTTGTGATTTCTGTACCTTCCTGGGCCTCAGACTGCCAAGTCTAAGCTGGCCAGCTCCTTCTAGGGGCTTAGATAAGTGGCTTCCCTTGGTCCAGCAGAGCTCAGTGGGGGGAAGTCTGTTTGGTTTGTCTTCTCCAGGAGAGCTCATGAGGAATCTTGAGTACAGTTGCTTCCTAGTCAGCGTTCTGCTGGGGACACTGCAGACCATCTATCCCGCTGTGCCCTCTTCAGCTCCCCCACTGAGTTTGAGCTTGAGGACAGATACCGCCTTTCCAGCCCACCTTGATTTTGTGAAGGAGGGCATTACGATCGTCAGCCAGAGTGCTGGTGAAACTGCTCCTCACACAGGACAGGAAACTCGACTCCCCAGGACAACAGCCGTGCCACAAGGCAGCTGCTGCCCTGGAGTTACCAGAATACACCCCAACATACCTGTTTCCTAGGCATCCTCAAGTCGGCCCACTTCACTGTGCTCTCTGGGTGAAGATGTGAGGATTTGCAATCTCCTGTCCAACAAAATGCTTTTCAGAAAAAGGCAATGAGCAGGATCAGGCCTCAGCCCTCCTAGTGTGGGGTCTCTGCTGCCTGGATACATCTGGGCTATTTGATATTCTTTAGAGGGCCCAGATCCACATTCCAACCAGAGTAGCTGTTGGGTGAGGTCCCTGTTAGAGGGAATGTTTGGCTAGAAACAAGTAGGACACACCTGTCACAGACACCTGCAGTCCCTAAATTATACCCACCCTTCCAGAAACCATGATGGCTCTTGGTTCTCACAGACACTTTTCTTTCCACGGCTTCTCTCATGCACCACTTCTTCTAGAAGTCTCCTCTTCACCATGTGTCAACTCTGTAATAATAGATGTAAACCCAATCTCACTCTCAAAATAAAACTCCTTACTTTCCTAGCTTGCTTGTTGGAACCTAGGTGATCTGTGTGCTTGTCTATATATTAACCAATTGGCATTATTGTACTGTGTGTGTATGAGATTGATGGTTGATTGAGAGGGAGTTTGAGAGGGAATCAAACAGGGAAGGAATACCGTGTGACTTGTGTTAGCTCAGAACTGGTGGTCAGAAGTTGTGAAATCTCATCCTGACCCAGCCATGATTTTCAGGAGCATGGAGAACAAGTGATTTTCCTCTGTCCCCTGAACTTTTTCCAGCAGTAAGTTGGGTACATGATTCTCGCTACCTTTCTACTATTTCCTAGGAGATGAAGGAAATCTCCTTAGAAATTACAAAAAAAAGCAGCAGCCAAGTGGAGGTGAATGTGCATGACAAGACCGCCTTGGGGGTCCCAGTTGGGTTGAAAAATGGGGCCTCCAGTGACATGGAGAGGGCTGAGAGACTCCAGAGGGCAGCTATGTTGGGCAGATAGAAGGGAAGTGAGGAGCAACCAGTGCTGAGGCCTAGTTCCATGGCTCTCAGGGACATTCACCTAAGACCCAGTAGTTTTTCCGTTTTGCAAATGTAACCAAGGCTGAGAGCAGGAGGTGGATGTGGAGGTGAGGTCTAGGCCGTGCCATGTACAGTAACCATGTCACTTCTTCTGATTTGTGTCTGTCCCACGGGTGATGTACCCCAGTATCCTGTTTGCCTCTTTTACTGCAGCCATTCACTGGGCTGGTGGCTTCAAGGATTTTTCTACAATAACCCCTAAGCCCCTTTCCTGGTCAGTACGCTGCATGACTGTTCCATGTAATCTGTTCTCTCTCTTTGGTATGTTGCCCTGCCCCGCTCCCTGAGATTGTTTGATATTTGTCTGCATTAAACTGCATTTTCCATCCAGTGGCACAGTCACCTGAAAGACTCAACTCCCTCAGAACCTGGTTGCATTGTTTCTCATTATTTGCTGTATCTTGAACTTTGGCCTCATCAGCTACCTGTGGCATCTTACGTTTGACAGTCCCATCCAGATAATGCACCTGTGTTATGAACCCAATCCTGAAATGACCCCAGATACTCTACCTAGACTCACTTTCCATGCAAATGTTTCCCTTTTACAGCCACTGTTGATAAGCCCGAAATCCTCCTGTCACCCTATTACTATAGTGTGATTGACCAGAAAACTGTGGATTGAACTGTTTCAACAACATTCTCTAAGGCCACTGCGCTGCTGTCTTGTTTCAGTTCTGATTTTGGCTAAAATTGTGTCTGTGCCTGGAGCCCCTTCCAGTTGGGGTGGGCTGTGCATCTACAAGATTTAGCTGTGAACAAGCAGCCCACAATGAGGTGACAGGCACTATCTTTGTGCTTCTAGGAATGAGGTGACCAAGCTGAAATTTGAAGGAAAGACTTTCTATTTATACGTAAGTCAGAAAGAGGTGAGTGCTGGCTTCCTTCTCTTCAAGGAGGGCTGGGGTGATGGGATGCTTCCTGGTGGCCAGAGCCAAGCTTGAGGGACCCCAGTAGAGCCAAGCTACCCACATACTAAGCCAAGACCAAGGTCAGGACCTGGAGGTACAATATGAAGGAGCGGGAAGGCCCTGGAGCACAGGACTTCCTCAGGGATGCTATTGACACCCAGAGCTTCCACTCAAGAGATCTTTACCTCCAGGAAATGCAAAGGAAGGCTCTTTTTCTTTCGTGTATATGGGAATTCCAGAGGCAAGGGCAACTTTCTCACCAAGAGCTCTCCTGGTTCAATTTGTGCCACTTTTGTGCCAGCTGAGACTTACCCTGATTGGACTTGCCAAGTATGATGTGATGCACTTAACTGAGCTCTGCCTCAGTGGGTCCCACAGGCCCTCCCCTCTAACTAGCCAGCTGCCAGGGCCTCTAACAGCTCTGGGGTCAGGGTCCTCGCCTACTTCACCCTTTGCTTCTCCATCCACACTCAGCCATATCAATGTGGAATTTTTTGCAGGAAAAGAAAATTATTCTTACATATTTTGCTCCAACTCCTGAAGCGTGTAAGCACCTCTGGAAATGTGGAATCGAGAACCAAGCCTTCTACAAGTGAGTGGATACATGTGATGGGGACTGTCTTTCTTAGAGCCAGAGTCAGAGAGAGTCGGTGACAGGAGGCCAAGTGCCCAGGAACTTGGGGCGGGGTAGCTGGAAGTGGGCAAGAGCTTGACAGTTACTGAGAAGCCAGGTTGAGGCCAAAGGCAAGAGCTTTGCCTACCAAAGGGATTTTGTAAAGAATGTGGGGCTTTTGTGTTGTTTTCTTCGGTTAAGAAAGTGGTTATAAAAGCATTAGGTAGTGAAGAAATGGCCCACTGAGGGCATGATGCCAGGTAAAATATGTCTCACTAAGCCCTTTGGTCTTGTTTTAAAAATATACCGTAATGATTTATGCTTTACTAAGATGTATCTGAATGAGGTCAAGGCAAGACAGAGTGTGGTATATTCTACCTGGGGTGAGCCCTGCTCTCACCAAATGCCCCTGATTGGCCAGGTCCCAGTTCCAGTAACCTGAAGGATCCTGGAGAGATGAGAACTGCTCTGGGATGAGTGGCACCATACTTCTCTCCAGGGAAGATTCTGCTGCCTGCTGGCTGCTATGGGATGCTGGCTGGCAGAACTGGGTCCTCCCAGTTGCCAGGGCCACAGCCCCAGAAGCTGTTTCTTAGACAGGCATTCTGAATTACTTAATTCCCATTATGTGTTTATACCAGAACCAAGGATTCACTGAATCGGCAGCCTTTCTTCTCCTGAATATACTCGGGAGACTTTGGCATGGTCACACTTCCCTCCTGTTCAGTCCCTACTGTCCATAGAAAGTCAAGAAAACATTTATTTTCTTTTGCTACCACCCTCCCTTTGCCTGTGAGGATGTAATCCAGGTTTGGCCAGTTACCTGAACCTAGAGAGAAGCAACTTGAGATGCAAGCTCCTGCCTGTGGGACTGAGGAGCAGCCCAAGAACTGGGGTCCCACGGGTCTCCGCAGCAGAGAGAGGAAGGCACTAGCCGACAGGGGCCTGCTCCACACTGAACTATCCCTGCCCTGGGAATGGCATATGTGGAAGCTTTCCCTTTCTCTCTACCAAAGGGTAGAGAAGAAGCAAACAGAAGCAATCTCCTTGCCTCTTGTCTTTTCATGCCTTCAGCAGCATTTCTTAAGGGCTTGGTTTTCCCATCTGTGTCACGGAAACAGAAGTGTTGCTTCTGAACCTGTGACCTCACTCAGTTTCTGAGTCTTCCCACGAGTAGATCTCCCTACCCACCCAGCCCTGCCTGCACCCACACTGGAAATGGAGGTCATTTTTCAGTTTTCCATTGCCTCCTTAATGTTCTCATCAAACGGTAAAAGCCTGGGTGAGATCCCCAGGTATGTCAAGTCTCTGGCAGCAGCGCTTTGGCCTTGCCCTCAGTGTCTCTCACATACAGATCCCTAGTCCTGCCTTTGGCCTAGTGCCATGGCAGGAGCCCAGTCAGATGCAAGAACATGCCCAGGCTCCAGTAAGCAGCTCGGATGTCCTGGAGCCCTGAGACGGGCAGGGATGGTGTCTCCCAAGAACTGTTCATGGATTGTGGAAACAGCTCCTACTCACTGCTCATAGCACAGGTTTCAGACTCACATAGGTTACTGGTTGGATCAGTACCATAGGCACCTGGGCATGTTACAGGTGGATCCCATCTTAGGAGGCTTCTCTCTGAGCTGCTGTGCCCAAGCTGAGAGAGCTAATGGGCTCAGTGAAGTCACCCAGGAGAAAGTATTACAGAGCTCCACATCGGCTGTCTGCAGCTTCAAACGAGATATAAAATAGATATCCTGGGGGAGGGAGAAAGGCTCCAAATTCAAATACATGACGGACTTTTATTAAAGTTAAGCTAGTTTCTTCATCGCAGGATTTCTGTCTTTACTGTGGTCATGTATTTTAGGACCCTCCAAAAGGGAGATGGAACAGGAAAGACAGCCCCCACCCTCTTCTCCACCCACAATTACCCAGACATAGACACAAAATCAAATACTGGGACTGGAAAGGAGACCCCTAAGGTCCAGTAGTCCCAGCTCTATCATTTTATAAAAAGGGTGAGGCTAAGAGAGAAGGAAATTTGCCCGAGGTCACACTGCTAATAAGTGACGTGGCTGAGATTAGATGGGCATTCTATTATTCCCCAAGACCATCCACCCGAGCATGTATTCTCTCAGTCCCCCTGGTAAAACCTATGAAGCATTTTGGGGGAGCCTTCACTCTCCTGACACTAAAATGGGTTTCCATGTTGACAGTCCTGGGCACTGAGGCAGGAGAGCAGCTGGCTGTGAGCACAGCCCCCAGATCCTAAATGAGAGTCAGAGACAAATGTGGACTATGAAGGGCTTTTTTCCTGAAGTTTCAAGTAGCCTTTGGAAGAAGCTGGGGATGTGCTGCCTTAACCTGTGTGAGGCAGTTCAGGCTGTCTATCACACTGGACTTTGCCTTGCTACAGGCTGGAGAAGTCAAGCCAAGTCCGCACAGTGTCCAGCAGCAATTTATTCTTTAAAGGGAGCCGGTTCCGATACAGGTAAATAGTGACAGTAAGTAACCATTATGGATCTATTTTCAGACCCTTCTCTGGAGAACTCAGTGGTCCTTATCCTTTAGAACAGAGAAACCAGGGAGGACTCAGAAAAGTCTGAGGTCTCCATCTAATTCTCCCATCTTATGACCCTTTTACTATTTCCTTCCTTCCCTACAGCAATTTGTCTGTAGGGTTTTAAATGTATATTGGCCGGCCATAGTGGCTCATGCCTATAATCCCAGCACTCTGGGAGGCTGAGGCAGGTGGATCACTTGAGGCCAGGAGTTTGAAATCAGCCTGGGCAACATGATGAAACCCCATCTCTACTAAAAATACAAAAAAAATTATCTGGGTGTGGTGGCACACACCTGTAGTCCCAGCTACTTGGGAGGCTGAGGTGGGAGAATTGCTTAAGCTCAGGAGGTCGAGGCTGCAGTGAGCCATGATTGCACCACTGCACTCCAGCCCAGGAGACAGAGCAAGACCCTGTCTCCAAGAAAATGAAAAATAAATATGTATCTTCTCTTTCCCTTACAATAGCAAAATAAGAACTATAACAGTGATTCATGTCTCACTGTCTAAAGGTTGTTCTTATGTGTTTTTTTGTGATGTAATTGGAACATGCTGGAAAATGAGGAATTACTCCTAAATGAGAATGGAAGATCCTAAAGACTCTAGAGATGGAGAGAGTTCTCTCAGATAGGCTGTCATGACAGTTTAGAAGTCTACCCCACCAAGCAAGCCTTTCTCCATGACCAAAACATCAGGGAAAGGGTGGGCCACAGATGCCATTTCCTGATTCAGGGAAAGCACCTAAGATCTTGGAGAGGAGCTGTCCTACAACACAGTCTCATTTCTTGCTGCTTGTTTTTATTACACTACTTACAGTGGCCGAGTTGCAAAGGAAGTCATGGAATCAAGTGCTAAGATCAAACGGGAGCCACCGGAAATACACAGGTAGGCTGCCAGGGGCTTCCCCCCAAACAGTTGTAGCTCAGATCCCAGAATCTCAATCCAGCAGTTTGAGTACTGTGAAGCCCCTGGCTCCAGTGGCTACCAAAAAGTCCAAAATGGAGCAGAAGGCTGAAGAAACTTCTCAGAGGGATGGGGAGAAGTCTTTGACCCTTAATAAGAGAGCTGGGGAGGGAGGAAGGGCTACTGCAGATAGTACATCAGATCCAGGTGCCACTTCACTTGGCAATTCTCTTCTGCCCTCCCTAGTCTTGACACTGATCATAGATGTGTCACACAATTTCAGTGGTTCTGGAACCAGTCGATCATATGAAGCCAAGGATAGTCCCACAGCCCTGCCACACTGGCTCTAAAATAATTTCAGGATCCATGCTTCATGTAGATCCACAAATTGTGTTTCCAGAAGCCTATCTCCTAGAATCTAAGACCCAGAAAGAATATGACTGACCAAGAAGGGTAGGATTTGCCAACCAGCCTTTGCCTCTGGGAAGGGGAGCATTACTGCCTGCCCCTTCACATGGAGCCCTGTCATCAGCAGCCTCTATTGGAAGTCAGGGGAGGCTGCCAGTATTGGTCCAGGCATATTTTCAGGAGTACTGCTCATCCTGGGGCTCTACTCTCTGACAGTCTTGCCCCCACCCCAGAGACCAGTGGCACTGCTGCCACACTAAAAAAAAGGTTCAGATGAGTCTAGGGTTACAAAGAGGTGGAGGAGTTTGAAGCACTATCTCTGACTGGAATCCAGAGACCAAAGGCAAAGAGAAGGTATTAAAGATTTTAAAAAAGAGAGAGACCAAGACTTAATATAGCCAGGCAATTCTAGTAGCCAGTACTCAATTCTTAAGTGCCTACCAAATGTGTCCATGCACTGAATTAACAAGGTTCTTTTTCTTTAACCTCAGAGCAGGGATGGTTCCCAGCCGGAGCTGTCCCTCCATAACCCATGGCCCAAGGCTGAGCAGCGTCCCCAGGACCCGCAGAAGAGCTGTTCACATCTCCATCATGGAAGGTGAGCATGAGCTTCTTGAGGTGACCACTGGGGTCCTCCAAGTTGTGATCTGGGACCTTGAAAAGAGGCTAATTTGCATTAGTGATGGCAGCATGTCTCTTGGGGAAAAGGGCCTCCAGTGGCAAGTAGGAGGTTTTATCCAGTGGATGGGAATATTAGCTGGGTACAGGGTAAAGGGGTGTGGGTATCTAAGCAGGAGGGTTGTGGATTTGAGGGTGCTGGGTTAGCCCTTTGGGGGACTTGCATATGTGGGATCTATAGGTTCCATGCAGTTCTGAAATTGCTTTCCATCAAGAGGATTTTCACGCCCTGTGCGGTGGCTCACACCTGTAATCTCAATACTTTGGGAGGCCTAGATGGGTGGATCACTTGAGGTCAGGAGTTCAAGACCAGCCCGGCCAAAATGGTGAAACCCTGTCTCTACTAAAAATACAAAAACTAGCTGGGCGTGGTGGCACATGACTAATCCCAGCTACTCGGGGGGCTGAGGTAGGAGACTCGCTTGAGCCTGGGATGCAGAGGTTGCAGTGAGCTGAGTTCGTGCCACTGCTCTCCAGCCTGGGTAAAGGAGACTGTCCAAAAAAAAAAAAGAATTTTTTAAAAAAAGGGGCTGGCGCAGTGGCTCACGCCTGTAATCCCAACACTTTGGGAGGTTCAATTCAGGTCTCAGGAGTTTGAGAGCAGCCTGGCCAACATGGTGAAACCCCTTCTCTACCAAAAATACAAAAAATTAGCAGGGCATGGTCGTGGGAGCCTGTAATCCCAGCTACTAGGGAGGCTGAGGTGGGAGAACTGCTTGAACCCGGAAGGCAGAGGTGGAGGCTGCAGTGAGCCCAGATTGCACCACTGCACTCCAGCCTGGGTGACAGAGACTCTGTCTCAAGAAAAAAAAGAGGATTCCACTTGTTTGCTAAATCTGACCAATCTCCACAGTAAAATTATCAGGATGGCTGAGACTGTTAACCAAGAATTTTCACTTCTTGGTTCCGAAGCATTTCTAGTAGCTGCCACCATGTTTTGCTTCAGCTATAGAAATCTGTCCCGTTGGCTGGGCAGTGGCTCACGCCTGTAGTCCCAGCACTCTGGGAGGCTGAGGTGGGTGGATCACCTAAGGTCAGTAGTTTGAGACCAGCCTGGCCAACATGGTGAAACCCCGTCTCTACTAAAAATACAAAAATTAACCAGGTGTGGTGATGCACGCCTGTAATCCCAGCTACTTGGGGGGTTGAGGCAAGAGGATTGCTTGAACCCAGGAGGCGGAGGTTGCAGTGAGCTGAGATCGTGCCACTGCACTCCAGCCTGGGCAACAGAGTAAGACTCCATCTCAAAAAAAAAAGAAAGAAATTTGTCCTGTTGCTATCTGCATATCTTACCACTGTCTCAGGAAATTCAATACGACCCATCTCCCTCCAGACTCCCTTCCTTTGGAGCAGGCCGAGGTGGGAAGAGAGAGAAATTCTACGTATCTCCACTGAACTAGATACCCCAATAGCTGAGGCCAACAATCTATTCTCTGGGTAGTTAATGCTGTTAGGAGGCGCTCTTGGAATACTGCCCTCTAGCTGCTGTCACTGGCCCAGGTCACCCGCAGGCTGGATACAGGTGTAAAGTTGAGTGCTTTCATTCCCGAAGATGGTGTTTTTTTAGGACCTCAGAAATCTCACACAGCGGGAAACAGCAGAATTGGTTCATACCTGTCTCTCTCCTGGGATTAATGGTGTGGAAGCTGGCAGGACAGCCCTTTGTCCTTTCTGTAAGAATGCTGCTTGGGAATGAAAATGAATTGCTCACGTTAGGAAGGCTATCACTCTGCTGTTTCCCTGAGATCTAATTTGTGTTTAGGATTTTAGGATGTGTCACTGTGAGTGTGAGATTCCATGTTACCAAAGTCTAGTATGTAACTCCCTATGGTCTAGAGGTTGAGAACCCCGGCTAGACAAACACCATCAAGTTACTTGAGTATCTTCATTGCTCCATTTGTAAAATAGGGACATCTTCCTTGCCCACCCCATTGGTTGCAAGGAAGCTAATATGTGCGGAAGTACTTGAAAGAGACTAAAGCGTTTACAGGCCGGCAGCAAGCACAGTGCAGAGTTCTGATCAGGAAGCCAAGGTCTGACTAGGAGCTCTGCCATGCACTTTCTGTAACAGGTTGTTTTATCTCTGAGCCTAGTTCCCCCACTGCAGAACAGAGCTGGGTGTGGGAGAGTGCCTGTGGACTACCAAGTAGAATTGTTATGCAAAGAATGGAATTATGGATATATGACCATCATGAGACACAGCCTCCTGGTGTTTCCTCCCATCTTAGGCTGACCCGGAGAACTGAGCTTGGCTCTCACTGTCCCTTGGCTCTCTCCGTCCCTCTTTTGGGGTGTACATCTCAGGAAGTAGAATGAAATTCTCTGAGGAAACATAACTTTCTCCCCTCTGTGGCCTTTCTTTCCATCCCTCTGAGGCTGAAGCTAGAGGGTCCATCCCCATCCTCCACAGAGAGCTGGGACAGCTGTCCTCCCAAACAAAAGGCTCACCCTAGGGAAGCTAGCACCATGCAGGATGTAAAACAGGAGAGGAGCCTTGTGCATGCCTACTTCCCAGAACAGGGAAGAATGTCCAGGAAACCAGCATTCCCAAAAGAGGGAGGGCTGAGGCTCTCTGTGTAGAGACAAAACTCACTGAGAGTTGCTGCCAAGTAGGGTTAGTAGAACAACTCAGAGGCGGGGAAAACAGTCCTTGTGATCCTGAGACATGCTGAGGCTGAGTCAGGTCCCCATTCAGCTCTGGCTTTACCTCCAGCCTCCTCCTCCCATTGCAGCAGCAGGTTCCTTGTCCAAACTATTCCCCCTTGCTGCCAAATGCAAAGAGACGTACAGTGGGGAGAGGCTGCTGAGGAGTATAGGCCCCCTAGGGCCAGGGCACTTCCTCAAAACCAGCCTCATAGAATGGCACACTTGGTAGGTTACAGCTCAGCAGACTTCCAGGTGCTTCTCACACCCTGTGCCCAAGGCTGCAAGTGGCCCTGGTCATGGCCCCCAGCCCAGGACCCATTAGATGCAGGACAGCGCAGGTAAAACTGACCTGGCCCAAATGAACCTCACAGGCTCAGGGTGAGGAGAGGGAGATGGACATCAGGTTTGGATGTGGAAATAAATAAAAGATTGTAGCAATTAAATGGCTTTATCAGTACAGGGGCTACCAAGCCTGTGGAAGTAAAGAATGGGTTAGTTTCCAGGAGGCGAGAGTTCAGGTGCAACGTCTTTCAAGAGGAGGGCTTGCCTTTAAAGGTCCTGACAGGCACTGCTGACCCTAACTAACTGCCCACCCCAACCAGGGAGGGAGGGGCTGCGAGGGATGCGATGAGGGCCTCAGAAGAAGGGCGCAACCAACAAAAACCCCAAGGAATTTAGAGGCATTTAAATTGGTTCATGCTCCACCAAAGACTTTCTTTTCTATAGTCCATTTGGCCCATTTAGTATCACAGAGACTACCTCCTCCCACTTCAGAGCCACCCAGCCCCAAAGCTAGGCTGACCATGCAACTTGGCTGGCACCAGGGCAGGCCTGGACTATATATGGCCTGGATAAAGGCCAATGGCCTTGTCACTTTACATCCTGGATTTTCTGGGACGGTCTTGATTCCCCTTACCCTCTGGGATTGTTCTCTGCCCCCTCTGTCCCTTGCCCTCTGAGAGGTTGGAGCCCTTATCCAGGCCTCAGGGAAAGAGCTGCAGGCCAAGGAAGCATTACTTTTTATGGCTCTAAGTGCTTCTGACTAAATCCAGTCCCCTGATAACGGTGGCCTCTCAGAGCTGCTCCTTCCCTGCAGTTCAGCCTGATGTGAAGCTTGGGGAGGTGACCTTCTCCCTGCAACACGCGAGGCACTGCCAAGGGGCTGCTATGATGTGGGATCTGCAGAAATCCTTTGTTCCTAGTTGGCTTTCCATCTTTGCCTCTCTGTATCTCTCCCTGCCTGGCTGGTTTCTCTGAAGAGATCAGCTGGTTTCCACTGAAGAAGTATTTGCCTTCCTGGGCCACCATGGGGAAGAGTCTGATTAAGATTCACACCAGAGTCCGGGTCCAGCTCCGGCTGACTAATCACTGCTTTCGGCCCCTAAGTGTGCGCATCCTGAGGATGGGGCCCCGGCTCCAGGGTAGGGTCCTGACTGCTGTGACCCCCGGGCAAGGGAATCAGCTGGAGCATTTCCAAGGTAAAAAAGGCTCTCCTGTTTTGCTGTGCCAGTTAGCGCAGATCCTTCCCACGGCACCCATCCCATCTATCCCAAAATAACAGGTTCGATGAAATGGCAGGACAGGTGGTGGCTTTTACAGCAGTGAAAACAGTTTCTAATATAGGACTAACCTGATGTGGGAGGGTCACCTTACAGGTGAGATCTTCTGTTAAGGGAGGAGACCAACTGATATTTACTGAGCAACTGTATTTGTCAGGCATTCTACTAGAAATGCACATCTAATTGGATGTGGTGGCTCATGCCTGTAATCCCAGCACTTTGGGAGGCTGAGATGGGCAGATCACTTGAGGTCAGGAGCTCAGACCAGCCTGGCCAACATGGCGAAACCCCATCTCTACTAAAAATACAAAAATTAGCCGGGCATGGTGGTGGGCGCCTGTAATCCCAGCTACTCGCAGGGCTGAGGTGGGAGAATCACTTGAACCCGGGGGTCGGAGGCTGCAGTGAGCCGAGATTGCACCATTGCACTCCAGCCTGGGCAATGAGATGGAGTGAGATTCCATCTCAAAAAAAAAAAAAAAAAAGAAAAGAAAAAAAAAAAGAAATGCCTATCTATCCATTATCTTGTTTAATGAGAGCACCAACAGCTCCCAGTATGATGTGGCTCCAGGTGGTCCTCTGACATTTTCCTCTTCTGATGTCACAGCATCTGCCTCTCCTTCCCCACAAGCTGAGGGGTGTAATCGTAGGTTAAGCTAAGCTTTTCATACTTTGAAAGATCCTGCAGTCAGAGCTGTCTTCATGAAGGGGCAGGCCTTTGAAAGGGTGGCAGGCGCCCTATGCAATGGGGCTGAGGACTGCCTGGGAAAGGAGCCAAGCAAGCAATATGCTGCAACCAGGGCCTTAAGGTTTCTGCTTTATCAGTGACCCATAACCTGTCCCAAGGTACATATTCCTCAAGCTGCATGTGCAAATGGGGACATCAGGGAGGAATACTGTGGAAGAGAGATCAGAGGAACAGCAAGAGCTCTAGAACAAGGGACAGAGACTCTTAATTTCAGGTTATTTCAAAACAGTTTCTCGAGCAATTAAGACCTAAATCTAAGGTAGATGCTGGCTGTTGATTTAATCCGTCCTGGCCCATGGTTCCATTCCATGGAATCCGACTACAGTTAAGTCATCACTTAACAGCGTTGACAGGGTCTTTAGAAACTGCAACTTTAAGCAAAATGATGTACAATTAAACTTTTTTTTTTCTCATCAACATTATAACAAAATGGGGCTGGGCGTGGTGGCTCACATCTGTAATCCCAGCACAAAAACCTGTCTCTACAAAAAATACGAAAATTAGCTAGGCGTGGTGGCACATGCCTGTAGTCCCAGCTACTCAGGAGGCTGAGGTGGGAGGATCACCTGAGCCTGGGAGGTCGAGGCTGCAGTGAGCCGTGATTGTACCACTGCACTCCAGTCTAGGCAATGGAGTAAGACTGTCTCAAAAAACTAAAGAACTTTAAAAAAATTATAACAAAATGATGCTGAAGAAAACATTGGAGGACCTGCTGTAACATCATTTGGCTTAAAGTCATGGTTTCCAGGAACCTGTTGACAACATGAGGACTTAATAGATATGATCAGCAGGATCATGAACTAGAAAGCGGCTTGGATTCTATCCTTGGTTTTGCCATTAACTGCCAACCACATGACTTCAGATAACCTCTTGCCCTCACTACCTTGTGGAGTTACTGAAAGATAAAATCAAAGTGCTTTAAAAAGATGAAAGCATTATACAAATTTAAGATTTTAGCACAGGGACAAAAAATACAGCTAAGACTATGAGGAGCTTCTGAAAGCAGAGATTGAGAGCTGTGGCAAATATATGAGCCGTGACGCAATGGGGAGCGTAACTAGATGGCAGGTGCCCTGCCTTTGCCCCCACCCTCTCTCCCCATTGTCCTACTCATTCATAACCCAGATTCCAGGGCTCATTCCTCTGGAGAATCCTTAACTGTGCCTGTGCCAAGACAGGCTCCACAAGGCTGGTCAGGCAGGCTGCCTGGGTGCAAACGGCCAAGCCATGAGGGAGCCAAGGAAGATGGGACACACTGCTTCTGAAAGGTTACTAACACCTTTTTAAGAGAGACCTTTGGACTGCTTCATGTCCTGGAAGAAGGGGAAAAAAGAGACCCTTTGGGCTTCTGGAGCTAGCCCTGAACCAAAAAACTCCCTAATCAACCTGACTTAGGTAAAACCTTTACTGAGCTGGGAATCTGGTTCAGTCTGGGATTGTCAGGGACTATTTCAGGGCAACAGAAGGGGACTGGCTTTTCTTGTCATAGGTCACAAAGGCAGAGAGAACCACACCAGCATCACCAAGATGGCCAGGAGTGGAAAATGCAGACATTGAGCCTAAAACAAGAAGCCATTTCCTTGGGAGCACTGTGATGGGGGCCGCGCTCACTCACTATATGCCCAAAGCCTCTGGCCTGGGTGGCTGCTGTTCAGTTGAGAGTGTAACCAGCTCCTGTTTTCCCTGCCAGGGCTTGAGTCCTGTGAGAACCTTGGGAAGAGAGAAGAGATAATGGGTAGTTTTAGGGGATAGAATACCCCTTCCTCCTACCAAATGTAAGAGAAATCCACCCCCGCAACAAGATCTTCTCAAACTGTTTTGTGCTCTGAAGTGTCTAAAGATAGGGGAGCTTTTCAGCCTATTCTAGACCCAGCTCCTTCTCAGAGGAAAAGAGAGGGAGCTGGCCAGGGACTACTCCCATGCCCCCTCAAGAAGAGCAGAGAGAGTTTCTACCCCATCATTCCACAAAGTCAGAACAGCTAGAACGGAGGCTGAAGAGACTGAGAGCAGCTGCAGAAATCCAAAAATATTGACCTTATAAGCTCAAGATGCTGTATGCTGGGTTTTTACAAGGATATTCGGTATTTGATGAAACCCAGTTAGGCATGACATATTCCCCTTCTCCCCATTCCTACCTCTCTTTTATTAAAAATTTTATAGTTACAGTGTCTATGTTGCCCAGCCTGGTCTTGAACCCTTTGGCTCAAGTGATCCACCTGCCTTGGCCTCCCAAAGTGCTGGGATTACAGATGGGAGCCATCGTGTCTGGCCCATTCCTGCCTCTTAAAGCCCTCCACCCAACAGGCAGACTTGAGACTCAAACCGTGGTCCCAGCTCTGCATCAGGGGTAGTTTGGAATTCAGATTCTTTCAAACTGGGGTAAAAACCAGGCCCAGAGTTCAGAGTTCAACAACAAGCTTCCAAGATGCCGCCCAAAGGAAAAAGTGGTTCTGGAAAAGCGGGGAAAGGGGGTGCAGCCTCTGGGAGTGACAGTGCTGACAAGAAGGCTCAAGGTCCCAAAGGTGGTGGCAATGCAGTAAAGGTCAGACACATTCTATGGGAAAAACATGGCAAAATCATGGAAGCCATGGAAAAGTTAAAGTCTGGGATGAGATTCAATGAAGTGGCCACACAATATAGTGAAGATAAAGCCAGGCAAGGGGGCGTCTTGGGTTGGATGACCAGAGGGTCCATGGTGGGACCATTTCAAGAAGCAGCATTTGCCTTGCCTATAAGTGTGATGGATAAGCCTGTGTTTACAGACCCAGCAGTTAAGACAAAATTTGGATATCATATTATTATGGTTGAAGGAAGAAAATAAAATCATATGAAAGACTGAAAGAAAAAAAAAAAAAAAAAAAAAAACTAGGCCCAGGACACCAAAGGCAAGAAAGGCAGAATCTTTAACAAATTAGGGGCTGGGTGCGGTGGCTCACACCTATAATCCCAGCACTTTGGGAGGCCAGGAGTTCTAGACCAGCCTGGCCAAAATGGCAAAACCCCGTCTCTACTCAAAATAAAAAAATTAGCTGGGTGTGGTGGCAGACACCTGTATTCCCAGCTACTCAGAAGGCTGAGACACAAGAATCGCTGGAACCCGGGAGGCAGAAGTTGTAGTGAGCTGAGATTGCACCACTGCATTCCAACCTGGGCGACAGAGTAAGACTCCATCTCAAAACACACACAAACTAGGCCAAAACCGTAAGCAAAAAGCAAAGAAAAACTCTTCTAAAATGGCCACTGTGATTTCTGTGCCTTCTCTTGTTTCATACATACATATATATATATATATATATATATATATATTTTTTTTTTTTTTTTGAGACAGTCTTTCTCTGTTGCTCAGGTTGGAATGCAGTGGTGTGATCTTGGTTTACTGCAGCTTTGACCTCCCAGGCTCAAGCAATCTGCCCCCCTACAAAGTAGCTGGGACAACAGGCATGCACTACCACACCTGGCTTCCTCCTCGCCCCGAGGCAGAGTCTTGCTCTGTCACCCAGGCTGGAGTGCAGTGGCACGATCTCTGCTAACTATAACCTCTGCCTCCCAAGTTCAAGCAGTTCTCCTGCCTCCCCTCCTGAGTAGCTGGGATTACAGATGCCCGCCACCACACGTGGCTGATTTTTGTATTTTTAGTACAGACGGGGTTTCACCATGTTGGCCAGGCTGGTCTCGAACTCCTTACCTCATGATCCGCCCGCCTTGGCCTCCCAAAGTGCTGGGATTACAGGCATGAGGCACCACGCCCAGCCTTTTTCTTTTTTTTAAGATGGAATCTTACTCACTCTGTTGCCGAGGATGGAGTGTAATAGTGCGATCTCAGCTCACTGCAACCTCCGCCTCCCGGGTTCAAGCGATTCTCCTGCCTCAGCCCACCAAGTAACTGGGATTACAGGCATGTGCCACCAGGCCCGGCTGATTTTTGTATTTTTAGTTGAGATGGGGTTTCACCACGTTGGCCAGGCTGGTCTGGAACTCCTGACCTCAAGCGATCCACCCATCTCGGCCTCCCAAAGTGCTGAGATGACAGGTGTAAGCCACCATACCCGGCCTGTCGTCTTCTCGATATATCAAAATAGAGTGCAGTGGCTACTGCTGCTGGTCATGTGGGTGTGCAGAATGGTACCCAATAAAACACAATGGGTGCTACTGGAAAGCAAAGGGTGCATTGGGACACAGCCTACTCATGTTCCTTTTGCCTTTCTAGGCCTAGAGTCCTTACGGGACAGTGCCCATTCCACACCAGTGCGTTCCACTTCCCATGGGGACACCTTCCTGCCTCACGTGAGAAGCAGCCGGACAGATAGCAATGAGCGAGTAGCTGTGATTGCAGACGAGGCCTACAGCCCTGCAGACAGCGTGCTGCCCACCCCTGTGGCTGAGCACAGCCTGGAGCTGATGTTGCTTTCCCGGCAGATCAATGGAGCCACCTGCAGCATTGAGGAGGAGAAGGAATCTGAAGCCAGCACCCCAACTGCTACAGAGGTGGAGGCCCTTGGGGGAGAGCTGAGGGCCCTGTGTCAGGGGCACAGCGGGCCCGAGGAGGAACAGGTGAATAAGTTTGTTCTAAGTGTCCTCCGTTTGCTCCTTGTGACCATGGGACTCCTCTTTGTTTTGCTCCTCCTCCTGATCATCCTTACCGAGTCTGACCTTGACATTGCCTTTTTCCGTGATATCCGCCAGACCCCCGAGTTTGAACAATTCCACTATCAATACTTTTGTCCCCTCAGGCGATGGTTTGCCTGCAAAATCCGCTCAGTGGTGAGCCTGCTCATTGACACCTGAGAAGGCATGACTCCTCCCAAAAACTAGCCAGGTGGACCAAGGAACCCGGCTACCCATTCCCAGCAATGGGACCCATCGCGGAACCATCGGCACATATACCAAGTCCTCCTCTCATGACTCAAAGTCCACTGCAGCCTAGGAGGGTGTTTCCCAGAAGAAGAAAGGGATAGGCTCATGCCCTGTCTAAACAAACTGGGAAAACTCATTTTCTTCAGAAGTTATTTCAAGAAAGGCTCAGCGACTCTGTTTCTCATCTTTCCAATTTGCAGGATAATTTTTGGTTTTGAATTTTGATTTTTCATAGATGTATATTATTTTGAAGTATCAAATAAAAATAATTTATTTTACTATTACTGATTATTGCAGTAGTATCACCTAGCAGAGGGGACACTAGTTGAAAACTAGAGAGCTGCTGTCCTCTGTATTCTGCAGGAGCTTTTCCTGCTGGTGCCACTGGGTTCCAGTAGACTCATCACTGCAGCCTCAGCAGGGCAGGCCAGGGATCTGGACAATGGGGACTGTTTAGTTTTTTGTTTGTTTTTTTTGCCAGCCAGAACTTTTAAAAAAGTAAACATCCATGTAGAATGATTAAATGGAAAGTTGCTTCTTATGATGGTCTGAGTTGGATTTTCTTTTCCTTTTGTTTTTTCAAATCTGAGCAGAGTGGGCATCTGAAGGGACCACCGCTACAGCAACAGCAGCATCAGGGGTGGGGTAAGTCTGTCCCCTTAGTCTAGAGCCTAGTGGGCATCACCATAGTTTTGTATAATGAAACTAGACTTAACGTGATTTTTTTTTTCCGAAGAACCTCAAGACTTTTATAGTGCTCCAGGGGCGTTAAACGAATTCAGTGGTACCAGAGATAGATAGTTCTGTCAGAAATGTTGGACAAAGTGTAGTTAAGAGAAAGCAGAGTTAAGTTACCTGAGAGACTGTTGAGATTTGGATAGCAGTGCTTATTTTATATACACCCCCTTGACCCAAAGACTATTTCAATTTATATTTTAACAACGAAATGTTATTTTCTTAACAATTCATATTTTGTTTTTACTTTATGGATTAAGAAAATAGAGCCTGATGAACTAAACGATGCAAGAAAGAAACTGATCCTGAGAATGAAAAGCTTCAGAAAATAGAATTCCAAGATCAACAGCCTTAGAAGGGACCAGGAAAAGAATCTTTTAAAATAGATTTCTAAGAGATGCCTACAAAACACAGAATGTGACCGTGGCAGAGACCAACACTTAGATGTAGAAATGCTGCCCCCTAGGGTCATCCTCTGCATAAGTTCTAGGAAAGCATCACCATCCTTGCAGAGGGAAGTCCTCGAAGCACGCAGCACAGGCATATGAAGGGCGAGTGTGGGATCCTAGGCCCAAGCTCTTCAACTCTAAAACCAATCACACACAAGATCCTGTTTTCATCTCAGGGAGAGATTTCTAAGTCATCTGGGGCTTGAGGGCTTATTTAAGGGTGGTCAATGGACATATTCCTGGACCCACACAAAAGTAGAGCAGCTGCTGATACCCTAATTGGACAGCCCCAAACGCAGAACAGAACAAGTCACTTGTAGACTTGACCTCCCCTATTTTGTCCCCCGAGATGGTAGAACCATGTCCATGTTTACAATATGACAACTGTGGAATAATTGGGGTTCTTAGGGAGAGATTTGCATAATTTTAAAGACATCCTTTCATCTGGACCAGAGGTCAATCAACTTATGTCAAGTGCTACACAGTAAATATTTTGGTTTAGCACGCCATACTGTGTCACAACTGCTCAATTCTGCCATCACAGCACAAAAACAGCCACAGATAATTTGTAAATGAAGGAACATGGCTGTGTTCCAATAAAACTTTATGAAAACAGTGAGCTGAATTTAGCCTACAGGCCATAATACGCCAATCCTGCTCTAGACAATAAAACTGATCCTTACCAGTATGTTAGCAGAAGAGGGTCAGTCAGCTCTGTTTCCATGCCTGACATGTATCAAAGATCTGGGACCTCTTCCCAGTGGAGGCACTAGGGTTGCTTGTTTAAAGGGTGCTTGAACAACTAACCAGCAAAGAGATGTCTGATGCCAAATGGGCAAGATCAAATACTGGAATGCTAAAACACAGCTGGAATCTAAGAAGGGAAGAGGGCTTCTCTGACCATTTTCATACCAGCAACAATTTAGGCAGAATTATAAACATCTATTTATCGAGTGACAATACAAACCGAAGGAGATCCTAGTAGAGATTAGGGGTCAGTTAAAATCAACTAGCCACTGCCACTTGTCATCTACATAGCAAAGGCTTTATTTAGCACAGGACTAACGTGAAAAGTAGACCCAGAGATGAAAAGGCTGTCAGGAGACAGGGGGCTGGTGTCCACCTGGTATCTACTGTCTTATGCAACATAGAAGATTACCTTTTAGTGTAGTGCTCCTACCTCAGTTTGTAGAATCTGGTGTTTCTATGCAGTGAGTGATAGCCTCAACTCTGACCTTTCATATTCACATTAGAGACAGATGCAGTATTCCATATCCTAGTATGTTCCTTGTGTCTAGAGTTCTAACAGTACAGTAGTCTATGCCATTTCTAACAGCTAAATTTTGCTCTGTAAACAGAAACTTTAGGGTTGTTTTTTTCCAGGGCTCATCCCAGAAAATATGGATAGAAAAGTTTCCTTCAGTTTGCTTTTCAAATAGTGCTTGAATAATAAACCTCCTTTGATTGGTGACTAGTCTTTTTTGGTATATCTCCACCTTTAAAAATTGTTCAAGTTTTTAACCTGGTTATACTGTGTTCTAACATGTCTCTCATTTTCTCTCAAAATTAGTTTATCTCATTGTAGAAAAAGCAATGGTTTTCATAGCTTCATCTATCAGGAAATAAAACTCTTACTAAAGAATAGCATACTGCATCTTTAAGCAGTAGAGGGTAAACTACCTGCAAATGTGAATTTCTTAGATACATTTAAAAATATATAGTTGTTAACCTTCTGTGTGCCAAAAACTCTTAAGTTACATTTTCCTTCAAAGCAATGTACTTTTTTCTACATATGCAGTATGTAGTTAGCATAAAATCATTGGTGCCATGAAGATTATTTTTAAACTTAAATAAATATTTAAATATCATGGAAGAGTGGGCTCTTTCTTTAATAATAGCCTGTCTTACTTTTCCTCCCTTAAAGTTACTAACACATAGATAAAAGGATACTGGTGGGATTTACACAGCTGACTACTATTCACTTGGATCATATAACATAATTATTTTGCTTGTATCCACCTATTATCCTTGTCCTTACCCCCAGATAAATACTGTTAGAAACTGAGAAGCGGCCAGGCACAGTGGCTCACGCCTGTAATCCCAGCCCTTTGGGAGGCCAAGTCGGGAGGATCACGAGGTCAGGAGTTCAAGACCAGCCCGACCAACGTGGTGAAACCCCCGTCTCTACTAAAAATACAAAAATTAGCCAGGTGTGGTGGCGGGCGCCTATAATTCCAGCTACTCAGGAGGCTAAGGTAGGAGAATCGCTTGAACCTGGGAGGCGGAGGTTGCAGTGAGCTGAGATCACACCACTACACTCCAGCCTGGGTGACAGAGCAAGACTCCACATCAAAAAAAAAAAAAAAAAAAAAAACTGAGAAGCTATATATGTAATAATTTTAAAGTGAATTGGGTATTTTTCTGATGAGGAAAACCAAGAAGACTAAGTGATTTTCCCAAGATTACATAGTGGTAGAGTCCAAACTAGAACCCAGATTGTCCACCTTCTGGTCTGCTGTTCTTACTCAAGCCTGGAGTAAGTGGGAGCACAGAAAATACTTTCTAAGAAGGAACTACAATGATACCACCACCACATATTTACAAAATATATCCCTATAGCATTATCTCATCTGATTATGTAACCATCACTCTGTGGCTACGGAATTGGAAATGGTCTTCTAAATTCCATGAGGATAAGAGGTGATAATGGGGGCTTGGTCCACTGTGCTAGCTTCTTACCTAATCTTTGTCTTTTCAATTCTGCCTGCCCTCCACTCTCCCATTTCTGTTGCCAGATCATCCTCCTAAACACCAATCAGGCTATGTTACCTCCAAATTTCAGAGGTACCCACTACCTAAAAAATGCTATCTAGCACCCTATCCCCAGCGGAATTTTTTGTTTTTATGACATAAGATTTTGCTTGAAGTGATCCAAAGAGTAAAAAGCACAAGAAACACTGGACCTGGGTGGCTTCCCGTGGCCCTGCCGATTCACAGCAGCCTCCCTTCTGCTGACAGCTTATCAAGAACTACCTGTGCACACACCCCTGTAGGACTCTAGTCCCTACTCCCTCTGCTTTGGGTTCCTCTAGCACAATCTAGCTCCTCTGCACCTGAACACACTTTTGGTTTTAGCTCATGAACAGGCTTCCTCTTCAGACCCCTACGACCTGCTGATGGAATGGAGTAAAACAAGCAAAGCACCCTTTTAATAAATTTCCTCTTGCCCAGTTTCCATTTTGGGGAAAATGTATCATAAAATGTTTTGTTCTTCAGCTCCGTGTAAGTGTACTAAATGTTATCTTCCTCATAAATTCTACCTTTTCATTTGAAAATCCAAGTATTTACAGCCAAATAAGTCAAAATACAATCTGCTGTCTTGTTATTTCTAGCCATCAACACCCTACTAAAAAGCAGGGGGAAATGTACTAAGTCAGAAAGGACCGCCCAATAGGACATTGAAGTTTTTGGAATCTGAAGTTAGAGGGCATATATTTCCTCTTCTCAGATTGATTCAGAAGGCATGTGTGTCTTCTCCCCCACCCTACCCCATGTACTGTACATTAGCTGAAAGGATTTAAATCCTTGTATCCATAGCCCTAAGGCTCCCTGTTTTCCTGGAGAACTCCCCTTGCAAAATCTTCTTGGTGGAAAGGAAGCTCAAAGACCAGAATACTAAAATAGGACTTAAGCAACTCAGATTCTATTAATTCCTAATCATTTGTGGTCTCTCCTAGTCTGACAAAGTCTCTGACAACCAAAAATGAGAATTGTCTGCTCCTTCCTTAAAAGTTACATAACAAAAGCCTGGGTATCTTAAAAAAAAAAAAAAAAAAAAACTCAAGCGGAATTCAGAGCTTAAGAGATATCATAAAGGCCAAACTTACAGAAAAGGCTTATCCCGAAGGAGGCAATCATAATACACACATAATTACAGAAGCCACACAGCTGTAGGCAAGTCTGTGGGAGAAGTACCTTTCACTACAGATTACAGTGTAAGAATGTCCCAAGGGAGACAATTTTCTTTTATGTGCTGTCTAGATTTAAACAATTACTCCATTAGAAAGCTTATCACCAATAAAAAAAAAAAAAAGTCCCTACTCATTCTCCTTCCTTCCTGCACTGCCTGAAGATATAACTCTATAAAGTATAACTGAATATAAATAGCACTGTTTATGAAGCCACAATGGCAAAAGAAACCACAAAAGTGAGGAACATCAAGAATTTGCTAACATTTATTGACGAGCCCAGGCAATTACTGCCAAGTATTCAAAGCTTAAATGATGGTACTAATTTGATTGAGAGTAGTTTTCAGCATCTTTAAAAACAAAAACAAAAACAATTCCCGTAGAACTAACCACTCTAGAACCCATGAGATTAATTGGTATAGAAATGAAAAAGGGAGCCTAAAGCCTTTACGATGTTTCCTGAACAGTTTAATTATAACTCAACCTCACCTAGCTTTTCTTTCCCTTTATAAATTAACATTTCCATCTCACTTGTCAATTCTTCTACTTATATCAACTAGAAAATAGAGAACTATTGCTTATAAACACCTAAACCTATTAAAAAACTAAACCTTTTTACACTTAGATTACAGAGAAGAAAATTATTTAGAAATTGGTTTTCAAGGAAATTGTATATCACTATATTTCTCTGATATACAATTATGGGAAAATATTTCCTCTTAGAATTCAAACATATTGCCAAAGCCATTTACAAGTCTTTCAGTATTTGGCAATGAAGAATAATGAAAAAAGTTGGATAGATGTCACACAGTAATATTAGTAACTGATTTGGCAGCTCCCCTCCCAACAACAAACACATTGAAATTACCATAACTTCTGAAAAGAAAACATTTTCATAAAATACCAAAAGTGGTGAGTATTTCATAATATTCCCCCAAATACAAGTAAGAATGAAGGTATTCACTTAACAGGCTATTGAATTTCCTTCGGACAGTTTAAAGATCGGGACAGGTAAGCCTGGGGCCTTCTTCATTCTAAGCAGTAGCTTTAACTTCTTTATCCATTACCCATGGTACTATAGTAATAAAATATATATATATATATATTTTACATCAGAATACACATAAACATATATACCTAACAAATATATATGCATATGTAACTAAGTTTTACCAAACAATACTTACTCAAATATATTTTCTGTTCTTTACAAATTCTTTCCTTTTCATTTTTTTCAACACCAGTCATTGTCATCTAACTTGATTTCATGTGAAGAGCAAAAACCCAGTCTGAAAAACACAGGTCTGAGGCAATCTTATACTGGAATGCCGGGACCAGGGCAGATCCCAACCCGGTGCTTGGGAGTCCTGCCTGTGTCTCAGGAGCCATCTAGAGTAAAGGCAAAGTACAGACAGACCCAGACCCCGCCCTGGGTAACCAAAGCTGCTCAGCAATTATCTTGGCATTTCACGTAAGACTTAACCTACAGGCAGGGGGCAAAAAAAGTTCTCAGTTAAAAAAATCAAGTTTTAAAATCACTGAGTTACATTACCTTTCCGGGTCCCCTTCCAGTGTATGAGTCTAGAAATAAGTATTCATTATAAACTATAAAATAAGCCACAAATTACTATAGAATCAAAACTGTATCATTAGATCACAAAAACTTTAATAGTCAAAGCTTTGTAATTTATAATGTTAGAATTTCTCAACATACTGTCTTGATTACAAGTTCTGATGGCCAGGCATGGTGGCTCACGCCTGTAATTCCAGCACTTTTGGAGGCCGAGGCGGGCAGATCACCTGAGGTCAGGAGCTCGAGACCAGCCTGGCCAACATGATGAAACCCCATCTCTACTAAAAATACAAAAAAATAGCCAGGCGTGGTGGCAGGTGCCTGTAATCCCAGCTACTTAGGAGTCTGAGGCAGGAGAATCGCTTGAACCTGGGAGGCGGAGGTTGCGGTGAGCCAAGATCGCGCTATTGCACTCCAGCCTGGGCAACAAGAGCAAAACTCCATCTCAAAAAAAAAAAAAAAAAAAAAGTCCTGACGGCACCTCAGCCTCCCCTCAAATTCCCTCCCCGTCCTGCAGAAGCAACCCTCCAAGACTTCTCCCTTACTAAAAGTACACTCTTCTTATAGTCTTATTAATAAAACAATGTTATAATTGCTAAATGTAACACATTACCACATAAACACACTAAGGCACGCCGATTACTAGGCTCCTTAGACAGTGGTCAATTTGAACAAATTGATGTTCCTAAACCAAAAACTCAGCAGCTTTTTTCATTCATAAAAACATGTATCTTCCCGCTGGAATTACCTCCAGCCAAAATATACCGAGTTGGGTGCATGGCATTGATGGAACACACAGAGACAAGGTATTCTCCACCAAACGAATGCACCCTCTTTCCTGTCTCATGGAAGATTTCTACCCGTCGTGGATGGGCCATGCTGCCAACTATGACACAGTCTTCTTGTTTAGGATCCCACATGGCTTGGAACCTGGTCAGCCATCGCCCAGTGAAAGTGTTGTGCCTAGTGAGGAAAACAATATATTTTTTAAATGAAGTAAGGTTAAATAAGGTAGCATTGGGCAGAGGGTAAAGACGGCATTGCTCCTAAATGCTAGTTTTCTCTGCCAAGTTTCTTCTCATTAAGTTACTGAGTTACCACCAACCTTACCTCATCCTTACAGGACTGAACCTCTGGACAGAGACGATATCCTCCTCATCTAAAAATCTCCCAAAATAAAACATATGGAGCCCTTTATAGTTCCCAAAAGCAAAAACAGAAGTACTGCCCTTTTAGTCTTTTTGCCTTAATATCACTAACAATCCTTTTTCATTAAAGTATGGACTACACATTTCCCACTGCCACTTAAATGACCCCATCATTAATGAAAATTCTTACCCCCTAGAATAGTCACCCTACATAAATTTTTTAAAAATATACATAATATGGCCAGGCACAGTGGCCCAAGCCTGTCATCCCAGCACTTTGGGAGGCCGAGGCAGGTGGAACACCTGAGGTCAGGAGTTCGAGACCAGCCTGTCCAACACGGCGAAACCCAGTCTACTAAAAACACAAAAATTGGCCAGGTACAGTGGCTCACACCTGTAATCCCAGCACTTTGGGAGGCCAAGAGGGTGGATCATTCAAGGTCAGGAGTTCGAGACAGCCTGGCCAACATGGTGAAACCCCGTCTCTACTAAAAATAGGAAAATTAGCTGGCCATGGTGGCGGGTGCCTGTAATCCCAGCTCCTAGGGAGGCTGAGGCCGGAGAATCACTTGAACCCAGGAGATGGAGGCTACAGTGAGCCAAGATTGCACCACTGCATTCCAGCCTGGGCAACAGAGTGAGACTCTGTCTCAAAAAAAATAAAAATAAAAATACAAAAAGTAGCCAGGCATGGTGGTGCTTGCCTGTAATCCCAGCTACTGGGGAGGCTGAGGCAGGAGAATTGCTTGAACCCAGGAGATGGAGGCTACAGTGAGCCGAGATTGCACCACTGCATTCCAGCCTGGGCAACAGAGTGAGATTCTGTCTCAAAAAAAAAAATAAAAATACAAAAATTAGCCAGGCATGGTGGTGCTTGCCTGTAATCCCAGCTACTGGGGAGGCTGAGGCAGAATTGCTTGAACCCGGGAGGTGGAGGTTGCAGCGAGCTGAGATCGCGCCACTGCACTCCAGCCCCCGTGTCAGAGGGAGACTCCATTTCAAAAAATTAAAATTAAAAATTAAAAAATAAAATAAATATACATAATACTGGCTGGGCACAGTGGCTCATGCCTATAATCCCAGCACTTTGCGGGGCTGAGGAAGGTGGATCATCTGAGGTCAGGAGTTCAAGACCAGCCTGACCAACATGGTGAAATCCCATCTCCACTAAAAATAGGAAAGTTAGCCAGGCATTGTGGCTCATGCCTGTAATCCAGCTACTCAGGAGGCTGAGGCACGAGAACTGCTTGAACCCAGGAGGCGGAGGTTGCAGTGAGCCCAGATCATGCCACTGCACTCCAGCTTGGGCAACAAGAGCAAGACTCCGTTTAAAAAAAAAAAAGAAAACAAATAATTAAAAAATGGGCAAAAGATCTGAATACACACTTCTCAAAAGACGATATACAAATGGCCAATTATATGAAAATACGTTCAGTATCACTAATCAGTGAAATGCAAGGTAAAACCACAATGAGATATCACCTTACATCTAGTAGAATGGCCATTATGAAAACAGCAAAAGATAGCAAGTATTGGTAAAGATATGGAGAAGAAGGACCCCTTGTACATTGTTGGTGGAAATGTAAATTGGTGCAGCCATAATGGAAAACAGTATGAGGTTCCTCAAAAAAGTAACAATGGCACTACCATATGATCCAGCAATCCCACTACTGAGAATATATCCAAAGGAAATGAACTATCTATGAGATACCTGTACTCCCACATTCACTGTCACATCTAAGATATGGAATCAACAAATCAATGGATAAATGAATAAAGAAAACGTAGTATATACACATAACGGAATACTATTTCACTTAAAACAAGAAAATCCTGTCGTGGATGAACCTGGAGACATTATGTTAAGTAAAACAAGCCAGGTACAGAAAGACATATACCACATGACCTCACTCATATGGGGAATATTAAAAAGCTGAGGCTGGTTCAAAGGTAGTAACTTATCTTAATTGATTGTTCACAGTCAGTTACAGATAAAACTCTTTGTTCTACTCTTTCCCACCTTCTCACTACTACACTTGACTAGTCTAAAAAATAATAATAAATAAAAAATAACAAAGTTGTAAGGCCGGGCATGATGGCTCATGCCTGTAATGCCAACACTTCGGGAGGCCCACGTGGGAGGATCGGCTGAGGCCAGGACTTCCAGACCAGCCTGGGCAACAGCAAGTCCTCATCTCTACAAATAATTTTTTTAACTAGCAGGGCATGGTTCTGTGTGTCTGAAGTCCCATCTACTTGGGAGGCTGAGGCAAGAGGACTGCTCAAGTCCAGGAGATTGAGGCTGAAGTGAGCCATGATCATGCCACCACACTCCATACTGGGCAAGGGAGCGAGACCCTGTTTCTTTTTTTTTTTTTTTTTTAAAAAAGAGAGTAGTTAACAAACTGCTGGGCAGAGAGGGAAAGGTTTGGGGAGATGTTGGTCAAAAACTATTAAATTTCAGTTAATAGGAGAAATACATTCAAGAGGTCTATTGTACATCAGGATGACTATAGTCAATAACAATATATTATATTCTTGAAGATTGCTGACAGATTTTAAGTGTTCTCATCACAAAAAAATGGTAAGTACGTGAGGTAATACATATGTTAATTAGCTTGATTTAGCCATTCCACAATGTATATATTTCAAAACATGTTGTACATGATAAATACACACAATTTTATTAGTCAATTAAAAAATAAGACTGGATGCAGTGGCTCATGTCTGTAATCTCAGCACTTTAGGAGGCCAAGGCAAGCGGATCACTTGAGGCCAGAAGTTCAAAACCAGCCTGGCCAACATGGGAAACCCTGTCTCTACTAAAAAAAATACAAAAATTAGTGGGGCATAGTGGTGCATGCCTGTAGTCCCAGCTACTCAAGAGGTTGAGGCAGGAGAATCGCCTGAACCCAGGAGGCGGAGGCTGCAGTGAGCCGAGATCGTGCCAGTGCACTCCAGCCTGGACAACAGAGCGAGACTCTGTCTCTAAATAAAATAGGCTGGGCACAGTGGCTCACACTTGTAATCCCAGCACTTTGGGAGGCCAAGGTGGGTGGCCGCTTGAGGTCAAAAGTTAGAGACCAGCCTAACCAATGTGGAGAAACCTCATCTCTACTAAAAATACAGAAATTAGGCTGGGTGTGGTGGCTCACGCCTGTAATCCCAGCACTTTGGGAGGCCGAGGCAGGTGGGTCACGAGGTCAGGAGATGGAGACCATCCTGGCTAACACAGTGAAACCCCATCTCTACTAAAAATACAAAAAATTCGCCGGGCATGGTGGCAGGCGCCTGTAGTCCCAGCTACTCAGGAGGCTGAGGCAGGAGAATGGCATGAACCAGGGAGGTGGAGCTTGTAGTGAGCCGAGATCGCGAGCCTGCACTCCAGCCTGGACAACAGAGTGAGACTCTGTCTCAAAAAAAAACAAAAAAACAAAAAACAAAAAAAAAAACAGAAATTAGCCAGGCAGGGTGGCGTGCACCTGTAATCCCAGCTTCTTGGGAGGCTGAGGCAGGAGAATTGCTTGCACCCAGGAGGCGGAGGCTGCAGTGAGCCAAGATCATGCCACTGCACTCCAGCCTGGGCTACAAAGTGAGACTCTATCTTTAAAAAAAAATTAAAAAAAAAAAAAAATTGTGGACCTGAAAAAAAAAAAAAAAAAAAAAGAAACTGATAAAATGGAACAAAATGTATGAAGCAACAATCAATGTATATCACACACTATTCGCAACTTCATAAATAGTGACAAAGAGGAATATCAAGGAGAAGGCATTGAGTAAAGTTTGATGTAAAATACACACATACAAGGCCAGGCGCCGTGGCTTACGCCTGTAATCCCAGCACTTTGGGAGGCCGAGGCGGGTGGATCACAAGATCAGGAGTTCGAGACCAGCCTGACCAACATGATGAAACCCCGTCGCTACTAAAGATACAAAAAATTAGCTGGGCATAGTGGTGCATGCCTGTAATCCCAGCTACTCAGGAGGCTGAGGCAGGAGAATAGCTTGAACCTAAGAGGTGAAGATTGCAGTGAGCAGAGATCACGCCACTGCACTCCAGCCTAGGCAACAGAGTGACACTCCATCTCAAAAAAAAAAAAAAAAAAAAAATACACAAATACATTCAAAGTAGTTGATGCAAGAGTATAATCAAAGAAATGAAGTGGGAAGATGGGGAAGCCCTCAAGGCCCAGAATAAACAGACACAAATAAACAGACCTTCAGACAGCCTCATCAGCAAGTGAGTAGTTACAGTCTTCTTTAATAAGATAACATGAGTAATTCAGTTCAGAATAAAGTCATTAACCTTAACCAAAAATAACCTCCCACCTGCAGAGAACAGCTACTGACTACAAGAGACTGAACCTCTACAGACACAGGGAACCTGGAAGCAAGAACCCTTCTGGATAGGAACTAGCAAACTGGGACACTTATAATTTTTGTATTCAAAAATCAGGACTATTACATCTCTTTGACAATCAGATGTCTAATGTATGCACTGCAACAAATAGTTCATAGTAATCCACATCTACATTATTTGGCATATAGAAGCCTACCTGATGGTGGTGAGGAGCGGAATCTTAGAAGATATACAGCTGCTGTCAAAAATTCTGCAAAATAAAGAGAGTAAGACATTCTTTTGTTACTTAAAAACTTTCTGAAATAAATATCAGTGTATTTAACAAGCTTCTCATTAATTCATGGTATGAAATATATAACTGTCACTTAAAAATATGTAGGATCAGGCCGGGTTTAGAGGCCCATGCCTGTAATCCACAGGAGGATCACCTGAGGCCAAGAGTTTGAGACCAACCTGGGCAATACAGTGAGACCCATCTGTACAAAAAATTTAAAAATTAGCTGGGCATGGGGCACATGCCTGTAGTCCGAGCTACTCAGGAGGCTGAGGTGAGAAGATCACTTGAGCCCAGGAGTTTGAGATTACACTAAGCTATGATCACTCTACTGCACTCCAGCCTGAGCAACAGAGCGAGAACCTTGTCTACAAAAAAAAAAAAAAAAAAAAAAAAAAGAGTAAGATCAGGCGCTAACAAATCTTGGTCAAGATACTAAACAAAAGTTACAAGACGTTTTATAAAATAAGTCAGTGCTTATAGTTTAGCGTAGAAATCATTTGGCTGAGTGTTGTGGCTCATGCCTGTAATCTCAGCACTTTGAGGCCAAGGTGGGAGGATCACTTGAAGCCAGGAGTTTGAGACCAGCCTGGGCAATATAGTGAGACCCTATCACTACAAAAAAAAATTTAAAAAAAAATAGCTAGGTATGGTGGCACATGCCTCTAGACCCAGCTACTTGGGAAGCTGAGGCCGTAAGATTGCTAGAGCCCGTAAGTTGGCTGGAGCCCAGCACGTCAGGGTTGTAGTGAGCCATGATCATGCCACTGCACTCCAGCCTGGGCAACAAAGAGATACTGTCTCTAAAAAAACATCAATAATGATAAATGAATAGAAATAAAATGCCCATTCTAAAGCGATCATCTGAACTGTAAAACTATATACAAAATTCACAAAAATATGGGACATAAAGGATGTGGCCTGAAAATGTACAAATCACCTAAAAGTACATCTGTGTATCAAGAGCAGTTTCCCTGAGACTCATCAGCTGAAGGCCTGATAGTGTCATTTCCAGACTAAGACCAACCAGCAACAAAGGAGAGGAGTTGTGTTTTGGTTTTCAAGAGACAACGTCTCATTCTGATGCCCAGGCTGAAGTGCAATGGCACCGTCACAGCTCACTAAAGCCTCAACCTCCTAGGCTCAAGTGATCCTCCCGCCTCAGCCTCCCAAGTAGCTGGGACTACAAGTACACACTACCATATCTGGCTAATTTTTTCTGTAGAGACAGGGTCTCTCCTTGGTGCCCAGGCTGGTCTCGAACTCCTGGGCTCAAGTGATCCTCCCACCTCAGCCTCCCGAAATGCTGGGATTATAGGCCTAAGCCACTGCACCTGGCCAAAGAGAGGAATTTTTATACAGCAGTTGGAGAGGAGTCTAGAAGCCTCCACTGAGCACTACAGCAGAAGGAAACTAACAGCATCACCACCTCCTTCTCTTCTCCTTGTGCCTAGCTTTTCTAGTGTGGTTTGCTGGCACTAGAGTTTATTGCCTAAATAGATTAGTAGAAAGCCAAACCACTAATAGTTAATGTAACAAGAGTAAACTGCAGTGTAAACGAACAGGAACAGAATAAGCAGCTTTTGAGACAAAGGAAACTACATGAGTGGAAACGGGATCCTGGCCTACCATTCCCGGGTGACTCTCTTCCTACAACACCTGGTTAATACTCACAGACTTTGCTAGAAACTAACTAGACACCTGTCACACACTGCAGACCACGCTCTTCCCATCAGGTGGGTTTAAACAGAAACTGGGTGCCATTCTGGAGCCTGGTGAACAGTATACATTCAACTGAATAATATATGAATTCCAAAATCACTTAAGGTAAAACTCTCATAAACTGAAAATGCTTGAAATTTTAAGCAAAATCAGGGATTCTAAAAGAGAACAAAATAATTTTCCTTTGTGATTACACTAATGTTCCCGACATCTTTATTGACACTGTTTTCTGTTTTTTGTTCGATTGGTTTATATTACACTTTAAATCCATTTTTAGGAAGTAGCTATAGGAAGGTACTAAAGCTAAAACCCTAGAACTATAAAACCATATCCAATAGTTTGTATAGAATCCCAGTTTTTGCTCTTTTCTGTCTGCCCATGGTCTGGGGCTCTGCAATTTCCATTCAGCACTTCACTTGCAGAATAGATCCCACTGACCCCAAAGTATGCTAAAATTATCTCCTTTTCAGGATACTACACAGCCTGGTTTCTGGGATTCTTCAGTGCTTAAAGGGAAGCCAGACCATAAACCCCCCAGGGTACCTACGGACCTTTGCCAGTCTCAAGGAAATTTCCAGGACCCAAAAACCGCTGAAAAGCCATTAAATACAGGTCACCAGTCTTTAGGAACCTACATATGACTACTAAACAATAACACTAGCAATTTAATAGGGAACAGCAGTAAACAAAGCTTTTGGTTTACTGACACAGTAGCTATAGACTCTTTAGATTCCCTAAAAACATTTCTGCCTTCCCAATTTACCTCAGATTACAATCAGCACATGTGGTCACCACTCTGTTACCAGTAAGAGGTGAAAAATAGGCGGAAGCAATGCTCTTTGTATGTTCAGTCAAAGAAATCAAAGGCTGACTTCTCCTGGAATTCAATCGCCTTGCATCATAAATATGAGTATCCCTGTAATGGGAGAAACAATGATCAATGTTGCCATAGTACATGTAATGAACCTCTACAACAGGGCTAAACATAAGTTAGACACTCACATACTTGCTATACTGAAGAACATTTAAGACAGAACTCTCAGCCAGGTGCGGTGGCTCAAGTCTGTAATCCCAGCACTTTGGGAGGTGGAGGCAGGTGGATCATCTGAGATCAGGAGTTCGAAACCAGCCTCAACATGGAGAAACCCCGTCTCTACTAAAAATACAAGATTAATGTGGTGGTGCATGCCTGTAATCCCAGCTACTTGGGAGGCTGAGGCAGGAGAATTGCTTGAACCTGGGAGGCGGAGGTTGCAGTGAGCCGAGATCGCGCCATTGCACTCCAGCCTGGGCAACAAGAGCAAAACTCCATTTCAAACAAACAAACAAACAAAAAAAAAAAACAGAACTCTCTAAGGCCAGGCATGGTGGCTCACGCCTGTAATCCCAGCACTTTGGGAGGCCAAGGCGGGTGGATCACAGGGTCAGGAGTTCAAGACCAGCCTGGCCAAGACAGTGAGACCCTGTCTCTACTAAAAATACAAACATTAGCTAGGTATGGTAGTGCACGCCTATAATCCCAGCTACTCAGGAGGCTGAAGCAGAAGAATCGCTTGAACCTGGGAGGCGGAGGTTGCAGTGAGCTGAGAGTAAGATTCCATCTCAAAAAAAAAAAAAAAAAAAAAGACAGAACCCTCTAATACTCTTATTAATTTCCCCAAAACTGGTATAGATAACAAGTACAATACTAGACACATCTCAAAACTATAGCAGATACTTGGATCCAGTGTGTACAGAAAGACTTTTTTTTTTTTTTTTTTTTTTTTGGAGACAAGAGTCTCGCTCTGTCATCCAGGCTGGAATGCAATGGTGCAATCTTGGCTCACTGCAACTTCCGCCTCCTGTGTTCAAGTGATTCTGTGCCTCAGCCTCCCAAGTACCTGGGATTACAGGTGCATGCCACCACACCTGGTTAGTTTTTGTATTTTTAGTAGAGACAGGGTCTCACCATATTGGCCAGGCTGGTCTCGAACTCCTGACCTCAAGTGATCTGCCTGCCTCAGCCTCCCAAAGGGCTGGGATTACAGGCATGAGCCACCACGCCCAGCTGTCAAGTTTCTAGTTGGTTTTTCAATCCTTCCTAGAAAAAAGTTAACACAGGCCAACAAGTTATAGGTCACATGTAACTTTTTTTTCTGTGAAATTTAAATTTTCTTCTCATAAGAGGCGAATGCATATAATGCCAAGGAAAACAAAAATTTCTTTCAGCTTTTTCACTATTTATCAAATCTAAAAGAATTTTTCATTTTCAAAAAAAATCACTCAAGTCTCAATCAGTATAGAAAGGAAAATTACTTGGCCTTTGGGTATTACAAAAGTAATACCTTTTGTAATATTGTATTACAATATCTTTGACAACCAAACTAAACCATGTAATTGTGACATTAAAAGGTCTAAGTCATAAAGTCTTATAAAGACCATACCTCAATCCGGCAGTGATAAAATACTGTCTATGCACTGGGTGGACATGAACAGTTCTTATTTTTCCCATAGAAGAACTGGTAAGTTTCTCATAAGAAGTTCCAGGTGTCCGTCTATCCACCAGTGACATATTTCCATCCCAGTGTCCTACTATTAAAGTGGAGGCATCTTCTGCCAAGAAGTCGAAGGAGGAAAAGCTACTTCTTTCATTTCTATACACCTAAGAATATAAGTAACAATCAGCTTATATCACACTCTTCTTGTAAAGAAAGCCAAAGCATAAATTCTTTGGTAAAAGGGTTATAAAACACTTTACCCAAATAACCTCATTTATCCTCTCATCATCCCCATCAGATGCACAGGACATAATGGAAACACAGTCAGGGTATTTGGGGTTCCATTACCTTCAATATTTATCATTTCTATGTGTTGGGAACATTTCAAGTCCTCTCTTCTGGCTATTTTAAAATATACAATACACTGTTGTTAACTATAGTTACCCTATTCTGCTACTGAACATTAGAACTTATTCCTTCTAACTGAAAATTAAAAAAAAAAAAAAGAAACAAAACAAAACAAAAAAGAAACAAAGGCACTGATCAGCTGTGTCTACAATTAAATGGCCCATCTACCCATGTCAGGGCTACATCCCAAATCTCTCAATCCAATAAACCTCAGTTCCAGATCTACCCTGTGAAACTTAACAGAAAAGAACTGAATGTGAATTCTACCCAATTGAAATTATATTTTAATATGCAAAGTAACTTTGCCAACCAAGTCCAAGACACACAGCTGAATGCTCACCTACTCTCAGTAGAAGAGTAAATATATACATTTTTGACAGTTAATCAGGCTACATCTATCAAAATGTTTAATGCTTATACTTTTTGACCCAGTAATTTCACTAAGAGATCTATAAAAATGTCTGCTGCAAGATTGCTTATAATAGCAATAAGAAGCAACATAAATATCCACCAAGAGAGATCTGGTTAAATAAATGATGATCCACCTCTATTTTGAAATACCATGCAATGCTAAAAAGAATAAGGTAGTTTTATAGTATTAACTGTCCAAGATATACTATTAAGTGAAAAGAGTTGCAAAAGGCTATGTATATTAGTATGAAGCCATTAGTATAAAGAAGAGGAGAAAAAAATGTATAACTATATGCTTGTAAGCATAGGTGTACTTTGTGGAAGCATACTCAAGATATGCAACAACGGTTACTTGTGATAATGGGAATGAACAACAGGCAGATTTACTTTCATATCTGATTTACTGTAAATATTTTATCATGAGCGTGTTTTTTTTTTTTTTGAGACAGAGTCTCACTCTGTTGCCCAGGCTGGAGTACAGTGGCACGATCTCGGCTCAATGCAATCTCCGCCTCCTGGCTTCAAGTGATTCTCCTGCCTCAGCCTCCCAAGTAGCTAAGATTACTGGTGCGTGCCACCATGCCCGACTATATCATGAGCACGTTATTAAGTTTTTAATCACATGTAATCTACAATGCAATCACTTTGGGTTTAGGACTCATGCACATAAAGAATAAAAAATAAATCTTCCTGTCAATTAAGAGGGGATGACCACAATTCTTATTGTTGAATCATGAACTGATTTTTAGTTTTAAAAACAAGTGTTATAAACTAAGAATAAATTAATATGCTAAAGGCATCACAACCTTCACACCCCACAAAAAGACCAATATATACAAATGAAAACTTGGCATACTCAATATATTTAAATGATTAAGAGCAGGGGCTTTGGAGTCACACAAATCCTGGTGTAAATTCTTGTTCTGCCATCTATGTCCTTGAGCAACCTCATAAACCTCTCTGCCTCAGTTTTTTCACCTGTTAAATGCAATAACATTACTCATTTTCTAGGGTGTTATAAGGCTTAATGATGTATATAAAGCACACTCAAGATAGTGCCTAGTATAAGGTAACTGTTTAGTCAGTGGTATCTGAAACAAATTACGAATATATGCAATAGCATGAACGCATCTTAAAACTGTTACTCTAGGTAAAAGCCAGAAACAAAAGTCTACAAATCATATAATTCCAACTGCCTGACATTCAGAAAAAGGCAAAACTATGGGGACAGTAATCACTTCAGTAGTTGCCAGGGATTGCAGGCAATGGGAGGAGAATGACTACAAAAGGTCATGACGTAATCTTGAGGGAAATGGAAAATTTCTTTTTTTTTTTTTTTTGAGATGGAGTCTCACTCTGTCACACAGACTAGAGTACAATGGCACAATCTTGGCTCACTGCAACCTCTGCCTCCTGGGTTCAAGCGATTCTCCGTGGCCTAGCCTTCTGAGTAGCTGGGACTACAGGCGTGAGCCACCATGCCCATCTAATTTTTTGTGTTTTTAGTAGAGATGGGGTTTCACCATGTTGGCCAGGCTGGTCTCGAACTCCTCACCTCAAGTGATCCACCTGCCTCGGCCTCCCAAAGCGCTGGGATTACAGGCGTGAGCCACTGCGCCCAGCTCTATATCTTGATTACGATAGTTACACATGTGTACACAATTCACCAAAACTCAGAGAATTATATACCTAAAGTGGTAAATTGTACCATATGTAACTTTTTTTGAGAGTCTCCCTCTGTCACCCAGACTGGAGCGCAGTGATGCAATCTCGGCTTACTGGAGCCTCACCCTTCCAGGTTCAAGTGATTCTCATGCCTCAGGCCTCCCAAGTAGCTGGGACCACAGGCGCATGCTACCACGCCCAGCTAATTTTTGTATTCTTTTAGAGGTGCGGTTTCACTATGTTGGCCAGGCTGGTCTTGAACTCCTGAGCTCTAGTGATCCACCCTCCTCGGCCTCTGTCAGTGCTGAGATTACAGGTGTGAGCTACCATGCCCAACCTATTCTTTGTATTATTGCAAATAATGCTTGTATGAACATTCCCGTACAAGTTTTTGTGTGGACATGTGCTTTCATTTCTCTTGGGTGTATACCTAGGAGGGATATTGCTAGGTCATATGGTAACTCTGTTTAACATTTAAGGAACTGTCAAACTTTCCCCAACCAACTTTACCATTTCACATACCAATTCTCAAAATATGAGGGTTTCAATTTTTCCACATCATTGTCAACACTTATTACTGGCAAGTATCGTTATCCTAGTGAGTGTAAAGGGGTATCTCATTGTGATTTGCATTTCCCTAATGAATAATGATGCTTAGAATCTTTTCATGTGCTTATTTGCCATTTGTGGGGTTTTTTTGTTTTTTTTTGTTTTTTTTTTTTGAGACAGTCTCGCTCTGTCGCCCAGGCTGGAGTGCAGTGGTGCAATCTCACCTCACTGCAAACTCCACCTCCCGGGTTCAAGCGATTCTCCTGCCTCAGCGTCCCCAGTAGCTGGGACTACAGGTGCCTGCCACCGCGCCTGGCTAATTTTTGTATTTTTAGTAGAGATGGGGTTTCACCATGTTGGCCAGGCTGGTCTCAAATTCCTGACCTCAGGTGATCCACCCGCCTCAGCCTCCCAAAGTTCTGGGATTACAGGGGTGAGCCACCGCACCCGGTGCCATTTGTGTTTCTTTAAAGAAATGTTTATTCAGATCCTTTGCCCATTTTTTAATTGGGTTAGCTTTTTTAATTAAGCTATAGGAGTTCTCCACCTATTGTTTTAAAGTCAAGCTTATTGAAATGTAAGTTACAGCCAGGCGCGGTGGCTCATGCCTGTAATACCAGCACTTTGGAAGGCCAAGGTGGGCAGATCACTTGAGCTCAGGAGTTTGAGACCAGCCTGGGCAACATGGCAAAACACCGTCTCTACTAAAAATACAAAAATTAGCCAAGCATGGTGACACATGACTATAGTTCCAGCTACTCAGGAGGCTTAGGTGGGAGGATCACGTGAGCCTGGGAGGCAGAGGCTGCGGTGAGCCGAGATCAAGCCACTTCACTCCAGCTGGAGTGACAGAGTGAGACCCCCATCTCAAAAAATAAAAATAAGTAAGGCCAGGCGTGGTGGCTCACACCTGTAATCCCAAGACTTTGGGAGGCCAAGGTGGGTGGATCACCTGAGGTCAGGAGTTCAAGACCAGCCTGGCCAACATGGGGAAACCCTGTCTCTACTAAAAATACAAAAATTAGCCAGGTGTGGTGGCACGTGCCTGTAATCCCAGCTACTCAGGAGGATGAGGCAGGAGAATTGCTTGAACCCGGGAGGTGGAAGTTGCAGTGAGCCAAGATTGCACTGCTGCACTGCAGCCTGGGCAACAAGAGCGAGACTCTGTTTCAAAAATAAATATATAAAGAAAGAATAGAAACACAAATGTTCATCAACTGATGAACAGATGAATAAAATGTGGAATACCCATACAATGGCATATTATGCAGCCATAAAAAGGAATGAAGTACTGATACACGGCTACAACATGGATGAACTTTGAATACATTTTGTTAAAGAAACCAGTCACAAAAGACCACAAATTGTATGATTTCATTTATATGAAATGTCCAGAAGAGGCAAATCTGACCACACACAGTGGCTCACGCTGTAATCCCAGCACTTTGGGAGGCTGAGGCAGGTGGATTACAAGGTCAGGAGTTCGAGACCAGCCTGGTCAACATGGTGAAACCCCGTCCCTACTAAAAATACAAAAATTAGCTTGGCATGGTGGCATGCGCCTGTAGTCCCAGCTACTCAGGAGGCTGAGACAGGAGAATCACTTGAACCTGGGAGGCGGAGCTTGCAGTGAGCCAAGATCGCACCACTGCACTCCAGCCTGGGCGACAGAGTGAGACTCCATCTCTACAACAACAACAACGACGACAACAACAACAACAACAAATTACCCGGGCGTGATGATGGGTGCCTGTAATCCCTGCTACTCAGGAGGCTGAGGCAGAAGAATTGCTTGAACCTGGGAGGCAGAAGTTGCAGTGAGCCGAGATCTCGCCACTGCACTCCAGCCTAGGTGACGAGAGTAAAACTCCGTCTCAAAAAAAATAAAATAAAAAAGTTCAACTTATAAGACTTATCTTATTGAGGCAATCTGATACAGTTAAGCAAATCTGAAAGTTCATTTCAAATGATATGTTTGTTTTAAACATTAAGTAGAAGATGTCTTATTTTGAGAGAGGGTCTCACTCTGTCACCCAGGCTGAAGTGCAATGATGTATGTGATCACGGCTTTACTACAGCCTCAATCTCCTGGGCTCAAGCAATCCTCACACCTCAGCCTCCTGAGTAGCTGTGACTACAGGCACATGCCACCACACCAAGCTAATTTTTTTTAGAGACAAGGTCTTACTATGTTGCCCAGGCTGATCTTGAACTCCTGGGCTCAAGTGATTCTCCCACCTCAGCCTCCTGAGTAGCTGAGACTACAGGCACACACCACCAAGCTCAGCTAATATTTTTTATTTTCTGTAGAGACAAGGTCTCGCCATGTTGCCCAGGCTGGTCTGGAACTCCTGGCCTGAAGTGAGTCTCCCACCTTGGCTTCCCAAAGTGCTGAGATTACAAGCATGAGCCACCACACCCAGCTAAATACAAGTCTTATGCCTAAAAACAGAAGAGTAAGTTATTTTAGTTAAAAGCTTTGGGAGAGAAAAAAAAAAGAAATTTAACAAGCGCAAACACATACTATGTGCCAGGCTCTCTTCTAAGTACTTTATCTGCATAAGCTCATTAAATTCTCATGACAACCCTGTAAGGTCAGTCCTGTTAAATCCCATTTCACAGCTAAGGAAAGTGAGGCACAACAAGGTTAAGCAACTTGTCAAGGTCATACAACTAGTAACAGATGATCTGGGATTTGAACTTAGGCAGCGTAGTTCTCAAAGTCCTTCTGCTATACCACTTCTCCCAATTGGTATAATAATTATTCATGTGGCATTTCGAAGAATCTAGAATATCATCTGAAGTCAGCATGTAAACACATTAACATTTACCTCTTCAAAAATAGCCCTGGAAAAATCCCCACAGCGTAACGTGCCATCATAGCTCAGTGACAGTATGTGGGCCGGATTGGCGGGTGAGAAGTAAAGACAGCTAACTGGCTGACTATGGGGATGAAAAACATAAACTCCATCTTCTTTAGGTTGCTGGGTCTGGAAGAGAGTTGCGGGAAAGGGGAGAGAGAAAAAAACTAGTGAAAAATAGTGATTTTTGCTATGCTATTATGTCATTAAAGAATTTACACTGGATTATATTCAGTCTTTTCTTAGTCTATAATTGTAACCACTCTCCCCTTCACAAAGTCAGAATGAGAAACTTTATCTTGTCATTAACTTTTTTCTAGTTTTCAATCCAACAATACCAAGTCACATTAACAGTGACCAGCTTTCTGTAACTAACAAAATAGTTTATATATTACTGTCAGTTTATAAAATCCTCAGGAAATGATAAATCTACTCTATTTCACACATGGTATAATTGCTAACTAAAACAGTATCAGTACCTTACCACTTTGCTTCTGCAGCAGGCTTCTTCTGTATAATATTAACTTACTCATTCTCAGTGTAATTTTCGTAAGGTATTTGGTCCTGGGACAAAGATAATGGTTTTAAACATACTTTGTCCTCTAAATGCACCATAAAAATGGCCGGGCGCGGTGGCTCACGCCTGTAATCCTAGCACTTTGGGAGGCCAAGGCGGGCGGATCACGAGGTCAGGAGATCGAGACCATCCTGGCTAACATGGTGAAACCCCATCTCTACTAAAAATACAAAAAACTAGCCGGGCGTGGTGGCCGGCACCTGTAGTCCCATCTACTCGGGAGGCTGAGGCAGGAGAATGGCATGAATCCGGGAGGTGGAGCTTGCAGTGAGCCGACATCTCACCACTGCACTCCAGCCTGGGTGACAGAGCAAGACTCCGTCTCAAAAAATAAAATAAAATAAAATAAAATAAAATAAAATAAAATAAAAAAATAACACCATAAAAATGCATGTATTTGAATTTCCATATTAATATACCTACTCCTAAGGACTATCCTTTCCACAACTGGATTGCCAGCTCCTGAGAAGTCGCTTTTCAGAACAAGTTATGTTTCTATGCCATATGGCATATTATGAACCAAAGAATCACCTCTAAATCTGGCTTACTCTACTCTGAAATGGTCAAGCATTTTTGTTTTCTTTTTTATTTTAAATTTTAAAATGGAGAGAAGTATTCTTTAAAAGAAAAAATAAGAGAAAAAATTATTATAATCACACATACTCTTCCTGTTACCAGAGTTAGAAACTACTGACATATTTGTTTATAGCATTTGTTTTCTAGAAAAATAAAATTTTCTCTTGGTATAAAGAACTCAAACAATGCAGAAATGTACAAAGATGGAAGTTTTAAAAAAATCACTCCAGGCCAGGCGCGGTGGCTCACCTGTAATCCCAGCACTTTGGGAGGCTGAGGTGGGTGGATCACGAGGTCAGGAATTCAAGACCAGCCTGGCCAAGATGGTGAAACCCCGTCTCTACTAAAAATACAAAAATTAGCCGGGCGTGGTGGCAGACACCTGTAATTCCAGCTACTCAGGAGGCTGAGGCAGAGAATTGCTTGAACCGGGGAGGCAGAGGTTGCAGTGAGCCAAGATTGCACCACTGAACTCCAGCCTGGGCGACAAAGCGAGACTCCGTCTCAAAAAAAAAAATCATTCCAAATCTAAAATTAACCAAAATTATCATTGAAACACTGAGATTATAGACATCTTTATAGTTAAATTTAATGTGATTTAAAACGGCATATACAGCATGGTCCTTTTTTAAAATTTCTTCGCTATCATTCTATCTGTATAGGTACACATAAATCTGTCAAAATAATATAAGAAAATGAAGCTAAAGGAATTTTTGAATTTCAAGTATTTACAGAGACATTATCTTCTACAATGGCAAAAGTATAAAACAAAAAGCAATTGTAGTCATTATGCTTTTTATTTTTTAAACTGTTAATTTTAGA
Source organism: Homo sapiens (assembly GCF_000001405.40). NCBI lineage: Eukaryota > Metazoa > Chordata > Mammalia > Primates > Hominidae > Homo > Homo sapiens. The sequence continues at coordinate 43,849,240 of NC_000015.10, read as the reverse complement.
TAATTTATATTGATTTGAGAATATTATTCTCACCCTTCCTCCAACAGTCTTTTTTTTTTTTTTTTTGAGATGAAGTCTCACTCTGTCACCCAGGCTTGAGTGCAGTGGCACGATCTCAGCTCACTGCAACCTCCACCTCCCAGGTTCAAGCGATTCTCCTGTCTCAGCCTCCTGAGTCGCTGGGATTACAGGCACCCACCACCATGCTTGGCTAATTTTTGTATTTTTAGTGGAGACGGGGTTTCACCATGTTGAGACAGCAGGTAATCTGAAATGCAGTTTTTTTGGCCTCAAAAAAAAAAAAAAAAAAGTCTCAACTCTGTCGCCCAGGCTGGAGTGCAGTGGTGCAATGCCGGCTCACTGCAACCTCTGCCTCCCGGGTTCAAGCAATTCTCCTGCCTTAGTTTCCCAAGTGGCTGGGATTACAGGTGCACATCACCATACCCAGCTAATTTTGTATTTTTAGTAGAGACAGGGTTTCACCATGTTAGTCAGGCTGATCTTGAACTCGACCTCAGGTGATTCACCTGCCTCAGCCTCCCAAAGTGTTGGGATTACAGGCATGAGCCACTGCGCCCGGCCTTGTTCATTATTTTATACCAGGATTCATACCACCTACTTGTATGGCGGTGGAGGGTGTTACCACTCCCGTGGGCCAAGAAAACTTCCTTTGAAGACAATCAGTTCTACTACTCACTGTCCCTACTTCTTCTATTTTTCCTGATTTCACCCCAGCAACTATTTCCCCATTCCTCATTGAAAAGAGGAAAAATCGGAATACCCAATGTGCTTCTCTCTACTTTTGATAATATAGAAAATTCTCAGGATTTGGTCAATTTACCAGTATAGATTCTGCACACGGGGCAGGGCAGAAGCTAAATTATGCTGTCTCCTAGCTCTGCTACAGATTTGTTTCTCTCCTTGGTAGCTAGTTTTTGAAGTATACTACATTAGGTTCTGCTTCTTTCTTATTGCAGTAAGTGAATTTTTTTTCTTTTTTTGAGATAGGGTCTCACTCTGTCAATCCAGCCTGGAGTACAGTGACACAATCATGGCTCACTGCAGCCTCAACCGCCTTGAGCTCAGGTGATATTCCCAGCTCAACTTCCTGAGTAGCTGGGACTAATGGCACACACCACTACATCCAGTTTTTTTTTTGTTTGTTTGTTTTTTTTAAGAGACAGGCATCTCACTATGTCACCTAGGCAGGTCTCAAATTAGTGGGCTTAAGCCATCCTCCTGCCTTGACTTCCCAAAGCCCTGGAATTACAAGCATGAGCCACTGCACCCAGCCAGCATGAGGGATCTTATAGGGATGATGAAAATGTTCTAAAACCAGACTATGATAATTAAACAACTAAGTAAACTTATTAAAAACCACTGAGGCCAGGTGCAGTGGCTCACGCCTGTAATCGCAGCTCTGGGAGGCCGAAGCAGGTGAAAATCACTTGAGGTCAGGAGTTCCAGATCAGCCTGGCCAACATGGAGAAGCCTCATCTCTACAAAAAATACAAAAATTAGGCTGGGCACGGTGACTCATTCGTGTAAACCCAGCACTTTGGGAGGCCGAGGCGGGTGGATTACAAGGTCAGGAGTTCAAGACCAGCCTGGCCAAGATGGTGAAACCCCATCTCTACTAAAAAAACAAAAAAATTAGCCAGGTGTGGTAGCGGACGCCTGTAATCCCAGCCACTTGGGAGGCTGAGGCAGAGAACTGCTTGAACCCAGGAGGCGGAGGCTGCAGTGAGCAGAGATCACGCCACTGCATGCCAGCCTGGGCAACAGAGCAAGACTCGTCTCAAAAAAAAAAAAATTAGCCAGGTGTGGCAGCGAGCGCCTATAATCCCAGCTACTCAGGAGGCTGAGGCACGAGAATCACCTGAACCCAGGAGGCAGAGATTGCAGTGAGCCAGGATCACACCACAGCACTCCAGCCTGGGTGACAGAGCAAGATTCCCATCTCAAAAAAAAAGAAAAAAAAGCATTGAATTTTACATTTTTTAAATAGGATTTTATGATAGGTAAATTATTACCTCAATGAAGCCATTTTTTAAAAAAACTGGGGAAATTGTGAGCACAGGATAGACAAGGTAATATTGCTTTTAGACTTGTTAAATCTGTTAATGAGATTGCCAAATGTCCTGGAAAATTAGGTTGATGGAGATACTGGACTACAGAGACCTAGTAATACAGATTTTTTTTTTTTTTTTTTTTTTTTGAGGTGGTGTTTTGCTCTTGTTTCCCAGGCTGGAGTGCAATGGCGCCATCTCGGCTCACTGCAACCTCCGTCTCCTGTGTTCAAGCAAATCTCCTGCCTCAGCCTCCCAAGTAGCTGGGATTACAGGCATGTGCCACCATGCCCGGCTAATTTTGTATCTTTAGTAGAGATGGGATTTCATCATGTTGTTCAGGCTGGTCTTGAACTCCAGACCTCAGGTGATCCGCCAAACCTTGGCATCCCAAAGTGCTGGGATCACAGGTGTGAGCCACCGCGTCCGGCTGTAATACAGATTTTTGGAGTCATCATGAAAGATATGAAAAAAGGATTTTTATGTATGTCTTAAATCTATACAGATCAACTCATCCAAAAAAAAACCTTCATTTAATCATGCTAATTTTCAATTTTTCCTTTGCAAAATTCTTCAAAAAGTAGTCTCAGATGGGTGTGGTGGCTCACACCTGTAATCCCAGCACTTTGGGAGGCTGAAGCAGGTGGAGTGCTTGAGCTCAGGAGTTTGAGATGAGCCTAGGCAACATAGTGAGACCCATCTCTACAAAAAGTTAAAAAATTAGCCAGGTGTGGTGGCACATGACCGTAGTCCCAGCTACGCAGGAAGCTGAGGTGGAGAATTGCTTGACCGTGGGAAGTTGAGGCTGCAGTGAGCTATGATCATGCCACTGCACTCCAGCCTGGGCAACAGAGTGGGACCGTATCTCAGGGGCGGGAAAAAAAAAAAAAAGTCTCTATCCAATGCTTCTCCAGTTCTTTCATTACCCCCATACTTCCTTAATCTCCTAAAGCCTTTGTTCCTTACTTACCTCATTGTCAAAGCTATTCTCTCAACTCACTACATGGTACCCTATTTTCAAAATCAATGGCCTTTTCTCCATTCTTTTAACTTCTCTGCAAAAGGCTCTGTCAACCTCCCATCCTTGAAACTCATCTCTTGGCTTCCAAAACATACTATTCTGATCTTCTTCCCACTTTTTTGCTTCAGTTTTCTTTGCTAAATCCTATCACCTCCTATCCCCACTCACATCTTATCAAAATAAGGGAGAATCTATGATCCCAAAATAAGAACTTGGTTTCTGTCTTCAAACTTGCAAATTTTGTTTATAAACCCCAACCAACTTCAAGTCACCACTATTTCTTCACCTTCATTAATTGTCCTTATGGCATTTTTCATGTCTTTGGTCTTCTTCCCCAATAAGAAAATAAATTCAGAGAACATTAACTTGACTTTTCTCAATTTTGTAATAACAGACAGTATTTCATGCAGAATTATATGCACAATGAATGGAATTCAGTATCTATTTCTGACTCATCAAAGATAACTAAAATCATTCCAAAGCAGGTCCCTGGGAAGATATTTTGATACAGCTTAGAAACTGTTTCTTAGTCCATTTGGGATGCTAAAACAACATACCATAAACTGAGTGGCTTATCAACAGCAGCATTTTATTTCTCACAGTCCTGGTGACTAGGAAGACCAAGATCAAGCTTCCAGTTCATTCAGTGTCTGGTAAGGGCCTACTTTCTGGTTCATAGTTGGTGCCTTCTAGCTGTGTCCTCATATGGTAGAAGGGACAGTGGTCTCTCCTGGGTTTCTTTTATAAGGGCACTAATCTTATTCATGACCTAATCACCTCCCAAAGGTCCTACCTCCTAATACCATAGGGATTAGTATTTCAACATATGAATTTTGGGGAAGACAAAAACATTCAGACCATAGCAGACCATATTTTAAACACAACTAGAAAACTAAACTTCGGGCTGGGCGCCGTGGCTCATGCCTGTAATCCCAGCACTTTGGGAGGCCAAGGCAGGCAGATCACGAGGTCAGGAGATCAAGACCATGGGGAAACCCCACCTCTACTAAAAATAGAAAAAATTAGCCAGGCATGGTGGCAGGCGCCTGTAGTCCCAGCTACTCGGGAGGTTGAGGCAAGAGAATGGCGTGAACCTGAGAGGCGGAGCTTGCAGTGAGCCGAGATCACACCACTGCACTCCAGCCTGGGCGACAGAGCAAGACTCCCTCTCCAAAAAAAGAAAACTAAACTTTGATCTTTTTTTTTTTTTTTTTTTTTTTTTTTACACAGAGTCTCGCTCTGTCGCCCAGGCTGGAGTGCAGTGGTGCGATCTCGGCTCACTGCAAGCTCCCCCTCCCAGGTTCACGCCATTCTCCTGCTTCAGCCTCCCGAGTAGCTGGGACTACAGGCACCTGCCACCACGCCTAGCTAATTTGTTCCATTTTTAGTAGCGATGGGGTTTTTTAGTAGAGACGCGGTTTCACTGTGTTAGCCAGGACGGTCTCGATCTCCTGACTTCGTGATCCACCCGCCTCGGCCTCCCAAAGTGCTGGGATTACAGGCGTGAGCCACCGCTCCCAGCCCTTTTTTTTTTTTTGAGACGGAGTCTTACTCTATCACCCAGGCTGGATGGCACAGTGTCGACTCACTCCAACCTCCGTCTCCTGGGTTCAAGCAATTCTCCTGCCTCAGCCTCCTGAGTAGCTGGGATTACAGGCACCTACCACCACGCCCAGCTAATTTTTGTATTTTTTTACTACAGACGGGGTTTCACCATGTTGGCCAGGCTGGTCTCGAACTCCTGACCTCAGGTGATCCGACCGCCTCAGCCTCTCAAAGTGCTGGCATTACAGGCGTGACCCACCGCACCCGGCCACTTTAAATGTATATGTGAAAAGATCACACAAAGTGTAACAAAGTTTTCTGGCAGTTAATTTATGACCAGATGGTTAATGATATTCAAGCTAAAAATATTAAAGTTCTATAAAGCAAATTTAAATTCTTCCAGATTTCTAAAATTTGGAATCATAAAGCATCATAAAGCCCAAAATTGTAAGTCTCACGCAACATTTATAAACACATGGCTCTAGCCTATTCTCTTCCAGCCTATTTGCTTTAGTCAAACTATAATATATTCAAGAAATTTAATAACTTACCAAATCACAAAGTCCAACTTGCCCAAATTTGGCCCCAACTGCTACCAAAGTTCTAGTTTCTGATGGATGGAGAGCCATAGAGAATATTGGGCCTGTGGTAACTTTGTAAACGGTATCTTCACTAATGACCATGCCATTTAAATTGGCTTTGTAGCTAAGAAAATTACAAAGTTAAATTTTGTAAGTAAAACCAATCTCAATAGTCAAAATAAGTAAAAGATTATTCAAAAAGAAAAATCACAATTAGCAAATAAATATGGGAACTATTCAATCTCCTGGTAACCAAGGAAATCAAATTAAGCAATATTCTTTCACTTTTTAAATTACCCTTGATAATTTTAATAACACCAAAAGCTGGTAGGCTGCAGTTAAATACACATACTCACACATATTGCTAGTGGAAGAGTAAGTTCATATAAAATGTTCAGAAGAAAAAAAAAGACCTTTGAGCAACAATTCGGCAATGTGTACTAAAAGCCATAAAAATGTTCACAATATTTGATGCATTAATCTCACTTCTGGAAATCTAACCTAAAGAAATAATCCACTATCATATCCATATACTTCAACAAACACATACACAAACACACAAAGCTAAATGGAAAACAACCGCAAATACCAAGCAGGTAGGAGGAGAAGTGAACTCCTTCTACTCAATGGAATATTTTATAATTATTCAATAATTTTAAAGACTCTAGTAACATGCAACCGCAAATGAAAAAAAACATAACGCAGGCCAGGCACACTGGCTCACACCTGTAATCCCAGCACTTTGGGAGTCCAAGGCAGACAGCTCACTTGAGCCCAGGTATTCAAGACCAACCTGGGCAACACAGCAAAATCTCATCTCTACAAATACAAAAATTAGTGAGATGTGATGGTGCACGCCTGTAGTCCAAGCTACTTGGGAGGCTGAGGTGGGAGGATCATTTGAGCCCAGGAAGCGAAGGTTGCAATGAGCCAAGATAGTGCCACTGCACTGCAGCCTAAGCGATAGAGGGAGACCTTGTCTCAAAAAACAAAAAAAAAAAAAAAAAAAAAGAAAAAGAAAAAAGTGTAATGCAAAATTGTATATACATTACAACATATAGTAAAAATGTATGTGGATTCACTCATTTATTCAACACTGAACATATATTATGTGCCAGGCACTGTTCTGGTTATTGAAATAGAATTCTTGCTTATATCCTAGTGGTATTGTATATGAAGCTTATATCCTAGTGGTATTGTATATGGCAACACTTGTGAGGAAATACACAAAAACAACAGTTGTTAGGGTGGAAACATTTCATCTCACTTTCAAAATTCCCTAAAATGGCGTATAGTCTTTATAACTCAAACATCTCAAAAAATATAAAAGAAACACAAGGAATTTCAACTTACCTTTTAATGCTAGATAATCCCTTCTCAGTGTTCTTACTACTTGGCTGAAACATTGGGAGAGATGAAAGAACTAAGTTAGTATGTATATATTTTTACATATATATATATTTCCTTAACAGATGATTCTAAAGGCTATTGGCCTTCCCAAGTGATACCTTGCTCATTCCTGCCCATGTGTGCAGAAATCCTTTAAATCGTTCATTGTTGTCTTCTTGATTTTCAGAAGTCATTTCTAAAGGCCCAGGAGGTAACAAAGGCTGTTATAAAAAATAAAAAGTTATTTGTTGGGCTCCCTGCCCTAGAATATAAACACAAGGAGGGCAAGGGTATTTGTCTGTTTTCCCCACAACTTCACTTTCAACATCAACAGTAATGGTGGCATATCATGGACATTCAAAATAATTGTTCAATAAATGAATGCCAGGTACCCTATAAAGTAATAATAACATGTATTATCTCATTTAATCCTCTCAACAACCTAGCAAATGAGGTATCACATTTTAAAGACAGTGGATTGAAACTTAGAGACTGTAATCCCAGCACTTTGGCAGGCCGAGGCAGGCGGATCACAAGGTCAGGAGTTCGAGACCAGCCTGGCCAATATGGTGAAATCCCATCTCTACTAAAAATACAAAAATTTGCTGGGCGTGGTGGCAGGCACCTGTAATCCCAGCAGCTCAGGAGGCTGAGGCAGGAGAATCGTGTGAACCCAGGTGTTGGAGGTTGCAGTGAGCCAAGACTGCACTATTGCACTCCAGCCTGGGTGACAGGGCAAGACTCCATCTCAAAAAAAAACAAAAAACAAAAACAAAAAAACCCCAGAAACTTAAGAGGAGTTAACTTGCCCAAAGTCACACAGCCAATAACTGGAGAAGCTGAGAATTGACTCAGATTATCTTAACTCATTACTCAGTATTATACCTACATCAGTATTTTTTTAAACAGTTTGTAACCAATTAGTGGGTGAGAAATCATGTTAGTATGTCACAACTAGCAATTTGTTGTAGTGAATGAGAATAGAATAGAAATACCAGGCCAGGTACATGGCTCACACCTGTGATCCCTGCACTTTGGGAGGCTGAGGCAGGCAAATAGCTTGAGGCCAGAAGTTCCAGACCAGCCTGGCCAACATGGCGAAACCCCATTTCTACTAAAAATACAAAAATTAGCCATGCGTGGGCCGGGTGCGGTGGCTCATACCTGTAATCCTAGCATTTTGGGAGGCCGAGGCGGGCAGATCATGAGGTCAGATTGAGACCATCCTGGCTAACGCAGTGAAACCCCATCTCTACTAAAAATACAAAAAAATTAGCCGGGCGTGGTGGCAGGTGCCTATAGTCCCAGCGGAGGCTGAGCCAGGAGAATGGCATGAACCTGGGATGCAGAGCTTACAGTGAGCCAAAATCACAGCACCGCACTCCAGCCTGGGCAACAGATTGAGACTCCGTCTCAAAAAAAAAAAAAAAAAAACAAAAAAACAAAACTTAGCCAGGCGTGGTAGCACACACCTACAGTCCCAGCTACTCTGGAGGCTCAGGCATGAGAATCACTTGAACCCGGGAGGCGGAGGTTGCAGTGAACTGAGATTGTGCCACTGCACTCCAGCCTGGGTGACAGAGGGAGACTCTGTCTCAGAAAGAAAAAAAAAAAAGAAATACCAAAGTGCACCACATGTATTAAGTGTCGTTTGACAAACTGTGGTTTCAGTTGCATATATGTGTGATAGTTACAATGTAAATAAATATATATATATATTTTTAAATTAACGTCTCAAGTGATGCTCCCACCTCAGCCTCCTGAGGAGCTGGGACTACAGGCACATGCCACCACACCCAGCTGATTTTTGTATTTTTTTTGTAAGAACAGGGTCTCTTGATGTTGCCTAGGCTGGTCTCAAACTTCTGGGTTCAAGCGATCCTCCTGCCTCAGCCTCCCAAAGTGCTGGGATTACAGGCATGAACCACTACACCTGGCCACAAATATATTTCTTGTGGGCTGAGGCTTCAAAAAAATTTGAAGCTACTCTTCTATGCTGCTTCCCATAACACCTAGATTTGCAATTTGCTCCCAAAACACCAGCCTAATTAGTGCTATCTTCCTATTTACAATTAAACACTTACATATAAAGTATTAAAAATAGGTGTTCTTGAATAAAAAATATTTAGAAAATGTTTGCTAAATAAAACTCTACTCACTAAAACTACACATTATCACGTATTTATTAACATTAATAACTATATTCTATTGATTACTAAGCCCCTAATATGTGAGAAACTTTATAGATATGATTTCATTTATCTTTACAGTAGCTCTTTGAGGTTTTTTTTTTAAACTGACATAAAATTGTACATATTTACTGAGGGTTCTATTATTGCTGACTTTTTTTTAATGGAGAAACAATCAGAAAGGTTAATTAACTCACCCACAATCCTAAGCAGGTAAGTCCTGCAGAAATACAGAATCCAATACAGTCTTTACGACTTCGAAATCTTACTCATTAAAGCGTACAAATGGGCCGGGCACAGTGGCTCACACCTGTAATCCCAGCACTTTGGGAGGCCGAGGCAGGCAGACCACTTCAGGTCAGGAGTTCAAGACCAGCCTGGCCAGCATGGTGAAACCCCGTCTCTACCAAAAATAAAAAAAATCAGCCAGGTATGGTGGCATGTGCCTGTAATCCCAGCTATTCGGGAGGCTGAGGCAGGAGAATCGCTTGAACACGGGAGGAGGGGGTTGCAGTGAGGCAAGATCATGCCACTGCACTCCAGTCTGGGCGACAGAGTGAGACTCCATCTCAAAAAAACAAAACAAAACCATACAACATTCAAGTATTAATGAAATATAAAATTAAACATAATTTAATGAACTTTTAGTCTAGTTTCAACACTTCAAATTTTTCAGTATTTTATTACATTAAAATATTATATTTGCACATTTCCTTACAGTTTCATCTGCTACTAATGTCGGCGGTGTTGGAGCTGCTGGTAATGAAACTCCCGAAGGATCAACTTTTAGTAATCGCATTGACCTTCTACATCCAATCCCATTTTCTCTCTTAGGCTTCTTTCTAAAGGAGTGGGGAAAAACTCATGTTATACTCACAAAACAATAAAATGTATTTACTAATACTAAAGAGATAACTTCTAGGAATATATACCACAGATATATTTATAAACTGCATAGATATATATATACATGGCCACAATTATCTTAATAAGAAGTATGGAAAAAACAAACCTAAATGTTCATCAAAAAGAGGTGAGGTCTGTTAAATTATGGTATACATATCTAATAGAATAATACGCAGCCATAAAAAGAATGATATAGATCTTTATGCACTGCTGAAAGGAACCCTTGGTTATAAAAAGCAAAAACAAAGTCCAGTACATGTATACAAAAAGGTTACATATACACATACATTTGTACATGCTGAGGTTACCTTTGGAGGAATACACATAAAACTACTACTTCTAGGGAAAAGGCCTGGAAAACTAAGGTCTAAAATAGGAAGGAAACTTAAAACGTTTCACTGCATTCCCTTCCATACACTGTAGTTTACTTTTTAAATAATATACATTCTCTATTTTTTTATGCACTATTTTTTCATTTTTAAAAAAGTAATTCATTTTAAAATGTTGGGGAAAGAGAAGCCTCTGAAATTATTTCCAAAAATTCACATAAAAAATTATCAGTTATAGTCCACATTACTTCGAGAATTAGTAAAACCTACTGATTGAAAGTATACTATATACTAAAAACTGTAGTCAACATTCCATCTCATATTTAATCCTCAAAAAAGACACCTGAGTATATGGAATAATATGGGCTGTCATACAATCCTAGAAATCTACTCCTAGAGAAACTCCCATACATAAGCACTAAGAGACTTAAGAATGTTTGGAGCAGCACTTTTCATAATAAAAATAACAACTCAATTGTTCATCAACAGTAGAATAAAATGTAGTACATTCATACAGTGGAATATCATATAGCAGAAAAAAAGAACGAAATAAAGCTGTGCGCATCAACATGGGTAAATTTAAAAGCATAAATATGTAAAGATGAGCAAAATAAGAAAATCTCAGAATATAAAAAAGGCATATTGTATGTGAACACCAAAAAAAGACAAAGCTAAACAATATAGTGTTTAAGGATACACTCACTGGTAGTAAAACTATAAATCAATAGCCAGGCACAGTGGCTCACACCTGTAATCCCAGCACTTTGGGAGGCTGAGGTGGGTGGATCACTTGAGGTCCAGAGTTCCAGACCAGCCTTGCCAACATGGCGAAACCCCGTATCTACTAAAAATACAAAATTTAGCAGAGCATGGTCATGAGCACCTGTAATCCCAGCTACTCAGAAGGCTGAGGCATGAGAATTGCTTGAACCTGGGAGGCAGAGGCTGCAGTGAGCCAAGATTACACCACTGTACTCCAGCCTGGGCAACAGAGCAAGACTCTGTCTCAAAAAAATAAATAAATAAAAATGAAACTATAGGCTGGGCACAGTGGCTCACGCCTGTAATCCCAGCACTTTGGGAGGCCGAGGCAGGCGGATCACGAGGTCAGGAGATTGAGACCATCCTGGCTAACACGGTGAAACCCCGTCTACTAAAAATCCAAAAAATTAGCCGGGCGTGGTGGCGGGCGCCTATAGTCCCAGTTACTCGGGAGGCTGAGGCAGGAGAATGGCATGAACCTGGGAGGTGGAGGTTGCAGTGAGCCGAGATCGCGCCACTGCACTCCAGACTGGGCAACAGAGCGAGACTCCATCTCAAAAAAAAAAAAAAAAGCAATAAATAAATGCAAGGAAATATTACCACAAAATTCAGCATAGTGGTTGTATCGGGAGGGAGGGGTATATATGGGCCTTCAGGGGTATTCGTAATTTCTATTAACCTGGATGGCAGGTACATGGATGGGACCTGTATAATTTTTCAACTACACAAATACATTATATGTACCTTTTTATATGTATATTTAATAATTTTCAAAAAATTTAAATCCTTCTAGATTAGCATAATGCCAGCTTTACAGAAAGAAAAATTATATAAAGTATCCAAGGTTACTGTCATAGCTGTAAGTGACTGAATCAAAACTTGAACCCAAATTTGCTAAATCTCAAAGGCTACACTTCTGCGCTACATTACACAACTTCCATACTATCAACTTGCTACTGCCTATACAACTATTAAGGGCTAGAATTTTGTGATTTAGGAAGAAATCACCAATCTTGGCTAATAAAAAAATGCAAATGTAAAGCTACTAATCAGCGGGCAACAGGACCAGTGCTACTGTTTTTCCAGTGTTAATGATGTTCCTCTTATAGTAACTTTTCACACTTGAAAATACCTGGCCATGATTAAAGGTCCAGCTTTTCTCAAGCTAATTGTCCTGTAACAGAATCAAACCAAGTAAATGAAGCTACATTTCATTAGGAACTGGCACTAAACAAATGAGCTAATGATACCAAGATTTTAGTTTCTTCATTTATATGTAAGCACTGCTAAAATGCAATGGAGATAATTCAAAATTTAAACACCCTTGAGTTCAAATCCTAAAGCTACCACTTATAAGCTGTTTTGACTTTCAGCAAATAGTTGTTTTTTTTTGTTTTTTTTTTTTTTGTGAGATGGAGTCTCACTCTTATTGCCCAGGCTGGAGTGCAATGGTGCAATCTTGGCTCACCATGACCTCTGCCTCCCGGGTTCAAGCGATTCTCCTGCTTTAGCCTCTTGAGTAGCTGGGATTCAGACATGTGCCACCACACCCGGCTAATTTTTAATTTTTTTTTTTTTTTTAGTAGCGATGGGGTTTCTCCATGTTGGTCAGGCCAGTCTTGAACTCTCGACCTCAGGTGACCCCCTGACTCAACCTCCCAAAGTGCTGGGATTATAGGCATGAGCCACTGCACCCAGCCAACAATTTTATCTTTTGAGCCTGATTTCTAACTCACAAAATGAATATATTACCTACCACATGCAGTGGTTGTCAGAGTTAAATGAGATAATATAGGACAAAATTGCTAGATCACTGCAGTATGTTTCAGAGATATTCAATAAATGTTAATTCCTTTCCTTTATTCTAGGACTAAGAAAGCAAAAACAAATTGAGACGCAAAAAGATAGCCAGAAAAATTAAAAGTAAGTAGAAGAATCTTTAATAGTTTTCTAAGTGACAGTAATTTAGTGGAAATAAAGATTTCCCTTCATTAGTAGCAACAATAAATATAAACAAAATTCAGCTCTCCATTTTATTTGCTCCATATTCCTTTGATGAAGATGAGAATTGTAAAGTTATTAAAGGGTAGCATTCCCTCAGAGATCCTAGAGGGACTGAGATTAAATAGCACTTTATGATCTGTTAAGCTTACCACACCAAACCATTTTTTTCAAATTATAAAACAGTTGAGCAATGTATCATGGTTCAGGCATTGCAAACTAGATATTTTACCTTTTGGATTTAGGAGGCTGTCTCTTCTCTATCATTTCACGGAGTCTTGCAGCAGACTGTAAAGTATAAAAATCATGTAAAAATGTTATAACTACGTATCTTACCTTTTAAAATATTAAGCATCTGCTACTATACCCACACTAAACTAAGGTCTATTCAGGAACTAAAGATCCTTAAGATAGGCCATGAGTCATGATCAGCGCCACTGTACTCCAGCCTGGGCAACGCAGCGAGACCCTGTCTCAAAAAAAAAAAAGACAGGCCAGGCATGGTGGATCACAACTGTAATCCCAGCACTTTGGGAGGTCAAGGCAAGTAGATCACCCGAGGTCAGCAGTTCGAGACCAGCCTTACCAACATGGTGAAACCCCATTCCTACTAAAAATACAAAAATTACAGGCGTGGTGGCGGGCGCCTGTAATCCCAGCTACTTGGGAAGCTAAGGTAGGAGAATCACTTGAACCCGGGAGGCAGAGGTTGCAGTGAGCCAAGATCGTGCCATTGCACTCCAGCCTGGGCAACAAGAGCAAAACTCCGTCTCAAAAAAAAAAAAAAAGACAAAAAAAATAATGCCTTAGAATCAACAGAGTACAGTAACCTCTTCCTATTAAGCACAAAACCTGCTCCAATTTTACCCTCCCTCATATGACACTATGAAACCTGATATGTTATTGACCTGGTGGGAGTTATGACATCTTGGGTTTTACGGCTCTTGTTGTTGCTGTTTTGAGACAGGGTCTGGCTCTGTTGCCCAAGCTGGAATGCAGTGGCATGATCATAGCTCACGGCAGCCTTGACTTTCCAAACTCAAGCCATCCTTCCACCTCAGCCACCCCAGTAGCTAGGACTCCAGACATGCATCACTATGCTCAACTAATTTACTTTTTATAGAGATTGGGGTGGGGGGCGGGGGGCGGGGGGCGGGTCTCCGTATGTTACCCAGGCTGATCTCGAACTCCTGGCCTCAAGCGATTCTCCCATGTCAGCCTCCCCAAGTGACAGGATTACAGGCGCTACCCACTGTTCCCGGCCCTGCATCTTGCTTTTAAATAGACTCCACACAAACCTCAGACAACTGAAGAGAAGCAAAAAAGTCTGCGTTTTCTGATATGTTCTTCAGTCTCTTCCTTTCGTAGGGTGACAATCCCGAAAAATCCTATAAAATTACACCAAAAAGATTCCATTACTTTATATAATCTACAGGAAAAGCACTTCACAAAACTACATGTTTCATTTTCTACATGAATACTTTACTTCAAATTGTACTATCTCTATTCATTTCATCATCTTACCAAAACAGACGTTTGCTGAATTGGATATTTCAGTAAGTCTGGATTTGGGATACCCCCAAAATATCTGTATGGCTTCCCAGTTAAGAAGTGATCTGATATTAGAAATCAAGTAGTATGATCTAGTAGCAAATTATTTCCTAGTGGCAATTAATTGTACTATTACACAAAAGTTATTTTTGGCCAGGGGCAGTGGCTCACGCCTGTAATCCCATCAATTTGGGAAGCTGAAGTGGATGGAACACCTGAGGTCTGGAGTTCAAGACCAACCTGGCCAAAATGGTGAAACCTCATCTCTACTAAAAATATAAAAGTTGGTCAGACGTGGTGGCTCACACCTGTAATCCCAGCACTTTGGGAGGCCGAAGTGGGCAGATCACCTGAAGTCAGGAGTTCGAGACCAGCCTGGCCAACATGGTGAAATCCTGTCTCAACTAAAAATACAAAAAAAAAAAAAAAATTAGCCAGGTATAGTGGCAGGAGCCTGTAATCCCAGCTACTCAGGAGGCCGGGGCAGGAAAATCGCTTGAACCTGGGAGGTGGGGGTTGCAGCAAGCCGAGATCGCACCATTGCACTCTAGCCTGGACAATAAGAGCGAAACTCCGTCTCAAAAAAAAAAAAAAAAAAAGTTATTTTTTTCCAACAAAAAAACTTCCCTTAAACGCAGTAGAGTGAGTAAGTACATGTCTCTACTTTCTCCTAAAAAGCCACTAATGTAACAGTAAGCTAATTTTTTAAAACCCTGAGATATAAGGCAGTATATTCAGGAAATAGCAAAATACTGTAAGAAAAGAAAATTCAAAAAATAAGAACTCAATAGTTTTTAAATCCATGAAAAGGCTTAAATTTAGAAAGTAGAACAAAAAGATAAACACATGAACAGAAAAGACAAAAAAATACTCAGTCTTAGAGGTCCAATATCCAATTCATTGTTCGAGAAACTGCTGAGAAATTGGAAGAGAATCAATTATTAAAAAATAATATAAATGGCAGGCCGGGTGTGGTGGCTCACGCCTGTAATCCTAGCACTTTGAGAGGCCGAGGCAGGCAGATCACCAGGTCAGGAAATCAGGACCATCCTGGCCAGCATGGCAAAACCCAGTCTCTACTAAAAATACAAAAATTAGCCGGGTGTGGTGACACACGCCTGTAGTCCCAGCTACTCGGGAGGCTGAGACAGAAGAATTGCTTGAACCCGGGAGATGGAGGTTGCAGTGAACCCAGATCATGCCACTGCACTCCATCCAGCCTGGGCCACAGAGCAAGACTCCGTCTCAAAAAACAAACAAACAAAAAAAAAAAAGAAAGGGCTGGGAGCAGTGGCTCACGCCTGTAATCCCAGCACTTTGGGAGGCAGAGGCAGGCAGATCACAAGGTCAGGAGATCGAGACCATCCTAGCTAACACAGTGAAAGCCCATCTCTACTAAAAAATACAAAAAATTAGCCGGGCATGGTGGTGGGCGCCTGTAGTCCCAGCTACACAGGAGGCTGAGGCAGGAGAATGGCATGAACCCGGGAGGCGGAGCTTGCAGTGAGCCGAGATGGCGCCACTGCACTCCACTCTGGGCAACAGAGCCAGACTCCATCTCAAAAAAAAAAAAAAAAGAAAAGAAAAGAAAGAAAAATAACGTTAAGTGGGAGACCAAAGCAGGAGGATCACTGGAGCCCAGAAGTTCAAGTTTGTAGTAAGCTATGATGACACCACTGTGTTCTAGCCTGGGCAACAGAGTGAGACCCCATCTCTAAAAAATAATAGTTTGAAAACAAATATTATTTTAAAGTTTCTCAAAACTAAAGACATGAGCTTCCAGATTAAAAAGGCCCAATGAGTATGCAGCCTTTGGATGCATAATGAATGAAAAAGGACCCAGGCAAGCAAGCTCAGTGGCTCATGCATGTAATCCCAGCACTTTGGGAGGCCACCAGGCAGATCACTAGAGGCCAGGAACTTGAAACCAGCCTGGCCAACGTGTCGAAACCCCGTCTCTACTAAAAATACAAAAAAACTAGCTGGGTGTGGTAGTGCACACCTGTAATCCCAGCTACTTGGGAGGCTGAGGCACAAGAGTTGCTTGAACCTGGGAGGCAGTGGTTGCAGTGAGCCGAGATCACACCACTGCATTCTAGCTGCCAGGGCAAGAGCCGAGACTGTCTCAAAAAAAAAAAAAAAAAAAAAAAAAAACAAAGCAAGCCGGGTGCAATGGCTCATGCCTGTAATCCAAGCACTTTGGGTGGGCAGATCACCTGAGATCAGGAGTTCGAGACCAGCCTAGCCACCATGGTGAAACCTAATCTCTACTAAAAATACAAAAATTACCCAGGCATGGTGGCGCATGCCTGTAGTCCTAGCTACTCAGGAAGCTGAGACAGGAGAATCGCTTGAACCTAGAAGGCAGAGGTTGCAGTGAGGCAAGACTGTGCCACTGCTCTCCAGCCTGGGCGACAGGGTGAGACCCCACCTCAAGAAAAAAAAACAAAAAAACAAAAAAAAAACAAAGATGAACCCA
Organism: Homo sapiens; assembly: GCF_000001405.40. Classification (NCBI taxonomy): domain Eukaryota; kingdom Metazoa; phylum Chordata; class Mammalia; order Primates; family Hominidae; genus Homo; species Homo sapiens. The sequence goes on along the minus strand of NC_000015.10, from coordinate 43,832,418 downwards.
GGCCTCGGCATGTTATCACAATTTTTTTTTTTAAAGTGATAGCGTCTCACTCTGTCACCCAGGCTGAAGTGCATTGGCTTGATTATAACTTACTGCAGCCTTGCACTCCTGGGCTCCAGCCTTAGCCTCCCAAGAAGCTGAAACTACAGGCCTGCCTTACCACACCCAGCCAGAAAAGATCTTAAAAGCATGCAGAGGGGAAAAAAAGATCACAAAGAATCCAGAATCAGAATGGCACAAACTTTCAACATTGAAGGAAGCTGGAAGACAATGGAACAATGCATTAAAAATTCTAAGGAAAGATTATTTTCAACTTACAATTCTAAATCCAATTAGGTCATCAATCAAATATAAAGCTAAAGACTTTTTCTGGGCCAGGTGCAGTGGCTCACGCCTATAATCCTAGCACTTTGGGAGACTGAAGCCGGCAGATCACGAGGTCAGGAGTTTGAGACCAGCCTGGCCAATATGGTAAAACCCCATCTCTATTAAAAAAACAAAAAGTTACAGTAAGCTGAGATCGCACCACTACATTCCAGCCTGGGCGACAGGTGAGACTCCGTCTCAAAAAAAAAAACAAAAAAATTTCTCTGATATGCAAAGTATTTGCCTCGTATACACTTTTTCTCAGAAAGCTGTACTTCACCAAAATGAAAGAATAAACCAAGAAAGAAAGACATGGCATGCGCGGTGGCTCACGCCTGTAATCCCAGCACTGTGAGAGGCTGAGGCAGGCAGATCACTTGAGGTCAGGAGTTAAAAACCAGCCTGGCCAACATGGAGAAACCCCTTCTCCACTAAAAATACAAAAAATTAGCTAGGCATGGTGGCACACGCCAGTAATCCCAGCTACTCGGGACGCTGAGATGGGAGAATCGCTTGAACCTGGGAGGTGAAGGTTGCAGTGAGCTGAGATCGTGCCTCTGCACTCCATCCTGGGTAATAGAGTGAGACCCTGTCTCAAAAAAAAAAAGTATCTTGGCTGGGCTCAGTGGCTCACATCTGTAATCCCAGCACTTTGGGAGGCCGAGGTGGGCAGCCTGCTTGAGCCCAGGAGTTTTAGACCAGCCTGGGCAATAAATATGGCACACCCACATCTCTACAAAATAAAAAGTCAAAATTAGCCTGGCAAGGTGGCACATGCCTGTAGTCCCAGCTATTTGGGAGGCTTTATTTTTTACTTTTTTAAAACAAGAGTCTTGCTCTGTCACCCAGGCTGGAGTGCAGTGGCCTGATCTCAGCTCACTGCAACCTCCACCACCTAGGTTCAAGCGATTCTCCCATCTCAGCCTCCCGAGTAGCTCAGATTACAGGCACCTGCCACCACGCCTGGCTAATTTTTATATTTTCTTTTTTTTTGGTGGGGAAGTGGGGACAGAGTCTCGCTCTGTCGCCCAGGCTGGTGTGCAGTGGTATGATCTCGGCTCACTGCAACCTCTACCTCCTCAGTTCAAGCAATTATCCTGACTCAGCCTCCTGAGTAGCTGGGACTACAGGTGCCCACCACCATGCCTGGCTAATATTTGTTATATTTAGGAGAGACAGGCTTTCACCATGTTGGCCAGGCTGGTCTCCAACTCCTGACCTCAAGTGATCCACCCACCGTGGCCTCCCAAAGTGCCGGGAGTGCAGGCATGAACCACCATGGCCGGCCTAATTTTTGTATTTTTAGTAGAAATAGGGTTTCACCATTTTGGGCAGGCTGGTCTGGAACTCCTCATCTCAGGTGATCTGTCCACCTCCTTTTTTTTTTCTTTAGGAGCAACTCTATTAATGGACCTATTTCATTACATCAAACTAAAATCTGCTTTATATTTACCTTGTATTCTTCAGAATCTTTTTTTTTTTTTTTTTTTGAGACGGAGTTTCACTCTTGTTGCCCAGGCTGGAGTGCAACAGCACGATCTCGGCTCACCGCAACCTCCACCTTCCAGGTTCAAGAGATTCTCCTGCCTCGGCCTCCCTAGTAGCTGGGATTACAGGCCTGTGCCACCACGCCCAGCTAATTTTGTATTTTTGGTAGAGACGGGGTTTCTCCATGTTGGTCAGGCTGGTCTCAAACTCCCCACCTCAGGTGATCCACCTGCTTCAGCCTCCCAAGGTGCTGGGATTACAGGCGTGAGCCACCGAGCCTGACTTCTTCAGAATCTTACAGTCTAAGAGGCCAAAGGGATAACCTAATCCAGTGGTTATCAAAGTGCAGTCCTGGACTAACATCAGCGTCTCTAGGAAACTGTTAAATATGCAAATTGGGCTGGGTGTGGTGGCTCAAGCCTATAATCCTAGCACTTTGGGAGTCTGAGGTTGGAGGACTGGTTGAGCTCAGGAGCTTAAGACCAGCTTGGGCAACACCTCCCAACCTCCACCCCACAAACATCCCAACATCTCCATTAAAAAAAAAAAAAGAAAAGAAAGAAAGAAAAAGAAAAAAGATATGCAAATTGTATGCCCCAACTTCTGAATCAGAAACTGTTGGTGGGGCCCTGCAATGGAGTTTTAACAAACTCTCCATGTAATTCTGATATAGCCTAAAGTTTGAGAACCACAGATTTTATCCAATCCCCTAAGGTCATTTGCTTAAAGGAACAAGGTTTCTTAGAAGTACCCGTGCTAGGCCAGGCGCGGTGGCTCACGCCTGTAATTCCAGCACTTTGGGAGGCCGAGGCGGGCGGATCATGAGGTCAGGAGATCGAGACCATCCTGGCGAACATGGTGGAACCCTGTCTCTACTGAAAATATAAAAAATTAGCCGGGCATGGTGGCGGGCGCCTGTAATCCCAGCTACTCAGGAGGCTGAGGCAGGAGAATGGTGTGAACCCGGGAGGAGGAGCTTGCAGTAAGCCGAGATCATGCCACTGCGCTCCATCCTGGGCAACAGAACAAGACTCGTCTCAAAAAAAAAAAAAAAAAAAAAAAAAAGTGGCCATGCTAGGCTCTCAACCCCAAGTCCAATTCATTTAATACTTACCCCATGCTGTCCCACTATGAGTCCTGGTTCTTAACTCTGGGACGAGAAAGCATAAAGCAAACTTCTATTTCATAACAACAAGCCTTCAATTATAGTATCTCCCTTTCCCTAGGATCATTTTCTGTTTTCTGAGTTCCATCAACATTGTGTCATGTGCTATGTATGTTTTATCTTGTCCAGTTAAAATTTGTCACTTTGAATGGAGCACGGCGCTCCTGGTAGGCAGCAGAAGCCAAAAGAATTACAGACCAGGCTGGGCGCAGTGGCTCACCCCTGTAATCCCAGCACTTTGGGAGGCTGAGGCGGGTGGATCACAAGGTCAGGAGTTAGAGACCAGCCTGACAAACATGGTGAAACCCCGTCTCTACTAAAAACACAAAATTAACCAGGTGTGGTGGCACGCGCCTGTAATCCCAGCTACTCAGGAGGCTGAAGCAGGACAATCTATTAAAACTGGGAGGCCGAGGTTGCAGTGAGCCGAGATAGCGTCACTGCACTCTGGCCTGGGCGACAGAGCGAGACTCTGTCTCCAAAAAAAAAAAAAAGAAAAAAATTACACACCAAATTCCTTAAATTGATTGGAATTACACAGAACAAATGTGTTTCTCATGTATCTTACCTACTCTGTCATTTGTCTCGTTTTGCATTTAAAGGAAATATTATTCAACACAACCATAGAATCAATTTATGTTTCCCTACCCTGATATCAAAGGTCAGTCAATACCATGTCCCACAAACTGATGACTTCTGATATACTGTACATAAACATGTAAAGGTGAGAAAGGCACCATAAAGTATGACTAAACCCAAAAATATATGCAGTTAGTTTAGAGAAAGAAAAAAGGAAGCAGAGTAAAGATTAAGTCAATCCTTTCATTGACACATCAACAGCAAGAGCAAAAATAACCCAAGGAAGTTATTTGTTAAACCTTAAAAATAATAAAAATGTATTATTACATTTATACTTACATTAGATGATGAAATAACTTGTTTGTACCAGAGAGATCCTCGAAAAACTTCGATTTATCAGAACTTCAAATTTCAAAAAAGAGAAACCAGAACAAGCTACTAATTAAGTTCTTACCAGGGATGGTGTGGTATCTTCATCACTGTCTCCATCCTGACTACTTTCCACATCAACACTGAGATTCATCGCATCTGCCGTTCTCTTGGGTTGTAGCTTGTTACTTTCAGTATGAACAGCTGAGGATGAATTTTGCAGCGTGGATTCTGCCTTGGAAGATGTGTTTTTCATCTTTGGAGGTATAATCCTTCTGCAAGTTTTCTTTATTTTAGTCTTCTTACACGCCACTTCATTGTTAGAATTCTTTTCTGATAGGGATTTGGGGCACATAAGCTGGTCTAGCTGGTAATTACTGAGTGAAAAGGGGGCAAGATAGACCTTAGCTGTTTTTATTAAAACTGTAGTCTGTGCTGGTCTCAGAGACACATAAGCGATGTTTTGATTTTCTTTATATTCATTTACCTATTCAGATCAATAAAAGAAAACAGAATATTAGAACTCCAAGTCCTGTGCCTTTTCTTACAGGATCCCTAACAGATCTAATAATTCCCATTTCCCAAAGACAATATAAATCCAAATTGAGGCCAGGTGCAGTGGCTCACGCCTGTAATCCCAGCACTTTGGGAGGCCCAATCGGGCAGATCGCGAGGTCAGGAGATCGAGACCATCCTGGCTAACATAATGAAACCACCTGTCTCTACTAAAAATACAAAAATTAGCTGGGCATAGTGGCACACGCCTGTAGTCCCAGCTACTCAGGAGGCTGAGGCAGAAGAATCACTTGAACCCGGGAGACGGAGGTTGCAGTGAGCCGAGATCACACCACTGCCCTCCAGCCTGGGCAACAGAGTGAGACTTAAGCTCAAAAAAATAAATAAATCCAAATTGACACCCTTCGTAAGAAAACTTATTTTCCCCTCCAAAATCCTAGATATGTAATTCACTAACCTTAACCTCAGTAGAATTCACTTACTGGGCACATTTGCCCATAAGTTTTCCAGACCAATAATAATAATGACTAGCATTTGTGACTGGGGCAAATACCCCAACTGTCAGCTGCGGATTGTCTGGAATTATTTAAAGAGTGTGAAGCCGATCATAACTGTGGCAGAAGAAAACGCAGAAGGTTGAAGAAAGGGAATCCCAGATGTGACTCTCCCACTATTTCTCGGGTTATTGATAAGAACCTTTCGTCAAAGCTGAAGGCCTAAGGGCAGGGATCCCCCGCCTACCCCCGGTGCCAGGTGCCCTCGACCTCCTGGGCCTGTGTCCCGCATAACCCTCACAAAAACCGAGGCAGGAGCACACCTTGGAAGCACCAGTCCGTTTCTCACCTTCATCTGGGGTCGCTGTCTGGAGTCCGCCTTCTCAGCCGCCGCGCCCGACCTGGACATCTTTCGGCTTCTTAGCGGCCGGCGCCTTCCCGCCAAGATTGCGGCGGGAGGCCGGGAGGGGCGGGTCCGAGGCGGGGCGGAGCCCACTCAGATCCCCAGCGGCCGCAGCGCCAGAGCAGGAAGTTGGGGTTTTACGCGCGCTTCTTAAGAAGGCCGCCTTGGCCAGGCGCGGTGGCTCCCGCCTGTAATCCTAAGCACTTTGGGAGGCTGAGGCGGCGGATCACCTGAGGTCAGGAGTTTGAGACCAGCCTGGCCAACATGACGAAACCCCGTCTCTACTAAAATTACAAAAATTAGCCGGGCTTGGTGGCGCGTGCCTGTAATCCCAGTTACTCAGGAGGCTGAGGCAGAATTGCTTGAACCCAGGGGGCAGAGGTTGCAGTGAGCTGAGATCGCGCCATTGCACTCCAGTCTGGGCAACAAGAGTGAGACTCCGTCTCAAAAAAAAAAAAATGCTGTCTTAAAGCCCTAGACTCAAATTCTTTAGGGATGTCCTGGGGCTGAACTGACATTTTTACCTTTGACTGGTGATTTTGATTCTGGTGGTACTGGGATGTCGCTTTGAAAAACACTAACAGGCCGGGAGCGGTGGCTAACGCCTGTAATCCCAACACTTTGAGAGGCCGAGAGGAGTGGATCACTTGGGCCCAGGAGTTCCAAACCAGCCTGGGCAACATAGTGAGACCCCATCTCTATAAAAAATACAAAAATTAGCCCAGCGTGGTGTTGTACGTCTGTAGTCCCAGCTACTCAGAAGGCAGGGGTGGGAAAATGGCTTGAACCTAGAAGGATGAGGCCACAGTGAGCCGTGATTGCGCGGAACTCCAGCCTGAGCGACAGAGCAAGACCCTCTTCTATAAATAATAAAATAAGATTCTGGCTATTCTCTTTAAGGTTCCTTCTAGCCCAAAACTGTTTCCTTGGTTGCTTAGTTGGGTCCCACACTGTTCCTTGCCTGAGATTTGTCCAGTTTCATTTCTTCTCCCACTCAAGGCCCAATTGTAGAACACAGGTGAAGTAATTTGGGTTAATCATATTAATAGCAACTTCAAGGCCCCTCATGACTCAAAAATTACTGATAAAACCAAACTTTTCATGGTGTCCTGTATAAAACATACTGTTTCTGGACTTTAAGACTTTGTTCCTACTGTCCCTTGTCTCCCCCGCAGTTATAAAGTCCTTTCTACTGTGAAATGTGTCCTGACTTTCCAATTAGCCAATATTATATATATTTTTTAACACGACTCAGCTTGTAAATTGGAGCTGCTTCTGTTATTATCCTGTAAGTCCTTAAAGAGTTCTTAAATAGGCCGGGTGCGGTGGCTCACCTCTGTAATCCCAGCACTTTGGGGAGGCCGAGGTAGGTGGATCATCTGAGGTCAGGAGTTCAAGACCAGCCTGGGCAACATGGCGAAACCCTGCCTCTACTAAAAATACAAAAATTAGCCGGGAGTGGTGGCCCACGCCAACACTCAGCACTGTGGGAGGCCGGAGTGGGCGGATCACTTAAGCCTGGCCAACATGGTGAAACCTCGTCTCTACTAAAAATACAAAAATCAGCAGGGAGTGGTGGCAGGCGCCTGTAATCCCAGCTAATCAGAAGGCTGAGGCACGAGAATTGCTTAAACCCGGGAGGTGGAGACTGCAGTGAGCTGAGATCGAGCCACTGCACTCCAGCCTGGGTGACAGAAAAAGACAGTCTCAAAAGAATAATAATTACTTAGATATTTAAATACAAACATTTTCTAGCCAGGAATGTATTTTAATAGGTAGTTTCCAGAAACTGGAAAAACCTGAAAGCCTAAAAAAGTGGAGTTTTGGGATTTCAGGTGGGCAATGTCCCAGGCACCTCGGGAGTTTTTTTTTTTTTTTTTTCGGTCACTGGCCTAAATCAGCACCACCTGCCCTGTGAAACCAAATACCGCACCACAGCCCACCCTGGCCTTATGAACTAAGCTAATCGGATACTACTGGCAAGATTTTTATTCCATCAAACTCTACTTCTTCTGAGCTTTCAACAAGCCATTCAAACAGTAACTCACTGTCGCCTGAGTTTCTTATTCACTATACCGTTCTTGGCTTCAAACCAAGCTAACACGTAAAATCTTTCATTCGAACCTTCCTCACCGCAGAGTCCTAACAGCAAAGCCCAAAGGAAGCAAAATTTCCCGCCAAAAGCTGCTTCCAAATTCTGCGACGTAGAGGACATGCGGGCAGCCAATGAGCATGCGCAGAAACCGACTCGACTTCCTAGCTGTGGGCGCCCAAACGTCGTCCACCATCCCACAATCCTCTCGTCACGTATTTCCGGTTTATCTAGCTCAGCCGTAAGTAGTTTCTCTATCAGTCGCGCAGCTGTGTTCGCGGACTCAGGTGGAAGGAATTTCTTCTCTTCGTTGACGTTGCTGGTGTTCACTGTTTGGAATTAGTCAAGTTTCGGGAATCACCGTCGCTGCCATCAACATGTCGGTCCCAAGCGCTCTCATGAAGCAACCGCCCATTCAGTCTACGGCTGGGGCCGTCCCAGTTCGCAATGAGAAAGGTACGGTGCTAACACCCTCTTCCCAGTCGAATTTTAACCCCTTCCGGCCCCAGCAACCTCCAGACCTCTCCCGGACAGACCACTCCAACCCCGCCAGCTCTTGAGATCTGGCTGCCAGATTCTTCGATCTTTCCACCCCCACCCACTTGCATCCGATCTTGTTCCTGTGGCCTGCTCTCGTATTCAGCAAGCACCTCTCTTCTGTTAGCCTCCACAAATTCCTTAGACTAATGTTACATATATATAATATATATTACACATATAAAAACATTAGGAACTTAAGTATATATCAGAATATATATGTCTAATATATATATGCTAGAATATATGTATTAGTCTAATATATATTATGATTAGAATATAATATCACTAATTACATATAATTACAAGAATTTATGTATTATTAGTGTAATTACTTAGGAACTTAAGTATATTATTAATCTAATAATTAGGAACTTAAGTATATATCAGAATATGTATATAATATCAGACTAGATAGATAGATAGAGAATGCCTGTTGGCAGGGCATTGTGCGGGATACAGTCCCTCTTTTGCTGTCCATAGAAGTCTGCTTATGCTGCCCAGGCTGGACTCGAATTCCTGGGGCTCAGGCTGTCCTCCTGCCTCAGCCTCCCGAGTAGATGCCGCCGTATCTAGTCTCAACATGGCTTTTGAGAATTATCTTTGGATCCCTATACATCTAATTCATTCATCTTAACAGCTTATGAATTCCATTGTATAAAATAAACTGTAATCCACACTTTATTCCCTACTGAGAGGCAGGTGGTTGTCCCCTTGTTCAAAAAAGTGCTGCGGCCAGGCACGGTGTCTTATGCCCATAAACCCAGCACTTTGGGAGGCTGAGGCGGGCTGAACACCTGAGGTCAGGAGTTCAAGACAGCCTGGCGATCATGGCGAAACCCCGTCTCTACTAAAAATACAAAAAATTAGCCATGCATGGTGGTGGGTACCTGTAATCCCAGCTACTTGGGAATCTGAGGCAGGAGAATTGCTTGAACCCGGGAGGTGGAGGTCGCAGTGAGCAGAGATCGCACCATTGCACTCCAGCCTGGGCCACAGTGTGAGACACTCTCTCAAAAAAAAAAAAAGAAAGTTCTGCAATTGTCATTCTCTAGCCAATACTAGCTTTATTTAGTACCTGTTGCCAATTGCTCCCCAAAGTAAGTTATAAGAACATAAGAATTTGTGGAGCACAGTGGCTTACACCTGTAATCTCAGCACTTCGGGAGGCTGAGGCAGGAGGATCGCTTGAGGCCAGGAGTTCAAGACCAGCTTGGGCAACATAGCGAGACCACCCCCCACCCCCGCCAATCTCTGCAAAAATAAAAATTAGGGCCCGGCGCGGTGGCTCACGCCTGTAATCCCAGCACTTTGGGAGGCTGAGGCTGGTGGATCACCTGAGGTCAAGAGTTCGAGACCAACCTGGCCAACGTGGTGAAACCGTCTCTACTAAAAATACAAAAATTAGCCAGGTGTGGTGGCAGGCGCCTGTAATCCCAGCTACTCGGTAGGCTGAGGCAGGAGAATCACTTGAACTCAGGGGGCAGAGGTTGCAGTGAGCCGAGATCGCACCATTGCACTCCAGCCTGGGGGACAAGAGCAAGACTTCGTCTCAAAAATAATAATAATAATAATAATTAAAAATTAGCGGGATGTAGTGATGTGCTCCTGCTACTTGGGGGAAGCCAAAGCAGGAGGATCACTTATGCTCGAAAGTTCAAAGATGCAATGAGCTATGATTGTGCCATTACACTCCAACCTAAGCAACAGATCAAGACCCTGTCTGTTAAAACAAAGGCTGGGCGTGATGCCTCAGGCCTGTAATCCCAGCACTTTGGGAGGCCGAGATGGGTGGATCACCTGAGGTCAGGAGTTTGAGACCAGCCTGGCCAACATGGTGAAACCCCGTCTCTACTAAAAATACAAAAATTAGCCGGGTGTGATGGCGCACGCCTGTAATCCCAGCTGTTTGGAAGGCTGAGGCAGGAGAATCACTTGAACCCGGCAGGTGGAGGTTTCATGGAGCCAAGATCATGCCACTGCACTCCAGCCTGGCCAACAGAGCAAGACTCTGTCTCAAAGAAAAAAAAGAAAACAAACTTTGAGAACCTAAGAGCTTTATTTCCCATATATTCATCATCTACACACTTGGTTGTATCAGATTTTTACATTTTTTGCCCAATCTAACAGGTGTGAAATGGTATCTCATTATTCTAATTTGCATTCCCCTGATTACTAGTGATGCTGGGCTTTTTTTTTTTTTTTTTTTGAGAAAGAGTTTCACTCTTGTTGACCAAGCTGGAGTGCAATGGCTCCATCTCGGCTCACCATAGAGCTACTGCGTCCGGCCGATGCTGGGCATCTTGTTCATGTGTCTAATAAGCTCTCTAGATTTTCTTTTCCATGAATTACCTGTTTCTGTCAGTTACCCACTTTCTGTTTGCTTTGTTTTTATATATTCCAAATCTATAGTATACGTTTCCCCATTTTTTGGCTTGTCTTTTAATTATGGAGTCTTCTCTTACACACGTTTCTAGTTTTAGTATTATCAGATTTATCAACTTTATCTTGTATGGTTTTAGCTTTTTTTTGTATATCGTTTAAGAAATAATCCTTCCCTGCACTGAGATCACAGATACTCATATTGTAAAGGTTTTCTATCTTCTGAGTGTTTGTATATATTAAATTGAGTTGAATACACACTTATACAAGACAGATTATAAGTTAGCTTACAGTCCAGTAGGGAATGTAAATATTTAAGATAAGTTTTTCATAGTTGCGTCTTTAATCCATCTGGAATTTTTGTGTCTGTGGTGGAAGTTAGAGGTCTAATTTTACTATATGGTTGGCCAATTGTCCCTTCTCACCCCATCCATTTTCTACTGATTTTTAATGCCATCCCTATAATATACTCGAGTTCTCATATAAGTTTGTTTTTCTTTTCTCTGTTACATTGATCTCTGTGTACTTCCTGGGTCACTGACATATCTGGTAAACTATGCCCCACCCCTCCTTCCCCGCCCCCATCAGCTTTATTCTTCTTCAGCATTGTCTTGGCATTTTGGGGCCTCCTGTTCTTCCATATGATTTTGGAATAAGCCTGGAGACAACTTTTAATGGAATTGCATTAAAATGATAGATTATACATTTATAGGTTAATTCAGGTGCAGTTGCCATCTTCTCATCCTTGAACATGAAATATTTCTCTATTTACATCTTTTTTATCTTTCAATAAAATTACATATTTTTCCTCCTAAAAGCCTTGTACATTGTTTGTTGGATTTATTCCACAGTATCTTATAGATTACTTGTGACCGTTAATGGTATTTTAAAACTATATTTTCTTCAGCCTGGGCAACATAGCGAGACCCCAAAAAATACAGTGCTCTACAAAAAAACAAAATTACCTGGGTGGTACCTGTCTGTAGTCCCAGCTACTGAGAGGCTGAAGAGGGAGGCTCACTTTAGCCCAGGAGGTTGAGACTGCAGTGAGCTGTGATCATGCCACTGCACACCAGCCTGGGTAACAGAATGAGACCCTTTCTCAAACAGTAGAAAATAAGCCAGGCATGGTGGCTCACGCCTGTAATCCCAGCACTTTGGGAGGCCCTAGGCAAGAGGATCACTTGAGTCCAGGAGTTCAAGACCAGCATGGGCAGCATAGTGAGACCTCGTCTGTACAAAAAAATTTTAAAAATTAGACCGGCATGGTGTTGCACGCCTGTAGTCCCAGCTACTTGGGAGGCTGAGGCAGGAGAATGGTTTGAGCCTAGGAGGCTGACGCTGCGGTGAGCCATGATTGCGCCACCGCACTCCACCCTAGGCAACAGAGTGAGACCCTGTCTCAAGAAAATAAATAAAAATAAAATTGTACTTTCTAATTATATGTAGCTAATGTACAGGTATGCTTATTTTTATAAATAAGTTTTTTATCTAGCATTTTTTCTGAACTCTTTTATCTATTTGTTATCTTGTGTTTTCTACAAAGACAACCATATAATCTGCAAATTATGGCAGTTTCTTCCTTTTAAATCCTTATAACTTTTCCTTATTGCCCAAATTAGAACCATAATACAGTGTTGACTAGAAGGTGTGATAGGTACAACATTAGGATGCTCACTGGTTTTTTTTGTTGTTGTTGTTTGTTTTTTTTGAGATGGAGTCTTACCCTGTCGCCTAGGCTGGAGTGCAGTGGCGCGATCTCGGCTCACTGCAAGCTCCGCCCCTGGGTTCACACCATTCTCCTGCCTCAGCCTCTTGAGTAGCTGGGACTACAGGTGCGTGCCACCACACCCGGCTAATTTTTTGGTTTTTTGTTTTTTTGAGACGGAGTCTCGCTCTCTTGCCCAAGCTGGAGTGCAGTGGTGCTATCTCGCTCACTGCAAGCTCTGTGTCCCGGGTTCACGCCATTCTCCTGCCTCAGCCTCCCAAGTAGCTGGGACTACAGGCACTCGCCACCATGCCTGGCTAATTTTTTTGTCTTTTTAGTGGAGATGGGGTTTCACTGTGTTAGCCAGGATGTTCTCAATTTCCTGACGTTGTGATCCGTCCGCCTTGGCCTCCCAGAGTGCTGGGATTACAGGCGTGAGCCACCACACCCAGCTGGATGCCCACTGATTTTTAAAGAGAATGCTTCTGGCCAGTCACAGTGGCTCACACCTGAAATCCCAGCACTTTATGATACTGAGGCTGGCAGATCACCTGAGGTCAGGAGTTCAAGACCAGCCTGGCCTACATGTTGAAACCCTGTCTTTACTAAAAAATACACAAATTAGCCAGGCATGGTGGTGGGCACCTGTAATCCCAGCTACTCAGGAGCCTGAGGCAGGGAGAATTGCTTGAACCCAGGGGGCGGAGGTTGCAGTGAGCGGAGATCATGCCACTGCACTGCAGCCTGGGCAACAGAGCGAGACTCCATCTCAAAAAAAATAAATAAATAAATAAATAGAATGTTTCTATTGTTTTATCATTAAGTATAAAGTCTGCTGTATCTATTATTTTTTAAAAATGTGACTTTAAAAAATAGTAGGCTAGGAGAGATGGCTCACACCTGTAATCCTAGCACTTTGGGAGACTGAGGCTGGAGGATCACTTGAGGCCAGGAGTCCAAGGCCAGCTTGGGCAACATAGCAAGACCCTTTCTCTACCTTTTAAAAAATAACAAACAAAAATAAAATTTTAAAAAGTAAAAATAGTATATTGCTTCCCTCCCATTGTTCATCTATCTATCTATGTACATTTTTTTTTGGAATTTTGTTTTGTTTTGTTTTGTTTTTAAAGACAGAGTCTTACTGTGTTGCCCAGGCTGGAGTGCAGTAGCACGATCTCAGCTCACTGCAACCTCCACCTTCCAGGTTCAAGTTATTCTCCTGCCTCAGCCACCTGAGTAGCTTGGATTAAAAAGTCTGTGCCACCATGTCTGGCTAATTTTTGTATTTTTAGTAGAGACGGAGTTTTGCCATGTTGGGCAGGCTGGTCTCGAACTCCTAGCCTCAACTGATCTGCCCACCTTGGCTTTCCAAAGTGCTGGGATTACAAGCATGAGCCACTGTGCCCAGCTATATATATTTTTGTGTTTGACACAGGGTCTCACTCTATCACTCAGGCTAAAGTGAGTGCCTTGGTGTGGTCATGGCTTGCCGCAGCCTCAACCTCCTGGGCTCCAGTGATTCTCCCACCTCAGCCTCCCATGTAGCTTGGGACCACAGGCATATACCACTATGTCCGGGTAATTTTTTTTGTTTTTAGTAGAGATGAGGTCTAAACCCAGGCTGGTCTCGAACTCCTGGGTTTAAGCAATCCTCCTGCCTCAACCTTCCAAAATGCTGCGATTATAGGCATGAGCCACTGCACCTGGCCCCCTCATTAATTTTCTAAGGTCAAACTATCCTTCTAGTCTTGGGCTAAATTCTAATAAGTTGTGTTGGTCTAGGGGTTTTTTTTTTTTGTTTCTTTTTTTTTTTTTGGTAGTTTTTATATTGCTGGGATAAATTTGCTCTTACGTTATTTAGTATTTTTGTATTTGTGTTTGTAAGTGAAATCCACCTAAAGTTTTCCTTTGAACTGTCCAATTTGGTTATCAAGGTTATACTCATAAAATAAGTTGGTTAGTTTTCACTGTCTTTGTTCACTAGAATTGTTTGTATTTGTAGGCTGGGTGCTGTGGCTCACGCCTGTAATCCCAGCACTTTGGGAGGCTGAGGTGGGCGGATCATGAGGTCAGGAGATCGAGACCATCATGGCTAATACGGTGAAACCCCATCTCTACTAAAAATACAAAAAATTAGCTGGGCATGGTGGCATGCGTCTGTAGTCCCAGCTACTCAGGAAGCTGAGGCAGAAGAATCACTTGAACCCGGGAGGCGGAGGTTGCAGTGAGCCGAGACCACGCCACTGCACTCCAGCCTGGGCGACAGAGCGAGACTCCGTCTCAAAAAAAAAAAAAAAAAAAGAATTGTATTTGTAAGAGATTACATACTCTTGCATGTTTGATAACACATAAGGTAAAGGAAAAGAAGGTAGAAATAGGTAAGATTAGAATATTGAGTCATGTGGCAGTATGTTATAAAGGCTGCCATGGAAATTCCAGAGGGAACTACAAGAATGCCTGAGCAGTTTTATGTTCCTGCAGAAATTACCCTTACTATGTGCTGGGCACTGTTACAAATAATTTGTTTAAGGGTATAGTTGAGGTGGGATACCATGAATTTGTGATGGATGCAGTCTGCCTTTTTGGGGGGGGACTTTTTTCTACTGTTTCACTGCCTACCTTCCTCTACTTCATTGTACTCAAGGTAAGCCTCATTATCATCAGTGTTGGCTTTCACAAGGATGCAGTCTCATGACTTGGCCTTTGTAGGAAAACACCATTAGAAGAGTAGATGGTTGGGTAGTGGCTCTCTTCTTCTTCTGCTTAGACTCTTGTCTACTATGAATAAAGGGCTCTATTTGCAAAGGCCGTGATGGGTTGAAGCACATTGAGAAAGAGGCTACTGAAACATAAGTTACCTTTCTCGCCCAGGTGAGATTTCAATGGAAAAAGTGAAGGTAAAGCGTTATGTGTCCGGAAAAAGGCCAGACTATGCCCCTATGGAGTCCTCAGATGAGGAGGATGAAGAATTTCAGTTCATTAAGAAAGCCAAAGAACAAGAAGCAGAGCCTGAGGAACAGGAGGAGGATTCATCCAGTGACCCCCGGCTACGGCGTTTACAGAACCGTATTAGTGAAGATGTGGAAGAGAGGTAATGTCTGTGATTGTGTTTACTTGAACATGAACCTCTACAGCTTAATAATAATAATAATAGCTAATACTTGAATAGTACTACCAAGTAGATTACATTTGCTAATTCTTGTAATCCATACAATAACTTTATGAAATAGGTGCTATTATCCCCATTTCACAAAAGGAGGAAACTAAGAGCACAAAGGGGCTAAGAAAGTTACATGACCAAAGCTACAAAGTGGCAGCTTCAGGAAACAGCAGGTTACTTCTGGCCTAAAGGACCTACTCAACTCCTTATGGGAATAGAAAACACAGACCATTTGTTGGCTGTTGAGAGGAGTCTTTTTAGCACAAAGATGTTTTATAAACTTTGGTAAATTGATTTTATACATCTACTTATTCTAAATGCTAATAAGGGGAAATGACACTGAAGTAGGAGAAAAGACCTTATAAAGGTCTCATGGTAGAAAGAGAGCCTCCCAGTGAGGGATTTTGTATGTTATATATTGATGGAGACATTACTTTATAGAGTAGGCCAGGAGTCCTGAACTTTCACCGTTCATAATTGTCCCAGGAGTTTTTTCACAGAGCTCCTGGGCCAAAACAGTTCTGTTTATTTTAGTTATTAAGTAGTTAGAGCCAAGTAACTTAATAAGTATTTATGTCCTAATAACTTTGCCACTTGAAGATTAACAGTGCCCATGGCCAGGTGCGGTGGCTCACGCCTGTAATCCTAGCACTTTGGGAGGCTGAGGCGGGTGGATCACGAGGTCAGGAGTTCAAGACCAGCCTGGCCAACTTGGTAAAACCCCATCTCTACTAAAAATACAAAAAAATTAGCCAGGCCTGGTGGCGGGCACCTGTAATCCCAGCTACTTGGGAGGCTGAGGCAGAGAATTGCTTGAACCTGGCAGGCAGAGATTGCAGTGAGCCGAGATCACGCCACTGCACTCCAGCCTGGGTGACAAAGCGAGACTCCATCTCAAAAAAAAAAAAAGAAAAGAAAAAAGAAAAAAAAATAAAATTACAGTGCCCAGGGGGGAAAAAACACTTTTATTCATTCTCACATAACCATAGTTACTAGTGGAATTTGTTTGCCTGTTGGACACTGACAGCCTTTCAAACCTTGGAATCAGCACTGTCACTTTTTCATGTCTTGTTTTATATTGATTTTCATACTATACTTTCTTTTACTTTTTATCACAGCAGCCACCAAAACCCAGTTTCACAAAGACACGATATTCTCGAAAGGAATGTAGTGTGACTTAATGTTGAAAGTGAATTATCTTGAGCTATTAAAAATATTCCAATGCAGGCCAGGCTCAGTGACTCATGCCTGTAATCCCAGCACTTTGGGAGGCCTAGGCAGGCGGATCACCTGAGGTCAGGAGTTCAAGACTAGCCTGGCCAATATGGCGAAACTCCATCTCTACTAAAAATAAAAAAATTAGCTGGGTGTGGTGGTGCATGCCTGTAATCCCAGCTACTCGGGAGGCTGAGGCAGGGATTATCACTTGAACCTGGGAGGTGGAGGTTGTGGTGAGCCAAGATCATGCCCTTGCACTTCAGCCTGGGTGACAGAGTGAGATTCTGTCTCAAAAAAAAAAAAATCCCAATGCATCCCTATGAGTTTGCTGGCTTGCTGTGGTGCCCCAGGATGCCTCAACATACATTTAGTATTTCAGGCCCAACTTGACTATTCGCTCTGACATCCTAGTTTAGTTTCTTTAATCTGCACCTCAGTTTCCTCCACCTCAATACTTTAATACTGGATGGACATGGTGGCTCACACCTATAATCCCAGCACTTTGAGAGGCTGAGGTGGGCAGATTGCCTAAGTCCAGGAGTTCAAGACCAGCCTGGGCAACATGGTAAAACCCCGTCTCTACAAAAAATACAAATATTAGCCAGGTGTGGTGGCACGCCTATAGTCCCAGCTACTCAGGAGGCTGAGGTGGGAGGATCACTTGAGTCTGGGAGGCAGAGGTGGCAGTGAGCCAAGATCGCACCACTGCACTGCAGCCTGGGCGACAGAGCAAGACCCTGCCTCAAAAAAAAAAAAACTTCAGTATTAATGAAGGCAAACATAATGTGCTCTGTGGCTATGGAAATGCAGTTGATGCTACTTCATTTTTATGACATTGGTGTTACATTTGGAGATACTGTTTTTCAGATTGGCTCGACATCGAAAAATAGTGGAACCTGAAGTGGTAGGAGAGAGTGACTCAGAAGTAGAAGGAGATGCTTGGCGCATGGAACGAGAAGACAGCAGTGAAGAAGAGGAGGAGGAAATTGATGATGAGGTATGATAAAGGAACATGGGAAGTTTTTTTCTGGATATAAGAAAAAGTTCATGCCAGTGCTCATTTGTTGAAGCCTTAAAAACATGAGATCACTGCTTTGGCAGGACTCTGATCATGTTCCTTGTTTGTGGGGATAGGATTAAAAATAGAATGATACTAAGTTGTATCTTTTTACATTTGAATTTGTTGTGTTTGATGAGACGAACAAAAAGCCATAGGCCATTTGACTGACTGGCTTATATATATGACTTGATAGGAAATAGAGCGGCGGCGTGGCATGATGCGTCAGCGAGCACAGGAGAGAAAAAATGAAGAGATGGAAGTCATGGAAGTGGAAGATGAGGGTCGTTCTGGAGAGGAGTCAGAATCAGAGTCTGAGTATGAAGAGTACACAGACAGTGAAGATGAGATGGAGCCTCGCCTTAAGCCAGTCTTCATTCGAAAGTAAGTATCTCACAAGCCAGATCTGAATCCACTTAATTACCACTTTCCAGGCCTGGAGACAAAAGTCTGTTTTCTGTCTTGCTATTCTGAAATCTAAACGCTGAGTGAAAGTGCTTTTGCTAGTGCTCTACCCTTGGCAGACTAGCTGCTGAGGAATATCTTGGCGTTAGCAGAGAACCTGAGTTTGTTTTCACATCTCTTTTTTCAGTAATAGAGCATATATCTGTCCAAGGCCTTTTTTTGTTTGTTTGAGACAGAGTTTCGCTCTTGTTGCCCAGGCTGGAGTGCAATGGCATGATCTCGGCTCACCACAACCTCCACCTCCTGGTTTCAAGCAGTTCTGCCTCTGTCTCCCGAGTAGCTGGGATTACAGGCA
Organism: Homo sapiens; assembly: GCF_000001405.40. Classification (NCBI taxonomy): domain Eukaryota; kingdom Metazoa; phylum Chordata; class Mammalia; order Primates; family Hominidae; genus Homo; species Homo sapiens. The sequence goes on along the minus strand of NC_000015.10, from coordinate 43,814,124 downwards.
TGCGCCACCACGCCTGGCTAATTTTGTATTTTTAGTAGAGAGGGGGTTTTTCCATGTTGGTCAGGCTGGTCTCGAACTCCCAACCTCAGGTGATCCGTCCTCCTCAGCCTCCCAAAGTGCTAGGATTACAGGCATGAGCCACGGCACCAAGCCAAGGCCATATATTTTTAAGCACAAAATTAAACTCAACGAGCAAATTCCTATTCCTTTCCTGATGGCTAGAAATCCTACTGCTTAGAGGCCAGCAGGTTCTTTGCTGTCTAGGCAGTTCTCAAAGATGAACATGATTTTAGTCCTCTAAAGACCTGGGATGATGGCTGGGCACGGTGGCTCACGACTGTAATCCCAGCACTTTGGGAGGCTGAGGTAGGTGGATCAGGAGGTCAGGAGTTCAAGACCAGCCTAGCCAAGATGGTGAAACCCCATCTCTACTAAAAATACAAAGAAATTAATCAGGTGTGGTGGCAGACTCTTGTAATCCCAGCTACTCAGGAGGCTGAGGCAGAGAATTGCTTGAACCCAGGAGGCGGAGGTTGCAGTGAGCCAAGATCACACCACTGCACTGCAGCCTAGGCGACAAGTGAGACTCCGTCTCAAAAAAAAAAAAAAAAAAAAAGACCTGGGATGACTCAGCGTTTTTTGCTCTTTGAAAATAATAGAGCCAAAGATTGTTTGGTTTTTGTCTGATTTGGATGGGACTAGGTCTAGGGGAACAAAGCACTCCACTCTAAGGACTTTGGGCAATTAACAGGATCTCTGTGATGCAGGAAGGACCGAGTGACAGTTCAAGAACGTGAAGCCGAAGCATTGAAACAGAAGGAGCTGGAGCAGGAAGCAAAACGCATGGCTGAGGAAAGGCGCAAGTACACACTCAAGGTACTGGGGAGTGGTTGCAAGGAATGAGTACAAGAAATAGTGTAATCAGGTTTGTCTGAGGAGAGTAAGGAAGTCCAAGCTGAATTGTTCTCCCTATCCAGATTGTCGAAGAGGAAACCAAAAAAGAGCTGGAAGAGAACAAGCGATCCCTGGCTGCATTGGATGCACTCAATACTGATGATGAAAATGATGAGGAGGAATATGAGGCATGGAAAGTTCGAGAGCTAAAAAGAATCAAGAGGGACAGAGAAGATCGAGAAGCGTGAGTAAAAAGATGAGCCTAGAGTTAATGCTGCTAATGGAACAGGTTTCTAGCAGGATAGCTCTGAGACTCATTACCTACTGTGAGTTCCATTCTAGCCACCTTCAGAGTTCTTGTTGCTTTGTGAGTTTCCTATAATTGGAATATGAGTTTCACTTGCTACAGTGAAATCAGGGAAGAGAAAAACACTTTGTCGATGTGTGTCCATAATAGAGTGCCAGCCAGTGCTCCCTTTAGTTTCCTAGTAGACACAAAAATTAGTAACTGTTAGTAGTTATCTCTTCTTGTGTACAACCCAACCCACAATTGAGTGACTTGAAACTATAATTTATTACTTTTCACAACTTTGGAGGTTGGCTGAACAGTTCCTCTACTGATTTCACCTGGGCTTACTTATGTAGTTGCATCCAGCTGGAAGGTTGACTGGGCTGGAAACTTAAAAGGGCTTCACTCACATGTTAGTAGTAGGTGGTGGCTATCAGTTAGGATACCTCACTTATCCTTCACTGGATTAGACTGGCTTCCTTACATAGCAGTCTCAGGGCACCATTCTAAGAGGGCAAGGTCTTCTGACATGTCGGTTCCAGAACTCATACATCGATCTTGCCACATACTGGTCAAAGCAAGTCACAAGGCCAACCTAGCTTTAAGCAGGTGGAGAAACAGACTCCACCTCTGCAGAGGAGGAGCAGCAAAGTCATACTTTTTGAAAAGGGGCATACATACTGTGAGGGGAAGAATTTGTGGCACTTAAATAATCTACACTGTGTTAGAGCAGAATCTTTTTTTTTTTTTTTTGACATGAAGTTTCACTTTTCACCCAGGCTGCAGTGAAGTGTCACAATCTCAGCTCACTGCAGCCTCCGCCTGCCAGGTTCAAGTGATTTTCCTGCCTCAGCCTCCCAAGTAGCTGGGATTACAGGCATGCGCCACCATGCCTGGCTAATTTTCGTATTTTTAGTACAGACAGGGTTTCACCATGTTGGTCAGGCTGGTCTCGAACTCATGATCTCAGGTTGTCCACCCAACTCGGCCTCCCAAAGTGCTGGGATTATGGCATGAGCCATCATGCCCGGCCCCAGCAGAATCATTTCTGAGCTGCATCACTCATTCCTGTAAATTACTAGGTATGAGAGGGTAATCCCAGATTACAAAGGAAACCATCAATAGATAACTCTAGGCTGGGCGTGATGGCTCACACCCATAATCCCAGCACTTTGGGTGGCTGAGGCAGGCGAATCACTTCAGGCTGAGAGTTCAAGACCAGCTTGGCCAACATGGTGAAAACCTATCTCTACTAAAATACAAAAATTAGCTGGGTGTGGTGGTGTGTGCCTGTTATTCCCAGCTACTCGGGAGGCGGAGGCAAGAGAATCGCTTGAACCCGGCAGGCAGAGGTTGCGGTGAGCTGAGATCGTGCCACTGCACTCCAGCCTAGGTGACAGAGTGAGACTCTATCTGGAAAAAAAAAAAAAAGAAAAAAAGAAAACTTGCCTGAGTATGAGCTACACACAGTAGATAACTCCATACTCAGCCTGTAATTTTTTGTTTTTGGTTTTTTTTTTTTTTTTGAGACACAGTCTCACTCTGTCGCCCAGGCTGGAGTGCAGTGGCGCAATCTTGGCTCACTACAACCTCCACCCCCTGGGAGTCAAGCGGTTCTCCTGCCTCAGCCTCCTGCGTAGCTGGGACTACAGGTATATGCCACCACGCCCAGCTAATTTTTGTATTTTTAGTAGAGGTGGGTTTTCACCATGTCGGCCAGGCTGGCCTTGAACTCCTGACTTCAGGTGATCCACCCACCTCGGCCTCCCAAAGTGCTGGGATTACAGGCATGAGCCACCACGCCTGGCCCTCAGCCTGTAGTTTCTAAGATTTTTATCCTGGACCTGTAGGAGTAGGAGTCTAAGTGCCCTTTAAAATTGTACACAAGGCCGGGCGTGGTGGCTCACGCCTGTAATCCCAACAATTTGGGAGGCCGAGGTGGGCGGCTCACAAGGTCAGGAGTTTGACACCCGCCTGTCCAACATGGTGAAACCCTGTCTGTACTAAAAATACAAAAATTAGTCGGGCATGGTGGCACACACCTGTAATCCCAGCTACTCAGGAGGCTGAAGCAGGAGAATAGCTTGAACCTGGGAGGCAGAGGTTGCAGTGAGCCAAGATCATGCCACTGCACTCCAGCCTGGGCAACAGAGCAAGATTCCATCTCAAAAAAATATAAAATTGTACACAAAATTGTGTGTATGTATGCATTTTATTTGGAGACAAGGGATATCACTCCCTCTCCCCAACACTGGCTAAAAAGTTACTGCAATCTGGCTGGGCGCAGTGGCTCACGCCTATAATCCCAACACTTTGGAAGGCCAAGGCGGGCGGATCACGAGGTCAGGAGATTGAGACCATCCTGGCTAACACGGTGAAACCCCGTCTCTACTAAAAATTCAAAAAGATTAGCTGGGCATGGTGGCGGGCACCTGTAGTCCCAGCTAATCGGGAGGCTGAGGCAGGAGAATGGCATGAACCCAGGAGGCGGAGCTTGCAGTGAGCCAAGATCACACCACTGCACTCCAGCCTGGGCGACAGAGCAAGACTCCATCTCACCAAAAAGAAAAAAAAAAAAAAAAGTTACTGCAATCTAATTAATGATGGTAATCTTTGGTTTATGACATGCAAGCACCTATATGATTATGATACACTTACATAAAGGAATACCAGCAAAGCCTCAGACACTTATTTTAAATTCACTGATTTTTTTTTTTTTTTAAAGCTAAGAAGACCTTTTAGGGAAAGAGAATTTGTAATGTTGGAAAACCCAGCAGTAATAGTATGTCTGAACGTCAGAAGGGCTAGAATCAACTTTTGAAAGTTGGCAATACCTAGTCTAGCAAACATAATGAAGACTAACTCACCCATTTGTTTATTGAGCTCCTTATCTTGATTCCTAATAGGCAATGACTAGAATTAAAGAAGGTGACTAATACTTGAAATGACATGGGACTGTTATTTTCAGATAATTTGGTCTTTCTGAAGCTGTAACAGTACCAATAAATTGTTTTGCTCCCTGGACAGGCTTGAGAAGGAGAAAGCAGAAATTGAACGCATGCGAAACCTGACTGAGGAAGAGAGGAGAGCTGAACTTCGGGCAAACGGCAAAGTCATTACCAACAAAGCTGTTAAGGGCAAATACAAGTTCTTACAGAAGTATTATCACCGGGGTGCCTTCTTCATGGTAAGAAGTGAAAAGAGAGTCAGAAAATTGGGCAGTAGGAATAACTCAGAAACTTTGAATTATTTTTCTCTTCAAGAATATTCTGGAATGTAATTTCCACTTGCCAGTGGTCAGCTTTCTCATTTGCTTTTTCCTTCTGAACAATATAAACTCAGAGAAAAGCATCAGCAATTGGATGACAGAAGTAGCATCAACTGTTCTCTCTTTTGGCCCCAACTCTCAAAAATAGGAAATGATGTAATAGACTTTTTTTTTTTTTTTAAGAGACAGAGTCTCGCTGTCACCCAGGCTGGGGTACGGTGGTGCGATTATAGTTCACTGCAACCTTGACGTCCTGCGCTTTACACCTGCTTCAGCCTCCAGAGTAGCTGGGACTACAGGCATGCAACAACCATGCCTGGCTTTTTTTTTTTTTTTGGTTATTTTTTTTTTAATTTTTCGTAAAGACCAGGTTTCACTATGTTGCCCAGGCTGGTGTTGACCTTCTGGCCTCAAGCAATCCTCCCACCTCAGCCTCCCAAAGTATTAGGAATACAGGCATGAGCCATCATCCCCAGCCTTAGATAAATTGAGGAAATGAAATAGAGAAGTGATCTGTACAGATAGTGGACTAATTAGGTCCTCCACATGACATAGTTGTCATTCTTTCATAGCTGAATGAGAAGTTTTGGTTATGTGAAAACCAAACTCTGCAAATAGCTTTACATTAATTCACTTTTGGGTGGCAGAAAGTTAGTTCACTTCATTCTGAACTGACAGTACCCAAGAGTAACTAACCAAAAAAAATGGTTTATTATCTAACCATTAGATGGAATGCCGTCATCTTTGTTTTTCATATAAAGACTAAGATCAAAATAGCAATCTGTTAACCCTGTATGGTTTATTTCCTAATGTTAAAGCAGTTTGCACCAAAAACTAGACTAGCTTTTTCAAGTGCCGTGTGGCAAATTCTAAATATCCCCACTGCAACTAAATTCCTGCCTTTCACTGCAGATGCTGTTAAAACTTCAGTGGCGGCTTCCCTGCCACCCTCCAAAATCAGTTTCAGGTCTATCTGATTAGCAGGAAGTGTTTACTTAGGTAGTTTTCCAGCAGATGTAGCTTACTATTCAGTGGAGATTATGAACTACTTCTTGTACTGCTTCGGTCATAAAGTTTGTTTGCTTAAGCAGTTCGCAGCTTTAATAATCAAGTTTCTTAGAGAAGCAGTTCATTGCTAGTTAAGATACATAAGAAAAGTGTATGTGAAAGTCCTTTGGTGGGCCAGGTACATTGGCTAATGCCTGTAATCTTAACATTTTGGGAGGCAAGGCCAGCAGATCAGTTGAGCCCAGGAGTTCAGCCCGGGCAACATGGCAAAACCCCATCTCTACAAAAAATACAAAAATTAGGCGTGGTGGTCCGTGCCTGTAGTGTCACCTATCAAGGGGCTGAGGTGGAAGGATTGCTTCAGCCCGAGAGGTTGAGGCTGCAGTCAGCCGTGATCGTGCCACTGCACTGCAGCCTGGGTGGCTGACCAAGACTTTGTCTCAAAATAAATTGTTTTTAAAAAGTCTTTCTTAAACAAGATAGTGCTATTTTTAATTCCTTCAGCATATGTGTTTATAAATATGTATCACAGCATTGTAATATTATCACTCAGGCTAGAGTGCAGTGGTGCAGTCATGGCTCACTGCTGCCTCATTCTCCTGGGCTCAAGCAGTCCTCCTGCCTCAGCCTCCTGAGTAATTGGGACTACAGGTGTGTGCCACCACACCTAATTTCTATTTTGTAGAGATGGGTTTTGCTATGTAGCCCAGGCTGGTCTCAAACTCCTGGGCTCAAACTCTCCTTCCACCTTGGCCTCCCAAAGTGCTGGGATTACAGGCAAGAGCAACTGCATCCAGCCTTACTAATGTTGTTTATTTCATTGAGTAAGTAAGCTTTAGTGCATATACTATGCAAAGGTCACTGTTTAGCACTGTTAGCGAGAATACATAATCACTATAACATAAGTAAAAGTAAAGTACTGTAGGGGTTCTGACGAGAGAGATGTTATATTTGGTAGAAGATTGAAAGGGTTGACGTAAAGGTTGTAACATTTAAGCATTTAAGATGTATAATTTTGGGCCGGGCGCGGTGGCTCACGCCTGTAATCCCAGCACTTTGGGAGGCCAAGGCAGGCGGATCATGAGGTCAGGAGATTGAGACCATCCTGGCTAACATGGTGAAAACCCATCTCTACTAAAAATACAAAAAATTAGCTAGGCGTGGTGGCGGGCGCCTGTAGTCACAGCTACTTGGGAGGCTGAGGCAGGAGAATGGCGTGAACCTGGGAGGCGGAACTTGCAGTGAGCCGAGATCACGCCACTGCACTCTAGCCTGGGCGACAGAGTGAGACTGTATCAAAAAAAAAAAAATTAAATATATAATTTTTTTTTTTGTCACCTAGGCTTGAGTGCAGTGGTGCGATCTTGGCTCACTGCAACCTCCGCCTCCCGGGTTCAAGCAATTCTCCTGCCCCAGTCCCCCAAGTAGCTGGGAATACAGGCGTGTACCACCACGCCCAACTAGTTTTTGTATTTTTAGTAGAGACGGGGTTTCTCCATGTTGGCCAGGCTGGTCTTGAACTCCTGACCTTAGGCGATGTGCCCACCTCAGTATCCCAAAGTGCTGGGATTACAGGCGTGAGCTACTATGCCCGGCCAAGATGTATAGACTTTTTGACATTCGGTGCTGGGAAGACATTCCAGGTGGAGACCAGCAGGAGTGGAGGCAGAAAGCATCAGCTGTGAAGGGAAGCGGCAAAGAGAACTGAAAAGGTGGATTAAGGCTGTATAATATTTGGCCTTGATTACTACACAGAGGAGTTGTATTCATTTATTTATTTATTTATTTATTTTTGAGATGGAATCTCGCTCTGTCACCCAGGCTGGAGTGCAGTGGTGCGATCTCAGCTCACTGCAACCTCCACCTCCTGAGTTCAAGTGATTCTCCTGCCTTGGCCTCCTGTGTAGCTGAGATTACAGGTGCGCGCCACCAGGCCTAGTGTTTTTTGTATTTTTAGTAGAGACAGAGTTTCACCATGTTGGTCAGGTGGGTCTTGAACTCGTGACCTCGTGATCCGCCCGCCTTGGCCTCCCAAAGTGCTGGGATTACGGGCGTGAGCCACTGCGCCCAGCCTAGGTGTTGTATTCATTTAATAGACAACCATTGAAGTTTTTGAGCAAGGCAAAGATTATAATGAGTTACAGTCTAGAAACATCAGTGCCATGACAGTATGTGAGACTGATAGTAGAGGAAAACTAATAACCCAGGTGGTAAGAGTTTGTAAGATGTGGCAACTGATTGAATGCACACAGAGGTTACTCAGTTTTGAATCTAGGTAATCGAAGAGTACGCTGGTCCTACTAACAGAAAAGTTAAAGAGAAGAGGTTGATATGGAAAGGTTAGGTATTAATAAATGGTTTTCACTTTAGACGTGCATTTCAAGTCCCAATAAAATATCCAACTTATGATATATGAAAGCCAGTAAAAAATCCAGGATTGCAGATTTGAGAGGCCTATGCAGAGTTGAAGTCACATGAGTAAACAAACACATTGAGTGCAGAGAATAAGCCAACCTTCAAGACACGTCTACACTCAAGGAGAAAATTAGGCATAGTTGCATGCACCTGTAGTCCCAGCCACTCAGGAGGCTGAGGTGAGAGCATCGTTTGATCCTGGGAGGTCAAGGCTTCAGTGAGCAGTAGTGACCCCACTGCACTCCAGCCTGGACATCAGGACATCAGAATGAGACGCTGTCTCAGGGAAAAAAAAAAAAAAAAAGGAGAAATACAACAAAGGAAAAAGAATATCATCTCGGCCGGGCGCAGTGGTTCACACCTGTAATCCCAGCACTTTGGGAGGCCAAGGTGGGCAGATCGCAAGGTCGGGATATCGAGACCATCTGGGCTAACACGGTGAAACTCCGTCTCTATTAAAAATACAAAAAATTAGCCGAGTGTGGTGGCATGCACCTGTAGCCTCAGCTACTCGGGAGGCTGAGGCAGGAGAACTGCTTGAACCTGGGAGACGGAGGTTGCAGTGAGCCAAGATCGCGGCAGTGCACTCCAGCCTGGGCAACAGAGCGAGAGTCCGTCTCAGAAAAAAAAAAAAGAATGTCATCTCTTCAACTAGATGTAAGCTCTTGAAGAAAGGCTCAATACCCTCTGCTTTCTCTGTATCCCTTATTGTAGAGTTTAATAAATTTGTGGTTTGAATATATAGGAAATAAAGCCACAAGATTGATAAGATTTTTTTTATACAGGATGAGGATGAAGAAGTATACAAGAGAGATTTCAGCGCTCCTACCCTGGAGGATCATTTCAATAAAACCATTCTTCCTAAAGTCATGCAGGTATGGGGAACCTTAATAACATGACAGAGAAAAGTGATGTATTGATAGCTGAGGCATGGTTTGTTTGGTGGTATAACTCATCATCCATCCTTCCCTCAGGTCAAGAACTTTGGACGCTCAGGTCGCACCAAATACACTCACCTTGTGGATCAAGATACCACCTCCTTTGACTCAGCTTGGGGCCAAGAGAGTGCCCAGAACACAAAGTTCTTCAAACAAAAGGCAGCTGGGGTACGAGATGTATTTGAGCGGCCATCTGCCAAGAAGCGGAAAACTACCTAGGGTCCAACTGCTTATTCTTCCAACTGTGGAACACAAGGGGAGTCTCAGCATCTGGTCCTTGATTTGGTTTTTTCATTGTTTCCTTGGCCCCTGTATCCAGATATTGGACTTACTGCTATACTTGTGATACTGGGTAGCCCAGACTTTGAAGGTGCTTTGTGAGGTTTGGACTCATGCTGAGAAACCCACAGGAAAGCACTGTCCAGGTAGGATTAGAGGCTTCCCACTTAAAACTATTTCTGAGAAATCTTAGGTTTTATCACTGCTATGGTTTCCCATATTTACTTGGGACTGTTCTGACTTTCTTTTTCCAGCCCTTAGCTTGGGTTAGAAAAGTGGACATGTAAGTGAACAATGCATTACTTCTACCTTAGGTTTAGGAGTAATATACCCGGAAATCTAAGCTCATGGAAACATGTTTTCCATTTTTGCTTGGAGTCCGTTTTTCTAGTTGTACATACTTTTTGATCCATATATGTGTGCATGTCAAGAAATAAAAGAATCACACAACAAGGAGATTTTTAGCATGATACTGGAAATAAAATGTCCAAGCTGACAAGTATTAATTGCCTATTAAAGTAAAAGATAACAATTGTCAGGCAGAAGGTGTTTCACATTTTGATAATTCCCTTTGATCTCAGAAACAAGCTCAGGTACTAGCTTGGCTTTAGGTAGCATCTGGATTTATTCCATGACCAAATACAGATGTTTTTGAGAAGACCAAGGTCTTCTCACATCCTTTAAATGTCCCACTGGAAGAATCAAATAGTTTAGTGTCGTACGATAAAAATGAATGCAAATAATTACTATGAGGTGGTAAATACATAAAGATGAACACAGGTACAAGTCACTGTTGTGTGGGATACAATCTAAGAATTATCCTAGAGTCAGAATGAGGGTAAGGCCTTGAAACTCTTGGAGAAATGTCTGTAATTGCCATTTGAGTGTCCTTACAGCAGACTCAGGGGCCGTTGCAGGGTTTTTTTTTTGTTTGTTTGTTTGTTTTAAAGAGACGGCTCTGTTGCCCAGGCTAGAGTGCCTCAGCCTCCCGAGTAGCTGGGACTACAGGCGCCTGCCACCATGCCTGGCTAATTTTTGTATTTTTAGTAGAGACGGGGTTTCACCATGTTAGCCAGGATGGTCTTGATCTTCACTTCGCGATCCGCCCGCCTCAGCCTCCCAAAGTGCTGAGATTACAGGCGTTGAGCCACTGTGCCTAGCTGGGGCCGTCACAGTTTTATAGTTGAGGAAACTAGTTCAACATGTGTGAGTTGGTCCAAGCTGATTTTTTTTTTTTTTTTTTTTGAGATGGAGTTTCACTCTTGTTGCCCAGTCTGGAGTGCAGTGGCGCGATCTCTGCTCACTGCAACCTCCTGGGTTCAAGAGATTCTCCTGCCTCAGCCTCCCTAGTAGCTGGAATTACAGGCGTCCACCACCACACCCAGCTAATTTTTTTTTGTACTTTTAGTAGAGATGGGGTTTCACCATTTTGGCCAGGCTCGTCTCAAACTCCTGATCCCAGGTGATCCACCTGCCTCGGCCTCCCAGAGTGCTGGGATTATAGGCATGCGCCACCACGCCCGGCCCTGATTAACCTTTAAAGTAAAATTACCTTCTCTCTAGGATAGGAAATGGCATGTAGAATGTATTATGGCTTAGAATTTGAATACCAATCAAAACCTTTCATAGGTTTTTTTCGTTTTGAGACAGTCTTGCTCTGTCGCCCAGGCTGGAGTGCAGTAGCACAATCTCAGCTCACTGCAGCCTCAACCTCCCAGGCTCAAGCAAATCCATCTCAGCCTCCAGAGTATCTGGGACCACAGACAGGCACATGCCACCATGCCTGGCTTTTTTTTTTTTTAATTTTAGTAGAGACAAGGTCATGCTATGTTGCCCAGGCTGGTCTGGAAATCCTGACCTGACACAGTCCTCCCAGCCCAGCCTCCCCAAAGTGCTGGGGTTACAGGCATGAGTCACCACACCTGGCCCAACCTTTGATATCTTCTAGTCTTACCATGTTCTAACCCTCAGGTACCTAAATTCTTTTTTTGGTGGTGGGGGGAGCGCGGTAGAGACGAAATCTCACTGTGTTGCCCAAGCTGGTCTCAAACTGCTGGGCTCAAGTGATCGTCTTGCCTCAGCTTCCCAAGGTGTTGGGATTACAGGCATGAGCCACCATGCCTGGCCCCTAAATTCTTTTTTGTTGTTTTGTTTTTGAGACAGTCTCGCTCTGTCACCCAGGCTGGAGTACAGTGGCACAATCTCAGCTCACTGCAACTTCCGCCTCCCTGGTTCAAGCAATTCTTCTGCTTCAGCCTCCTGAGTAGCTGGGACTACAGGCATGCACCACCACGCCTGGCTAATTTTATTTTTTTTGTATTTTTAGTAGAGACAGGGTTTCACCATGTTGGCCAGGCTTGTCTTCAACTCCTGACCTCATGATCCGACTGCCTCAGCCTCCCAAAGTGCTGGGATTACAGGTGTGAGCCACTGTGCCCGGGCTTTTTTTTTTTTTTTTTTTTTTGAGATGGAGTTTCACTCTTTCCCCCAGGCTGGAGTACAGTAGTACAGTAGTGTGATCTCAGCTCACTGCAACCTCTGCTTTCCAATTTCAAGCGATTCCTGCCTCAGCCTCCAGAATAGCTGGGATTATAGGCGCCCACCACCATGCCCAGCTAATTTTTCTATTTTCAGTGGAGACGGGGTTTCACATGTTGGCCAGGCTGGTCTTGAATTCCTGACCTCGTGATCTACCTGCCTCGACCTCCCAAAGTGCTGGGATTAGAGGTGTGAGCCACAGCACCCAGCCAAATTATTTTTTTTTAATCACTCAAAATCAAGCATGTTGTAGGTACCAAAATTCTAACTCAAGGTGGCCTATGAACTGGGTTCATAACCTACATCTATCTATATATATAGTGGCTCCTAGGCAGGTAGCTGGCCTTTTAGATATTCATAAGCTGTCTTGGAGACACATGCCATTTGAGTACAGTAACTCTGCTGAGACTCCAGATGTACCTTGAATACTGTTGAGAGCTAGTCAGATGAATGAGACTGGCCTGCCACCTAGCATCTGCACATGAGGTATTCTTCTACACTGATTTTTCATACAGGTGTGCTAGATTTTAATGGGTCACTTAAATTCAGTTAGTCTCCAACATATAAATTCTCCACAACATAGGATATAGTATACACTCTACTTGACCCAAGATGATAAAACTGAAAAAGACAAAAAAAAATTTTATTGCCATAAATTAATCCAGTAGGTATATTTGAGAAAGCACGCATCAGTTGGTTAGGGCAATAAGCGCCTCTACCACGTTGCCCATGTGTTCCCGCAAACTGCGTTCTGCTGCTGCTCGAGATATCTCCATCTCAGTCATCTGCAGAAAAAAATCATGTTACATAGGTTCCCAGGCATTAATGTGCCACCAAATATACTGACTCCGCTTGTTTCAGGAAACAACCCAAATTAAGCAGAATAGCCTCCCCTCCGCATACACTAGTTAGGCACTACCACTCACTATTAGCTCCAGATCTTCCTTCTTGATAGTGACTTTTGCCAGTTCTTTCTCCCTGCAAAAATATTTAAATATATTAGTCCTCATTCTCAACCAACACCATAAACTCCCAGGAAGGGTCATTCCCAGAAGTGCCCTGTAAATAAATCTTGATAAACCCTTGATTGAAAATAAAAACTCCCACTAATACTCCTTTCCCCTGGAGTCTTGGCAGCAGGTGTTGCCAGGAGGCCTTCTGCTAACAAGAGTAAAGTTGTGGCGCCTAGATCTGCAGGAATTGGTGATAAATTTGAAGAACGGTATAAAGGCTTAATAATGGTTTTTATTTTTGTCTGGGGACCGGGGAGGGAAGAACTGTTAAAGTTGGCTGCCCCTGAAGACTTACCGCTCCTGTTTGGCTTTCTGCTCCCGGGACCTTCTGTCTCCAATCACAGACATGGCCTATGGGAAAGGCAGGTCTAGTTACTGCACCGCTACCCACAATTCCCAATAATCTAAAAGGCCAACAAAACAAGCGGTTCATGCATGGATTCACGATGACAAGTGTTACCAGGTAGCAAGGACTATGTTTAATTCCATTCTATGCACCTGAGGTCCCCTTAAGCCCACTATCAAGCTCCTTTAGGCAAGCGGCGCGCTCCGGTGACCGCTGTTTCCCTCGGCTCTACCCTATTGCCTCCTCCTGCCAACGGGATCAGAACCCCGTCTTGGAGCGCTGGCTTCCAGCTACAGCCTCAGAGCCCCCCTCTGCTCTCAGCCCGCCCCGACATGCTCTTGGCCAACCTTACCGTCTCCAGATTGGAACTCTGGATCTCCTTCTCCTCTGCATAGTCGGTGACCCGCTCCAAGTCCGCCGCACCGCTGTCATGTTTCCGTGGCTTCTCCGGAGGCCGCTCTGGTCCACTGGTCTCAGTCTCCAACTCCAGCTCCACATCCCCCTCGGTCGCCATATCTATTTCACCACGCCGCCGCATAAGCCCCACCTCACGCCGACTTCCGGCAACTGACACAGCTTCCGCCCGGGGAGGAGGCGGGGCTGGCCCTGGGCCACACCTTCTTTCTGCTCCAGTTCTAGAAGCTTCAGGGAGGAAGGCGGTTCGTCTCTCAGACTTCCTTTCGGGTTTGTACAGTGTTTTGTGCGAGGCCTTCTCTCAGACCTAACCCGACACCGCTCCAGCCCACCCCACCGATATCCTTAACCACCTCATAAACTAGGAATAGTCCCCTCAACACATAAACACGCACCCACCCACCTCAGGGAACTCCGTTCAACCTGAATGACGTCTAATCCTAAACCAATAAAGAATGCTAATCCACAGGGGGCCAGATAGACAAACTGCCCCCTAATCTGGAGAGAACAGCCTGAGTGGCCGCAGTGTTGAGGCCCTAAGGACAAAGCTCCTTCACAGGGCATTTGCATTTACCGCAACCTGGAGGTCAGTGTTCTCTTCCGGACGTCTCCATTCTGCCCGGGACCGGGTGCTCAGCCCCAACACAGTGGCAGTCCAATGGGCTGAGGACAGAAGCAACTGCTGCTCTCATCTGCCTTCCATCTGGTGGACCTAAGCCTAATCCCTGGGACAAGGATGGTGGGTGCCAAGGCCGGCCCCAGCCCCGGCACCTCCCTGGGCCTGGCACAGCAGCACAGCGGAGGCAGCAGTGTCCTAGTGAAAAGTCCCTTCTGTCAGGTGAGAGGGTGCGAAGGGGAGAGTGGCCGAAGCTGGGGAGGAAGACGTGCAGAAGCCAATAAAAACGACAGGCCTCTTTTCTCCTCTAATGTCGTTCTGGTTCGTTGCCCCAGGTATAATCTGTAAATCTCTCCCGCCATGTTTCCAGCCCCAGGTGTTTAGGTCGAGAGAAAGGTCAGATATCTCAAGCCTGCTTATAATGAAAGCCCTACTAAGTTGTCAGTGGGCGGCAATCCCAAATGGCTGGAATCAGCTTGAAACAGAACCTGAGTAAAAGGAAGAAAGGGGAAGGGGAAATTTTGGAATTCAACCTCCTGGGTTAACCTCACACATACATTAACGTATGCCTTTCCTCAGCAAGTCTCCACCTCGCTGCCTTGCATCTGCTCTACTCCCAGGTGTGCTGCTGTGGGCCTGCTCCTTGTGCCAGCTGCTGCCACTCTAGGTGGCCCTCTCTCACCGCATCCACTTGCAGCCGCCTGTTCTACATCCTCCTCCATGTGGGGGCCTCAGCAATCTGCTGCCTCCTGCTGTCAAGGACAGTAGTGGAAAGGGTGTGGGGCAAGACACACAGGGTAAGTGAGAGGGGGTCGGGTTGTCAGGTGGGAAGAGATAAAAGGAAAAACCCTAAGATAGAAAAGGTTTCGGTTGGGGGCAGGAGACAAATGAGTGGTCATACCCGTGACAAGTAGGTACCTTTCCATGCATTATGACTTGTCCTGCCATTTCTCTCACACACACTCCCAGATCCAGATGCCCTCGGGGTTGTGTGCCCACCTGTTTGGCCTCTCTGACTGTCCAGTGCTCAGTGGCTCTGGGGCTGTGTACCGAGTATGTGCAGGAACCGCCACCTTCCACCTGCTGCAGGCTGTGTTGCTGGTCCACCTCCACTCCCCCACCAGCCCGCGGGCACAGCTGCATAATAGGTTTGTGTGTACTTTCTGGGTGGGGAGGGGACAGAGGAGGGAAAGTAGACATAGGCTGGGTAAAGGAAATTCCGGGATGAAGTAATAGCACTGTAAAAAGACAGAAAACAGGTTTAAGTCCCTGCTTCTCGTGTACTTGCTGTGTAACCTTGAGCCAGACTTTGTGCTTCTAGCATCTAAAATGGAGGTAACAGTGGGGTTATCTTGGTAACACAATCCTTTATAAACTGTAAAACATTGCCCAGATGCTATTAAGTATCTTTGAGTTAGAATTTGGAATAAGGTGCAGTAGGCCTGTCCCAACCCCCTCTCATTTGGGATTGGTTCCTCCTTAGTTGTCTCGTCTGTCCTCTTTCCTATATTTTTGGTTTCTCTTTTGCCTTTCCCCATAGGCACTCTTCACTGTCCTTTGCCTTTTCTCCTGAGTCTGTTTTTCTTTCTCCCTCCTAACCAGCTTCTGGCTCCTCAAGCTGCTGTTCCTGTTAGGTCTCTGTGCTATTGCCTTCTGCATTCCTGATGAGCATCTCTTCCCAGGTACTCTCCCTCCCACACTCTTGGCAGGAGTAGGCTAAGTTTTCTAAGATAACAAGTGGGTAAGAAGAGGAGTAATGGCCGGGTGCAGTGGCTCACGCCTGTAATCCCAGCACTTTGGGAGGCTGAGGCGGGCGGATCACGAGGTCAAGAGATCAAGACAATCCTGGCTAACATGGTGAAACCCCATCTCTACTAAAAATACAAAATATTAGCCGGGCATGGTGGCACGCACCTGTAATCCCAGCTGCTCAGGAGGTGGAGGCAGAAGAATCACTTGAACCCGGGAGGCAGAGGTTGCAGTGAGCTGAAATCACACCACTGCACTCTAGCCTGGGTGACAGAGCAAGACTCTGTCTCAAAAAAAAAAAAAAGTAACAATTTGACATTTTTCCACTGGTGCCCATCTTGCAGCATGGCATTACATTGGCATCTGTGGAGGCTTTGCATTCATCCTACTGCAGTTGGTGCTTATTACAGCTTTTGCCCATTCCTGGAACAAGAACTGGTAAGGGGCACATAACCCTAAAGGCTTTTCCTGGGGAGGTTTCTAGTATTACTACATGGAAAGGGCTGGGCAAAAGGCACGGCAGAGCACTGGTCCCACAGCTTCCCACTGAGCAGTATCAAAAAAGCTTAGGAATGTGATGACTGCGTGGGCCAAGTAGGATGGCTAGTCACACCAGTCTTCTGAGAGCAGGGGAGTAGTTGGTAATGGGTAAAAGAGTTGGAGCTCCAGCTGGGCACGGTGGCTCATGCCTGTAATCCCAGCACTTTGGGAGGCCGAGGTGGGTGGATCATGAGGTCAGGAGTTTGAGACCAGCCTGGCCAACATGGTGAAACCCCATCTCTAGTAAAAATATAAAAGTTAGCTGGACATGGTGGTAGGTGCCTGTAATCCCAGCTACTCAGGAGGCTGAGGTAGGAGAATCACTTGAACCCAAGAGGCGGAGGTTGCAGTGAGCTGAGACCACACCATTGCACTCCAGCCTGGGCAACAGAGCAAGACTCCCAACTCAAAAAAAAAAAAAATGCTGGAGCTCCAAGCCATTGCCCACTTTCCACCCTTAGGCAGACAGGTGCAGCTCAAGACTGTAGCTGGTTCCTGGCTGTCCTGCTGGCCACCCTAGGATTCTACAGCATGGCAGGTGTGGGAGCTGTGCTCCTATTCCACTATTATACACACCCAGCTGGCTGCCTGCTTAACAAGATGCTCCTCAGTCTGCACCTTTGCTTCTGTGGCCTCATCTCCTTCCTCTCCATCGCTCCTTGCATCCGCCTCAGTGGGTACATGTCCTACAGCATTCCAGGTTTTGGGGGCCTTAAAAGCATAGCAAGTTTCATTACCTCCCTAATCTCAATTATTTGATAAAAGAATCTCTGCTTCCCTATCCCCACCAAAGGATGGGGAGACAGAAGTACAAGTGGGGGTAGAAATGGAGGAAATTACCAGCCTGTAGACTAAAGCAATTATACTTACTCCCCAGAGCAACCCCGCTCTGGCCTCCTACAAGCTTCTGTCATCAGCTGCTATATCATGTATCTGACTTTCTCTGCACTGTCCAGCCGTCCTCCAGAGAGAGGTAAGGGACAGGACCTGGATTCTCCATGCTAAGACCTTTTTTTGCCCCTGCCAAATACCTAGCTCATTGTTAATACCC
This sequence comes from Homo sapiens, assembly GCF_000001405.40. Classification (NCBI taxonomy): domain Eukaryota; kingdom Metazoa; phylum Chordata; class Mammalia; order Primates; family Hominidae; genus Homo; species Homo sapiens. Next base: position 43,796,766 of record NC_000015.10, on the reverse strand, counting down.
ATCTCTTCTGTTGTCCCTTCCCAGTAATCCTTCAAGGACAGAATCACACCCTGTGCCTGCCTGGCCTGAGTAAAATGGAACCCCAAACACCAGATATCTCTCTAGCAATGCTGAGTGCTAGCATCATGTATGCTTGTGTGCTTTTTGCTTGGTGCGTAAAGGTGTCAAGGGTGGAGGTATGAAAGGAGGGTGCCCAAGACAGGGAAGGATGGTCAGGACAATGTCTGGGACCATTATTTAAAGTTTAGAGCAAGACTAGAGTGAGAAAAGCTCCCCACAAACAGGGACAAATTCTAAGAATAGTACTTTGTCAGATGATCTGTATGAGATGAAGGGGGTGGGGGGAATGACTTGAGAATTTAAAATATGTCCAAAGACCTTAGGGCTCTCACATGAATAGAATTCTAAATCTTTGGTGGAAAAGGGCACAGGGAGTATGGTACCCTTTTGAGGATTACCAGTATGGACCAATTGGTAGTAAATGCCCCCAGATAATCCCTATTTAACTAAACCAGCTTAAGAACTCTATTCTTTCTCAGCAATGAGGCCTCCTACCTGGCTGAGGTATTTGGACCCCTGTGGATTGTCAAGGTTTACAGCTATGAGTTTCAGGTGAGGATAAAGAGCTCCATATCCCCAACACCCTCCCTCCCCCACACAAAGACACACACACATCCTACCAACCTCTACCCAGAATGCTCAGATTATAGCTGCTGTTACCTTTTATTGAGTACCCACAATGTGCTAGGCAACTGTGCTAGATACTTTTACATAATCTCATTTAATTTAACCCTCACAACAACCCTGTGAGGTAGGTATTTGCTCCATTTTACAAATGGAGAAATCGAGGCACAAAAGATTAAACATCTTACCAAAGTCTGCACAGCCACTTATATGCTGGAGCTAGAATTTGAACCCAGGTGTGCCTCCACTTTTTAATACTAGACCAATCTTTTCACGGGGGAAGTTTCCTAGATTAACACCCTCACATCTTTTAAGACCATTCCAAAACCTGCGTTCTGTTTTGCAGAAGCCCTCACTGTGTTTCTGCTGCCCTGAAACAGTGGAGGCAGACAAAGGTGAGTGCCAAGTGAGGAACCATAAGAAGTGGTAGATCTCTGTGGAGTGCCATAAGAACCCTCAAGAGCCTTAACAAAGGTAGTTGGGGGAGAGGGGAAGAGGTGTTTCAGCAGCTCTGCTCCCAGCAGCCATTTCCTCTCTCCAGGGCAAAGGGGTGGGGCTGCGAGGCCAGCTGACCAAGAAACCCCTCCAGCTCCTCCAGTCCAAGTCCAGCATCTTTCCTACAACTATTCTGCCTTCCACTTCGTCTTCTTCCTTGCCTCACTCTATGTCATGGTTACCCTTACCAACTGGTTCAGGTAAGATGGAGTGGGCCTTAGATACTCTCCTGAAGAGCTAGCTATTTTAAGGAAAGAGCAATTCAAGGCCATTCCAGACACACATGGGTCTGCCATTATATTTGGTGAGGAGGTAGAACAGGTCTAAAAGCTAAGGCCCTTCATATTCTCTAACCAGAGCCTTTGGTTACACAGCTATGAGGGAGCAGAACTGGAAAAGACCTTCATCAAGGGTAGCTGGGCCACCTTCTGGGTCAAGGTTGCCTCATGCTGGGCCTGCGTACTCCTCTATCTGGGGCTGTTACTGGCACCACTCTGTTGGCCCCCCACCCAGAAACCCCAGCCCCTTATCTTGAGGCGCCGCCGCCACCGCATCATATCCCCAGATAACAAATATCCTCCAGTCTAAGTCCTTTTCACAAACTGGGGTTCCCCTGACATTGTACTCCTAGAGTTGGCTCAAGGGGAGCTGTCCAGCCCAGCTCAATACCTCAAGGACACACAGGGAGTTATCTCCGTTTGGGCTGAAGTCAATACTATGAACTGGAAGAAGTGGTCAAACACAGTCTAATGTGCTGGGCAGAGTGTCTGACTCACTGGAGCTACTGTTACATCTGCATCCCAGCTCAAGAGCCTAACACCCAAATCAGCAGCTCAAAGAACCACCGCTGATCCCAGCAGACAGTGTGGCACCAGCCCTTTCCTGGCTCTTGGGCTGGAAGTGGGGGTGGGGAAAGACCAACAGGGACTGAAGACTCGGCTCTGCCCTTGGAGAAAGGAAAATAAGGAGTTCAGCCCTGGGCACACGGATATAAGAAGCCCAGAACCACAGAACAAACCAGGGCATAGAAGAAAGGAGCACAGAGGCTACCCCAGGTTTTAATCCTGATTTTGAGGTCAAGGGAAGCGGGAAGACAAAACCACCCTCATTCCATGAGGAATGACAGAAGAGAAAGTGAACGCTTGACAGCAGCTGACCACGGGAAGTCGGTGAGCAGCAGGATTTTTTGGCCAACTTTCAAGCAGACGAACAAACTGAGGAAGAATGAGGAAAAGAGGCATAAACACAGATCTTGCAGCATTCACTCTTAGGCCAACTCCATCCTAGAGATGGTGTTCAAGGGTGGGGAACAAAAATCACAGAAAAGAAGTCTCTATGGTTCTTAGAGGATTCCTCTACTGCATATCCGGAGTACTTGTTTGGTTGTCATTGTATAATAAAGGCTTCTTCTGTGATGTTTCACTTATTAAGTCTACATACCCACAATCTGAATCTAAAGAGTTCTCCCTTTTTTGGTGGGAAAGGGCAGTCATTCTTCCAACCCCATCCCCCCAAGTCCCCAGTCAAACCAGGCGCTCAAGGAATTACAAAGCTACTTTTAATACTTTGGGGTGAGCCCCACAGGAATAAAAAACACTGGGAAGGGGTAACCCCCTCACCCCCGGGAGTGGCCCAGGGGGAGAGAGGCTACCTGAGGGGAAGGAAGCACAAAAGGGACCCGCTGCAGACTCAGGGCAAAGGGAATGCCATCGGTGCTGGGACCTGTGAGCACTACAGGAGGAAACGCGAGCGTGGTGGGACTGGCTCCAGGCACACAGGCGAAGGGCAAGAGGGTTGGACACGAAGCCACAAAGCTACTTGGGTTCCTCCTTCTTCTCGTTTGCCTTTTTCTGCTTCTGCTGCATGATCTCCGAGTCCCTGGGGGTAGAGATGATGGGGCACTGGGAGGTACCAGAGGGCAAAAAGGACAAGATGCAGGGGGATGAAGGGCACAAAGGATAAGATGGAAGTGGATGGGACTAAGTTCAGCGTTTGGCTGCTGTACTCCCACCCTAGGAGAACAAGAGGAAGAGAGCTGAGGCTCAAAAGGCGACCAGTCTCCATCTGGCTGTTGCCCAAGGGGTCAGAAGTCTGGTGACACAGGCCCAAGGGTCTCTATTCTGTATTGAGGACCACACCCAGCAACACCAGTGAGGAGGTTGGGAGAAGGGAGGAGAACCGAACAGCAAGGAGGGCCAAAAGTACTGGGCTGCCGTAACCACAACTGTATTTGAAATGTGAAGCTCCCTGCCCTTGCCCTTAAGGTCAGACCCAGGGACGCTCAGAAATCAGACTGAGGGCAGGCGCCCGCCCCCGTCCTTTCCTGTAAGGCTGTGAGCTAACAATTTGGAGGGTGGGGAGGAAATAAAACCCTAGAGGAAGCAATGCACTCTGCTCCTCACGACTAGTCCACATTCAAGCCCTGAGGTAGCTCTCTTTCCTTCTATAACCCTTGGTCTAACCCAGGTCTCCACCGTCCCTTTCCCTCCCCTCCCTGGGGCTACCTCTGCTTGCGGGCGGCAGCAGAAAGCCCGTCATCTCGGCGCTTTCCCTTAACCGAGTCGCTCTGCTTTTTCATATTCTTCTGGCGGGCGAGCTCACGCTGGTTACCGCCTAAGGAAAGAAAATTAAAGGTGAGACGCGGGGGCCGCTCTGCCCACACACCGGCGACCCTTCTACCCCAGCGCGGCCAGCAGCAGGATCCAACACCACTTCAATCTCCGGGCCCCGACAACGGCCCATCGAGGCCCAGGCTGCTTGGGGTAGGGGGGAGTGGCGAATCTGCCACGGGCCAGGTCAAAATACGGACTAGAGAAGGGAGGTCCCAAGGGGCCAGCTGGAGGCGTGTTTTGGGGCGGCGTGGGGCCCAAACAGCTGGCAAGGTGTGTGTGGACGGTTTGGGTCTCCGTGGGGGATGGGCTGGCTTGTGGAGTGGGGGCTCTGGGCCTATCACAGGGGCGCTGGCCTTCTCCTTACACCGCGGAAGATCCGGGAGGGCCTATGCCTAACCCGGGAGGGTGGTCCCGTGAAGTAGCCGTGGGCAAAGGGCTCGATTTCCGGGCACCGAGTGTGAGGGTGGCCACAGAGCGCGCCCAGAGAAACGCCTTGCTAGGGAAGCTACGGAAGGTCAAAGCCGGCGCCTCGCCGGTGGTGTTTAGGGTGAACGGAAAGAAAAGGGCAAGGAGAAGGGGGCTCGGTGCTCACGGGTCATGGCGACGGCAGCGGCTCCAACCTGCCTCCGTTACGTCCCCTCGTTCTGTCGGACGTTGCAGGTCCCGCCCCTTCTGGCAACGTAGCACAGTCGTTCCTTTCCTCCCCGCCCCTTCGCGCCCGGGAGCCGGCTCCCATTGGACAAGAAAAAGCACGTGGATCCACGGGTCGTGCTTGAGCCGGGGTGGGTAAGTGGCGGAGGGTCGCAGGCGGAGCGCTCAGCGTGGGGCGGGGCTTCCCGAGTGAGACGTAGGGACGGGCCTGGAGAAACTAGGCCGGGTCACGTGGGCAGGTTGGGGGTGGAGGGGTGCGGCTGGCGATGTGGCGCTCCCGCGGGCTCGAGCACGTGACCGTGCAGAGTGACCTCATGCGGGGACAGTTTGGGGTACTGACAAAGTCGCCCTGAAAGAACGCCCGTAGACAAGAGGGCGGGGTTTCAGCCAGTTCTGTGTTACGAGTACTCTACTACTAAACTTGTGCTTACTTAGGACCACCTCTCAGCCACTTATTTGGACACGAGTTGTTCACAGCTCGCTTAAAATCAAGTACAAACACAACTTCAGAAACCCGCTTCTACTCCCATTGTCCCCTTCCACGCCCCTTCACTGTAGAAAATCGCAGCAACATCTGGTATTTCCTAAAACTCTACCCTGTTCGTTTTCCCCCAGAAACTTTAAATGTGAACATGCAGCTTGGAAGTATTGGAGGACTCCAAAAGTCACAGACTATGGAGTTGGATCAGTGGCTGAGATTAGATAATTCACATATTCGCTTTTCCCCTCTGGAGCTTTTCTTACTGTACCATCGCCACCAGCCACCCGGTTTTGTATTAAGACCCTGGAGGGCCGGGCGTGGTGGCTCACGCCTGTAATCCCAGCACTTTGGGAGGCTGAGGTGGGCAGATCAGAAGGTCAGGAGTTCGAGACCAGCAGCCTGACCAACAATGGTGAAAACCCTAAAAATACAAAAAATTAGCCGGGCGTGGTGGCGCGCCTGTAATTCCAGCTACTTGGGAGGCTGAGGCAGGAGAATCGCTTGAACCCGGGAGGCGGAAGTTGCAGTGAGCCGAGATCGCGCCATTGCACTCCAGCCCAGGCGACAGTGCGAGATCCCGTCTAAAAAAAAAGTTAATAAGAATTAGCCGGGCGTGGTGGCGGGCGCCTGTAGTCCCAGCTACTCAGGAGGCTGAGGCAGGAGAATGGCGTGAACCCGGTAGATGGAGCTTGCAGTGAGCCGAGATCGCACCACTGCACTCTAGCCTGGGCGACAGAGCGAGACTGCATCTCAAAAAAAAAAGAGTTAATAAGAAAGGCTGGGCAAGGTGGCTCACGCCTGTAATCCCAGCACTTTGGGAGGCAGAGGCGGGTGGATCACGAGGTCAGGACATCGAGACCATCCTGGCTAACACGGTAAAACCCCGTCTCTACTAAAAATACAAAAAAAAAAAATAGCTGGGTGTGGTGGCAGGCGCCTGTAGTCCCAGCTACTTGAGAGGCTGAGGCCGGAGAACCGTGTGAACCCAGGAGCAGCAGCTTGCAGTGAGCCGAGATCACGCCACTGCCCTCCAGCCTGGGCGACAGAGCCAGACTCCATCTCAAAATAAATAATAAATAAACAGTTAATAAGAGACACCCAAGCTGGAGTGCATTGGCGTGATCTCGGCTCACTGCAACCTCTGCTTCCTGTGTTCAAGCTATTCTCCCACCTCAGCCTCCCAAGTAGCTGCGATTACAGGCACCCGCCATCATGCCCGGCTAATTTTTGTATTTTTGTTTTTCTGGAGATGGGATTCCATCATGTTGGCTAGGCTGGTCTGGAACTCCTGACCTCAGGTGATCCGCCCTCCTTGGCCCCCCAAAGTGCAAGGATTACAGGTGTGAGCCACGGTGCACAGCCACAATTGGGTATATCTTGATGAGCACAGCATATTCCTATAATCATGAAAGATACAGAGAAAAAAGCTCTCTCACACTTTCTCTCTCTCCCTCTCCCTGTCTGCCTCTCTCTCTCTAATATCCATATATGTATTTATATGTCTGTCTATATATATGAATTTTTGGTTTTTTTTGAGACAGTCTTACTCTGTTACCCAGGCTGGAGGCTGGAGTGGTATGCTCTCGGCTCACTGCAACCTCCACCATCTTGTATTCAAGCGATTCTCCTTTCTCAGCCTCCCGAGTAGCTGGGATTACAGGCACCCGCCACCACGCCCGGATAATTTTTTTTTTTTTTTTTTGAGATGGAGTCTTGCTCTGTCGCCCAGGTTGGAGTACAGTGGTGCGATTTCGGCTCACTGCAACCTCCACCTCCCAGGTTCAAGCAATTCTCCTGCCTCAGCTTCCCGAGTAGCTGGGCCTACAGGTGCGTGCCACCACGCTCGGCTAATTTTTGTATTTTTTAGTAGAGACAGGCTTTAACCATGTTGGTCAGGCTGGTCTCAAACTCCTGACCTCAGGTGATCCACCTGCCTCGGCCTCCCACAGTGCTGGGATAACAGGTGCAAGCCACTGTGCTCGGACTGTATTTTTTTTTAGTAGAGACAGGGTTTCACCATGTTGGCCAGGCTGGTCTCGAACTCCTGACCTCAAGTGATCTACCCACCCCAGCCTCCCAAAGTGCTGGGATTACAGGCTTGAACCACCATGCCCAGCCTATATATGAAAACTGATCATGATAATAGCTTTAAAGGAAAATAACAGATTCCACGCAAGGATGATATTCAAAATGTTTCGCAGTGCACACAGCTTAAGCACTGACCCATAAAAACAGATGTCAGTGTAATTTGAATGAAGACTCTGTGAACAATTCCACCTGGTATGAAGTAACTAAATAGTACTGCTGGTGCTATGAAGGGAGTACACCTGTGGACTCTGTAGACTTTAATTTTGATTAGGGAGGTGAAGTAAGTGATATTTGAGCTAAAGCAAAAAGATGAGAAATTAGCCAAGCCCAGGAGGGAAGGGCAGGGAGAACATTTCAGGAGGGAACAGCACGTGTGAAGGCCCTAAGGCCCTCCTCCCTCAGGTCATCCCATCAAGAGCCACAGGATTATTGTGTAGGTAAAGGGCAAGTCACTAATGCCTAATGAGCAGGGTGGTGTGAAACTAGGTCAGATAGGGAGGTAGGGTTGTGACAAGATCCAAGTTACTACTGCTAATATAACTACTAGCTAACATCAGGTGGGTTTTTATTTGGTACATTTAGTGTACTTTTCTTTTTTTTTTTTTTTTAGACAGAGTCTCACTCTGTCGCCCAGGCTGGAGTGCAGTGGCGCCATCTCGGCTCACTGCAAGCTCCGCCTCCCGGGTTCACGCCATTCTCCTGGCTCAGCCTCCCAAGTAGCTGGGACTACAGGCGCCCGCCACTACGCCCGGCTAATTTTTTGTGTTTTTGGTAGAGACGGGGTTACACCGTGTTAGCCAGGATGGTCTCGATCTCCTGACCTTGTGATCCGCCCACCTCAGCCTCCCAAAGTGCTGGGATTACAGGCGTGAGCCACCGCGCCCGGCCCTAGTGTACTTTTCTTATTTGAGCCTTACGATGACCTTTGGAGGTGTCATTATCCCCCTCCTACTGATTTAGAAACCTCGGCCCTGGCAGGTTAAATAACTTTCTCAACGAAACTGAGATAATAAGGGGTGGAGCTGAGAGTCTAACCCAGCCTGTGCTCTTCATTAGCATAGTGTAAGCTTTGAAAAGATCACTTTACCAGTAGAGAATGGATTACAGCAGATGAATAGAAATGAGGAGACCAGTCAGGAGACTATCACAGGCAACAGGCTCTAGGTCTCAGTTTAAATGTTACCTCATGGAGGGTGCAGTGAGCTATGATCACGCCACTGCACTCCAGCCTGGGTGACAGAATGAGACCCTGTCTCAAAAAACAAACAAATAAATAAATATTACCTCAGAAGTGGTTCTCTACAAGCAAGGCACTAAAAAGCTGGTTGAAGGCTGGGCACAGTGGCTCACGCCTGTAATCCCAGCACTTTGGGAGACCGAGGCGGGCCGATCACGAGGTCAGGAGATCAAGACCATCCTGGATAACACAGTGAAACCCTGTCTCCAGGTTGGGCATGGTGGCTCATGCCTGTAATCTCAGCACTTTGGGAAGCCGACAGGGAGGATCCCTTGAGGCCAGGAGTCTGAGACAAGCTTAGGCAATATAGTGAGACCCCGTCTCTACAAAAAATTTAAAAATTAGGCTGAACGTGGTGGCTCATGCCTGTAATCCCAGCACTTTGGGAGGCCTAGGCAGGCAGATCTCTTGAGGTCAGGAGTTCAAGACCAGTCTGGCCAACATGGTGAAAACCCATCTCTACTAAAAATACAAAAATTAGCCAGGCATGGTGCACATACCTTGTAATCCCAGCTACTCGAGAGGCTGAGGCTAGAGAATTGCTTGCACCTGGGAGGAGGAGGTTGCAGTGAGCCATGATTGCACCACTGCACTCCAGCCTGGGTGATAGAGTGAGATACCATCTCAAAAAAAAAAAAAAAAAAACTAAAAATCTAGCCAGGTGTGGTGGTGTGTGCCTATAGTCCCAGCTACTCGAGGGTGTGAGGTGGAAGGATGGCTTGAGCTCAGGAGGTTGACACTGCAGTGAGCTGTAATCATGCCACAGCACTCCAGCCTGGGCAACAGAGCAAGACCCTGTCTCAAAAAAAAAAAAAAATTCTGGCTGGGCAAGGTGGCTCACGCCTATAATCCCAGCATTTTGGGAGGCTGAGGTGGGCAGACCACCTGAGGTCAGGGGTTCAAGACCAGCCTGACCAACATGGTAAAACCCCCGTCTCTACTAAAAATACAAAATTAGCCTGGCATGGCGGCGCATGCCCGCAATCCCAGATACTCGGGAGTCTGAGGCAGGAGAATCACTTGAACCCGGGAGGCAGAGGTTGCGGTGAGCGGAAATCGCACCATTGCATTCCAGCCTGGGCAGCAAGAGTGAAACTCTGTCTCAAAAAATAAAAAAATTCTTCCCCTCCAGCCTATACTCCAAGAGTGGTACTGAATGGCTAAGTCAATCAAAGTAAACTAATCCCTTTTAATATTGATTGGTTTAAGAACCCAGGCCTGGCCGGGCGTGGTGGCTCACGCCTGTAATCCCAGCACTTTGGGAGGCCGAGGCGGGCTGATCATGAGGTCAGGAGATCAAGACCATCCTGGCTAACACGGTGAAACCCCGTCTCTACTAAAAATACAAAAAATTAGCCAGGCGTGGTTGCAGGCGCCTGTAGTCCCAGCTACCTGGGAGGCTGAGGCAGGAGAATGGCGTGAACCCAGGAGGCGGAGGTTGCAGTAAGCCGAGTGGAGCGCCACTGCACTCCAGCCTGGGCCACAGAGCAGACTCCATCTCAAAAAAAAAAAAACAAAAAAACGAACCCAGGCCTAAGCAGATTATTTTGTGGTATTCACCTGGTAACAGTTATTGGTTCAGGAGTGAGCATGTGGCCTAAATTAGCCTGATCAGACCAAAGAGAAGGACTTTTTTTCCATTGCTAGGGTGGTGACAATGCTGTTTCCCGTTGACATGAATGAGGAAACACATAGCCCATACTGCTCCTGGCAGCTCTAGTCTATCACCTAGAAGAGAGCCAGCCTTAGGTTGAAGCAAATGAGTAGCAGAAAGAATCTTGGTTCTTGGTCATGCTGTTGGACCACTGGATACCTCAACTGTAACATTTGTTCTACATTGAGTTTCCTGGTGTGGGAACTACCATATTGTTTTGTTGGTTTAAGCTACCTTGAGTCAGATTTCTGTCACTTCAGCCAAATACTTTTAATCAAACACACACAAGAGAAACAGCATATACCAAGGCCCTGAGAGGGGGATAAGCTTGGATAATTAGATGAACTTAGGCCTTACATAATGAAATGGTCCAGTCAGATTATCTTAAAGTGTAGGCAGCTCTTTCCATGCGTACCAAACGTCAACCAGCTTTTTTTTTTTTTTTTTTTTGAGACAGAGTCTTGCTCTGTGGTCCAGGCTGGAGTGCAGTGGCATAATCTCGGCTCACTGCAAGCTCCGCCTCCTGGGCTCATACCATTCTCCTGCCTCAGCCTCCCAAGTAGCTGGGACTACAGGCACCCGCCACCACACCTGGCTAATTTTTTGTATTTTTAGTAGAGACAGGGTTTCACCGTGTTAGTCAGGATGGTCTCGACCTCCTGACCTCATGATCTGCCTGCCTCAGCCTCCCAAAGTGCTGGGATTACAGGCGTGAGCCGCTGTGTCTGGCCTTCAACCAGCTTTTTAGTGCCTTGCTTGTAGAGATGAATATAGAGCCAAAGATCACCAAGCGTTGGAGAAAACAGTCCTAACATAAAAATAGACCCCAAAAAAACACAAGCAGAAAATTCAGTCTCATGGCTGGGCATGGTGGCTCATGCCTATAATCCCAGCACTTTGGGAGGCCGAGACGGGCAGATCACTTGAGGTCAGGAGTACAAGACCAGCCTGGCCAACATGGTGAAACCCAGTCCCTACTAAAAATACAAAAATTAGTGGGGCGTGGTGGCATGCATCTGTAATTCCAGCTACTTGGGAGGCTGAGGCGCAAGAATTGCTTGAACCCAGGAGGCGGAGGTTGCAATGAGCTGAGATCAAGCCACTGAACTCTAGCCTGGGTGACAGAGCAAGTATCTGTCTCAAAAAAAAAAAAAAAAAAAGAAAAAGAAAATTCAGTCCCAGAGGATACAGAAACAATTCAGTTGCAAGATCACAAGAAAATCGGAGACACAGGACTATAAATAGTATTCTTTGAGAGAGGGTATTGAACAACAATAGGGAGTTTATAAAAACAGATATTCAGAAAACAGCCAGGAGTGGTGGTACGCACCTGTAGTCCTTAGCTACTCAGGAGGCTGAGATGGGAGGATTGCTTGAATCCAGGAATTCAAAGTTGTAGTGAGTCGTGATCTCGCCACCGTACTCCAGCATGGGTAACAGAGCAAGACTATGTCTCTAAAAAAAAGGAAAAAATAAAAGAAAGAAAGAAACATTCAGGCGGGGCGCGGTGGATCACGCCTGTAATCCCAGCACTTTGGGAGGCTGAGGCAGGTGGATCATTTGAGGCCAGGAGTTGGTGACCCGCCTGGCCAACATGGTGAAACCTCATCTCTACTAAAAATACAAAAATTAGCCGGGTGTGGTGGTGGGCGCCTGTAATCCCAACTACTTGGGAGGCTGAAGCAGGAGAATAGCTTGAACCTAGGAGATGGAGGTTTCAGTGAGCCGAGATTGCTCCACTGCACTCCAGCCTGGGCAGCAGAGTGAGACTCTGTCTAAAAAAAAAAAAAAAGTAATAAATAAATAAATAATGGCAGAGCACAGTGGCTCACGCCTGTAATCCCAGCACTTTGGGAGGCTGATGTGAGCGGATCACCTGAGGTCATGAGTTCAAGACCAGCCTGGCCAACATGGCAAAACCTTGTCTTTACTAAAAATACAAAAATTAGCCAAGCGTGATGGTGCGCGCCTATAGTCCCAGCTACTTGGGAGGCTGAGGCGGGAGAATCACTTGAACCCGGTAGGTGGAGGTTGCAGTGAGCCAAGATTCAGTCATTACACTCCAACTTGGGCGACAGAGTGAGACACCGTCTCAAAAAAATTAATTAGGGCCGGGCGCGGTGGCTCACACCTGTAATCCCAGCACTTTGGGAGGCTGAGGCAGGCGGATCACGAGGTCAGGAGATCGAGACCATGGTGAAACCCTGTCTCTACTAAAAATACAAAAAATTAGCTGGGCGCAGTGGCGGGTGCCTGTAGTCCCAGCTACTCGGGAGGCTGAGGCAGGAGAATGGCGTGAACCCGGAAGGCGGAGCTTGCAGTGAGCCGAGATCGCGCCACTGCACTCCAGCCTGGGTGACAGAGTGAGACACCATCTCCAAACAAACAAACGAATTAATTAATTAAAATAAATAAATAAAACAAAAATAGAGGGAGGTCACAGAGTGCCCAACCCAAGAAATGAGAAAAGCTCTACATCACCACACATCAGAGTGTCAGAATTAAAAAGATCCTAATGGCTTCTGAGATAAAAAATAGTTCATATACAAAGGATGAAGAATCAGAATGGCTACAGACTTGTCAGCAGCAACACTGGAAACGAGAAGACAATGGGGCAATGTTATCAAATACCTGAAGAGAATAGGCTGGACTCAGTTGTTTATGCCTGAAATCCTAACACTTTGAGAGGCCAAGTCAAGAGAATCACTTGAGACCAAGACTTTGAGACCAGCTTGGGTAGGGAGACCCATCTCTACAAAACTTTTAAAAATTAGCCACATGTGGCCAGGTGCGGTGGCTGATACCTGTAATCCCAGCACTTTGGGAGGCCAAGGTGGGCGGATCACAAGGTCAGGAGTTTGAGACCAGCCTGGCCAACATGATGAAACCTCGTCTCTACTAAAAATACAAAAAAAAAAAAAAAAAAAAAAAAAAAAATAGCTGGGCGTGGTGGCACCCGCTTGTAGTCCCAGCTACTCCAGAAAGCTGAGACAGGAGAATCACATGAACCCAGAGGTGGAGGTTTCAGTGAGCCAAGATCACGTCACCACACTCCAGCCTGGACGACAGAGGAAGATTCCATTTCAAAAAAAAAAAAATTAGCCAGATATGGTGGTGTGTGCCTGTAGTCCCAGCTACTTGGGAGGCTGAGGTGGGAGGATTGCTTGAGCCAAGGAGGTTGAGGCTGCAGTGAGCTATGATTGTGTCACTGCACTCCAGCCTGGGCAACAGGGCAAAATTCTGTCTCTTAAAAAAAATTATGAAGCCAGGCTTGGTGGCTCATGCCTGTAATCCCAGCACTTTGGGAGGCCGAGGCCAGTGGATCACTTGAGGCCAGGAGTTCGAGACCAGCCTAGCCAACATAATGAAGCCCCGTCTGTACTAAAAGAATATACAAAAATTAGCCAGGCGTGGTGGCACATGCCTGTAGTCCCAGCTACTCAAGAGGCTGAGGCACAAGAATTGCTTGAACCCAGAAGGCAGAGGTTGCAGTGAGCCGAGATCATGCCACTGCACTCCAGCCTGGGCAACAGAGTGAGACTGTCTCAAAAAAAAAGTTGGCCAGGCATGGTGGCTCACGCCTGTAATCCCAGCACTTTGGGATGCCAAGCTGGGCGGATCATGAGGTCAGGAGATTGAGACCATCCTGACCAATGTGGTGAAACCCTGTCTCTACTAAAAATATAAAAATTGGCTGAGTGTGGTGGCGTATGCCTGTAATCCCAGCTACTCGGGAGGCTGAGGCAGGAGAGTGGCTTGAACCCGGGAGGTGGAGATTGCAGTGAGCTGAAATTGTGCCACTGCACTACAGCCTGGTGACAGAGTTAGACTATGTCTCAAAAAAAAAAAAAAAAAAGCCAGGTGTGGTGGTGCGTGCCTGTAATCCCAGCTACTCAGGAGGCTGAGGCACGAGAATTGCTTGAACCCAGGAGGCAGAGGTTGCAGTGAGCCGAGATCACGCCACTGCACTCCAGCCTGGTGACAGAGCGAAGACTCCATCTCAAAAAAAAGAAAAAAAAAAGTTATGAGAATAAAATAAAGGTATGCAAAGTCTCAAAGGATTTGTCCAAAAGCTTCCTGAAAAGAATGCATGGTGGATAAATCCTTTGAGGCTTTGCACCAAAATGAGGGAGTAAGCCAAGAAAAAAGTTACAGGATCCAGGAAAAAGTGTATCTGACACAGGAGGTAAGTGAAGGAAATCCTCCAGCTGAGATAGAAGGGAGATCCCAGGATAATAGCTTTGCAGCCGACCTAGAGAACAATCATTTCAGATTGGAGCAGGAGTATGGAGGGCTCTGGAGCCATATATCTAAGAAAAAATGGAAACTGATAAAATTGATAAATTATCTGATTGTATTTGGTTATACTAAGAGGAGAGTTATACTCCTAGAAGAGGGTATGAGAATGAATTGGTAATAAGTACATAGGTAACTAAGCAAACAAAAAAAATGCATAATTATTAATTGGTGTAGAGGAACATACAAGAAGGAAAATGTGAACATAATATGGTAAGTGTCACAGCTTGCAAATAACATTTACATACTCCTAATAATAGAAACATTCAATATTGATATAACAAAAATAACATTACTACATTAGGAGGATGGAGAGAGAAAGTACATGCATATTTTGGGGGCAGATGAGAGTTAAATCCTCATTTTAAAAATAGAAGTAGGGTCGGGCATGGTGGCTCACGCTTGTAATCCTAGCACTATGGGAGGCCAAGGCGGGCGGATCACCTGAGGTCAGGAGTTCAAGACCAGCCTGGACAACATGGTGAAACCCCATCTCTACTAAAAATACAAAAATTAGCGGGGCACAGTGGCATGTGCCTGTAATCCCAGGTACTCGGGAGGCTGAGGCACCAGAATTGCTTGAACCCGGGAGGCAGAGGTTGCAGTGAGCTGAGATCGCACCACTGCAGTCCAGCCTGGGTGACAAAGCAAACTGTGTCTCAAAAAAAAAAAAAGAAGAAGAAGTAGGACCAGGTGCGGTGGCTCACACCTGTAATCCCAGCACTTGGAGAAGCCGAGGCAGGTGGATCACTTGAGTCCAGGAGTTCGAGACCAGCCTGGGCAACATGGTGAAACCCCATCTTTATTGAAAATACAAAAATCAGCCAGGCATGGTGGCATGCCTATAGTCCCAGGAGGCTGAGGCAGGAGAATCGCTTGAACCCAGTAGGCAGAGGTTTCAGTGAGCCGGGATTGTACCATTGCACTCCAGCTTGGGTAACATAGTGAGACCTTGTCTCAAAAAAAAAAAAAAAAAGGAAAAATGCAGACATAAACAATAAGTTTTTCTTTTGTTGTTTGTTTGTTTGTTTGTTTTGTTTGTTTTTGAGACAGACCTTGCTCTATCTCAGCTCACTGAAACCTCTGCCTCCTGGGTTGAAGTGATTCTCCTGTCTCCTCCTCCCGAGTAGCTGGGACTAAAATTAGTCACCGCTCCCAGCTAATTTTTGTGTTTTTAGTAGACATGGGATTTCGCTATGTTGGCCAGGCTGGTCTCGAACTCCTGACCTCAAATGGTCCACCTGCCTCGGCCTCCCAAAGTGCTGGGATCACAGGCGTGAGCCACCGTGGCTGGCCAACAACTCAGAAGCTTTTCAATTGAGTGCTGTTCTGAATAGTGTGATAAAATCTTGTGTCCTCCCTCTCCATCCCACCCAGGATGGCAATCCTTCCTTTGTCCAGTGTATCCACACTGTAGGCAACACCCACCCACTAATCACTTAGTAGCCATCTCAGTTATCAGAGCGTATCACAGTGTTTATATGCAAGCAACCCTTATTTTACTTAATAATGAGCCCAAAATGCAAGAGTAGTGTTGCTGCCAATTTGGTTTTGCCAAAGAGAAGCCATCAAGTGCTTCCTTTAAGTGAAAAGGTAGAAGTTCTCAATAAGGAAAAAAAAAATCTTATGCTGAGTTAGCTAAGATTTAAGGTAAGAACAAATCTCCCCTATTCGTGAAATTGTGAAAAAAAGAGAGAAAAACTCATGCCAGTTTTGCTGTTGCACCTCAAACTGCAAAAGTTATGGCCACAGTGCATCATTAAGTGCTTAATTAAGACAGAAAAGGCATTACATTTGTGGATGGGAGACATGAACAGAAACATGTTCTGATTGTCATTATTCAGGTTCAGTATTATCTGCAGTTTCAGGCATCCACTGAGGGCCTTGGAACTTCCCTGAAGATAAGGGTAGACTACTGTATGAGGTATCTACAGTAGTCAAATTCACAGATACAGAAGGCAGAAGGGTGGTTGTTGCTAGGGGCTGGGAGGAGGGGGAAATCGGGAATTGTTAAATGGATATAGAGTTTCAGTTTTCCAAGATAAAGAGCTTTGGAGATTGGCTGCAGGGCGATAGGATAGGCGATACTTAACACTACTGAACCATACACTTAAAAACAGTCAAGATCGCAGGGCGCGGTGGCTGACGCCTGTAATCCCAGCACTTTGGGAGGCCGAGGTGGGCGGATCACGAGGTCAGGAGATCGAGACCATCCTGGCTAACATGGCGAAACCCCGTCTCTACTAAAAAAAATACAAAAAATTAGCCGGGCGTGGTGGCGGGCGCCTGTAGTCTCAGCTACTCGGGAGGCTGAGGCAGGAGAATGGCGTGAACCTGGGAGGCAGAGCTTGCAGTGAGCCAAGATCGCACCATTGCACTCCAGCCTGGTTGACAAGAGCCAAACTCTGGCCTCCAAAAAAAGAAAATAAATAAACATTTTTTAAATTTGCAAAAAACACAGGGGTTCATAAAGAAAAACAATTATATTCACATATAATTATCAAAATATTAAAATGTTTATGATGTAACTGATTTTTATCAATGTATTAAAGATCTAACAGCAAGTCTAATATCAATTATAATTACAAAGTGTGCTGAATGCAAACAATATTTAGATGTATCTTCAACACTTGTAATGTAAAATGAAAATATCTGTTATTTCTATTAGTAATAACATTGCAGTTACTGCCAGTACCAGTGATTTGTTGCCTACATTCATAATTAAAGGAGATGCTAAATTTCTGTTAAAAGTTAGTGAAAATACAGATGTAATTTTGGCTGAGCATGGAGACTCATGCCTGTAAATCTCAGCACTTTGGGAGGCTGAGGTGGGAGGATCACTTGAGGCCAGGAGTTTGAGACCAGCCTGGGCAACATGGCAAGATCCTGTCTCTACAAAAAATTTAAAAAATTGCTAGGTATGGTGGCACGCTCCTGTAGTTACAGCTATGAAGGAGGCTGAGGTGGGTGGACTGCTTGACCCCAGGAGTTCGAGGATGCAGTGAACTATGATTGTGCCACTGCACTCCAGCCTGGGCAACTGAGGGACACCTGCCTCAAAAATAAATAAATAAATAAATATGTAATTTTTTTTCCCTTCCAAGTTCACAGATTCCCTGAATTGTATGATCTGTAGGCCTAGGTTTAGAATCTCTGCTTCTCTAAGCCTCAGATTTATCATCAGTCCTTAGTGTTTGACACATTCCTAACTTATTCACTCTCTCACACTTACAGGCAACTGTTTCACACTATTTTCACACCTCAACCCCAATCACTCCTCCCTCATTCTCTCTCTCAGTTGCTTCCTACTTCACTGAGAAAAATGGAAGCAATCAGAAAAAAATTTTCAGACTCCCACCACATCTACCTAACCTCTACACTTACACCCACCTTCTCTGCCTGTGGCCTGTTACCATAAACGAACTGCCCACACTCCTACCTTTAGGCTTTAGCTAATCCTGAATAGATCTCATGACCTCAAACCTATTCAAGGGCACTACTGCAGTAAATCTCCTACACCATCAAAATTTTGGAGATGTTCTAAAAATTATTTCCGTCAACATGGAACATGCTATTTCTCCCATCTTAAAACTTTTTCTTGATCCTATTTCCTCCACCATGACTCCCATTTCTCTGTCCCCGTATTCAGCAAAACTCAGGTTTCTTTTTGAGATGGAGTCTCACTCCAGCCTAAGCTGGAGTGGAGTGGCGTGATCTCAGCTCACTGCAACATTCACCTCTGGGGCTCAAGCGATTCTCCTGCCTCAGCCTCCCAAGTAGCTGGGACTACAGGTGTGCGCCACCACACCTGGTTAATTTTTTTGTAGTTTTAGTAGAGACAGGGTTTCACCATGTTGCCCTGGGTGGTCTCGAACTCCTGAGCTCAGGTAATCCACCTGCCTCAGCCTCCCAAAGTGCTGGGATTACAGGCATGAGCTACCGCACCCAGCCTCTTTTTTTTTTTTTTTTTTTTTTTTTTTTTTTTTTGAGATGGAATCTGCCAGCGCGCCTGGCCTTTTTTTCTTTTTTTGAGACAGGGTCTCTCTCTGTTGCTCAGGCTGAAGTTCAGTGGCGAAAACATGGCTCACTGCAACCTGATTCATGGATTCAAGCGATCCTCCTGCTTCAGCCTCCTGAGTAGCTGGGACTACAGGCATGCACCGCCATGCCCAGCTAAGAGACCAGCTTTATCCATTACCACAACTGTTTATCAGATTAGGATATTGCCGCAGAGAAACAGAAATAGCACAGATTTTAAAGATCAACTTTATTGAAGTATAATTTACATACAAATTTTATGTGTATTAGCCGGGCGCGGTGGCTCATCCCTGTAATCCCAGCACTTTGGGAAGCCGAGGCGGGTGGATCACGAGGTCAGGAGATCAAAACCATCCTGGCTAACACGGTGAAACCCCATCTCTACTAAAAATACAAAACATTAGCCAGGCGTGGTGGTGGGTGCCCGTAGTCCCAGTTACTCGGGAGGCTGAGGCAGGAGAATGGCGTGAACCCAGGAGGCGGGGCTTGCAGTGAGCGGAGATCGTGCCACTGCACTCCAGCCTGGGCGACAGAGCAAGACTTCGTCTCAAAAAAAAAAAAAAAAATGTATTTTTTTTTTATGAGTTTTGACAAATGTATAGGTAATTTTATTTGTAGTAGAGGACGTTAAGGTTCCCGGGGATTGTGCAGGTCCAGGGATTTAACAGAGGGATCCTGTTTAGGAAACAGGACAACATCGGGGCTCTTGGGAAACATAATCAAACAGGAACAAGTGGAGACACCAAGGGCTGGCCAGAGGTTGGTGCTGGGGTCTCAGTGCACCAGGATCTGGCCCTCTGGAATGCCTGGCGACTTCATGGCAGCTCCTGGCCCTCCTCAGGGAGCGGTCTCACCACTCTGACGCGTGTTTAGGCCACGAGGTGAGACCTAGGACTGGGTTCTGGCTCTCTGCCCTGCAACTTTCCTGCCACTACCCGCGCCCGTATCCCTGCCCACCAACTGGGGGCGCTCCAGTCGGTGACAGCCAACTTTCACTGCTGCCACCACAACCGCAGGGCCCCAATTACCTCTCTGTTAGAAATCGGTTTCAGAGCGGTGGAACCGCGGGCGGGAAAAAGCCCAGGCGCTGTCTCGGGTGCCCCTTCGTGTCAGCCATCCTCTGGTCTCTCGGGTCTCCGAAGCTCGGGGCTAACTGGGCGCGAACCGCTGAGCCCGCCTACCAACCAGGCCCTTTCTCCCGCCCCTCTGCGGCTGAAACCCTCAAGGGGTTGCAGGTTCAGCTTTCACTTAGAGACAGCAACTCCAAATTCAGGGTCGCTGGGGAAACTAAGGCAGGACTGGGGACTCTGAGTGAGAGGTCAGACGCTGGTCGCGGACTCTTTCTCCCGAGAACTGGGGATAGCTCTTCCGATAGCCCAAAGCGATTCATGCGGATCCTAGAAGAAAGCGCCGAGGTCCGGGCGGTTGGCCGGGGAGAGCGAAGCGCCGCCCACGCGGCTGGGAAAGCTTGGGGTGGCGCTGGCGGGAGGTGGGGCCGGGGGCGGGTTCCTGGCGGAGGGTGGGGCAGACGTGGGTTACCGGGTGTGCCAACCAAACCCTGAACAGAGGAGGTGGCGGTGGTGGCCCTCGCCTGTGGCCCCCGTGCTGCTTGCACTCGAACTCGTCGCCATGGAGGAGCTCCAGGAGCCTCTGAGAGGACAGCTCCGGCTCTGCTTCACGCAAGCTGCCCGGACTAGCCTCTTACTGCTCAGGCTCAACGACGCTGCCCTGCGGGCGCTGCAAGAGTGTCAGCGGCAACAGGTACGGCCGGCCCCCTTCTTCTCTAGTCACTGCCCCTAGGGACCTTGGGCCTCAGCCGGCGACCCTGGAGAAGGTGCAGGGGAGAGGGAGCGGCTTCCGCAAGCTCTGGCCTCCCCACCTCTCCAAGTGAAGCCCGCTAGGCAGGTGATCCCGGGCTCCGGACGCCGGATCCTGGGGACACTGCTTCACCTGCGCTCAACGGTCACATCTTCGCTCTCCCCGCAGGTACGGCCGGTGATTGCTTTCCAAGGCCACCGAGGGGTAAGTGCGAGCTCAGGGTGTGTGAGCGAGGTGAGGGCGAGGGAGCATAAACGTGGGCTGGAGGTGGAAGGTGCGGTCGGGGCCGGAGGCTGCGAGTAGTCACGGTCTGAGGTAGTTCCGATAACTGAACTCCAAGTGGGGCGAGGAGGCTGCTGGGGTTGTCCCAGGGGGCTGTGGTTTGAGGGGACTGTGCTGTTTCGGCCTCCTGGGGAACTCAGGCCCAGCTGCACCTGGTGTGCTAACAAGCCCTGTGGGACCCGTCTTAGTCTTACTTACGGACTGGCTCCCGGACGAGTGGCGGCGGCAGGAGGGGGAGGGGCTGACTTCATGGGGCTTACCGTCTCCTTCCACCCCCAGTATCTGAGACTCCCAGGCCCTGGTTGGTCCTGCCTCTTCTCCTTCATAGTGTCCCAGTGTTGTCAGGAGGGCGCTGGTGGTAGCTTGGACCTTGTGTGCCAACGCTTCCTCAGGTGAGGGGGAACAGGTAGCCGGCAAGAAAGGGTTTGTGGAAAGTGGGGGAGGGAAATGTGGAGAGGTGCTTAAGAGGTCTCCACCCTCCTATTTTTTTCCACCATCCTTTTCCAGGTCTGGGCCTAACAGCCTCCACTGCCTGGGCTCACTCAGGGAGCGCCTCATTATTTGGGCAGCCATGGATTCTATCCCAGCCCCATCATCAGTTCAGGGACACAACCTGACTGAAGATGCCAGACATCCTGAGAGTTGGCAGAACACAGGAGGCTATTCTGAAGGAGATGCAGTATCACAGCCACAGATGGCACTAGAGGAGGTGGGTGAGGCCAGAAATTGCAGGGAGTTGTGATAAGGTGGGGCAAAGCCTGAAGTCCAAGGTATCCCAGTACTCCAGGGAACCAAGTGCTCCTGCCACTTTCCCCACCAGGTGTCAGTGTCAGATCCACTGGCAAGCAACCAAGGACAGTCACTCCCAGGATCCTCAAGGGAGCACATGGCACAGTGGGAAGTGAGGTACTTTGGATGGGGTGGGACTAACATGGGAAGCTTTGGCATTGTCTTCCTTTCTAATCTCCACTCTTAAATGTTGTAATAAAAGATCCAGTTCCACCTCCTACCCTGGTCTTCATCTGTCCCATTCCCTTAAAATATCCTAGAAGCCAGACCCATGTTCCAAACAGAGAACCTGTTCAGGCACTGCCTTCCTCTGCCAGCCGGAAACGTCTGGACAAGGTAAGTTAGAATGGCAAGGGCTTTTTTTTTGTAACATTAATATAATTAAACAGTGGCAAAGACTATTTTGAAAAGCACTTTTAGTCAAGCTAAAATTTAGAAATTGGAAGCTCGTTATATGGGAGGAATTTTTTTAGAGACAAGGTCTCTCTGTTCCCCAGGCTGGAGACTCCTGGGCTCAGGCCATCCTTTTTTTTTTTCTTATTCTCACTCAGTCACCTCAGGCTGGAGTGTTGTGGTATGATCACGGCTCACCACAGCCTTGAACTCCTAGGCTCGATTCTCCCTCCTCAGCTGGTGTGTGCCACTACACCAGGCTCATTTTTTTATTTTTTTGTAGAGATAGGGTCTCACTATGTTACCCAGACTAGTCTTGAAATCTTGGGCTCAAGCGATCCCCCCACCTGAGCCTCTGAAACGGTCAGGATTACAGGTATGAGCCACTGTGCCCAGCCTAGGAGAAATTCTTGAGAGAAGAACATATTTAGGAAGCTCTTGGCTGTTTATGTCACACAGATATTTTCCTCAACAGAAACGTTCAGTGCCTGTAGCCACTGTAGAACTGGAAGAAAAGAGGTTCAGAACTCTGCCTTTAGTGCCAAGCCCCCTACAAGGCCTGACCAATCAGGATTTACAAGAGGGAGAAGATTGGGAGCAAGAAGATGAGGACATGGACCCCAGATTAGAACACAGTTCCTCAGTTCAAGAAGGTGAGTTAATGAGAGGAGGGTAAAAATGCCAGTGGAAAAGACTTATAATCACTTGTGTTTTCTTGCTTCCTTCCTAGATTCTGAATCCCCAAGTCCTGAAGATATACCAGACTACCTCCTGTGAGTTCCTTGCTTTTTCCAATTTCATCAAGACTTGTTCATATATTAAGATACACTTCCTGGAAGCTGGGGGCTTTTCAGGGGCAATGAAATTGAAGGTGACAACTCTCTGCTCCTGGCAGGCAATACAGGGCCATCCACAGTGCAGAACAGCAACATGCCTATGAGCAGGACTTTGAGACAGATTATGCTGAATACCGCATCCTGCATGCCCGTGTTGGGACTGCAAGCCAAAGGTTCATAGAGCTGGGAGCAGAGATTAAAAGAGTTCGGCGAGGAACTCCAGAATACAAGGTAAGGACAGGACCCAGCCTGGCTTTCCAGCTCTACTGGCCATTAACCCCCTGCTAACCATCCATACACCTGTGTTTATAAAGTGACTAAGCAAAGTGACAAGGAAACCTGTTTGAAGGGAAAAATTAGTCTGTATCATTTGGTAGAATGAGAAGGGAAGTTACTTCCCTTCTTTTTTTGGGGGGACAGTCTAGCTCCGTCTCTCAAGCTGGAGTGCAGTGGCGCAATCTTGGCTCGCTGCAACCTCCACCTCTTAGGCTAAAGCGATTCTCATGCCTCAGCTTTCCGAATAGCTGGGATTATAGGTATGTGCCACCATGCCCAGCCACTTTTTGTATTTTTAGTAGAGACAGGGTTTTACCATGTTGGCCAGGCTGGTCTTGAACTCCTGACTTCAAGTGATCCACCCACCTCAGTCTCCCAAAGCGCTGGGATTACAGGTGTGAGCCACTGCGCCTGGCCCCTCTCTCTTTTTTTTTTCTTTTTGAGACAGTCTCACTTGGTTGCCCAGGCTGGAGTGCAGTAGCGTGATCTTGGCTCACTGCAAGCTCCGCCTCCCGGGTTCACGCCATTCTCCTGCCCCATTCTCCTGCCGCAGCCTCCCGAGCAGCTGAGACTACAAGCGCCTGCCACCACGCCCAGCTAATTTTTTTGTATTTTTTTAGTAGAGACGGGTTTCACTGTGTTAGCCAGGATGGTCAAGATCTCCTGACCTCGTTATCTGCCTGCCTCAGCCGCCCAAAGTGCTGGGATTACAGGCGTGAGCCACCATGCCTGGCCGCCCCTCTCTCATTTCTTAATGTTGAACTCAGTGCTAGTAATTTCTGTTTCAGGTCCTGGAAGACAAGATAATCCAGGAATATAAAAAGTTCAGGAAGGTAAGACAAGGTCTGGGAACGGAAGCAAGGTAGAATGAGAATTTTTACTTTTTGACATGGATGCTTTTTCTCTGCAGCAGTACCCAAGTTACAGAGAAGAAAAGCGTCGCTGTGAGTACCTTCACCAGAAATTGTCCCACATTAAAGGTCTCATCCTGGAGTTTGAGGAAAAGAACAGGGGCAGCTGAAGTTATCAAGGGAATTTTTGAGCCTCTGCTTAGTGAAACACAAAGGAACAAAGCAGCTATAAACTAAATAGAATGCAACTATCTGCTTTTCTTATGCTGACCACTGGAGTCCATGGTGGCAAGTAGAGAGCTGCTCTAGGTTCTTGAGGTTTGGTTTTCATTATTAATTTTTAGGGTATGGGCACTGTGCAAAGACTCCATAGCTGTGCCTAGGAGTCTAGGAAAAGTGACAGAGGCTTGGCTTTTTTACCTTTAGTTCAGCCAAGTCATTTTCAAGTCCTGAGAAATGACATCATCTTCAGGATAAAATAATGAGGACATTAGACAAACCAAACTAAGTGAATTTTAGCCTGGTAGCCTCTCTAAGGAAACAGTAATAATAACTTCTGATAAGAGTTAAAAGAACTTGTAGCATACCTGGATATAATGGGAAAGGGCCTGGGTGTTACCCATGTACTGAAAATGAACTTTTACCAACATGGCTAAAAAATTAAAACTGACTGCTTCTGTGTCCTTTGTACAAGTTTATATGTTTCCCTTAAATCTTCCAAGGCAGATGGTTCTTAACCCTGGCTTTACATCTGAGCCACTTTTGGGGCTCTCTAAACAATTAGATCCCCGGGCCCCAGCCCAGATGTTATGAGTTACAAGATTATGGTTTAGACATCTTTTACTTTTTCCAAGCTTTGTGTGTGACCAAGATACATACTTTACTATAAGGCTCTACCAAATTCATCTTAAAATTGACAGCTAAATACTGTAATTATATAGTAGGAAGAAAATTCTTTTCTGAACATAGGAGTTCCTAGGATCACCTAAAGTAGGGCTCCTACCTGGAATTCTCCAGTGACTGAAAACTATAACTGGGCAGGATTTGAATTTACCTACAAAAGGAGATAAATGGTTTAGTTGGACAAAAGATCACTCTTCAGTCTTATCCTTTCTGTTCCTCATTGTTACAAAAGAAAGTGGATGCTTCACTCATAACTAGGAATGGTACTGCCTTTCCCAGTTCTACTGAAGGGGAAGTTAAAGGGCCACACCCTAGGCTTTAGGGGATAGAACTGCACCCAGCAGTGTCAGCAATTCCTGAAACAACTTGGATGAAACTGCGTGATGCCACACCCTTGACAGGGCATTTCTGAGCAGAGAACAGTCCTTGGGAGATATAAACATGCAGTAAGCTCAGCTGCGTGGCAAGGATAAACAGGAACCCATCCTTAGGGCATGGACAGCCTAACAAGAAAGGCCCTTCAGCTGTTCTAATCACCAGGGTAGGCCTGGGAAATAAACATGTAAGGAGAGAAAGAGATAATAAATTTTGAAAGAATTTTGAGGTGATGAACTATGGACCCAGTCAGTCTACAGCTGCCGTGACCAGTATGGTAGCAACTGTATGGCTATTTAAATTAATCAAAACAAAAATGTAGTTTCTAGCCATATTTCAGATGCTCCGTAGCTACCTGTACTGAACAGTGTAGATTACAGAGCATTTCCATCACTGAAGAAAGCTCTATTGAACAGTGATAGTGTGTAGAGAACATCTGGTTCTCAATCTGGTGGAAAATAAGACAGTTTAAAGGGGTCTCATTTATTGTCACTGTTCCAAATGTACAAAAAAAATTAGAAAATACCCCCAACTCAACCCCACCCCCACAACATTTCCCCCAACACAAATAATTTTTCCCAAAACCACAAACATAAACTGGTCCTGGTATTTCCATAAACAGTGCAGCTAAGAAACAGTTTAGAGAAAATTTAACAGGATTCAGATTATATCCATTCTGTCCTCTCGGCCCTGAGAGGTAATAATTCCCATATGGGTCCTAGTCCTCCCCAATGGTTTTCCCATCTCTGATGGAAGAGTCCTTTTACAAAGTGGTGTTTGGCTACTGCTTTAGAGATCCTCCTGTGCCTTCTTCTTCTTCTTGGGTTTTTCTTCTTGAATTACAGGGGGGTTTGTAGCTTCTCTTTGTAGATAGCTAATAAAATCACTTAATTCACGGCCACCCTGAAAACAGAAAGATCAGCTTAAAAGTGTAACTTTTTAAAGAACCCTGATCTGCCCCACCCAAACAGGAAGACTTCTGAGTTTGTAAAAGCATATTAGCAGCCACATATACTGCCCATGAGAGTTTAAAGAGATTTTAGTTAAATAAACCCAATTAGCCTAGCACGGTGGCTCACGCCTGTAATCCCAGCACTTTGGGAGGCCAAGGCAGGCTGATCACCTGAGGTTAGGAGTTCAAGACCAGCCCAACCAACATGGAGAAACCCCATCTCTACTAAAAATACAAAATTAGCCGGGGTGGTGGCGCATGCCTGTAATCCCAGCTACTCGGGAGGCTGAGGCAGGAGAATCGCTTGAACGGTGAGCCGAGATCACGCCATTGCACTCCAGCCCAGGCAACAAGAGCGAAACTCCGTCTCAAAAAATAATTAAATAAATAAATAAACCCAATTAAAGAACTATGTTTAAGGTTGTGTGTTTACGTCTGTGTATATATTTGTGGGGATATGGGACAATTCACTTACTTCATATTTCTTTGGATTTAGCTTCTTGTTGGCTGGAGAGAAGTATATGGTAGGAAAACTGGGGAAAGAAACATTTATTAATTTCAAGCAGTTATGTGGGCCCATACTGCAGAACTCTTAAGCCAAGAAGGAATCAGTGGTTCTGCCTTCAACTGAATATGAAAACTATGTCTAGTAATGATTTCCTGGTGGTTACAAGCTTTATTCCTATCTATTGCCTAGACACTTTTGTTAAGTTTTAAGCCACTTACCCTCTGACTTCATATGGAGAAGGCACATCATTGGCTGTGGCATCCATCTTGGCTATGACGATATTTGGGTCTTTGCTGAGCTGTTAATAAAACAGGTTAAATGTTTACATTTCAAGTTTTCAGTGACAGAGGGACACTTAGTCAATTGAAGACTTAAAACAATCTCATTCTTCAAACACTAAAAATACAAAAATTAGCCGGGTGTGGTGGTGCGCACCTGTAATTCCAGCAGATAAACTGCTGTTCATGTGGGAAGAGTGGTTTGCAGATGGTAGTACCTCACTTTCCACAAGCTTCCCTTTTTTCTCTTGTATTAAGACTCTACATATTGCCACCTTCAAATTTACCTGGTCTGAATAAGACATTACAGGGGCTAAGCCAAATGTTTTAAGATGAAGGACCATATGGATTCATGTAAGCCATTACCAAAATTCAGAAGTCCTTAGATATTTTTAACCATTATCTAGATTGAGCCTGAGGAATGGAATGTTAAAAGTGGGTATCTCAGGCACTGCACAGGCTGGAGCACTAGGGGGCAGTCACGAGAAAGTGAGTAAACAGCAAGTAATTGGGAAAAAAATCTATCAGTACTTAGGAACCAACCAAATTAGCCAATGCTGAATACATACATAAACTTACTGCTCCCGCTCAAATGTTATCCTCAGAATAGGGTTCACACTTACCTTCTCGCCAAGTTCTTTATACTTGGGCTCCAGGTTCTTACAGTGACCACACCAAGGGGCATAAAATTCAATCAGCACATCTTTATTTTCATTATTCACTATTTCATCAAAATTCTCTGCTACCACTACCTGGAAAACACAGAAGAATCTCTAGTTGGTAACATAAAAAAATAAATTCACAACTGTATTTGTTCCTAGACCCAATCCCTCTCTAATTTGATGTGTTACCACAGAAAATAAGTCATGGAAACCCAAATCACATTTACAGATTGTATTAAAGATGTTGTCATTCACTAGATACCAACTCGTTCCTATGTCTGTCACCTGTCAAACTATGTTCAGGAAGTTACAGGACATAGAAGTGCTACCCAACCATTCCTTAAAATAATTTCAAGCCAAGCTTGGTGGCACATGCCTGCAGTCCAAGCTACTCAGAAGGCTGAGGCAACAGAGTAAGACCACATCCCTATAAAAAATTCAAAGCAACACACTGTTCTTAGGGGTTGCTCTATCCTCAAGAGTAACTTAGCCCAATATAAATTTCATCAGAAAATTCTACGCAGGCTTTACACGCTTGCCCCTACCAAGCATTATGAGCCCTGCCAATGCTTTTTTTTTTTTTGAGATGGAGTTTCGCTCTTGTCGCCCAGGCTGGAGTGCAGTGGCATAATCTTGACTCACTGCAACCTCTGCTTCCTGGGTTCAGGCGATTCTCCTGCCTCAGCCTCCCGAGTAGCTGGGCTTACAGGCGCCCGCCACCATGCCCGGCTGATTTTTTTGTGTTTTTAGTAGATACGGGGTTTCACCATGTTGGGCAGGCTGGTCTCAAACTCTTGACCTTGTGATGTGCCCGCCTTTGCCTCCCAAAGTGCTGGGATTACAGGCATGAGCCACCGCTTGGCCTGCCAATGCTTATTTTATGACTCGGGAGTAAGGACAAAAAAAAAAAGAGATGGCCAACGAAGTCTTCATTTAGACCCCACAGTTTTGGAACAAAGAAATGAGGACAGGCAATTGCTCATAGCTTGATGAGGCTGTGAGCACCTCACCTTCACAGGCCCATCATTGCTCTCTGGGATAGGTTCAGACTTCAGGTATCTCTTCAGATTGCCATCAAAGTAATCCTGCAGGAACCTCTCCAGAGCCTTCCCATCACGCCTACAATTGGAAAACAAGGGTAAGGCTTGTTAATCTATTCCCACCGCTGAGAAAATTACAGCAATTTCTTTGAATAGTTACTATGTATTTTAGCTTTTCAAGGCTAAAAAAGGGGGACTCTCATCTCTCAATATGCAGAACTACCGACTGAAGAAACAAACCGTTCCTTTTATTTCTAGTGTGTTCTTTGTGGATTACAAAGTTCAGAGAAAGGAGAATCATTGGTCTTCTGGAGATTCATCTTTGTAAGAAAACAAGGTCTTATTGCTCTGGAGCACACTATTTACAGTATTTTGTTTTATTGACTGGCTCACAAGGAAGATTTTCTCTTGTCTCAATCTCCCAAAATCTCAGAAAGTGAGGGTAAAAATTGTTTCCGGGGTCTTCAGATCTTCCCGATTCTGAGTTCACTTTAGACCCATGTGCTATTTCAAAAAGAAAATACATTCTGTAGGGATGAGGGGGGGGAATGGTTTGGTTTGAAATTACGTCAGTATCAAGGAGACTGTTCAATCTTTTTTTAGATTTTTAAATTTTTTGGAGACGGGGTCTTGCTATGTTGCCCAGGCTGGCCTCAAACTCATGGGCTCAAGTGATCAAGTGATCTTCCTGCCTCAGCCTCCCAAAGTGCTGGGATTATAGGTGTGAGCCACCACATCTGGCCCAAAGGAGGCTGTCCAATCTTATCTATTTCTTTCTTTTTTTTTTTTTTTTTTTTTGAGACAGAGTCTTGCTCTGTCACCCAGGCTGGAGAACAGTGGCATGATCTCAGCTCACTGCAACCTCTTCCTCCCGGGTTCAAGTGATTCTGGTGCCTCAGCCTCCCCAGTAGCTGGAATTACAGGTGCGCACCGTCACACCCGGCTAATTTTTGTATTTTTAGTAGAGACGGGGTTTCACTATGTGGGCCAGGCTGGTCTTTAACTCCTGTGATCCACATGCCTCGGCCTCCCAAAGTGCTGGGATTACAGGTGTGAGCCACTGTGCTCACCCTTTATCTGCTATTTCTAATGACCAAGTGGAATCATGTAAGAATTCCAACCTGCCATCCTTTCATTAGTTTTCAGAATTCATTAAGGATCATAATCCTTAAAGTACCTATATGTATTTATTTTTCTTTATTTATTTCTTTTTTTGAGACAGAGTTTCGCTCTTGTTGCCCAGGCCAGAGTGCAATGGCACGATCCTGGTTCACCGCAACCTCCGCCTCCCAGGTTCAAGCGATTCTCCTGCCTCAGCCTCCTGAGTAGCTGGGATTGCAGGCATGCACCACCGTGCCTGGCTAATTTTTTTGCATTTTTAGTAGAGACGGGGTTTCTCTATGTTGGTCAGGCTGGTCTCGAACTCCCGACCTTAGGCGATCCACCTGCCTTGGCCTCCCAAAGTGCTGGGATTACAGGCGTGAGCCACCACGCCTGGTCTAAAGTACCTATATTTAAATTGAGAAAAATGACAGTCATAGGTCTTGATTAAAAGACCTATCTTCACATTCCAGGGTTATTGTTCTTTAGAAATCCTTTGTAGTATAAAAGGCTTTAATAATTGCCTTGGAGAATCAAAGCCCAACTAGCAACTCACGAGAACTCCTCCTGCATGACAAACTTCTCTCCTTTAGCAGTTCTGATAGCAACAACAGGAATCTCTCCAGCAGTGCTCTCCAAGCCAAAATCAGAAAGTTCATGGCTAAAGGTTTTGCGGCTAGCTACAGCAAAGTTGAGTTTGTGCCCAGCATCCAGGAATTTCTTTGCCACCATCATTACCCTGTGGGAAACAAGAGACATTTGTGCCAAGACTATACAGGGTGGTCAAGCACTTTTGAAACTAAGAAGCAAGTGATTGGAAAGCAAAGACTAAGTTCTATAGTTCTAGCCTTCTGGAATCAGTCTGAACAGTCTGAGCTCTTGGGCACTGACACAGGGTTATGATATACTTCAATGCCTTACTGAACTTCACTGGCAAATTGGTGATACCCAATCAACTGGTGCATTCCTGCTAAATCTTGCTGTAATATATAACTGAAATCTATTATAGGCATAATAACTGATCTGAAAACAAAATTTGTAAGGGTAAAATGCACTGAGAGGCTCAATGTGCAAGTAAGCACAATGTTTTAAGTGCATTTTATATCAAATTTCCACCTTCTACTTGGAGTCACTGTGTCACAAAGCAAAGAAACACCTACGAAATACATGCCCAACAGATTGTGAAAACAGTTTATTTGTCCTTATGGCTTCAAATGTAGCCATTTGAAGTCAATTGTAGACAATTTGGAAGCCAAATGTTCCCATTCTTTCCTGCTTTTATACCACACATGGTAACAGGATAGTTACTTTAATTTTTTTTTTTTTTTTTTTACCTCTTCTTAAGGAACCATTTATTGTTTTACAGATTCTTAAGGAACCAACAAGATAGTTAGAAGGGACTGTCTATACATTGGGTAAACTTGTTCATGAGGGAAAAACATAATTCTTATTACCTGTTTCTCCAGTAGTTGGAACCTTTAGCGTTCTTTTCATAGTCCACATCATAGTAAGCAATAAGTAAGTCCTTGCCCTGTATCAAATCTTTATTGTCTTCTGTCATGTGAGGGCAGATACCAAAACTGAAATGAAATAATCCATTATCAACTGGCTTGCCAAGTTTTTAGCTATATCATAAAGTTGCCACAAAATAATTGATAGCATTTATGAAGGAAAGAGATTTTAAACATTTAGAACAAGTACTGAGCAATATATACCTTACAGGATGACAACAGGAGTTCTAACACCCACACATTACTGCTTTAATATAAACTCAAACTATTACTATTACAATCCCCCCAAATAGACTGTTTACGCCAAAATATAGCTCGGCTTAATAACTGAGGTAAACAAACTAAAATCAAGCAAATAAATCCCAGACAAGATACAAAGAAGTACTCACATGTTTTCCTGGATAAACTTTTTAATTTTGCCACTGGTCATTTTTTGCTCTGTATATGCCACAGTCTTGTCCTCAAACTTGTTAGTGAGATGTGAAGGACGAAATAAGATGATACCCCTTAAAAAAAAAAAAGAAAAGTCTCAGTAGGCAGATAGCAGAAGAACTGTCTCCCATCTTTTTTTTTTTGAGATAGGGTTTCGCTCTGTTGCTCAGGCTGGAGTGCAATGGTGTGATTATAGCTCACTGTAGCCTTGAACTCCTAGGCTCAAGTGATCCTCCTACCTTAGCTGCCCAAATAGCTGAGAACACAGGTGTGCACCACCATGCACAACTAATTTATTTTTTAAATTTTTGTAGAGATGGGGGTCTCATCATGTTACCAAGGGTGGTCTTGAACTCCCAGGCTCAAGCGATCCTCCCATCTCAGCCTCCAAAAATGCTGGGATTACTGGTGGAGCTCCCATGTTTCATGTAAAGCTCAGACTATGTACTTTTGCTGCCACTTTTAACTAGCAACATCTAAGCACATAAGGACTCTTTTCTAGTACCACAGATTCAGCAACAAGACCTTCTCATTAACACTAAGATGCTAACCACCTTAATCTTAAGTGCAATAATTGGGTATAGGGTTTACTAAATTTTGGGTTAGAAAATTAAGAGAACGTGGTTCTAATCATAGTTCCCCAACTAATTCCAAACACGTTGGACCAGGTCTCAATTTAATCCTTCTGGGCTTCAGCTTTTTCATTATCTCAAAAGGGGGTTAGAGTAGATTTTCAAACCTTTAGAAACAATAGCGGGCTGGGTGTGGTGGCTCACACCTGTAATCCCAACACTTTGGGAGCCCGAGGCAGACAGATCACCTCAGGTCAGGAGTTTGAGACCAGACTGGCTAATATGATGAAACCCTGTCTCTACTAAAAACACATAAACTACCCAGGTGTGGTGGTGCACACCTGTAATCCTAGCTACTCAGGAGGCTGAGGCAGGAGAATCACTTGAACCCAGGAGGCGGAGGTTGTAGTGAGCCGAGATCGCACCACTGCACTCCAGCCTGGGCAACAAGGGCGAGACTCTGTCTGAAAAAAATAAAAAAATAAACTCAAACTTGCTCTGAATCTTCTTTTCACTCATAGTTAGTGACTATTGTTTACATTTTTTTATACTCACCCCTTCCTATCCATTGCCACTAATGCTGTTGACCGAGTTTAGACTCTCACATGTCATCCTCAGTTTAGATTCTCCTTATAGTCCTTAGAATTCTCCTTAGAATCCTTAGAATGCCTTGCACCACTCCCCCTTCAAATCATTATCATGTGGCTGCCAGTGACTTCTTCACAAATTTAACCCATTTACGTGGGAGGTTGCAAATTGTTTTTGTGAAAGATCAGACCTTGGCAATGACCTTGAGCAGGAGGATATAAATAACTCCCACAAGCTTAGTATTCCAGTAATGGAACACTAGGCATTACTCCCCAGCCCAAAGTCTTTTAATGGCTCTCAAATGTCTAAAAGATAAAATCAAAGCTCTTTTGTATGGCACTTAAAATTTATAATTTGGTCTCTGCTTAATACTCCAATCTTATCTTTCATTATGATCTCAATCACAAACAATACTCCAGCAGTACTATGGGCCCCAACATGCCTAGGCTATCTTACATCTCAAGGCCTTCACTCCTGGTGCTCTATCTGGAATAATTTTTATTTCAAAGGCCATAACCTTCCAGAGAAAACTGATCCTTCAAGAGTCACCCCCTCTATGAATATTTCTGATATTACCCCCCTACCCCATAAGAAGAAAAAAACACTCCCTCTTTTGTACTTCCAACCACTCCATATATAGTTCTACATACACTTACACTTTCATTTTTATATATGTTCATGCATACAATCTCCCTCTACTAGATAGAGGGATGTTCCTTGAAGGCAGCAATAGTTTCTGGGCATGTAGCATAATGCCTTGAAAGTACTCAATAAACCCTTGGGAAAAATTAGGTATAAAAATGACCAATTCAGCTGGGTGCGGTGGCTCATGCCTGTAATCTCAGCACTTTGGGAGGCCGAGGTGGGTGGAACACTTGAGGCCAGGAATTTGAAACCAGCCTGGGCAACATGGTGAAACCCTGTCTCTACTAAAAATACAAAAATTAGCAGGGTGTGGTGGCGCGTGCCTGTACTCCCAGCTATGCAGGAGGTTGAGGCGCGAGAATCGTTTGAACCTGGGAGGTGGAGGCTGCAGTGAGCAGAGATTGCACCACTGCACTCCAGCCTGGGTGACAGAGTGAAACCTTGTCCCAGTCAATCAGTATCACCAGTTCACACAATAATACTTGGTCAGGAGATTCAACTCAGTCACTTACTCTCCATTATCATCATACTCGTTCACCAGAGACTCAACATTCGTATGTGCAAATCGGTAGTTATCCCTCAAGTTGCTGGCTGCTTTTAGGAACTCGGAGTGAGCCTCACTGAATGAATCATCGAAAAAACCTATACAGAAAATATTAAACACAAGGAAGAAGCAATAAGTGCTGACAGATGGACATTCCAAACCATAAACGTCTATTCCATAAACCATAAACATTTCATTCTATTTTGAGGACTGGGTCTGCTTTGCCATGACTACCTCAGACAGGCACAATATTTAGGATGAGAATTTTCCCTCTACCCTTTACAGAAACATTTCTTGAGAGAGCCAAGGGAGAAAATTTGTCAGTGTTCAAGTCTTCATTTTACTTTCCCATAATTGAACAAATTTGGGCAAATTGCTTAAGAGTTTCAGGGACTATTTCAGGTATCAGAAGGATTAAATTAAGATGACATGTCAAAATAAACTGTAAACCACTTCACCCAATTTTTTTCCTTCTCTATATTTGTCTTCAGAACTACTCATTTAGAAAAGTGACTAAAACATAAATGTTTAATAAATACATGCTAACTCCTTGTAAAATATAAAGAATCAGTAAAATCTAGATGATAAAAAGTGGCTTTTAGCCAAATTTAAACAGTAAACCATATTCTGCTGCCAGAAAGTCACTTTTTTTTTTTTTTTTTTGCGACAGAGTTTTGCTCTTGTTGCCCAGGCTGGAGTACAATGGCGCGATCTTAGCTCACCCCAACCTCCGCCTCCCGGGTTCAAGCGTTTCTCCTGCCTCAGCCTCCCGAGTAGCTGAGATTACAGGCATGCACCACCATGCTCGGCTAATTTTGTATTTTTAGTAGAGACAGGGTTTCTCCATGTTGGTCAGGTTGGTCTCAAACTCCCGACCTCAGGTGATCCGCCCGCTTCAGCCTCCCAAAGTGCTGGGATTACAGGCGTGAGCCACTGAGCCAGGCGAAAGTCAGTTTTATTACAGTAATTAGGAGACTAAGAGAAGCACAAACATAGCTTTTATGTTTAAATTTATTTTTTAGTCAAATTTATCATATATCACATTTAAAAAACAAAACAATGAACATCTAAGATGCAGAAAGTGTTTAACTGGCTCATGTCATTTAAAAACGAGATACTGCAACACATGAGAAAGCAATGAATGCTGCAAAAACAAGATAAATCCTAGCGATCTGATTTTAAAGTTCCCTAATTTCTGTGAAAATAGCAGAGGTTTATTATTTACTTGTATCTTCCTACCTTAAAACCTTATTTTCAGTCATAACTACCCTATTGTGAGTCAAATCTCAGAGTTTAAGAAGCATTAGAAAACGCTGAAGATATTCCTATCCTAGTCCTTTATTTTTTTCCCCACACCCACCCCTTCCAGTCCCTTTAATTGAAATTAAACCTTTACATCTATGAGAACACAAACCCACTCAAATAAAACACCAATTGCCCCCCACATTATAATTACATTATATAGTAATTATATAATGTACTATATAGTACATTATAGTAATTGCTGACCCAATTCTGTCAGTTGCCTTCTCAACTGCCCCAAGGTTTCCTTAACTGCTTTAATTCTGTGGTTTTCCCAGACATGGAGGGTTTTGGAAACCAAACTGACAATTCTGTGGCACGGTTTAATATTTGCTACTTACCTACTATAGAGGCATCTTTATCACTAATGAATTTCTTAAATTCTTCCTCAGTCCTGAGAGGCACTGAAGCTGGTCCTGCCTGCTTCTTCAAGTGGCTGACAATTCCATCTTAGAAGTCAAAATAAAAGTTATGACAACACAACTTATTTATAATTTTTGAGAAGGCAATTATTCATCATTCACAATTCAGAAGGTACAAAAGGGTATAAGATGAAATCTTCTTGCCACCCTTGTCCCTAGTCACCCAGTTTCCTCCTTGTAAGATTTCAGGTTTTTTTTTTTTTTTTTTTGAGACAGAGTCTCGCTCTGTCGCCCAGGCTGGAGTGCAGTGGCACAATCTCAGCTCACTGCAAGCTCTGCCTCCTGTGTTCATGCCATTCTCCTACCTCAGCCTCCTGAGTAGCTGGGACTACAGGTGCCCACCACCATGCCCGGCTACTTTTTTTTGTATTTTTTTAGTAGAGACGGGGTTTCACCATGTTAGACAGGATGGTCTCGATCTCCTGACCTTTGATCCACCTACCTTGGCCTCCCAAAGTGCTGGGATTACAGGCGTGAGCCACCACACCCAGCCAAGATTTCAGTTGCTTGTATATCCTTCCAGACATTTTCTGCATAAACAGGCAATTATATATACATAGCTACCTCAACCTTTTATTACAGTGGCATAGCGTTTTTTATTATTATTAAAAAGTTTTTTTGGCCGGGTGCTGTGGCTCACGCCTGTAATCACAGCACTTTGGGAGGCCGAGGCGGGCAGATCACGAGGTCAGGAGATCGAGACCATCCTGGCTAACACGGTGAAACCCCGTCTCCACTAAAAATACCAAAAAAATTAGCCGGGCATGGTGGCGGGCGCCTGTGGTCCCGAGCTACTCGGGAGGCTGAGGCAGGAGAATGGTGTGAACCCGGGAGGCGGAGCTTGCAGTGAGCCGAGGTCGTGCCACTGCACTCCAGCCTGGGTGACAGAGTGAGACTCTGTCTCAAAAAAAAAAAAAAAAGTTTTTTTTTTAACAGAAACATTGTTTACAATGCATAGTGTTTCACTATAAATGTGCCACAGTTTATTTAAGCAGACACAATTGCAAAACTGATGGACATTTGTTTCCAATCTTTTTTTTCTTTTCTTTATTTTTTTTTTGAGACAGGGTCTCCTTCTGTCACCCAGGCTGGGGTCCAGCGGCATGATCATTGCTCACTGCAGCCTCGACCTCCCAGGGTCAATCAGACCTCTCGCCTCAGTCTCCTGAGTAGCTGGGTCTACAGGCATGCACCATCCCACCTGGCTAGTTTTTTGTATTTTTATAAAGACGGGGTCTCACTATGTTGCCCAGGATGGCCTCCAACTCCTAGGCTCAAGCAAACCACCTGCCTCAGCTTCCCAAAGTGCTGGGATTTCAGGCATGAGCCTTGTTAAACCATTTTTTTGTTTGTTTGAGATGGAGTTTCACTCTTGTCACCCAGGCTGGAGTGCAATGGCGCGATTGCAACATTGGCTCACTGCAACATCCGCCTCCTGGGTTCAAGCAATTCTCCTGCCTCAGCCTCCCGAGTAGCTGGAATTACAGGCTCCTGCCACCACGCCCGGCTAATTTTTTGTATTTTTAGTACAGACGGGGTTTCACTATGTTGGCTGGTCAGGCTGGTCTTGAACTCCTGACCTCGTGATCTGCCCACCTCGACCTCCCAAAGTGCTGGGATTACAGGCGTGAGCCACCATGCCTGGCCCTTGTTAACCATTTTTAAACATACAATTTTGTATACTATTTGTGCTACCTCATGTAAGTGGAATCATATAGCAGCATGTAGTCAGAATTTTCTTCTTTAAGGCTGAATAATCTTCCACTGGATGCATATACCGTATTTTGTTTACTATTCATTCACTGATAAGATACTTGGGTTACTTCTACCTTTTGGCTACTATGAATAATGCTGCTGTGGATATAGGTGTACAACTATCTTCTTTTGGGTATACAATAAGTCCTCAATATTATTCATATGTTCTCAGAAACTGCAACTTCAAGAGAAAGAATGCATAGCAAGTCCTAGAATAACACTGTTTCCTGTAACATTGATGAGGAAAAAAAAAAACAAGTTTTGTTATAGGTTGTTTCACTTAAAAGTCACAGCTTCCAAGAATCTATAGACAACATTAAGTGAGAACTAAATGTATACTCAGAAGTGGGCATACAGAAGCTGGATCATATATATGGTAATTTTATTTATTTATTTACTTATTTTTGAGACAGAGTCTCACTCTTTCGCCCAGGCCAGACTGCAGTGGTGCTATCTCCGCTTACTGCAAGCTCCGCCTCCAGGGTTCACGCCATTCTCCTGCCTCAGCCTCCCGAGTAGCTGGAACTACAGGCACCCGCCACTGCACCCGGCTAATTTTTTGTATTTTTAGTAGAGACGGGGTTTCAATGTGTTAGCCAGGATGGTCTCGCTCTCCTGACCTTGTGATCCGCCTGCCTCAGCCTCCCAAAGTGCTGGGATTACAGACGTGAGCCACCACGCCTGGCCTAGTAATTTTATTTTCATTTTTATTTTTTTTTTTGAGACAGGGTCTCACTGTCACCCAGGCTGGAGTGCAGTGGTGTGATCTCAGCTCGCTGCAACCTCCACCTTCCAGGTTCAAGCGAGTCTCCTGCCTTAGCCTCTCAAGTAGCTAGGACTACACGTGTGCACCACCACGCCCAGCTAATTTTTGTATTTTTTGGTGGAGACATGGTTTCACCATGTTGGCCAGGCTGGTCTAGAACTCCTGACCTCAAGTGATCAGCCTACCTTGGCCTCCCAAAGAGCTGGGATTACAGTCATGAGCTACCGTGCCTGGCCTTCTATTTTTAATTTTTTCAATCTTTTTTTTTTTTTGAGACGGAGTCTTGCGTTGTTCCCCAGGCTGGAGTGCAGTGGCCCGATCTCGACTCACTACAACCTCTGCCTCCCGGGCTCAAGTGATCCTCCTGCCTCAGCCTCCCAGGTAGCTGGGATTACAGGTATGCGCATCACACCCAGCTAATTTTTGTATTTTTAGTAGAGAGACGGTTTCACCACATTGTCCTGGCTGGCCTCAAACTCCTGATCTCAAATGATCTGCCTGCCTTGGCCTCCCAAAGTGCTGGGATTATAGGCATGAGCCACCAGGCCTGGCCCTATTTTTAATTTTTAAAGGAACCAACATACTGTGTTTTCCATAGTGGTTGTCCCATTTTACATTCCTAATAGTGCACAAAGTTTCCAATTTCTCTACATCCATACCAACATTGGCTATTTTGTTGTTGTTGTTGTTTTGAGACGGAGTTTCCTTCTTGTTGCCCAGGCTGGAGTACAATGGCATGATCTTGGCTCACCGCAACCCCGCCTCCCAGGTTCAAGCGATTCTCCTGCCTCAGCCTCCCGAGTAGCTGGGATTACAGGCATGTACCACCACTCCTGGCTAATTTTGTATTTTTAGTAGTGACAGGGTTTCCCCATGTTGGTCAGGCTGGTCTCGAACTCCCGACCTCAGGTGATCCGCCAGCCTCCCAAAGTGCTAGGATTACAGGCGTGAGCCACCGCGCCCGGCCTATTTCGTTGTTTTTTTTTTTTTAAATAGTAGCCATCCTAATGGGTATGAGATGGTTATCCATATATACATGGAGATAACACACATACCTTTGTGTGTGTGGAGATGGAGTCTCGCTCTGTTGCCCAGGCTGGAGTGCTGTGACACAATCTTGGCTCACTGCAACCTCCGCCTCCTGGGTTCAAGTGATTCTCCTGCCTCAGCCTCCTGAGTAGCTGGGATTACAGGCATGTGCCACCACGCCCAGTGCTAATTTTTTCTATTTTTAGCAGAAATGGGGTTTCACCATGCTGGCCAGGCTGGCCTCAAATTCCTGACCTCGTGATCTGCCCACCTCAGCCTCCCAAAGTGCTGGGATTATAGGTGTGAGCCACTGTGCCTGGCCCACACTTTTTTTTTTTTTTTTGAGACGGAGTCTCGCTCTGTCGCCCATGTTGGAGTGCAGTGGCGCGATCTCGGCTCACTGCAAGCTCCGCCTCCCAGGTTCACCCCATTCTCCTGCCTCAGCCTCCCGAGCAGCTAGGACTACAGGCGCCCGCCACCACGCCCGGCTAATTTTTTGTATTTTTGGTAGAGATGGGGTTTCACTGTGTTAGCCAGGATGGTCTCGATCTCCTGACCTCGTGATCCACCTGCCTCGGCCTCCCAAAGTGCTGGGATTACAGGCGTGAGCCACCGCACCCGGCCCCGGCCCAA
Source organism: Homo sapiens (assembly GCF_000001405.40). Lineage (NCBI taxonomy): Eukaryota > Metazoa > Chordata > Mammalia > Primates > Hominidae > Homo > Homo sapiens. The sequence continues at coordinate 43,757,267 of NC_000015.10, read as the reverse complement.
ACTTTTTATTGGAGATGGGGACAAACTTATATTGCCCAGGCTGTGCTCAAGACAGTCTCTCACCTCAGCCTCCCGAGTAGCTAAAACTATAGGTACGTGCCACTGCACCCAGCTCATCTATATTTTTAAAACTTGTTTGTTGCCTTCTCCCCCTCATCCCCCAGAATGTAAGCTTCACAAGAGTAGGGACCTTGTCTATTTTATCAATAAATGCCAACGACCTAGTATATTTAGAATATCTGGCACACAGTAATTACTCAATAAATATTTGTAAAATGAAAAAATGTCGAGCTGACCTTATAAATCAAGTTTGTGTATTTTCTATATTACTTATATAATCTGTTCATTTAGAGAGGTCTTTTGTTACCACCAAACTGACCTCTTAGATGAGGAAGTTTTAAGACTGAAAGTATACTGTGTAGAAAAACACATTTTTATGTTTCCACTACAAAGAATAAGGTACTTAACATCAGTTTCCAGAATGTAATTCAGGATCCTTACCAGCAGTCCTAGGTCCATCATAAGCACCTGCTTCTTCACCATCTCTAAATATCTTCAGGGTTGGATATCCACTGACTCCATATTTATTACAGGTGTTAGTGTTGGCAGTGCAATCAACCTAAAGATCAAAATACACAAACTATTTTCTTATCCAAGTTTCTGCTGCAGGTTCTTCCTATATTCTCAAAATACTAGGATTGGTCAAATCCTAAGGGGATCAAGGAATTCTTGGCATATATGCCACAGAACATTAGATTTTAAAGGCAGACTGGAGCTTGCCTAACTACATCAGAACTGCCTAAGGAATTCTTTAAAATTGAGATTCCTAGGCCTCACATAAAATGCAAAGTTCCTGTTTAAATTCTGCCCTTGTAGTCTCTATTAGCTAAAGCGGTGGTCTTCATCTTTTTTCTGCCTCAGAACACATGAGGGATAAATCACTTAAATTATTAACAGTGGCTTACTTTGATTACGACTATCACCAAGGGGATATATCGATGGTGGTACATATCCTTTAGGTGTAATGTAATTTGATTTTGCAAATCATCTAGAGCTATTATCAAAGGTACCAACACCTGTACACGTACCCTGAACTAGTTTGAATCTGGGCTATACCATAACATAACCGATCTAGTGAGACCTATCAGGAAGAAGGAAAATAATTTCCCGGAACGAGCCACTTACTCCAACCCAGGCACAAGTACTTTGCATATATTATCTCATTTAATCTCCATAAGATTATGAAGTATGATCCTTATGCTCTAAGATGGGTAAACTAAGATCCAGAAAATTAATTAATGTGTCTATAGTCACACAGGTAGGAATTGTGATTGAATTTTTTTTTTTTTTTTTGAGACGGAGTTTCACTCTTGTTGCCCAGGCTGGAGTGCAATGGCACGAACTCAGCTCACTGCAACCTCTACCACACAGGTTCAAGCCATTCTCCTGCCTCAGCCTCCCGAGTAGCTGGGATTGCAGGCACCGGCCACCACACCTGGCTAATTTTTGTATTTTTAGTAGAGACGGGGTTTCACCATGTTGGCCAGGCTGGTCTTGAACTCCAGACCTCAGGAGATCCACCCGCCTTGGCCTCCCAAAGTGCTGGGATTACAGGCGTGAGCCACAGCGCCTGGCTATGATTAAATTTTTTTCCTATGGCAAGCTGCTTGATAAGATTAAAAGTAATTTCCAAAAATAGCCTTATATATGAACTATTTGGCAGAGGTAAGAGCTTTTAGACTAGAACAACTATGGGTTTACTACAGAATGGCAACATTCTGGAAGCATTACTTTAATTGTAAAAACAAATACCAAGTTTACAGTTGACCATTTGGTTACATTTTCATCAATATCCTCATATCATTTTCGTATTACCATCATTGTGATTATCACATAGCAGTTTAGGGAACTCATTTACTTGTAGATTATTATTATTTTTTGAGATGGAGTCTTGCTCTGTCGCCCAGGCTGGAGTACAGTGCCATGATCTCAGCTCACTGCAACCTCCGCCCCCCTGGGTTCAAGCGATTGTCCTGTCTCAGCCTTCCAAGTAGCTGGGATTACAGGCACCTGCCACCACACATGGCTAATTTTTATATTTTTTAGTAGAGATGGGGTTTCACCATGTTGGCCAGGCGGGTCTCGAACTCTTGACCTCAGGTGATCCGCCCTCCTCAGCCTGTCAAAGTGCTGGGATTACAGGCGTGAGCCACCGTGCCCAGCCTCAATGATTATTTTAACCTTTATAGCTGTACTTCTGCTTTCCATCTTTAATTCTTATTTACCATATACTTTACTACTTTTTTTTTTTTTGAGACAGGGTTTCGCTCTATTGCCCAGGCTAGAGTGCAATGGTTCAATCACAGCTCAGTGCAGCCTCAACCTCTCTGGCTTAAGCAATCCTTCCACCTCAGCCTCTGAGTAGCTGGGACTATGGAAGCCTGCCTGTATCTTTAGTAGAGATGGAATTTTGCCATGTTGCCCAGGCTGGTCTCAAGTGATCTACTTGCCTTGGCCTCCCAAAGTACTGGGATTACACTTTTTTTTTTTTTTTTAAGAGACAGGGTCTTACTCTGTCACCTAGGCTGGAGTCTAGTAGTGTGCAGTGTCTAGTCACTGCAGCCTCAAGCAATCCTCCTGCTTCAGCCTTTTGAGAAGCTGGGACTACAGGTGTGAGCCAACACACCCAGCTTTTTAAATTTTTTGTAGAGATGAGGTCTTGCTTTGTTGCCCAGGCAACAAACTCCTGGCCTCAAGTAATCATCCCAAAGTGCTGGAATTACAGCTGTGAGGCACCATACCTGGTCTATTTTACTTCTTATGCCAGTAATTTCCTTACTCTCACTACTTTTAATTTTTTTTTTTTTTTTTTTTTGAGACGGAGTCTTGCTCTGTCACCAGGCTGGAGTGCAGTGGCCCGATCTCGGCTCACTGAAACCTTCATCTCCTGGGTTCAAGCAATTCTCCTGCCTCAGTCTCCTGAGTAGCTGGGACTACAGGCACGTGCCATCACACCCAGCTAATTTTTGTATTTTTAGTTGAGACAGGGTTTCACCGTGTTGGCTAGGATGGTCTCAATCTCTTGACTTCGTGATCCACCCACCTCGGCCTCCCAAAGTGCTGGGATTACAGGCATGAGCCATTGCGCCCAGCCACTACTTTTAATCTTTTGAAACTACAAGTCAGTTGTGTATTTGCCCAGAAACTAGTATTCGCTCTTCTTAGCAGAATAAGAGTAGAGAAAATGAATGTTAATCTTACAAACTATTTATTACTGTTATTTTTTTCCATGTAACAAAGCTGAGACAACAAACTACTTTTTAAAATACTTCACGTCCTTTAGTGAAGAATCCACCTGTACTTACCTTTGCTAATGGGACTATTCCTTTTAATCTGGTAGCTGCAGCTTCATACTCAGGTGCAAGTCTCTTGCAGTGTCCACACCTATATACGTATTAAAAAAGCCAAATTCTCAGTTTAGTCCTATGAATTTGTTAATGTTGTCTCACTAGGAAGAATCTCAAACTATAATACTACCTTTGAGCTAGTAGACACTTCCAAAAAGCAAAATCATCACATGAACAACATTCATTATTGTTAAAGTAAACCAGAACTCTCAAGAGGTAAAGGTCCTACCCCTAGACTGAGGTTGACTCCATAGTACTGGCTCAGCACAGGGCAGCTCTATTTTCTCAATACAAAGTATAACTAAGTTGTGAAAGCTGTAGTCAAAGGTGTACGCCACATTATTAAAGAGGGTTGAATGGGTTAATGCCCTTTTGACCAATTAATGAGGCTGAATGAAGGACAAAATAGAAATAATCCCATTTCTGATAGAATTCCCCAGAGGAAAATACAATTCCCTGGGAAACCAGCATTGTGGTTGTTAAAAATAGTGACTGAAGCTCACACCTGTAATCCCAGCACTTTGGGAGGCCAAGGCGAGTAGATCACTCGAGGTCAGGAGTTCAAGACCAGCCTGGCCAAAATAGTGAAACCCCGTCTCTACTGACAATACAAAAATTAGCCAGGCGTGGTGGTGGGCACCTGTAATCAAAGCTAATCGGGAGGCTGAGGCAGGAGAATTGCTTGAACCTGGGAGGTGGAGGTTGCAGTGAGCTGACATCGCGCCACTGCACTCCAGCCTGGGTGACAGAATAAGACTCTGTCTCGGGGTGGGGGTGGGGACACAAAATTGTGACTGAAACCCTGTAATGTCTCAAGTATGATATTAAGTCTTTTAGATGGCAGGCCTGATTTTTACAGCTACATAGTTCACCTAGCCATGAGAAGTGATAACAAAACATGTAAACTAGAATACCTTTCCCAGAGGGCCACCAGAAGCACCGGCTCCTCTGCCCAGAAAATCCTAATCAGTGTATATACAGCTAGCACCAGCTGTACATCACCTTTTCAAAAGCCAAAGGGTTGCAGAGGGATCACGTTGAGAAGGTGAGTTCTGTAACCTTCCCGTAGACAGCAAAAATAGAAATATAATAGAGAAGAAACTTGAGCAGATATATTTCAATAGTCAATGGTGTAATTTTATCAAGTGATGGATAACTTGGAAATATTGTACACCTAAAACTTGTTTAAAATAAAGGATTATAACAGCTTATTCTCCAAGGCCTTCAGGCGGCCTATTAAAGTATAAAAGAACCAAATGATAAATACCAAATTCAAGATAAAGGAGTGTATAAGATGGTAAAGGGGCACATAGGGGACTTCAAATGTACTGGCTATGTTTTTCAGACTGAGTGCAAACAAATGCTATTCCTTATGCTGTATTTCAGATTCATTGTTTTTTCCTGATATTAAGATGTATTTTGCAGTCATGTTATAGTTTCAGTGGTAGTATTTCTTTCTCAGTGAGACACAAGATAGTTCCTCTCACAATCAGTGGTATCTTATGTGTGTGAAATAGGGTCTTATTCATTATATCCTCTGTATTCCTTTAATACTGCATAGTAAATGGATTTTAAAGGGAGTAACAATTGGATCTGGGTCTTTAAGGATTTAACGCTTCAGAGAGAAGAGGGCAGGGTATTTAAGATGAGGGAGATAGTAGAGCAAACGTAAAAGAATACCAGTAAGCATGATGCATTCAGAGAACTGTAAAGGGCTTTTGTGAGATAATAAATGTGCGTGCACGTGTACTAAGACTACGTCAATCAGCAATGTCAAAGACTGACAGAAAGGGAGAAAATAGAGACAAGAGTAAAGCCATCTAGAAGATAATATATTTCACATGGCAGACAATAAAAGCTTGGACCGGAATGGCAGCAATGAGAATAAAGAAGAGACAGATGAGAGATTTCTGTTGAATATATAGTAGTTGTCAAGGCTGAGGCAACAGATTTATGAGTTAATTGTTTCAACTATCTTCAAACATTTTAAGAGAAAAAAATCACATACAATAGTTACTAGGTCAAGCCAGTAGGTGTCAACTCTAGATGCTTATCAAAAATACCCACAGAGCATTAAAACAACAAAAGTATGCATGGCTTACTGAATGAGAATCTCCAGAAATCTGGGGAGCAACCAGGTGTGTGTGTAAGCTGCAAGGCTGGGACTAAAATCCACTGCCTTAAACTTTGGCAATATCCATAAGGTCATCAAATCCACAAAAAGAGTTTCAATGAGGCTGGAGGAGACTCTCCTCTTCAAATCCAGCAGGAATGGAACTCAGGTGGTATTTAAGGGAAATCAGGGTTGGTTAACATACATCCTTCAAGATTAACCACTACTTCTTTCACCCACCCCTAGAAAATATTAAAACACAATTAATTCTATCTATCCTCAGGGATGGCACCTGGCAGTTGATAATGAATTCCAACATATATTCACCCATAATCATCACTTCATCATGTGTGCCATGCGTCAAGTACTTTTTGATAAGTGCCTTATCAAGTGTCTTTGATAAGAAAATTGGTATAGTCCTTTCCTTATAGGAACACCAGTCTGGCAGGGGTGACACAGTATTATTAGATGCCAATAGAGAGGCAGGATCAACCAGTTAGTTGTCCAGGGAAGGAAAAAAAAAATATGAGCTAAATGTTGATGTTGAAAAGATCAACTCGGGGTGGGGATTACAAGTAAAGAAATTAGCACATATATTATTTTTTTTTTTTTTTTCGAGACGGAGTCTTGCTCTGTCACTCAGGCTGGAGTCCAGTGGCATGATCTCAGCTCACTGCAACCTGCACCTCCCAGGTTCAAGCAATTCTCCTGCCTCAGCCTCCTGAGTAGCTGGGATTACAGGCTCCTGCCACCGTGCCTAGCCAATTTTTGTATTTTTAGTAGAGACAAGGTTTCCCCATGTTGGCCAGGCTAGTCTCAAACTCCTGAACCTCGTGATCTGCCCACCTTGGCCTCCCAAAGTGCTGGGATTACAGGCGTGAGCCTTTGCACCCAGCCATTATTTATTACTACTGTCTTAGAGGGTAGCATACACATCTATAGCATAAATAGATGTTGAGGACTTTTTTTTTTTTTGAGAAGGAGTCTCGCTGTCGCCCAGGCTGGAGTGCAGTGGCGTGATCTTGGCTTACTGCAAGCTCCACCTCCTGGGTTCACACCATTCTCCTGCCTCAGCCTCCCGAGTAGCTGGGACTACAGGCACCTGCTACCACGCCCAGCTAACTTTTTGTATTTTTAGTAGAGACGGGGTTTCACCATGTTGGCCAGGATGGTCTCGATCTCTTGACCTCGTGATCCACCCGCCTTGACCTCCCAAAGTGCTGGGATTACAGGCGTGAGCCACCGTGCCCGGCCAAGGACTTAATATTACATATTAACACTAATCAATAAATTTTCGGACATTTCCAAACATTTAAATAGTGTTATTTCCCCAGAGAAATTCAGATACTCTTATCCTTAAAAATATATAGCAGATTAACTCCATAATGGAAATATTAGTCTACAAAATCAACTGCAAAGAAAGCTTTCACTAAGCCAGGCACGGTGGCTCACGCCTGAAATCCCAGCACTTTGGGAGTCCAACGCAGGTGATTCAGGTGAAGTCAGGAGTTCAAGACCAGCCTGGCCAACATGGTGAAACCTGGTCTCTACTTAAAAAAAAAAAAAAAAAAAAAAATTAGCCAGACAGGGGAGGCGGAGGTTGCAGAGCCGGGATCGCGCCACTGCACTCCAGCCTTGGCAACAGAGAGAGACTGTCTCAAAAAAAAAAAAAGCAAGCAAAGCAAGCTTTCACCTTTCACTTTCACTTGAAACATGAAAGCGGAAAAAGAATTTGCTTAAATAGGTCTATTTTGTGACGAGAATAAGGTTAAAAAAAAAAAAGCCCATTTTACTTTCTTTTTTGAGATGGTCTCACACTGTCATTTAGGCTGGAGTGCAATGGTGCAATCTCAGCTTCCTGCAACCTCCACCTCCCAGGCTCAAGTGATCTTCTCCTCCCACCTCAGCCTCCTGAGTAGCTAGGACTACAGGCGTGTGCTACCATGCCCGGTTAATTTTTGTCATTTTTTAGTAGAGATGGGGTCTGGCCATGCTGCCCAGGCTGGTCTCTTACCTCGCCACTGCCTCCTGGGTTCAAGTGATTTTCCCAACTCAGCCTCCCAAATAGCTGGGATTACAGATGTGCGCCACCACGTCCAGCTAATTTTTGTATTTTTAGTAGAGATGGGGTTTCCCCATGTTGGCCAGGCTGGTCTGAACTCCTGATCTCAAGTGATCTGCCTGCCTTGGCCTCCCAAACTGCTGGGATTACAGGAATGCACAACAGGGCCAGACCCCATTTTACTCTTACTAAGGATTTTTTAACTGTTTCTTGTAAGATAGTACTACTGAACTGTACAAAGGAATATAGCAGTCAGAAAACATTTCCAGCTGAAATGTTAATAAATAAAAATACAGAGGCCAGGCTAGGTGGCGCACGCCTGTAATCCCAGCACTTTGGGAGGCCGAGGAGGGTGGATCTCCTGAGGTCAGGAGTTCACCATCAGGCTAACATGGTGAAACCCCGTCTCTACTAAAATACAAAAATTAGCCGGGCTTGGTGGTGCGTGCCTGTAATCCCAGCTACTCAGGAGGCTGAGGCAGGAGAATCACTTGAACACGGGAGGCGGAGGTTGCAGTGAGCCCAGACCATGCCACTGCACTCCAGCCTGGGTAACAGAGCAAGACTCTGTCTCAAAAACAAAACAAAACAAAACAAAACAAAAACAAAAAAACAGGCTGGGTGCAGTGGCTCATGCCAGTAATCCCAGCATTTTGGGAGGCCAAGGTGGGCAGATCACCTGAAGTCAGGAGTTCGAGACCAGCCTGGCCAACATGGTGAAACCCTGTCTCTATTAAAAATACAAAAAAATTAGCTGGGCATTGTGGCAGGCACCTGTAATCCCAGCTACTCGGGAGGCTGAGGCAGGGGAATCACTTGAACCCAAGAGGCGGAGGTTGCAGTGAGTCAAGATAGTGCCATGGCACTCTAGCCTGGGCAACAAAGCGAGACTCCATCTCAAAAAAAAAAAAATACACAAACACACACACAAAAAAAATGTAGTGGAATGTGAAGAAATAAAGACCTCAACAGGAGACTTCTTTAACTCCAAATTGCTCATTCAGAAAACTCATCTTTCTTGCTGAAATTGTGGAGGATGACTTTTTCTTTTAAACCAATTAAAAGCAGACACCACAGCAGAGATCCACCCAATTCTTGGGACAGTCAGTGCCTGATGGGATATGTAGTTTTTAGGGTAGCACGTGTAACAATTTAAAGTAGGAAACACCCCCTTCAATTCAAATAAAAAATTCTGGTTTTTTTTTTTGAGACAGAGTTTCGCTCTTGTTGCCCAGGCTGGAGTGCAATGGCAGGATCGTGGCTCACTGCAGCCTCTGCTTCCTGGGTTCAAGCTATTCTCCTGCCTCAGCTTCCTGAGTAGCTGGGATTACAGGCATGTGCCACTATGCCCGGCTAATTTCGTATTTTTAGTAGAGACGGGGGTTTCTCCATGATGGTCAGACTGGTCTTGAACTCCCGACCTCAGGTGATCCGCCTGCCTCGGCCTCCCAAAGTGCTGGGATTACAGGCGGGAGCCACCATGCCCAGCCCCAAAATTCCTTTTTTAAACTAATATTCTAGTGGCCCACTATTCTCCAACAATTCCTACTTTAAATTGTTGCATGACCCCTGTAGTAAAAAGCATCACTCAGATCTGACAAACTTAGTGACACCCCCAGTTTTTACAAATTATTGACACCCCCTCAAAGCTAACAGCATGATTATATAATTGGGAAGAGTTGTTCCTAAGAGAGAACATGAGTTCCAGAGATGTATAAGAACTATCTATATGTGTAATCTGTACTGCCAGTTAGCCCCAGAAATGCCCTGGACACAAAATCTGTCCAAGCTGCAAACAAAATTTGCCATCTCTAGCACATCATTCTGATTCAGGTGGTCTTTACTACAGGACTTTTTTCGTGTAACCCTTAGCAAGTTGTTTGAGGCTAAGAAGGGAAGACCTGAGTCTGAAGCAAATAAAAGTTATACACAACTTTTACTGACATTTTTGAACACGGATAGTATTAAACCAAGGGTCACTGTGCCAGGAGGGGAAAAATTAAGTACTGTAATTATATATATTGAATTATATATAGAGAGCTATCCCCAGGATAAAGGAATCACTGTTTACTCTGGTAATGATCTGGAGGTTTAAAAACACACACACACACAAATAAAAAAAAAAAACAAACACTCAAGTTGACTGGGCCAGAAATCTTATTTGCTCTTCCTTCTCCCCAACAGTTTTTTATTTCGAGTTAGTTCTATCTAAGGAATTTACACCCTTGATCACTTAAGTCACCCTAAAGTGGAGTATGTAATCAATATTGGTTATTTTCTCATTGGAGTCTTTTTTGACATTTTAAAGAAATGCTATTTAAAACAGACAATATGGACAGATTCTGATGGAATTATTCTTGTTCACGTACTCCTTTCGTTTGGACAGAGGTATCTGCCGGTACTGAGATGTAAGTGATCAGCTGAAGGGAGAAACTGTACACCATGTGACGGACAAATTACCTGCCTCAAGAAAGCACTTACGACCATTCTGCAGCCACTCAGTGACCTTGGCTAGAAACCAATGGCTGTGCGGCGTGAGGTAAGATGAAAGGAAATACCCTAGGGATCCAGGACTTCTGCATTTGGTGAAACGTCCGCTTCCACTACAAGGCTTTGGGATGCCTAGTCTGTAGACTGGAGGAGCATTAATACTGACTCACGCAGAAAAGATATAGCTACATATTGGACTGGGGGAAGGGGTGGCAAAACCCTCTGCAAATAGGAAGTGCCACAAGAGCACCGAGATAAGGATGAGGCCCTGCGTGAGCGCAGCCTTCGGGTTTTCCTTGGGCCGATCAGCACCGACTCCCCCGCTCTCGGCGAGGCGCCTCCAGCTCCCGGGAATGAGAAATGTGCCCGCCGCAGCAGGGGCCCACAGGAATGAAGGGCCCCGGCGCTGCGTAGGCCCAACAGTTCCCCGCGCTCTCGCCCCCGGCCCAGCCCCGCCTTTCTTCCCCCGCCTCGGCAGAATGGACTCACCAGGGGGCGAAGAACTCGACGAGCATGAGGCCCGCAGAGCCCGTGTCGGAGATGCGACTCTCGAAGTTGTCGTCCGTGAGTTCTAGCACGTCGGAGGCAGCGGCGAGGCGGGCCGCGGCAAGAAGCAGCGCCACACCCGGGAACAGCGCTAGGCGGCGGAGGCGCATGGCGGCGAGGTGGGGTGGGGACGGCCGGAAGGGTCGCGGCTCGGCTGGGACTGCGGAGGTCGGGCGCGCGACCACTAACCCGCTGCTTGCGCTCGCGCGTCTGGCCCAGGCGGACCTGCAGCCGGAGGTCCCAACCCCCAAACCCGGCTTGGGCCGCTGTGTGGCAGCCGCTGATTGGCTGCGCGTCGCCTTCGTCGGGCGGGCGGGACCAACTCGTTACCGCCGAGTGGCCGGAGCGCGGGGCGGGGCCGAGGCGGCGAGTGTCTGGGCGAGCGTGGCTGGGCCCGGTCCTGGGCTGGGGGCAGGGGCTAGGGCCGGGTCCCGGGGTGAGCCGAAACCTGGGGGTCGGGCGGGGCGGGAAATGGGGCGCAGTGAGGCTGGGAGCCGGCCCTGAGCTCGTCCTGCGTAGGGGTAGCCGGGCTCAGGGGGCGCCTGAGCTGGAGGTGGAAGCGTGAAGTCAGGACTGAGTGGGCGAAGAGAACCTGGGCTGAGGTGAGGCCCAGAAGCGAGAATGGAGGAGAGAAGGAGCTAGCCCCCGAAGGAGTGTTGGAGTGGACACACTTGGGACGGGACCCATTTTCAAAATGTCAGGCTTTGGCATTTTGTCCAATTTCTCTTCACTTGGTTTCTCTTGCGTGGGCAGGCCAAGCCCTCCCCCAACTCCACCTCATTGCCCGATTCTCTCAGGCCCAGGTGGGACCCAGGTTCTTCTTTGTCCAGCCCCGGGCCCCTGCCCTTGTGGCTGCTCCTTTTTTATTGAGTTTCTTGTTTTGTTTTGTTTTGTTTTGTCTGAGATGCCGTCTTGCTCTGTCCCCCACGCTGGAGTGCAGTGGCGCGATCTCCGCTCACTGCAAGCTCTGCCTCCCGGGTTCACGCCATTCTCCTGCCTCAGCTTCCCGAGTAGCTGGGCCTACAGGCGCCCGCCACCACGCCCGGCTAATTTTTTGTATTTTTAGTAGAGACCGGGTTTCACCGTGTTAGCCAGGATGGTCTCTATCTCCTGACCTCGTGATCCGCTCGCCTCGGCATTCCAAAGTGCTGGAATTACAGGCGTGAGCCACCACGCCCGGACTTTTTTTTTTTTTTTTTTTTTTTTTAATGAGCTTTTAATTGGTAGTGCCGTCACAAAGTGAAGATGCCTGGCCACTTGGTCGACTGCTCAATGTCTTTACCACTCTTAGCCCCTTTTGTTTCAAAAAACCCTGAGTCTTAGTAGAATGTTTGTTCTGCCCAACTGCTCCTAGTTCGTAGATGTGGGTACATTAAGGAATCTTAAGGGCAAAGAGGGTGGGGAGGAGGGGACAGAAAACCTGTAATCCTTGGTGCAGCTCCAAGAATGAAATGACACTTGATGCTTACATTTTCTTAGCAGACATGGCCGCTTACCAACAAGAAGGGCAGATGCAGCTTCCCCGAGCTGATGCCATTCGTTCACGTCTCATCGATACTTTCTCTCTCATCGAGCATTTGCAAGGCTTGAGCCAAGCTGTGCTGCGACACACTATCAGGAGTTACTTGGTCAGCAGCCTATTTCTTCACTAATTTAAATTTAAGACTCCTATCCACATCCTCTACATTTAAGAGTGGAAAATTCTGGGGAGGCCGGTTTAGTTGCTGGTTTACCAAACTTGATAAATCAAGGGCTTGTAAATAAAACTAAGGAGATAGAATCCACGTCTTTCACTTTTAGGCCTAGGATAGCCACTAGCCGTGGATGATACGGAACAGTTTCTGTCAAAGACTCTTAAAACTTTGAGAGTGAACCTGCTGCTTTTGTGGGCATGGACAGTGTTGGTCATAAGCAATACATTTGCTCTCACTCCAAACAGAATTCTTAGTTGCTGTGAGAAGAGAAGGACCAGCAGTAAGCCATTAGGGGGACCCATTATCTGAACAGTATCCCTGCCCCCAACCCTACCTGGTCTATTTTGTTTGTATTTATCCACTACCCCTTTTCAATTTTTGTTGTAGATCCTTCCCGCCAGAAGAAACTTATGTTGGGAGATCAACACCAGCTAGTGGGCGTCTCTATAAAGCCTCAACGTATAGAACAGATTTCACATGCCCAGAGGCTGTTGAGCAGGCTTCATGTGCGCTGCAGTCAGAGGCCACCTCTTTCTTTGTGGGCCGGATGGGTCCTTGAGTGTATCCTTTCATGTCACTCATTTTTATCCTGGCTGTTGATCATCTGCCTAATGACTTATTTTTTGCTTCCCAAACTCCATTGTCTCATTCTCACTGCTTATGTTATTGCTCTTATTATTTCAGCTGCATAAATCAGAAAGAACTCCACTCTGTATGTTTCCTTAAGAGACAACAGGTCCTCTCTTCAAAAACTTCATCATCTTCCTGATCTTTTTGAATACGATCGTACTGATGGTTGAAATACGTGAGAACTGACATTGTATGAAAGAGGAAGTGAGGCCAGGCGCGGCGGCTCACACGTGTAATCCTAGCACTGTGGGAGGCCGAGGCAGGCGGATTGCCAAAGCTCAGGAGTTCAAGACCAGCCTGGGCAACATGGTGAAACCCTGTTTCTACTAAAAAATACAAAAAATTAGCTGGGCGTGGTGGCATGGCCTGTAGTCCCAGCTACTCGGGAGGCTGAGGCAGGAGAATCGCTTGAACCCAGGAGGCGTAGGTTTCAGTGAGCTGAGATTGTGCCACTGCATTTCAGCCTGGGCGACAGAGTACAACTCTGTCTCAAAAAAAAAAAAAAAAGAAAAAGAAAAAGAGGAAGTGGGTAGGAGTAATTTTTTTTTTCTAAATTGATCATTTTACATTTTTGAATGTCATTTGAAATGTGACATTTATATTAAGGACAATTAAGCCTCCTGGAGTAGAATTTATGCAACTGCTAAAATCTAGAAATATTCGCTGGGCACGGTAGCTCACACCTGTAATCTCAGCACTTTGGGAGGCCGAGGTGGTTGAATCACTTGAGGTCAGGAATTCAAGACCAGCCTAGCCAACATGGCGAAATCCCATCTCTACTAAAAATACAAAAAATTAGCTGGGCGTGGTGGCGGACACCTGTAATCCCAGCTACTCAGGAGGCTGTGGCAGAATAACACTTGATCCTGGGAGGCGGAGGTTGCAGTAAGCCGAAATCACGCCACTGCACCTGATCTCAAAAAAAAAAAAAAGAAATATTAATATTTGGAGGGCTCTCAAGCGTATACTAGATACAGAGCATCTAGACACATAAAACTAGGTGTAATATGTAGCAATGTAACAAATCCACAAGGAATTGAACTTGGGAAGACCAGTTTTATTTCTGTTGTCAGTTTAGGCTGACAATTGTTTGCATTAACCTTTTCTGTTAAAGATATTGGTGCCTATCGGTGAATGATCTAACATTTACATTTTTTTTTTTTTTGAGACGGAGTTTCACTCGGTCGCCCAGGCTGGAGTGCAGTGGCACGATCTTGGCTCACCACAAGCTCAGCCTCCCAGGTTCACGCCATTCTCCTGCCTCAGCCTCCGAAGTAGCTGGGACTACAGGTGCCCGCCACCACGCCCAGCTAATTTTTTGTATTTTTTAGTAGAGACGGGGTTTCACCGTGTTAGCCAGGATGGTCTCAATCTCCTGACCTCGTGATCCACCCGCCTCGGCCTCCCAGAGTGCTGGGATTACAGGGGTGAGCCACTGCGCCCAGCCTAACATTTACATTTTTACAAGTATATTTAGAAATATTATTCAAGTAAAAATAAGAAAGCTCACAAAGTATGGAAAGGTAGGTACCACTAAGATATTAGCTGAGCCAAAAAAATTACTTAAAAGGAAATGATTCTTAAACCAATAATAAATTATATGAAACATATTCAAAACATAAGGATGTCTGCAAAATCAGTGAGCTCATTTGTTGATAATCTCAAACTGCTCAGAAATGATGAAAGGACAGTAGAACTACTCACTTGTTTCATTCTCACTGTTGTAGAGAAGTCTCCCACTTTATTTTTTAGTGACAGAGTCTCACTTTGTTACTTAGGTTGGAGTATAGTGGTGTGATCATGGCTCGCTGCATCCTCAACCTCCAGAGCTCTATTGATCCTCCCACGTCAGCCTCCTGAGTAGCTTGGACTACAGGTGCATGCCACTACACCAAGCTAATTATGTTGATTTTTTTTTTGTAGAGACAGGGTCTCACTATGTTGTCCAGGCTGGTCTTGAACTCCTGGGCTTAAGTGATCCTCATACCTCAGCCTCCCAAAGTGCTGGGATTACAGGCATGAGTTACCACGTCCAGCCTAGGAGGAATTTTTAAGAGAAGGGCGTAGTTATGAAGCTCTTGGCTGTTTATGTCACACAGATATTTTCCTCAACAGAAGTGTCCAGTGCCGGTAGCCAGTTCAGAACTCTGCCTCTAGCTCCAAGTCCCCTACAAGCTTATCTCTGGGGCCCAGGCATGGTGGCTCATGCCTGTAATCCCAGCACTTTGGGAGGCTGAGGCAGGAGGATTGCTTGAGCTCAGGAGTTTGAGACCAGTCTGGCCAATGTGGAGAAACCTCATCTCTACAAAAAATACAAAAATTAGCTAGGTGTGGTGGCACATGCCTGTAGTCCCAGCTACTCAGTAGGCTGAGGTGGGAGGATCGCTTGAGCCTGGGAGGCGGAGGTTGCAGTGAGACATCGTGCAACTGAACTCCAGCCTAGGTGACAAAGTGAGACCCTGTCTCGAAAAAAATAGTCCTTTACTGCAGTCAGGTCAAAGATATTTAAATAAACAACAATAATTGATGTCACGGACCCACTACAGTATACTATATACTTTGAGGTGTTTTATTTCCTCCTCATAATGGTGAAGATTTTGAACTAAGTTACTTATAATTCCCTTTTATTGTATGATTGCTGCCATGTATTTGCCTTGCATGGCTAGGATTATAGTACTAAGCCTTGGAATGAAGTAAATAATAGTAACTATACAGGATTTCCTAGATCAGTGGTCCCCAGCCTTTTTGGCTTCAGGGACTGGTTTCTTGGAAGACAGTTTTTCCATGGATGGGGTAGGAGGGAGGTTTCAGGATGAAGCTGTTCCACCTCAGATCATCAGGCATTAGATTCTCCTAAGGGTCACGCACATGCAGTTCACAATAGGGCTTGCCCTCCTATGAGAATCTAATGCCGCAGCTGATCTGACAGGAGGTGGAGCTCAGGCGGTAATGCTCACTCACCCACCACTCACTTCCTGCTGCATGGCCGGGTTCCTAACAGACCATGGACTGGTACCAGTCCGTAGCCTGGGGCTTGGGACCCCTGCCCTAGATCTAATAGACAAATCAAAATAGAATAGCACTAACTATTCTATTTGGTAAAACAGTTAACTGAATATGAAACATGATCACTGTGTCAGAGGATAAGTAGATTGCCAGACTAGAAATTATCTGGCAAGCTCGTGGAAATTTTATCTTATTAAGTTTATTCTTGTGGGAGAAACGGAGGAGGGATTTTGCAGAGGGAAATTATTTGTGATTAACAGATTTCTTTGAACAGACTAATTCATATGATAAACATTAAGACTTTTTTTAGGCTTAAAATTTTTTTTCCAGATCACAAAGCGATCTAAACTGTTAGGGCTTTAAAAAATCTACTTCCACAACTGGATATTGGTAATTCTGTTTTGCACTTTATTTTTTAAATTTTATTATTTTATTATTATTATTTTTTGAGACGGAGTCTCGCTCTGTCACCCAGGCTGGAGTGCAGTGGCACGATCTCGGCTCACTGCAAGCTCTGCCTCCCAGGTTCACGCCATTCTCCTGCCTCAGCCTCCCGAGTAGCTGGGACTACAGGCCCCTGCCATCACACCTGGCTAATTTTGTGTATTTTTAGTAGTGATGGGGTTTCACTGTGTTAGCCAGGATGGTCTCGATCTCCTGACCTGGTGATCCGCCCGCCTCGGCATCCCAAAGTGCTGGGATTACAGGCATGAGCCACTGTGCCTGGCCTCTGTTTTGCACTTTAAACATCAATTGGCTTATTTTTAAAATCTTGTATTTTGTTTCAAATAATGAGAAAGAAAAAATGATTTGACTCATTTGCAAGCCTTTGTCAGAAAATAACACATTGCAAGTGTAGACAATCTCTACTTAAAATTAAAAACTGAGTATATTAGGAGGGTGAGGTGGGAGGATCACTTGAGCCCAGGGGATTGAGGCAGCAGTGAGCTATGATCTCACCAGTGCACTGCAGCCTGGGTGACAGAGCAAGATTCTGTATCAAAAATAAAATAAAACCTAAGTATAATATCATTACAATTTTTTCCCAAAGGTGGGCATATTCCTGAAGATTACAATTTTTTACATTGACTTTTAAAGTCCTAGAGAGGGTTTGATGTGCTATATAAAGTTTTTGGTCATATGAATGGAATTTATAGAATCTGATGAAGATCATCTTGAGATTAAACTTGCAGAATTGTCATTCTTTTTTTTTTTTTTTTTTTTTTGAGACAGACTCTTGCTCTGTCTCCCAGGCTGGAGTGCAGAGACGCCATCTCTGCTCACTGCAAGCTCCACCCCCTGGGTTCATGCCATTCTCCTGCCTCAGCCTCCCAAGTAGCTAGGATTACAGGCGCCCGCCACCACGCCCAGCTAATTTTTTGTATTTTTAGTAGAGACGGGGTTTCACTATGTTAGCCAGGATGGTCTCGAACTTCTGACCTCGTGATCCGCCCGCCTCGGCCTCCCAAAGAGCTGGGATTACAGGCATGAGCCACCGCGCCCAGCCAGAATTATCACTCTTAATGCTCTTCATGAAATTGTATTTCTGGCTGGGCATGTGGCTCATGCCTGTAATCCCAGCAATTTGGGAGGCCTAGTCCTGCGGATCACTTGAGGTCAGGAGTTCAAGACCAACCTGGCCAACATGGTGAAACCCCATCTCTACTAAAAATACAAGAATCAGTGGGTATGGTGATGTGCACCTATGGTTCCAGTTACTCAGGAGGCTGAGGCAGAAGAATCGCTTGAACCCGGGAGGCGGAGTTTGTAGTGAGCTGAGATGGCAGCTGGGCAACAGATTGAGTGAGACTCCATTTCAAAAAAAAAAGAAAGAAAGAAATTATGTTTCAACATCAGTGTTCCTTGTTTCATGATGGATATAACTAGCCAAAACATTACTAAAAATATTAAAACTGTAAATGTCAAAATCTACATAACAGTTTATTGTTACAGTGTACTATTCTCCTCACCTATAGTATTGGACTCCTTGAAACCAATGTGAATTTACCTGGTATTCTGTGAGGTGACCTACTGTTGTTTTTCTAGAATAGGGAGTAGCAATAGATGACTGTTCATGGTGAACTCTACCTTGTAAAACAGAATTATGTATTTGCCTGACTTGCTTGATCAAATGGCTACTGTCTGTCACCCTGAGAAGAATATTGAAACATAGATGTTCACTGCTACTTCACTTCACTGGCTAAGATTCCTGGGTAGACTTCACTGGGCTCCTGGTCTCTATTTCCATTAAGACTCCTTTGCTTTGCTATAGCAGCCTGAAAAATTCCAAGAATTTTAAAAAGTTATTTTTCATCTTCAGAGAGGACACATTACTTGATGTAGAGTGGAGGCAGTCACTTCTGCACATTCTGTGCTGCTGAGGCAATTTCTGCTATTCGTTCCTCTGAACTTCCTTGGGTTTGTTTAGCTTCTATAAAATTATTCATTTTTCCAGAGAGTAAAAGTGCTACTGCTTCTATAATTTGGACTTCCCTACTTAAACTATTTTAAACTACTCAAAACTATATTCTGCTTTACAAGAGCCTTATTTTACTTCATTGCTCTGTTTGGGTTCCTGTTTTGCAAGGGCAAAAACTGAATAAAAATTATAGCATTCTATTTTCCAGCCACAAATGTGGTCCTCAGCTCTTTCTAATTATATAATCCCATGCTCCTGAGAGCTAGAATTTATTGTTAAGTGAAAAAATTTTGTATTTTATTGAATTTAAGCTGTCATCAATGGTGAAATTCACTGTTTACCAATAAGAAATAAAAATCATGCTCAATTAAACTGGGACACATCGCTGGTTGTAAAATGCATCCTCACTTTGGGAGGCCGAGGTGGGCAGATCACGAGGTCTAGAGATAGAGACCATCCTGGCCAACATGGTGAAACCCCGTCTCTACCAAAAATAATAAAATTAGCTGGGCATGGTGGCGCAGAGGCAGAGGTTGCAGTAAGCTGAGATTGCACCACTGCACTCCAGCCTGGAAACAGAGCGAGATTCCATCTCAAAAAAAAAAAAAAAAAAAAAAAGCATCCTAATTTCATGGATGTTAAAATGTGAAATATTGTCCATCTTAGAGAAATGTGCATGAAAGAAAAACTTACGGAAGAAGTACAGAGCCTAAATAAGCATAGGAGTGCTGGGTGCAGTGGCTCATGCCTATAACCCCAGCACTTTGGGAGACCAAGGCCGGAGGATCGCTTGAGCCCAGGAGTTTGAGGCCAACCTGGGCAGCATAGGGAGACCCCATCTCTACAAGTAATTTAAAGAAAAAATTAGCTGGGCATGGTGACATGTGCCTGTGGTCCCAGTTACCCAGAGGCTCTTGAGCCCGGAAGATCCAGGCTTCCGCGAACTGTGATTATGCCACTGCACTCCTCCAGCCTGGGTGACAGAGTGAGACTCTGTCTCAAAACAAGCATAGGAATAAGTATAGTGTAACCCCATTGGTTTTTAGAAGGGGCCAACCTCTGTAAAATTCTAGGGATGATCGAAGTATGGTTCTGTTCTTTTTGTCTGGATCCAGTTCAGCATCAGGATGAATTTAAAGCCAGAGCACCACAATGTTGATTTCTATTTAGCTCTTAAGCCATTTTAATTTCAGTGTTTTTTTTTCTAGAGCATGGCATACATCCATTAATTGTATAAAAGAGATGAAGAAGGTTGAAAGAGAAAGGCAATGAATTAAGGAATAGCAATTGGTAAATAATAAGGTTCTAGAGAGGAAGTATGCATTCAATTTGCTTTGCAGAACAAAACCAATTTTAGGCAGGGAAGAAAGGAAAAGTTTTAAAAGAAAGCTAACAGAACCAAGTGATTTATTGTTATAATTCGATATACCCTAATGATTGTGGCTTGTTTCTACATTCGTTATAAAGTAGTTCAGATATCATGGCCCTGTATTTTCATTCTGTTCTCAAGACCCATTGCTTTCTTGTGAACTTTGGGACTGAGATAACAGTACAGTAGATGGGGGTGGGGGGTTGGAGGTAGGGGTAATTAAAGAGAGTAGTCTCTTAGTAGCTGTGTGAGCCCCAGAGTGGATCGCAAGTGACTTGTAGCTGGGCAGACATAACTATATGAACAGATTGGTTGTGGCTGTGTTTTATGGTCAATTCTGTCCTTCCCTGTATTTCACAGGTTGAAGCAACAGTGTTAAGAAGAGAAACTCTTAACTCTTAACACAGTGTGAAGAAAAATGGAACAGTAGTGGGCAAAACTGTGGTTTATAAGTGTGTTCATTCTCCATCATTCGGTTTCCAGCTTCCTTAACTTTTATTCCTCCTTTGCTCTATCCTCACAGAATTGCTGGAATCCACAAATACCAAACTATGGCCATTGAAGCTGACCTTGGAGGGGGCAGCTTGGTTTATCTTGCTTATTTTCATCCTGGAGATCCTTCTTAAGTGGCTATCCAACTTTTCTGTTTTCTGGAAGAGTGCCTGGAATGTCTTTGACTTTGTTGTTACCATGTTGGTAAGGATAGAGATCCTGAGGGTTCGTTTAGTGGGATGAAGAATGTGCCTAGGTGAATCGAAAGAACAAGTTAACATGATAATAGGAAGAAACAAAAATTTACTTAACTTCTTTCTTTTGATTTTTTTTTCCTAAAACTAAACATCAATCATTGCAGGAGTTGTTGGTATTAGGAGCAAAGTAGACTAACTACAACATCAATGCCAACAAGAGCATCTGCCGGTTACTGAGCACTTACTAAGTGCCAAGCACTATTTTAAGTGTTTTCCTTACATTATCTCATTTATGCTCCACAACAACCTAATTAAATAACCATGAATTTTATCCCCCTTTTTATATCTGAACAAGTTGAAGTATAGTGTTTAAGCAACTTAATATAGAAAGGCTGAATAGTAAGCACTTCTCAGAGAATGCTATTCAAAGGATAACGCCCAGGGAACAATGAAGAGGATAAGATGAAGAAGCTGCAATTCTGCCTGGGTGCCTTGGGGTGTATTTTACTTATAACCTGTGTGTTTTCCACAGTCCCTGCTTCCCGAGGTTGTGGTATTGGTAGGGGTAACAGGCCAATCGGTGTGGCTTCAGCTTCTGAGGATCTGCCGGGTGCTGAGGTCTCTCAAACTCCTTGCACAATTCCGTCAAATTCGAGTTATTATTTTGGTCCTGGTCAGGGCCCTCAAGGTGATTTGACTGTTGCAAGCTAAAGCAGGGGGCAAGGTAGATAAATGTGAGGGCTTAACATAGAATATGAAACAAATTGGCCGGGTGCGGTGGCTCATGCCTGTAATCCCAGCACTTTGGGAGGCCGAGGGGGATGGGTCATGAGGTCAGGAGTTCGAGACCAGCCTGACCAACATGGTGAAACCCTGTCTCTACTAAAAATACCAAAAAAAAAAAAAAAAAAATTGCCGGGCTTGGTGGTGTGTGCCTGTAATCCCAGCTACTCAGGAGGCTGAGGCAGAAGAATCACTTGAACCCAGGAGGCGGAAGTTGCAGTGAGCCGAGACTGCTCCACTGCACTCCAGCCTAGGCGACAGAGTGAAACTCCGTTTAAAAAAAAAAAAAAGAATATGAAACAAATCTGGATGGGTCAAAGAAGGCAATGAAACGTCCTGTGAAATGTTATTGGATGAGAAGGGGCTGGGGACAGGTGCCATGGTTCAGAGATGACTGGGTTCAGCAGTGCAAGAGAGGGTTTGGTGGGAGATTGCCAGGTGGGCTTGACTGGGCTGTTGGTGGAGATCAGCCTAGTCTGGCCCACATCTGACTTGAGTTTATGGCCTCTAGAGCATGACTTTCCTCTTGATGTTGCTGCTCATCTTCTACATTTTTGTTGTGACTGGTGTCTACGTCTTCTCAGAGTACACCCATTTACCTCGTCAGGACCTGGAGTATCATGTATTCTCGTAAGCAGAGCTGAGTGACAGCTGAGTGAGGGGAGAAAATTTGGCTAAGAGACCAGGAAGCTTGTCCAAAGTATAGTAATATAAAAAGTACAGTCTATTCCAAGAAACTGAAATAGAACACAATAGGGAGAGGGAAAGAGAAAGCAAAAGAACAGTGAATGGTATTAGCTCTGATCTTGAGGTTAGGGCAGCTAGTTCCATGTTTATTCTGGGTTTTGCAAATTCAAACCACACTGTCATCAGGCATCTTTAAATAGCGGTACACTCCAGTGGTTGAGCTTGGTTTCTGTGACTCAGTTACGTCTTTTGAAAACTGGGGGCCAGGCACAGTGGCTCACCCCTGAAATCCCAGCACTTTGGGAGGCTGAGGCGGGTGGATCATGAGGTCAAGGGATCGAGACTATCATGGCCAACATGGTGAAAACCCATCTCTACCAAAAATACAAAAATTAGCCAGGCGTGGTGGCTTGCACCTGTAGTCCCAGCTACTCGGGAGGCTGAGGCAGGAGAATTGCTTGAATCTGGGAGGCAGAGATTGCAGTGAGCCGAGATCATGCCACTGTACTCCAGCCTGGCAACAGAGCGAGACTCCATCTCAAAAAAAAAAAAAAAAAGAAAAAGAAAAGAAAAATGGAAATAGGCTGGGCATGGTGGCTTACGCCTGTAATCCCAGCACTTTGAGAAGCCAAGGCGGGTGGATCACCTGAGGTCAGGAGTTCGAGACCAGCCTGGCCAACATGGTGAAACCCTGTCTCCACTAAAAATACAAAATTAGCTGGGCATGGTGGTGGGTGCCTGTAATCCCAGCTACTCGGGAGGCTGAGACAGGAGAATCACTTGAACTAGGGAGGCGGAGATTGCAGTGAGCTGAGATTGAGCCACTGCACTCCAGCCTGGGCTACAAAGAGTGAAATTCTGTCTCAAAAAAAAAGAAAGGTGGGGGGAATAATAGCAGTGCTACTTCATAAGAGTGTGGGGTTAAATGTGGTAATGCATTTAAGCACTTAGCACAGTATGTAACACGTTATAAGTGATCAATTAATGTTACTATGATTCTCAAATATGATCACTGGTTTTATCCCAATCTCTACATATTACACATGCACACGCCTATTCCTGATCTCTGTCTAGAAAACACTAATCAGTGCTCACTTCGGCAGCACATGTACTAAAATTGGAACGATATAGAGAAGATTAGCATGGCCCTTGTGCAAGGATGAAACACAAATTTATGAAGTGTTACATATTTTTTAAATATTAACAAAACCTCACTAATCAGTGTTTTCTAGAAGAAAATCAGCTTGAATTTAGAGTAGATAATCTTGCTTATGAATTATAATTCAATCTGGTCAGCGCCTCTCAGGACTCTGTTAGACTCTAACAGATAGTTTTGTAAGAGTATTGAGTTAGGAAAGTCCTAGAATTTATCCTATACAAGCTCTGATGTTTTCAATAAATTGTGTATGGGGAACTAAAAAGAAAGGTAGGAAAATTTAGATACCTTCCCGGAAACTTTTTACTTTTTTAGCAATTTTTAAATATTATTAATTTTATAATTTGTATATATTCATTATTTAGGATCACATATGTTTATGTAACATACCCATTTACTTGCATATCATTTCATACCAGCAAACTAATAGGAATAATTTTTTGAATGATCTTCTATTTTGCTAAATTTGCTAATTTTGCTAAATTTTGCTAAATTTACGAGTGATCTTCTATTAAGTGGAGTCCATAGAGCAGTGGAGAATAAAATTAGAAAAAACCGCTGGGCATGGTGGCTCACATCTGTAATCCCAGCACCTTGGGAGGTGGAGGCAGGCAGATAGATCACTTGAGGTCAGGAGTTCAAGACCAGCCTGGCCAACATGGTGAAACCCTGTCTCTACTAAAAATATGAAATATGAAAATTAGCTGGGCATGGTGGTGCACACCTGTAATCTCAACTACTCGGGAGGCTGAGTCAAGACAATCACTTGAGCCTGGGGGGCAGAGGTTGAAGTGAGCTGAGATCACGCCACTCCAGCTTGGATGATAGAGTGAGACTCTGTCTCAAAAAAAGAAAAAAAAATTAGAAAACTATCTAGTTGGTGATTCATTCATCTTTAAAAAATTGATCTTTAAAAATTCATTCATCTTTAAAAAATTCAGTCAATACCTATTTATTATTTATTATACCCCAGGACTAATGGAGTAGTGAGAGGTAGTCACAGATTATTCATGATAAAGGAGAATTTAGGCTGGGTGTGGTAGCTCACGCCTATAATCCTAGCATTTTGGGAGGCTGAGACTGGTGGATCACCTTAGGTCAGGAGTTTGAGACCAGCCTGGCCAACATGACAAAAGTTTAGTAGAGATGGCTCTACTAAAAATACACAAATTAGCTGGGCGTGGTGGTGCGTGCCTGTAATCCCAGCTCCTTGCGGGGCTGAGACGAGAATCTCTTGAACCCATGAGGTGGAGGTTGCAGTGAGCTGAGATCGTGCCACTACACTCCAGCCTGGGCAACAGAGCGAGACTCTGTCTCAAAAAAAATTAAATTAAATTAAATTAAATTAAAATAAAACAACTTCAAACAAGAATGATTAGCTAAAAACAGTATGGTAGAAAAGGAGCCAAAATCAGAACAAACTACAAAGAAATGCTTTATGTTTCTTTGAAAGTAGGAATGATACCATTTTTGAAAGGTTTAGGTCTCTGCTTCCGTCTATTCACATGCTTTTTTCTTTAGGGACCTCCCGAATTCCCTGGTAACAGTGTTCATTCTCTTCACCTTGGATCATTGGTATGCACTGCTTCAGGACGTCTGGAAGGTGCCTGAAGTCAGTCGCATCTTCAGCAGCATCTATTTCATCCTTTGGTTGTTGCTTGGCTCCATTATCTTTCGAAGTATCATAGTAGCCATGATGGGTAAGCATAGAGGAGGTGAAACTTGTTTGGGAAGTGTGGTTGGGAAAAAGTTATTCTGAAAGCTGGGATTGGTGGCTTATGGGTATAAAGAACCTAGTGTAGCAGGAAGGCTTGGGTTCTGGATTGGATATTTCACTTGGATTCTCCCCACCCAAGCCCTCTTCCCAAGTCTAGTCATTACCATCTCCCAGCTCCTAATGGCCCTTTGGGGAAGTCATTAACTTGCAGAATATCAGGAAAGAGCTGCATGAGGAGATGGCATGTCAGGAGGTTCAGCTCAAAGCTGATATGTTCAAGCGGCAGATCATCCAGAGATCTACTTCTCCCTTTTCAACCCCAACTTTCCTTCTCAAGGGTTTCCTGAGCTCATTTCTTGTTTCTGCTCCTTGACCCCACTTTTCCCTTTGTGACAGTAGATTTGCCCCCAAGGATAAGAATTCTCCAGCTCTAGAATATTGCCTGATTCTTCATCCACTGTGGGGAGTCCTCCATTTTTTTCACCCCGTGACTACAATTTGTTCTCCCCAATTAGTTTTCTTCACTTTCTGATATGAACTCTTTTTTTCTTACCACACTTTTGCTTGAATATAACTGTCTTTGCTCTTTTTTCTTTTTTTTTTCTTTTTTTTTTTTGCTTTGCAGGAGAAAAAAACATGTCACGTGAGGCACTGAGGTCAAGCCACAGCAAAATAGATGCCAGGTTAGGAGTATGTATGTGAACTGGGATAGAAACACATGAAGGAGGAGAGGGTGGAAAACTAAAGATGAAGATTGGCTTTGAGAGATAATTCATTCATTTAATAACTGCATATTGTAGTAGGTTGACTAGTGGCACCCGAAATAATATGTCCATGTCTTTGCTCCCTGGAACCTGTGAATGTGACCTTATTTGGAAAAAAAAAAAGATCCTAAGTTAAGGATCTTGAGATGAGATCATCCTAGATTATCCAGGTAGGTCCTAAATCCAATGGCAAGGGTACTTATAAGAGTTGAAAGAGGAGAAGACACAGAGAATAGGAGAAGGCGATGTGAAGACGGAGATAGAGGTTAGGGTTAATGCCGCCACAAGCCAAGGGAAGCTGAGGAATGCCAGGCAGCTGCCAGAAGGTAGAAGAGGCAAGGAACTTCTCCCCTAAAGCCTCCAGAGGGAATATGGCCCTGCCAACACCTTCATTTCAGACTCTAGCCTCTAGAATTGTGACGGAATATATTTCTGTCATTTTAAGCTACCAAGTTTATAGTAATTTGTTATGGCAGCCACAGGACACTAATACAAATACCTTCCATGAAACAGATATGATTCTAGACCCCAAGTGTTTAGCAGTGGACAAAAAAAGCAGAAGCAGAAGTAAACTCATTCACTCATTAACAAATAATTACTGGGTGGATGTGGTGGCTTACACTTGTAATCCCAACACTTTGAGAGGTGAAGGCAAGAGGATTGCTTGAAGTTCAAGCCAGAAGTTCAAGGCTGCATTGAGACATGATTGCACCACTATACTCCAGCCTGGGCAACAGAGCAAGATCCCATCTCAAAAATTTAGCAGGGTGGGCATGGGCACTCATGCCTATAATACCAGCATTTTCGAAAACTGAGGTGGGCAGATGACTTGAGCTCAGGAGTTCAAGACTAAACTAGGTAATATGGCAAAATCCTGTCTCTGCGAACAAAAATTAGCTGGATGTGGTGGTGTGTTCCTGTGGTCCCAGCTACTTAGGAGGCTGAGGTGGGAGGACTGCTTGAGCTGAGAGGTTGAGGCTGTGGTGAGCCGTGATTGTGCCACTGCTCTGCAGCCTGGGTGACAGAGCAAGACCCTGTCTCAAAAAAAACAAACAAAAACAATAAAGAACAAATAATTATTGAATACTTAGTAGGTGCTTGGGATGTTATCAGTGAACAAAATAGACAATAATGCCTGCTTCATGGAGCTTACATATTAGTAGTGGTAAAGAGATAATAAGCAGTGAATATATTAAGTAATCTGTTAAAATATGATAAGCATTATGGGAAAGTTAAAAGTAGAACAGGTTAAGGGAGATTGGGAGTATAAGGTGGGATTGCAGATGGGTTGTAGTTTTTTTTTCTTGAGACAGAGTCTCGCTCTGTCACCAGGCTGTGGAGTGCAGTGGCACGATATATCGGCTCACTGCAACCTCCGCCTCCTGGGTTCAAGCGACTCTCCTGCCTCAGCCTCCCAAATAGCTGGGACTACAGGTGCCTGCCACCATGCCTGGCTAATTTATTTGTTTATTTTTTTGTATTTTAGTAGAGACGAGGTTTCACCATGTTGCCCAGGCTGGTCTCAAGTTCCTGAGCTCAGGCACTCCACCCGCCTCAGCCTCCAAAAGTGTTAGGATTACAGGCGTGAGCTATCGTGCCCAGCCGCAGATGGGTTGTAGTTTTAAACAGGGTAGTCACGGTGACCTCATTGAAAAGGTAATGTGAGCAAAGACTCGAAGGAGGTAAAGGGATTACCATGTGGATATCTGTAAGAAGAGTGTTAATAGGCAGATGAAACAGCTAGTGCAAAGCTCCTAAGCTGGATGCATGCTTGGTGTGTTTGAGAAACAGCAAAGAGGCCATTGTGACTGGAGTAGAGTGAGCAGGGGGAAGAGTGCTGGGAAATGAAGTCAGAGAGAGAATGGTGACCTGATCCTGTAGGGTTATGGGTGCCATTGTAGGGACTTTGAAATGGCAAGCAGAACAGAGGGGTGACATGAAGTGACTTACGTTTAAGAAGGATTACTCTGGTTGCTGTGTTGATAGAAGAACAAGGGAAGGAGCAGAGAGATCAGCTGGGAGGCTATGCTGCTGCCCAGGCAAGAAATGATGACAGCTTAGGCCAGAGTGGTGGCAGTGAGTTATTGAGAAAAGATATATTTCGAAGGTAGAGTCAGCAGGATTTCTTGATGGACTGGATATGGGAGGGAAGAGAAGAGTTAAGGATGACACATGAATGATTGAGGTTGGAAGTGCCTGAGTTTAGAGTTTGGGAGTAGTTTGGCCCTCATTGTCTTATGCCCCAGCTTTAGGGGGTGGCCAGGGGCAGAACCAGAATAATGAGTGGACTAGTCATATCTTGTAAATGTTTGTGAAGCCATAAATTTCTTCTTTAAGTTCAAGAGGAGCTAGTCAACAAAGGGAAAGTTTGGACTTATCAGAAGTGTCTGAAGTAGAGTCTAATTATGGTGCCACTGAAGAGGATTTAATAACATCTGCATCAAAAACAGAAGAGACCTTGTCAAAAAAGAGAGTACCAGTCTTCCTCCTGTGTCTCATCCACATCCTCTTCCTATTCTTCCTCTTCTGAATCCAGATTTTCTGAATCTATTGGTGAGCCGAAGAACTATAATAATGAGTTTTTTCCATTTGAATTCAGACTCCTCTTTAAGACATCTTAGTCTTAACAGGAGCTCTCCTACTATATCTCCTTTCCAATTTTCTGGTCTTAATTACTTTCTTTTTGCTTCTTAATTTCCCCTGTACTTCTTCTTCGCTTTGGGTAAGTGTGGCCGTGGCCTCTTTGCTCATTGTAAAAAGTGGTTTCTTGCTGATGCACCCTTTCCCTCCTTGCTTCCTGTTACCTCTTTCCACTCCACCTTTCCACCCACACCATAGGATTTACCAGCTCTTACCCAGCTTTTACAAATCTAGACATGCTTTTCTGAAGCATTCCTCCCTATAGGTCATTTGGACTGGGAAACTCTTGTGCACGAGAATCTGCCCAGGCTAATGGAAATGGATCAGGATGACCGTGTTTGGCCCAGAGACTCACTCTTCCGATATTTTGAGTTGCTAGAAAAGCTTCAGTGTAACCTAGAGGAGCATAAGAAGTTACAAGAGTTTGCAGGTATGGAGTTAGGGCAGTCATGGGGACCATGGGAATATATATATAGCATTTATAGCTGTGGAGAAGGAGGAGGGTGTCCACTATTCTGGCATTTCAGCTTCTCAATTTCTGCCTACACCTAAAATAGGCAAATTCTTGGTTTGGTATGTCATATTCTGGGAATGTGTCCCAGTTTTCTCTAACTGAGAGAGAACCTAGAAACTCTGCTTCTGTAGCAGGGGACACCCAAATCCTATGAGGTATGAGAGCTTATTTCCCAAGAAGAGAAAGTCTAATCCCAGTTGTTGGGAATTAGGACAAGGTAGGCTCTTGCTTGATTTGGGCAGCCCACCAGTTTCTGCACGTTTGTTCTCTCTGAAGATTGCATTTCAGACTTGAGCAGCAGGGCCTAAGCCTCAAGCTGGAGAGCTATGGGGGATCAGACAATGAGCAGGATGCCCACAAGTGCTCACTGTCCTAACTCCCTAAAGAGGTTTATGAATTCTAAACTTCTGCTTGTATCTGCCCCTTCTAGTGTCAGCCTCTATAAAGATAAATATGTGATTTAAATAGTAGAGTTTGATGTAAACTGAGAACTATCCAAAATTATTTTTCCTAAATTTCATTACTCTCTGACTAATTTGGATTAATACAATTTCCCTCTAAAAGGAAAAAAAAAGGCTGGGCACGGCGGCTCATGCCTGTAATCCCAGCACTTTGGGAGGCTGAGGTGGGCAGATCACGAGGTCAGGAGATCAGGATCATCCTGGCCAACATGGTGAGACCCTGTCTCTACTAAAATACAAAATATCAGCCGGGCCTGGTGGCACATGCCTGTAGTCCCAGCTACTCAGGAGGCTGAGGCATGAGAATTGCTTGAACCTGGAAGGCGGAGGTTGCAGTGAGCGGAGATCACGCCACTGAACTCCAGCCTGGCAACAGAACGAGACTCTGTCTCAAAACAAAGCAAAAACAGAACAGTTAAGGGCAGATTTTTACAATTTAATATGTGTTATCTGGGGTTTCCCCCTCATATCTAGTTGAAATCAACTCAGTTTGAAAATAAGAAATTAGAGAGGAGGACTGTGTGTTTGTGTGTGGTGGGCACAGGTGGGAAATGAGGAATTTATAATATTGGAACATGGAATTTAGGGCAAGATGTGAAAGACAGGCTTTGCTTACTTCACAATGTTGCCTAAATTTAATCCTGTTCCTTCTAGTCATTCTTAGCCCTGCCTTCCCACTTATTCTCTAGGGAGGACAGGGTGAAAAGGAGGAAAATGCAGCAAGGTAGTTTCTTTAATCCTGATAAACTTGTCTATGGCAAAGAGTACACAGAATCATAAGGCTTAATTAAAAGATTAATAAAGACTTTTGTGGGAACCTGGAACCCAGAAAAGCAAGGTCTTCACCAAACATTTATATATGTAGAATATTCTTAGCTCTCCAGCCTCACAATCTGTTTCCTTTGCAGTGCAGGCACTGATGAACTTGGAAGACAAGTAAAGCAATGGATGGCTTCAATATCCTTGGGCCCAGCAAAAGATAATGAAGGGAATTGTTGGAAATAGAGAATTGAAAATATAAACATTCAGATAGAACAATATCTGTTCATTAAAATTAAAAAGTATAAGTGTCTAGGCCGGGCGCGGTGGCTCACGCCTGTAATCCCAGCACTTTGGGACACCGAGGCGGATAGATCACCTGAGTTCGGGAGTTCAAGACCAGCCTGGCCAGCATGGTGAAACCCTGTCTCTGCTAAAAAATACAAAAAAAAAATTTAGCCAGGTGTGGTGGCAGATGCCTGTAATCCCAGCCACTCTAGAGCCTGAGGCAGGAGAATCACTTGAACCTGGGAGGCAGAGGTTGCAGTGAGCCAAGATCGCACCACTGCACTCCAGCCTGGGCAACAGAGTGAGACTCGGTCTCAAAAAAAAAAAAAAAAAAATATATATATATATATATATATATATATATATATATATATATATATATATTTATAAGTGTCTAATAGATGCTCCTAGTAGCTGCTCAGTAGTCTGCCTCTGGGATAAGGGATATTGAAAGGCATAAAGTCAAGCAAAAGAGTTAGTTCAAGCTGAGTGTGGTGATGTGTGCCTCTAGTCCCAGCTATGAGCTGAGGCAGAATTGTTTGAGGCCAGGAGTTGGAGGCTGCAGCAAGCTAGGATCATACCACTGCATTCCAGCCTGGGCAACATAGCAAGACCATATCTCTAAAAAAGAACAAAACAAGTTAGCTCAGATGCCAGCGGAGTCTGTGCTCCTTAGCTTTCTACCCTTTCCACAGCTCCTGAATCTGACTCATTTCTTGACTTTATCATTATAGCTTCCACCCTTCCTGCAACCTCTACTGCCTGATTAGAGTCCTAATTTTACCCTCTCCCTCCCTGATGCATAGGTAAAGGCCCCTCTGTGGAGTAAGGAGATCTTCAGAGCTGTTAGTGTAACTAATTGAGAAGTATTGTTTCCATTGCGTGTTCTACTCATGTTGCTTCTCTTGTGAACCATTAACTTTAATTGGATATTATTTTTACCTGTTTCTGGACCGAAAGTCTCTTTATTTCATTTTGCCATTGCTCAGGGCAGTGCTCAAATCAGTAAGTGTTGTACAGGTTTTTAGTGTTAGAAGGGATTTCAGAGTTAATCTATCTCCCATCAAAGCAGGAACACCTTTTAGAACATCACTGAAAGGAGGATTATCCAGGTAATGCTTAATGTTTCTAGTTATTTGGGATTTATTATCTAGAAGGGATCCCATTCCATCGTTAGAAGACTTAAGTCTTTAGACATGTTTATTATTAAAAATTATATCACTTATTGAGTGTTTAACATGTATGAGGATATTTATATATTTAGTATATATATACTGTATATAGAGTATGCATATTTCATAAAATAATCATATATGGAAGATAGCGTCACATTTTTAGAGATCAGAAAACTAAGGCCTAAAGAAATTAAGTAAGTTAAGTAGCTTGCCCAAGAGCACATACCAAGTAAGAGGTAGAGCTAAGGTTCTAACTCAGGTTAAAAATTCTGAGTTGAGAAAAAAATCAGTTGAAGCCATTTAAACAATAAAATAGCTTACTGGAGACTGGAAAATTCAAAGGTAGTATAGCTTCAGGATTGATTTAATGTAAAAATTCACTGTTGTTAGATCTGTGGTTTTGTTTCTCTGGAATTTTCCTGTCTGCGCTCTCCTCCACGTGTTCTTGTTATTCTCAGACTGGCTTCACTTGGGTAGCCAGACAATTTTCTGAAGCGCCTAGGCTTGCATACCTATTTCCCCATATGCAGGGGAAGAGAGCCAGTGACTCCTTTCTCAGTCAATGAACAAAATTTTTGAGCTTTGGGTCACAATAATGGTTATTCTTGGAGTGAAGATACTGATGGGGAGGAAGCATGAAGCATCTGGAGTGCTATAGATATGTTCCATATCTTGATCTGCATGGTGGTTACACCGGTATATACAGATGTAAAAATTCAACAAAATGTACACTTAAAATTTGGGCATTAACTGTAGGTAAGTCAACCTCCACTCCTCTAAAGATATCCTGACCACCACTCTGATTGCACCAAGAAGTTAGGTCATATGCTTACGTCTGAACAAATTGTTGAGGTAAGGTGGTGGATGTGATGAAATCACTAATTAAGGCTTTCTCCTGAACTGGAGGTAAGGTCAGTAACACCCAACCTTACGTAAGGGCTGCTACCCAAGTGGGGAAGAGATGGAAGGGGGCAATAGGGTGGTAATTATAAAGTCCTCACCTAAGAGTATGTCTGGCAAAAAGGCCAAGATGGGGAAAAGGCAAATGAATTGAATGTCCAGAATAAACAAATCTATGAAGACAGAAAGTAGATTAGTGGTTTCTTGGGGGTTGGGGAGGGAGGAATTGAGACTGACAGATGATAGGTATAGGGTTTATTTGGCAGGTGATGGAAATGTTCTGGAATTAGATAGCCTTGAATAGTTCAACAATGTAATATATTTAAAAACACTGAATTGGGCCAGGTGTGGTGACTCATGCTTGTAATCCCAGCAGTTTGGGAGACCGAGTCGGGTGGATCACCTTAGGTCAGGAGTTCAAGACCAGCCTGGCCAACATGGTGAAACCCCATCTCTACTAAAAATACAAAATTAGCTGGGCGTGGTCGTGGGTGCCTGTAATCCCAGCTACTTGGGAGGCTGAGGCAGGAGAATTGCTTGAACCCGGGAGGTGGAGGTTGCAGTGAGCCGAGAGCGCACCACTGCACTCCAGCCTGGTCAACGAGAGAAACTCTGTCTCAAAAAAAAAAAAAAAAAAAAAAAAGAGCTGGACTGGAGCATCATCCATTGAACTTGTCAATCAGAATACAATAAACATCATAAAACAGAATAAGGAAGCATTATATCATAAATCTTACATATATTATCCACAAAGGAGATGCTCTTGAATAGTTTTGCTCAAAGTGTGGCCTGAAGATGAGCAGAATTGGCCTCATCTGGTCATTTGTTAGAAGTGTAGAATCTCTCACTAGCAAGAGACTAAAAAATAATTAAAAAAATAAGTATAGAGGCCGGGCATGGTGGCTCACGCCTGTAATCCCAGCACTTTGGGAGGCAGAGGTGGGTGGATCACGAGGTCAGGAGTTCCAGACCAGCCTGACCAACATGGTGAAACCCTGTCCCTACTAAAAATACAAAAATCAGCTGGGCGTGGTGGCACACACCTGTAATCCCAGCTACTCAGGAGGCTGAGGCAGGAGCATTGCTTGAACCCGGGAGGTGGAGGTTGCAGTAAGCTGAGATCACACCACTGAACTCCAACCAAAAAAAAGGAAAAAGAATCTCAGGCCCCATTCCCCAGGCCTATTGAATCAGGTGATGTAGCTGCACATAAAAGATTCAGAACAGCCGGGTGTGGTGGCTCACGCCTGTAATCCCAGCACTTTGGGAGGCCGAGGCAGGTGAATCATGAGGTCAGGAGTTCAAGACCAGCCTGGCCAACATGGTGAAACCCTGTCTCTAGTAAAACTACAAAAATTAGCTGGGGGCGGTGTAAGGCGCCTGTAATCCCAGCTACTCAGGAGGCTGAGGCAGGAAAATAGCTTGAACCTGGCTGGCAGAGGTTGCAAAAAAAAAAAAGATTCATAAGGCACTGCTTCATAGGTATTTGATGAATATTCCCTCCTTCCCTTTTCCCCCAAAACACTACACAGATATACCCTCTTGACTTTTTCTTTTCTTCCCTTTTCTTTTTTTCTTTTCTTCCTTTTTTCCCTCCCTCCCTCCTTTCCTTCCTTCCTTCTTTCCTTCCTTTCTTCCTTTCTCCCTTCCTTCCTTCCCTCTCCCTCTCTCCCCTGCCCCTTCTCTCTTTCTTTCTTTTTCCCACACAGAGCTGGCTGTGCAGGAGACTGGAGTTTTACTATTATTACTCAAATTAGTCTCTTCTGACGTTTTTGAGACGGAGTATCACTCTGTCGCCCAAGCTGCAGTGCAGTGGCACAGTCTCTGCTCATTACAACCTCCGCCTCCTGGGTTTAAGCGATTCTCGTGCCTCAGCCTCCCAAGTAACTGGGACTACAGTCACACGCCACCACACCTGGCTAATTTTCGTATTTTTAGTAGAGATGGGTTTTTTGCCATGTTGGCCAGGCTGGTCTTAAACTCCTGGCCTCAAGTAATCCGCCGCTCCTTTGCCTCCTGAAGTGCTGTGATTACAGGCGTGAGCCACCGTGCCTGGCCTGAATGAAGCTTTTCTAGCATACATTTTCTCTATAAGGCACTTTACAGCCTTCTTGCTATTAAGAACACCACACAACACTTTGGCATTAAGCTTAGGAGCCATTTTAAACGGTGAAATCACCAACAAACAGCCCCAAAACACAAAAAGTGCATCACTAGATAGAGCTCAAAAAAGACACTGGCTGGGCGCGGTGGCTCACGCCTGTAATCCCAGCACTTTGGGAGGCCAAGGTGGGCGGATCATGAGGTCAGGAGATTGAGACCATCCTGGCCAACATGGTAAAACCCCGTCTCTACTAAAAATACAAAAAATAGCTGGGGGTGGTGGCACATGCCTGTAATCCCAGCTACTCGGGAGGCTGAGGGAGGAGAATCACTTAAACCAGGGGGTCGGAGGTTGCAGTGAGCTGAGATCGCCACTGCACTCCAGTCTGGTGACACAGCAAGACTCCGTCTCAAAAAAAAAAAAAAAAAAGACACTAATATTTACACCATGAGAGCTGCAACAAGAAGGCAGAGCACTGCCTTGTTCCACCTCAGCTGGGAACGTGTATATCAGGTGACTCCAACTTGTCACCTCTCAATACAAGTCTGTGAATGACCTCAATAGCACTGTAAGTATTGATTTTGGGTTACAAACATTTAGTGACTAGGCAAATCCACAAATACAGAACTCACAAATGACAAAGACTGACTGTAAATGCTGTGGTAATTTGGAGCCTCGGGCTATTTTGACCTTGTGACACTGCCATCTCAACATGTGGTTTCTAGGTTGCCTCAACAGGGAAGAGATTGTTGGAGGCTCATTTGCTAGCTCTTAAATTCTTTGTTCAACCACAGTCCATTGAACAGAACTAATCACCTGAGCCCAGCTAACTGCAAGAGACCTGGGAAATGTGAAAAACACCTAGATATCTAGTAAGCAATAAATATTTCAGTTACCAAAGCCAAACCAAAAAAAGAGAAAAATAATTGTACTTTACAAAGAGAGGCATCTGGCTGGGCATGGTGGTTCACGCCTGTAATCCAAGCACTTGGGAAGCCGAAGTAAGTGAATTGCCTGAGTCCAGGAGTTTGAGACCAGCCTGGGCAACATGGGGAAACCCTGTCTCTACTAAAAACACAAAAAATCAGCTGGACGTGGTGGCACACACCTATAATCCCAGCTACTCAGGAGGCTGAAGCATGAGAATTGCTTGAACCCAGGAGGTGGAGGTTGCAGTGAGCTGAGATCACATCACTGCACTGCAGCCTGGGTATCAGAGTGAGACTCAGTTTCAAAAAAAAAAGGAGGCATCTGTTCTTTTTTGTTGTTTTTTTTTTTTTGAGATAGAGTTTCCCTCTTGTTGCCCAGGCTGGAGTGCAGTGGTGGGATCTTGGCTCAGTGCAACCTCTGCCTTCCGGTTTCAAGCGATTCTTCTGCCTCAGCCTCCCGAGTAGCTGGGACTACAGGCACATGCCACCATGCCCAGCTAATTTTTTGTATTTTTTAGTAGAGACAGGGTTTCACCATGTTGGCCAGGATGGTCTCAATCTCTTGACCTCATGATCTGCCTGCCTCAGCCTCCCAAAGTGCTCGGATTAGAGGCGTGAGCCACCGCAACCGGTTAGGGAGGTATCTGTTCTTGTCAGGCAGAGAGTATCCTGTGGGAGTTTTGGGGAGTGAGGATGTTTCAGAGTTCTCAACTCCTGTGGCTCTTCCCAGGTATACCCATTCTAACTGGCAGATCACAGAGTGTTCCAGTTATCACCAGTCTTATCCATTTCATTTTAGCAGGACATATGATTAATTTCTTGTTCTGGACCTTTGTAATTTAAATTTGCTGGTTGTTCTCTGTTTCCATTTGGTCATCTGCAGGTTGGAACTTGTCTCGCTCTTGTTGAACTTTGTCAAATTATAAGCAATAACCAATACACTCAAATAGCCTGGGATATTTGCCATAAACCCTAAGCACTTCGCCATCAGTTTGCACATAGTCTGAATCCTTAGCGGCAAGAGAATTGCTTAATCAACGGCTTACAACAGCAGAACGTGGACTGCCAGGAAAATTTCCATCCTGAGTTGAGGGAATCCTCATTGTTTCTCTCTCTGGTTGACTCAACTAGTTCCATATTTGTTCTGAAGGTCTTTCACTCAAGATACAACTTCCAGATAATCATTTATGTATTCATTAGAACTCCTTTAGTTTCGAGTAGAGAAAATCATCTTGAGCTATTCTAATAATAGTAATAGTAACATAGAGTGAATGTTTATTCTGTACCAGTGTCTGGCCCATAATAAGTGCTTAATCTTTGTTGAATGAATGCTAGACATTGCACTAAGTACTTTAAATGCATTATCTAATTTAATCCTCACAAAAACTCTACACTAGGGTTTTTTCCTTTTTACAGTAAAAACAACAACAGCAACAACAACCACAACAACAAAAACCCAAAAAACCAAAAACAGAGATTTAGAAACTGCCCCAGGACACACAGCTAGTAAATGTTGGAACCAGGGTTTGAACCTAGACCATCTCATTTTTTGCTACCCTATGAGGAAAGAAGGATAATTTGTTATAAGAGAGTTGTTACAGAATGAAGGGCAGAAATTCAGAAGGATTACAGGATGGGCTGGAACCACAAAGCTGTTGGGAACTCAGGTCGTATTCTCCCTCGGATTCATCTGTCTGCTTTTTAGACTAGATGTGGTATCCTTGATGGGCAAAGGGAATATTGGTAAAATTACACAACAGATCATTTCACTGATCTCAACTTTTGATTTGCCTTGGAAAATCCCATCATTGCTCCCAGCTGTCTTTGTGACCTGGGTTAAGTCATTCCATTTCTTTGGGCTTCAATTCCCCTGTCTATAAAATGAGAAGTTCTTACCAGAGGATTCCTCAGGTCTCTTCTGTGATCCTGGGAGGCCGAAGCAGGAGGATTGCTTGAGTCCAGGAGTTTGAGGGTGCAGTGAGCTAGGATCATACCACAGTATTCCAGCCTGGGCCATGGACCAAGACCCTGTCTCTAAGTAAATAAATACACAAAAATAAAACTCTGTGATCCTAAGTGAATCTTCTAGGTCAGAAGCACATTAATAATGAAGTTCCATGTGTGGATTTGAGGGAGAGAATGGGGAAGGTTTCTAGGGAAAGAAGGACAGAATAAAAGTTTGGGTATAGCTTCAGTGTTGAATTGCTATTTAGAGTTGGTGTAAAGTGAAGGCCTTTGGGGAGATATAGATGGAGAATGGAAAAGACTTCTAACCCTGGCCTGGGGTAGTGGCTCAAGCCTGTAATCCCACCACTTTGGGAGGCCAAGGTGGATGAATCACTTGAGGTCAGGAGTTCAAGACCAGCTTGGGCAACATGGTGAAACCCCATCTCCACAAAAAATACAAAAATTAGCCATGCATGGTGGCGCATGCCTGTAGTCCCCCAACTACTTGGGAGGCTGAGGCAGGATAATTGCTTGAACCAAGGAGGCAGAAATTGCAGTGAGCCGATAGTGCCACTGTACTCCAGCCTGCGTAACAGAGTGAGACTCCATCTCAAAAAAAAAAAAAAAAAAAAAAAAAAAGGCGCTGTGGCTCACGCCTGTAACCCCAGCACTTTGGGAGGCTGAGGTGGGTAGATCACTTGAGGTCAGTTCAAGACAAGCCTAGCCAACGTGGTGAAACCCCATCTCTACTAAAAATACAAAAATTAGCTGGGTGTGGTGGCACGTGCCTGTAATCCCAGCTACTTGGGAGGCTGAGGCAGGAAAATCGCTTGAACCCGGAAGGAAGAGGTTGCGGTGGTGAGATAGCCCCACTGCACTCCAGCCTGGGCAACAGAGAGAGATTACATCTCAAACCATCCCCTGGAAAAAACAAAAAACAAAAACAACAACAAAAAAGACTTCTAACCCTGACCAGACCAGATTATTTTGAATGACATCTCTTTCTCTCTCTGTTCCATGAGCAATTCTGTGTGTAGGGAGATCAGTCCCTGTGCATAGTGATTTAAATCTGGTTTCTGTCTTCTCAGCTCAGAGTTTTTGATGGGGCTTTTACCTACTAGGCCACAGAGAAAGAACCAAATGATAGGGGATCCCGGAGGGGGAAGGAAAGACCCAAACATTTGAATGGCCTAATGAGCAAATCACATTTCTCTGGGTCTGTTTCCTTATCCATAAGTGAAAAAGTTTGGTGTATGTGATCTCTGGGGTACTGCTCAGCTCTTGACACTCTGTGGTTCTGGGTAGTAGTTGAAAGCAGCTCTCCTCTTCCTGAATTCTCCATCCTTGGACTGGACCTCTCGTCTGTTTATACCTTGCTGTGCAGTTTGTTTCTCCTGGGCGTCATTTCTTCTTCAATTTCCTCAAATCCTACTTGCTTCTTAGCTCCTTCATATCCTCTTTGTTTTCTTTGCTTCTGCAGAACCCCAGATTACACCCCTGGTCTCCAGTTCTCCATCTCCATGTCTGCCTGTTCCTTTCTGCATCACTGGCTCCTAACTCAAGCAATCTCCTTGGGTTTCTCTGAGGGGCCCCTGGGATCCCCTATCATTAGTCCCTCTCACAGAAGCATACCCTTCTCCAGAGCTAAAGGATCAGATATTCAGCGGCTCAGGTAACAAACCTGCTGTCAGGTTACACATATTGTTTCCTGAAAGACCACACTACAGTGTCAGTGGAGCCTCAGGTTGCCTGCAGTGCCCTGCCCTCACCTGGCTATCCCACACAGGTGAGAATAACCAGAACTCACCTCCGGTACCAGTGTTCACTTGGAAACATGGCTCTCAGCCTCTGGCCCCTGCTGCTGCTGCTGCTGCTGCTGCTGCTGCTGTCCTTTGCAGGTAAGAAGAACAGTGAGCAGAACTGGGGATGAGGAGGAGGGTGGCTGGAAAAAGACTTTAAGAATATGGAGGTGAACCTGTTAGATAGAAGGACAAAGGAGAGAGGCAGAGACTTGTGCAAAAGGGAAAAATGAGGGTTAAGAAAAGCAGGCCAAGACTTACTGTAGGCCAGTGAAAGGGGTTCAGCTCACCATCCCCTCACCTCATCTTTAGATCCAGGTAGGGAACTGTGCTCAGGGGCAGGGTTGAGTTTGGGCTCTGTGTTCCTCTCCTTCAGTGACCTCTGGTTTCTCTCCTTACAGTGACTCTGGCCCCTACTGGGCCTCATTCCCTGGACCCTGGTCTCTCCTTCCTGAAGTCATTGCTCTCCACTCTGGACCAGGCTCCCCAGGGCTCCCTGAGCCGCTCACGGTTCTTTACATTCCTGGCCAACATTTCTTCTTCCTTTGAGCCTGGGAGAATGGGGGAAGGACCAGTAGGAGAGCCCCCACCTCTCCAGCCGCCTGCTCTGCGGCTCCATGATTTTCTAGTGACACTGAGAGGTAGCCCCGACTGGGAGCCAATGCTAGGGCTGCTAGGGGATATGCTGGCACTGCTGGGACAGGAGCAGACTCCCCGAGATTTCCTGGTGCACCAGGCAGGGGTGCTGGGTGGACTTGTGGAGGTGCTGCTGGGAGCCTTAGTTCCTGGGGGCCCCCCTACCCCAACTCAGCCCCCATGCACCCGTGATGGGCCGTCTGACTGTGTCCTGGCTGCTGACTGGTTGCCTTCTCTGCTGCTGTTGTTAGAGGGCACACGCTGGCAAGCTCTGGTGCAGGTGCAGCCCAGTGTGGACCCCACCAATGCCACAGGCCTCGATGGGAGGGAGGCAGCTCCTCACTTTTTGCAGGGTCTGTTGGGTTTGCTTACCCCAACAGGGGAGCTAGGCTCCAAGGAGGCTCTTTGGGGCGGTCTGCTACGCACAGTGGGGGCCCCCCTCTATGCTGCCTTTCAGGAGGGGCTGCTCCGTGTCACTCACTCCCTGCAGGATGAGGTCTTCTCCATTTTGGGGCAGCCAGAGCCTGATACCAATGGGCAGTGCCAGGGAGGTGAGTGTGGCCAGGGCTGGGACTGGGATGTGGCAGGGCAAGGAAAGTGAAATTGGGGTAGTTTTCTTCCTTACTCTTTCCCTCCTAGGTAACCTTCAACAGCTGCTCTTATGGTAAGTAACAGGAGACCAGTTCTGAGGGATTGGGCCTGGAAAATCTGGAGGTGAAGAGCTGAAGACCTCAGCCTCTAGAGAGGAAAACTGATGGGAGGAGTGTAGTTTAGTGGTTTTGGGGTGTGACTGTCTGGGTTGGTGTCCCAGCTCCACCTCTTCCTAGCCATATGACCTTGAGCAGGTTACATAGTCTTTCTATACCTCAGTTTCCCCATTTATAAAATGAGAATGATAATATTAGTTACCACAGAGTTGTTGCACCCGGTTAAATGAGTTGATACTGTGTATGCAAACGACTTAAAACCGTGCTGGCACATAGCGCTTAATAATGTTAGCTAGTAAAGATGGGATTTGGAAAATAAGGACACAGCTGGATTCCTCTACCCCCTTACTACTTCAGTACAACAATGCCAGACAGTAGTTAGACATATTGAGTTGCTGAGCAGATTTCCTAACATGAGGCCCGCTGAGGGTTGTGTTTAAGCTATCTAAAAGCATATGAAGAAAGGAGACAGAAGGGGGCCAGGTGGACAGAAAGAATTCCAACTGGGGCTTCTCCTAGGTGATTTTGGACCTTGGCAGGGCAGCTTTCTCTTTTTTGCCCCGTTGCAGCATTTCAACCAGTAACGCCTAAACTCTCAGGGACCTCGCTTGTAGAAAAGCCTATGCTTGCCATGCCCCTTGAGGGCTCTGAGTCAGGGTCAGAATCTTCAGCTGGAGGAAATGTGAACTGACCAGATCCTGCCTGCTCCTCCCTCTGCACCCAGGGGCGTCCGGCACAACCTTTCCTGGGATGTCCAGGCGCTGGGCTTTCTGTCTGGATCACCACCCCCACCCCCTGCCCTCCTTCACTGCCTGAGCACGGGCGTGCCTCTGCCCAGAGCTTCTCAGCCGTCAGCCCACATCAGCCCACGCCAACGGCGAGCCATCACTGTGGAGGCCCTCTGTGAGAACCACTTAGGCCCAGCACCACCCTACAGCATTTCCAACTTCTCCATCCACTTGCTCTGCCAGCACACCAAGCCTGCCACTCCACAGCCCCATCCCAGCACCACTGCCATCTGCCAGACAGCTGTGTGGTATGCAGTGTCCTGGGCACCAGGTGCCCAAGGCTGGCTACAGGCCTGCCACGACCAGTTTCCTGATGAGTTTTTGGATGCGATCTGCAGTAACCTCTCCTTTTCAGCCCTGTCTGGCTCCAACCGCCGCCTGGTGAAGCGGCTCTGTGCTGGCCTGCTCCCACCCCCTACCAGCTGCCCTGAAGGCCTGCCCCCTGTTCCCCTCACCCCAGACATCTTTTGGGGCTGCTTCTTGGAGAATGAGACTCTGTGGGCTGAGCGACTGTGTGGGGAGGCAAGTCTACAGGCTGTGCCCCCCAGCAACCAGGCTTGGGTCCAGCATGTGTGCCAGGGCCCCACCCCAGATGTCACTGCCTCCCCACCATGCCACATTGGACCCTGTGGGGAACGCTGCCCGGATGGGGGCAGCTTCCTGGTGATGGTCTGTGCCAATGACACCATGTATGAGGTCCTGGTGCCCTTCTGGCCTTGGCTAGCAGGCCAATGCAGGATAAGTCGTGGGGGCAATGACACTTGCTTCCTAGAAGGGCTGCTGGGCCCCCTTCTGCCCTCTCTGCCACCACTGGGACCATCCCCACTCTGTCTGACCCCTGGCCCCTTCCTCCTTGGCATGCTATCCCAGTTGCCACGCTGTCAGTCCTCTGTCCCAGCTCTTGCTCACCCCACACGCCTACACTATCTCCTCCGCCTGCTGACCTTCCTCTTGGGTCCAGGGGCTGGGGGCGCTGAGGCCCAGGGGATGCTGGGTCGGGCCCTACTGCTCTCCAGTCTCCCAGACAACTGCTCCTTCTGGGATGCCTTTCGCCCAGAGGGCCGGCGCAGTGTGCTACGGACGATTGGGGAATACCTGGAACAAGATGAGGAGCAGCCAACCCCATCAGGCTTTGAACCCACTGTCAACCCCAGCTCTGGTATAAGCAAGATGGAGCTGCTGGCCTGCTTTAGTGTGAGTGCTCTGCCAGAGGGAAAGCTCCTAGAACAGTGAGAAGGCCCTCCAGGGGAATTCCTCGAATACTCAGAGGCAGTAGTGTGGGGTAGTAGTTGAAGCACACAGCTCTAGAGTCAGACAGGCTTGGATTCATATCTTGGTTCTGTGACCAGCCTTGAATGAGTTATTTAACTTCTCTGAGCAATATTTTTCTCGTCTCATTTATAAACTAGGGATGATAATGGTATATGAGATAATACATGCTGTGGGCTTAGCACAGTGCATGATACACAAACATGCAATAAATATTACCTTGTTATTCTTTTGGGCTCTTTGACTCTCTCACTTTCTGCACCAGAAAGAAAAAGGATCAAGTTAGAGGACTCTAAATTTTTCCCCTAGAGAGTGAGAATTGGAGGCTGGCAGAATACAGGAAGATAAGGTAGGAATGAGAAAGATTCAGGGACACTACCAATCAGAAGACTTTGGTTCTAGGTTCAACTGTGCCACAAATTAGTGTGATCTTAGGCAAGCAATTTCATTTAGTTTTTCTGGGCTTCAGTTTTTAGTCTGTAGAATGGAGGGGTGAGAATATGTTAAACACCATAATTAATTCACTGAGTGCCTATTATATGCAAGGCACTTTGCTAGGTTCTGTAGGATATATAAAGATTTCTTACTCCATGTTGGGGCCACCTTTTTCAAACCCTGGGCCCAGTAAAATGGAATTAGATAGTCTCATAGTATTTGGTTCAGGTCTACAAGTATTAATTGAGCCAACTATGGACCTGGCATGGGAGAGGGTACAAGAGAAATTAGAGATATGATCCCGGACCTAAAAGAGCTTAATATCTGAAGAATCACACTTGAGATGATGGACAAGCATCCCAGCAAGTGGAGTTGGAATGCCTGGGGGAGCTGCAGGAGAGACAGAGAAGACAGCTCTGTTGGCATATTGTCTTTCTTCCCACCAGCCTGTGCTGTGGGATCTGCTCCAGAGGGAAAAGAGTGTTTGGGCCCTGCAGATTCTAGTGCAGGTAACAGGTGGAGGGCACATGGGTGGGCTGGGTGACAGCCATGGCTGGAGGTCCCTGCCCCGTGAGGTGAGGCCATACCCACCATGACCTCCTATTCGCAGGCGTACCTGCATATGCCCCCAGAAAACCTCCAGCAGCTGGTGCTTTCAGCAGAGAGGGAGGCTGCACAGGGCTTCCTGACACTCATGCTGCAGGGGAAGCTGCAGGGGAAGCTGCAGGTGAGCACTGAGAAAGGGGAGCAAGGGCACCTGGAGCCTAGTGTTCAGAGGGCTTGCTTTAGTGGGAGGAGGAACTCCAGAGAGGAAATGGCAGGGATACTGAGCATCTCCAGAGGCAGAATCCATTCCTGTGCCCCTACAGGTACCACCATCCGAGGAGCAGGCCCTGGGTCGCCTGACAGCCCTGCTGCTCCAGCGGTACCCACGCCTCACCTCCCAGCTCTTCATTGACCTGTCACCACTCATCCCTTTCTTGGCTGTCTCTGACCTGATGCGCTTCCCACCATCCCTGTTAGCCAACGACAGTGTGTAAGGTTCTTGCACTACTCCTCCTGCTCCTGTCACGGTCAGGCCAACCGCATCCACCTGGAGCAGCCCCTTCCGGAGCTCCTCTCTGTTTTTTTCTTTCATGCCAGATAGGCAATGTGCCAACATCGTAGCAAGGTTTGAGAGAGGCACATCTCACGCCTGAGTGTGAAAACCCAATCATTATGCTAATGAACTACAAAAGGATCAGAGAGCTCCTCTCTATTAAAACCAGGGAGAGGATGGGCGTGGTGGCTCATGCCTGTAATCCCAGCACGTTGGGAGCCCGAG
This sequence comes from Homo sapiens, assembly GCF_000001405.40. Lineage (NCBI taxonomy): Eukaryota > Metazoa > Chordata > Mammalia > Primates > Hominidae > Homo > Homo sapiens. Next base: position 43,713,060 of record NC_000015.10, on the reverse strand, counting down.
GCAGGTGGATCACTAGGTCCGCCTAGTGAGTTCGAGACCAGCCTGGCCAATATGGTGAAACCCTGTCTCTATTAAACTACAAAAATTAGCCAGGCATGGTGGTGGGCGCTTGTAGTCCCAGTTACTCTGGAGGCTGAGGCAGGAGGATAGCTTGAACCTGGGAGGCAGAGGTTGCAGTGAGCCAAGATCGTGCCACTGCACTCCAGCCTGGGTGACAGAGCGAGACTCCGTCTTAAAAAAAACAAAAAACAAAACAAAACAAAAAAACAGGGAGAGTCTCCTTCCTATCTAGACAGCAGGGCTACAGAGGGTCAGAGGAAAACAGTTTGGAGGAAGACAAAGGGTTAAGACCCATGACTCCTCGCAGCCTGGCTGCCATCCGGGATTACAGCCCAGGAATGAGGCCTGAACAGAAGGAGGCTCTGGCAAAGCGACTGCTGGCCCCTGAACTGTTTGGGGAAGTGCCTGCCTGGCCCCAGGAGCTGCTGTGGGCAGTGCTGCCCCTGCTCCCCCACCTCCCTCTGGAGAACTTTTTGCAGCTCAGCCCTCACCAGGTATGAGAATCATCTTCTTTACTTGACTGGCCCATCTTCTGCTAGTGGGGACAAAGAGTCAATGGCATGTCTCTCAGTGGCCCCTCCCTGCAAGAACCCTATAGTGACCCCAGTGCGAGCTAACCTTCCCCATCTCAGATCCAGGCCCTGGAGGATAGCTGGCCAGCAGCAGGTCTGGGGCCAGGGCATGCCCGCCATGTGCTGCGCAGCCTGGTAAACCAGAGTGTCCAGGATGGTGAGGAGCAGGTACGCAGGTGAGTTGTTGTGGGATCAGTAACCAAGGCAAGAGTGGAAGAGGTAGAGAGAGGAAGGCACAGCTGTCACGCTGGGTCGGTGTTCTAGGAAGAAAGGGGCAAGAGAGTAGGCAGTGGCCTCAGGCAGCATAGAGTTCCAGGAGAGAGGTCTATAGATGGTGCCCCTGTGTAGTGGTGTAGTGTCAGAGTGCCCAGTGTATGTACCCATACCATCTGCTGCCAGGCCTGCCTTAGTGCTAGTCTTGGGGACCACACAAAGGTCAGCTTCATGCCCTCCTCAGGCTTGGGCCCCTCGCCTGTTTCCTGAGCCCTGAGGAGCTGCAGAGCCTAGTGCCCCTGAGTGATCCAACGGGGCCAGTAGAACGGGGGCTGCTGGAATGTGCAGCCAATGGGACCCTCAGCCCAGAAGGACGGGTGAGCCCCTCAGCACAAGCCTACAAGACTTTAGGCTTCCCCTGGGTCTGTGTGGATGGCTTTCCCATTGTGTCAACTTGAGCACAGTGGTGCCAGCCCCCATCCCACTTTTGCAACCTCCATTCCTTACTCCATGGCCATTCTTACCTGTTACCACCTCTTCCTGGCCCTTCTCTATCTGGTCTGTAGCACCCCAAACATACCCTTTGCCATTTTGAACCTAATCTACTCCAGTCCAATCCCTAGTTCCAAACCCTAGCCCAGGCCCTGGGAAATTCAGATGTGGGATTAGAGAGGAAGTTCAAGGTTCATCTGTCTTTTCTCTCCAGTCCTAAACCTTCTTTGGTTACAGGTGGCATATGAACTTCTGGGTGTGTTGCGCTCATCTGGAGGAGCGGTGCTGAGCCCCCGGGAGCTGCGGGTCTGGGCCCCTCTCTTCTCTCAGCTGGGCCTCCGCTTCCTTCAGGAGCTGTCAGAGCCCCAGCTTAGAGCCATGCTTCCTGTCCTGCAGGGAACTAGTGTTACACCTGCTCAGGTTTGCCTGTCTCACTCCCTGGCATGTACCCTCCATCCCCGCTTGAGCCCCAGTCAAGAGAATCCCATTCAGGGATAAAAGCAGCCCCTCCTTTCCCTGGGTGAACAGTAGAGGTAAACTCTGTCTGCAGGAGGACGCCTTCATTCCCTTTCCTCAGATCAAGAAGGGACCTGAGTCACTGAGGATGGTTACTGGGGATGGTTAAGAGGCAGCGGGAAGTTTTGGAGGGTTTGCCTTAGGAACCCACTTAGGACCTGGCTGCTGGGTCCTGAGAGCTGTTGTTTTCGGTCCCATCCCAACACAGGCTGTCCTGCTGCTTGGACGGCTCCTTCCTAGGCACGATGTGAGTAGCAGCAACTTCTCAGCCTCCCGCCAGAGGTCTCTATCCTCTTTTAACCTGGCTCCTGCATCTGCCCCTCCTCTCTCTCCGCTCCCCTCATACTTACTGCCTTGCTGCATTGTGATTGTTGTCTTCCCCAACACCCTTCCCTTCTTCTTCAGGCCTCTTGTCTCTCTTGCTCTTTAGCTATCCCTGGAGGAACTCTGCTCCTTGCACCTTCTGCTACCAGGCCTCAGCCCCCAGACACTCCAGGCCATCCCTAGGCGAGTCCTGGTCGGGGCTTGTTCCTGCCTGGCCCCTGAACTGTCACGCCTCTCAGCCTGCCAGACCGCAGCACTGCTGCAGACCTTTCGGGTATGAGAGTGGCAAGGAGGATGAGATAATCAGGGATACCGGCTCTTTCTGGTTGGGAGGAAGGCATCTTCCCTGAGGCCAGGGAAGGCCTTTCATACCTCCCCACTTACACACACACACACACACACACACACACAACCAATTCTCATGCAGGTTAAAGATGGTGTTAAAAATATGGGTACAACAGGTGCTGGTCCAGCTGTGTGCATCCCTGGTCAGGTAAGTGTGAGATCTCCCAACTGAGCTCCTCTCCCCATTCTGGGGCAGTTTCATATGGCTGGTGCTACCTCCCACACTACCCTGCAGTGGCCCTGAGAGTTCTGGTTAGCTCTGTGCCCATTAGCAGCCCTCCCCAGTGCCAGATGCAGGACAGCATGATCCACTCACATTGTCCTAGACTAATGTCAAAGCTGGAAGGGCCTGAGAAATCTTCCAGGCCACCCACCCTGCTTTCAGATGAAAAGACCAAGGCTGGGAGAAGCTAAGGGACTTTGTTTGCCTGGTGCCTAACTAGCAGCAACACTTGACCACAGCAGCCTGCAGTGTGAGGCTCTTAGGCGTTTATTGCTACAGTGGCAAATGCCATTCCACTTCTGTCCTAGCTTTGGTCCCTTTCCACCCCCATGGTTCCTTTTCTCTGAGTGCTAAGTACAGACTCTCTCACCTATCACTACACTGCTATACCCATCACCGCCAGCAGCCTATTCCCACCACCTGGCCAGACTGCCTGCTTCCCCTGCTCCCATTAAAGCTGCTACAACTGGATTCCTTGGCTCTTCTGGCAAATCGAAGACGCTACTGGGAGCTGCCCTGGTCTGAGCAGCAGGTAATTCTCCCCACTTAATTTCAGAACTTCCTCCCTCAATGTAGTCTACCTTCTTTACCTATCCCTTAGCCCTATTTGGCCAGCTTATCCCTACTATCCTTTATTTGATTGTTTGAGATACAGTCTCACTCTGTTGCCCAGGCTGCAGTGCAGTGGCATGATCAGAGTTCGCTGTAACCTCAAACTCATGAGCTCAGGCAATCTTTCTGCCTCAGCCTCCTGAATAGCTAGGATGACAGGTGGTTACCACCATGCCTGGCTAATTTTTAAATTTTTTTTTTGTTTTTTGAGATGAAGTCTTGCTCTGTCACCCAGGCTTGAGTACAGTGGCACAAGCTTGGCTCACTGCAACCTCTGTCTCCCGGGTTCAAGCGATTCTCCTGCCTCAGCCTCCCGAGTAGCTGGGACTACAGGCACTCCCCACAATGCCCGGCTAATTTTTTTTTTGTTTTAGTAGAGACAGGGTTTCACCATATTGGCCAGGCTGGTCTCGAACTGCTGACCTTGTGATCTGCCTGCCTCTGCCTCTCAAAGTGCTGGGATTACAGGTGTGAGCCACCATGCCCGGCCAATTTTTAAATTTTTTGTAGAGACAGACAATACAAAAATGTGGACACTATGTGGAGACACTATGTTGAGGTACTATGCTGTCCAGATTGGTCTTGAACTCCTGGCCTCAAGCAATCCTCCTGCCTTGGCCTCCCAAAGTGCTGGGATTACAGACCTGAGCCACTGCACCCAGCCCCCTAGTATCCCTTATAATGTGACTTGCTTTTCTTTTTCTTTCTCCTTCCCTTTTCTTTCATTTCTTTCTCACTCTCGAGAGAAGAGTGGGCATCTGGGAGAGTGGGAGGCTGGTGGGTCCCACAGAGTGAGGAGGCAGGACTGGGTCCAAGGCAGTCCTGCCTCTCCACTCTAGGGGGTATCCTTGGACAGTGTCTCTTCTGGGAAGGGGCTCGTCTTTCTTTCTCTTGTAGGCACAGTTTCTCTGGAAGAAGATGCAAGTACCCACCAACCTGACCCTCAGGAATCTACAGTGAGTAACTTGTGTTGAGCAGTGCGCTGAATTCGACCAACATTTTTTTGAGTGCTTACTATGTGCCAGGCACCATATGATATGGAATGGGGGATATAGGGATGAATGATGCATAGTCCCTGCCTCGTGGACGTTCTCCTAGCACCTCCCTTTGCCCTCCTTTCCTTCCACAGTGCCATGCCTATCCTGACTAGAGCCAAAGGACTCAGAAAACCTGGATTCAGGTTCCAGTCCTGTCACCTACTTGTCCTCTTGGGCAAGTCATTTAACGTCCCTGTGTCAGTTTTCCCTTCTTTAAATGAGAATTACAATGGCACCAGCCTCATAGGTAGTTACTGTGAAGATTAAATGAGGTAGGTCATGTAAGATATTTAACACAGTGTTTGGTCCATTGTAAAGTTCCAGTAGTCATTTGCTACTGTTAGTTTACTTCAGGATGACTTCAGAGGCACTGGCCAAGCAAGAATAAATAGGAATAAGAAGGTATCACTTTACTTATACCCACATTAGAAGAACAATGGGCTTCAGAATCTTTTTTTTTTTTTTTTTCGAGACAGTCTTGCTCTGTTGCCCAGGCTGGAGTGCAGTGGCGCGATTTCGGCTCACTGCAACCTCTGCCTCCCAGGTTCAAGCGATTCTCCTGTCTCAGCCTCTGGAGTAGCTGGGATTACAGGAATGTGCCACCATACCCAGCTAATTTTTGTATTTTTAGTAGAGATGGGGTTTCACCATTTTGGCCAGGCTGGTCTCAAACTCCTGACCTCAGGTGATCCACCCGCCTCAGCCTCCCAAGGGCTTCAGAATCTAAGACATGTCTCTAGTTTCAGTTTACCACATTTCTAGCAGAATGATGTTGGGAATGTCACCTGACTTCCATAAATCCTTATTTTCTCCTCTGATAAACAGCAGTGATGTTATGGGGAGCTGATGAGATATCTATGTAAAAACATTTCTCAAACCATAAATTACGGTGGATGAACATCTGTACTTGTGTTGAGAGTACTGATATCAAGGAGCAAACAGGCTGTTGTATGTGTTGAATGAGCCTCTCCCCACTCACACACCCACAGGGCTCTGGGCACCCTGGCAGGAGGCATGTCCTGTGAGTTTCTGCAGCAGATCAACTCCATGGTAGACTTCCTTGAAGTGGTGCACATGATCTATCAGCTGCCCACTAGAGTTCGAGGGAGCCTGGTGAGAGGGGATGCCTGGACTTTAGTGGGAGCAGGGAGGCTGGGACCCTAGGTATAGAACCCAGCTCCTATGTTCTGCTCTGGCCTCACTCTGCTTCCCTACAGAGGGCCTGTATCTGGGCAGAGCTACAGCGGAGGATGGCAATGCCAGAACCAGAATGGACAACTGTAGGGCCAGAACTGAACGGGCTGGATAGCAAGCTACTCCTGGACTTACCGTAAGTACTGCAGCTAGAGATATTGGCCCCTCAGAAAGCTCAATCTGGGGTGAAGATCTGCCCTTAGGGAATGCCCTGGAGGAGGTAGTTTTTCTGTCTGGTAGTTCCCTGACATAATTTATAGCCCAAAGCAGAGGATTTTATTCAAAGTTGCTCTATGTATTGACTGGTTCCCAGAATATGCTCCAGCACAGGGCAGCTGAGGGTGGCAACACTGTATTGAAGCCTGCCAAGTAATCTTACAATAACCTAGTCCACATTAATTGAGATTGAGACAGAGCATCTGAAGTGAGGGAGGCAATGCTCCAAATCTGCCCCAGAGGATTGTAGTTTGCTCAGGGCACTGTGTTCTTAGTGCATTCAGAGGAGTGGATCGAGAGAAAAATATATGAAAAATGTGATAAATACCTTCAAATACCTGAGGGGCTATCAAGTAGAAATTAGATTGTCATATTTATGAGTGGCCCCATTGGGCAAGACTAAGAGTAGTTAACGGAGATCAGATTTTTACATAGTATAAGAAAAACTAAGGTAGTGAGTTCCTGGTCCTTGGAGCTGTTCGAGCCTAAGCCAGATGGCCCCATGGCAGGAATGTTGTAGAGCACGTTCATATACAGGTTGTGGGAAGAAAAGGCTATAGGAACCCAAGGCTCCTCCCTACCCATGGAGAAATTTATTAGTATGTTACTCATATGCTGCTTTTCTCATTTTACCCCTACCACCACCCCGTTGCCATCCGCACTGTAAGTCAGGATAGGAAAATGCTGGTGTTACAGTCTTCCTGGGGAATATGGAGCTGAAGTGGAGTAAAAGCAGTTGACTTCATTCTTACTTTTTTCTTTTTCTTTTTTTTTTTTTTTTTGAGACAGAGTTTTGCTGTGTCACCAAGGCTGGAGTGCAGTGACGTGATCTCGGCTCACTGCAACCTCCATCTTCCAGGTTCAAGCAATTCTCCTGCCTCAGTCTCCCGAGTAGCTGGGACTGTAGGTGTGCACCACCATGCCAGGCTAATTTTTGTATTTGTTGTAGGGACGAGCTTTCACCATGTTGGCCAGGCTGGTCTTGAACTCCTGGCTTCAAGTGATCTGCCCACCTCGGCTTCCCAACATTCTTATATTTTTATAGGCCTTTCCACAGATTTCAGCTCTTGTATGACTTAGCCCAGTTCCAGAACTGGTAATCCTAGGTAGGGTACAGGTTATCACCTCTGATTTCGGGTAAAAGGGATTTATTTATTTATTTGTTTATTTATTTATATTTTTGAGACAGAGTCTCGCTCTGTCACCCAGGCTGGAGTGCAATGGTGCCATCTCGGCTCACTGCAACCTCTCCCTCTGGGGTTCAAGCACTTCTGCCTCAGCCTCCTGAGTAGCTGGGATTACAGGCGCGTGCCACCACACCCGGCTAATTTTTGCATTTTTAGTAGAGACGGGGTTTCACCATGTTGCTCAGGGTGGTCTCGAATTTCTGACCCTGTGATCTGCCTGCCTCGGCCTCCCAAAGTGCTGGGATTACAGGCATGAGCCACTGCGTCCGGCCTGTTTTTACTTTTTTTTAATGCCATTCAGATCTGTTTAAATATGTGGGTTCTGTGAGATAATTTAGAATCCCAAGGTTACAGATGAGGTGAAAGATCCTAGACCATGCATCAAAAAACTTGAGTTTCTCATTTGTGAAAGAAGGATAAGAGAAACACCTATTTTGTCTGGGTGCAGTGGCTCATGCCTATAATCCCAGCATTTGGGGAGGCCAAGGTGGGTGGATCACGGAGGTCAGGTGTTCAAGACCAGACTGGCCAACATGGCAAAACACCATCTCTACTAAAAATACAAAAGTTAGCTGGGCGTGGTGGCACGTGCGTGTAATTCCAGCTATTCGGGAGGCTGAGGCACGAGAATTGCTTGAACCTGGGAGGTGCGGGTTGCAGTGAACTGAGATCGCAGCACCACTGTGCTCCAGCCTGAGTGATGGAGTGAGGCCAGGTCTTGTTGTAGGATCAAATGAGATAACACCTGAAAGAACTTTGTAAATTGTATAGCACGTACAAACAAGAAGGGACCTCTTCACAAGCAGAGGAAGGGTGGTCCTGTGGAAAAAAACGGGAATTGGGAGTGAGAGACCTCAACATTTGATCTCTGTGAACCTCAGTTTTTTAATCTATAAAATGGGGAAATGTTAATGGTACTTAATATTTGGAGCTTTTGAGTCCATTAGATCAGGTAGGATTGTTCGTTATTTTTTTTTTTTAGGAAGACTAGAAATATGTTGCTCCCTTTTTCTCCCCCACTCAAGCTTGATGGTGGGAATTGGCCCTGGAGCTGTTTACTGTCAGTTCCTGTCCAGCTTCACTAAATTTGGTCTGGGGTCACATCTTAGCTGGGGACTGTGGGGTTCTGTGGTCCCTTCTCGACTTGGCCCAGCTCCACTTGAATGATATTGTTGTCAAATTGCTATAATAGAATCCAGTTGATGGACAGACTATCCAATGAATCCATTATGTTGGTGGTGGAGCTGGTGCAAAGAGCTCCAGAGCAGCTGCTGGCACTGACCCCCCTCCACCAGGCAGCCCTGGCAGAGAGGGCACTACAAAACCTGGTAAGAGTCCACCCTACCAGACTCAGATTTGCTGCCCTGGGCAATTCTTGCTCCTCAGACAATGCTCTCTGACTGTCCTCCAACCCTCTACTTCTTGCTTTCTTGCTGCCAAACAGGTTCCTGTCTACAAGGCCTGGCCCGTTTTGCCTCTGGGTTCTGTTCCTTGATAATATGCTTCACGTTACTTGTCCATACCTCTTGGAGTCCGAGAAATCTCTTGGAGTCCACCTCTCAGTCTTTCTGCCTGCTCCTATCTGGTCTCATTGCTTAAGAAAGTGAACAAAGGTAGTGAGCATCATAGGGTGCTGAGTTGGGAGCAGGAGGGAGGGAAGGTCAGGGGGCTTGGTGTCTTGATCAAGGTGTCTGGTATTCTGAGTCAGAAGTGCATTGTCCAAGTTCTGATGCTCTTCTCCAGGCTCCAAAGGAGACTCCAGTCTCAGGGGAAGTGCTGGAGACCTTAGGCCCTTTGGTTGGATTCCTGGGGACAGAGAGCACACGACAGATCCCCCTACAGATCCTGCTGTCCCATCTCAGTCAGCTGTAAGGCTTCTGCCTAGGAGAGACATTTGCCACAGAGCTGGGATGGCTGCTATTGCAGGAGTCTGTTCTTGGGTATGGATCTTCGAGAACTTCAGATTCTAACTCATTCTATACCCAGTCCCTCAGCCACCATCATCAGTGGCAGCCTGTTCCATATTCCTAAGGGCCCTTGGAGCCCTGTGTCCGAAATCCTAGCATGTCCTCTTTTCCCCTTCCTTTTCCTCACAGTTCCCTCAGCTCCCCAGCCCCCGATTTTCTTCCTGTCCCCAGGAAACCAGAGTTGTGGAGCCAGGATGAAGTAGAGCAAGCTGGACGCCTAGTATTCACTCTGTCTACTGAGGCAATTTCCTTGATCCCCAGGGTGAGATGAAGGAAGAAGGGAAGGGAGTAAATGCATAGAGGGGACTGGTGAGCTGGTTATGGGGACCCGTGGCCAACGAGGGCAAAGGATATGAAGCCTAGATCTGGGGGGATACTGCGAAACAGAGACAGGACTTTGGACTTATAGCTATAGCAGCAGGTCCTGATCTGTCCAGATCTCCCCACTCTCCTTCTACCTTCTCATGCAGGAGGCCTTGGGTCCAGAGACCCTGGAGCGGCTTCTAGAAAAGCAGCAGAGCTGGGAGCAGAGCAGAGTTGGACAGCTGTGTAGGGGGCCACAGCTTGCTGCCAAGAAAGCAGCCCTGGTAGCAGGGGTGGTGCGACCAGCTGCTGAGGATCTTCCAGGTGAAACTACCCAAATACTTATATGTCCAGCAGGATGTACAGGGAGTATCAAACGGTCTGGGTTCTACATGTGCTTTTCTCTGGGACTGGGTTTTCTAATTTATAAAGCAAAGAGTTTAGAGGGATGATCTTCAAGTCTCGTCTAGTTCTAAAATTCTATAGCTCTGGGAGTGTGTAAACTATTAAGTTTTCCTTTAGCCCAGAACTTCCATTTTCCTGCTGTCTTGTCTCTTTAAACAGCTGACTCAGCTCTAGCTCGGCTAAGTGTGGAGCTCTCTGCTGGGGAGATCCCTCGAAGGAGACATTGTGAGGCTAGAGAACTGGTTTCAAATTCAGCTCTGCCATGAAATCCCTGACCAACATCCTCAGTCTTCCATCTATAAAATGAGGGACTTGGCATCTCCAATCACTTCTTGTTCAATTCACTTCTAAGCCCTATACATCTTAACCTGTAATACTCCCTCGATCCCTACTTCCCACAGTGCTCCATCCTCCAAAGGTTGGAAGAGTCATTCCATCTACAGATACCTCCTGGCCCTGCCTTCCCCCTTCAGAACCTGTGCCAAATTGTGCAGATGTACGAGGGACATTCCCAGCAGCCTGCTCTGCAACCCAGATTGCTGAGATGGAGCTCTCAGACTTTAAGGACTGCCTGACACTATTTGCAGGAGACCCAGGACTTGGGCCTGAGGAACCACGGGCAGCCATGGGCAAAGCAAAATGGGTCAGGGACGGAGAGCCAACTGAGGTTGGCCATGAGGAAGCTGTGTGGGTGTGATGTAGGACACGAAGAGAATAGAGAGTTGGATGAGAGGTGGGGGAAGCAGAAGATAAAAGAGTTAGAAGATTTGGGTCACAAGTAGAAGGTGAGGAGAGATAAATATTGAGGAAAGAGAGCTACTATAATGAATAGAGGGACTAAAGCAGTGATTACCAAATTTTAATGCATATCACAATCATCAAGGGAACAGATTTTTTTCTTTTTTCTTTTTTTTTCTTTCTTAAAAAATAATGGCATACTTCATGAATTTGTGTGTTATCCTTGCGCAGGCGCCATGCTAATCTCTGTATCATTCCAATTTTTTTTTGTATATGTGCTGCTGAACCGAGCACGGGAACAGTGCCAATGCTGGATTACCATGCTAGACTGACTTAATAAAAACCTTTGCGGAGGCTGGACGGAGTGGCTCGTGCCTGTAATCACAGCACTTTGGGAGGCTGAGGCAGGTGGATTGCTTGAGCCCAGGAGTTTGAGACCAGACTGGGCAACATGGTGAAGCCCTGTCTCTACTAAAAATAGAAAAAAAATTAGCTGGGTGTGGCGGCACATGCCTGTAATCCCAGCTACTCAGGAGGCTGGGGTAGGAGAATCCCCTGAGCGCAGGAGGTGGAGGGTGCAATGAGCCAAGATCACACCACTGCACTCCAGCCTGGGTGTCAGAGCAAGACCCTGTCTCATAAATTAAAAAATAAGCCTCTGGGAGAAAGTCTAGACATCTGCATCTGCTTTTTTTTTTTTTTTTTTTTTTGAGACACAGTCTCACTCTGTCACCCAGCATCCAGGCTGGAGTGCGGTGGTGTGATCTTGGCTCACTGTAACCTCTACATCCTGGGCTCAAACGATCCTCCTGCCTCAGCCTCTCGAGAAGCTGGGACTACAGGTGCACACCACTACACCTGGCTAATTTTTGTATTTTTGGTAGAGATGAGGTTTCGCTGTGTTGCCCAGGATGGTCTTGAACTCCTGGGCTCAAGCATTCCTCCCACCTCAGCCTCCCAAAGTGCTGGGATTACAGCTGTGAGCCACTGTGCTGGGCCCCAGGCATCTGCATTTTAATAAGCGTCTCTGTGTCTGATGCACATAAAAGTGTGGAACTCATGGACTAGAGTTAGTTTGCTCTTCTTTTCCACTGATTGTAATGTCTTTCAAAACACCTTAGAGGAACTGTAAGGCAACGGTCTCATTTTATAGTGGAGGAAACCAAAGAAAAGGCAAGTGACTTGCCTAGAGTTATACAGCTAAGGTCAGAGGCAAGACTTAAAACCCAGCATTCTGACTCCCAATCTACTGGTTTTCCACTCACATTGTTCCTCTCTTTCTCCTAGTTGTGGGGTCCCCCCCGGGGATTTGGTCCTGAGCAGATCCTGCAGCTCGGTAGACTCTTAATAGGTCTGGGAGATCAGGAACTACAGGAGCTGATCCTAGTGGACTGGGGAGTGCTGAGCACCCTGGGGCAGATAGATGGCTGGAGCTCCACTCAGGTAACACTTTTACTCCTCCCTACCGCTTCCCAAACACCCATCCCACAGACCCAGCCCTATAGATCATCTAAAGCCCAAGGAATTTTTTCCTGTGACCCTACCTGGTCATTCTTTCTGTCTTTTGTTAATATCCCATACTAGTGACCTTCAGGACTCTTGATTTATTCACTCTGAGGCCCTGGACACATAATACTGTCTCCTACCTCTTTTCCTGGAGGCTTCCTCTTTTTCTTTCCTTTTCTTTTCTGAGTCCTCAGCCTTCCCCATGACTCCTTAGGTCTTAATAGTAACAGAATATAACCCAGTAACACCTATCACTTCCCTGTCCATTAATTCTCCATAACTTTCCTCCTTCCCCTCTTCTCCCACCCCCCACCCCAGCTCCGCATTGTGGTCTCCAGTTTCCTACGGCAGAGTGGTCGGCATGTGAGCCACCTGGACTTCGTTCATCTGACAGCGCTGGGTTATACTCTCTGTGGACTGCGGCCAGAGGAGCTCCAGCACATCAGCAGTTGGGAGTTTAGGTCATTTGTGAAGGGGCTGAGGGTGGTCGTGTTCAGGTAAAGGTGGACTTGCTGGGGAAAGGAGGATCATGAAGTTATAGTCCCATGGAGGAAGGGAACTCATTTGAAGCCATCTCTTCCTTTGTCTCATGACCACAGTCCCTTTCACTGAAGCCGAATTCTTCTTCCTTCCTTCCCACTGTTCTACAGCCAAGCAGCTCTCTTCCTGGGCACCCTGCATCTGCAGTGCTCTGAGGAACAACTGGAGTTTCTGGCCCACCTCTTTGTACTGCCTGGTGGGTTTGGCCCAATCAGTAACTGGGGGCCTGAGATCTTCACTGAAATTGGCACCATAGCAGGTGGGGAGCTGGGCCACTGCTGGTGCAAGTTGGTTTGGTTTCTATACCATGGGTGGACTGGATGGAAGACTGCCCTGCAATTCTTCAGGTGTGGGCCTGAGAGGGTGTTTAAATAAGGGGCTAGAGACATATTGGGGAAGGTCTATGATAGGGCACTTTGGGAGTAGTTAGAGAAGGTCTATAGGTTTGAAGAGAGGGAAGGTCAGTCTAAGACAATGTTTGGATGCCACTTGCTTCAACAGCTGGGATCCCAGACCTGGCTCTTTCAGCACTGCTGCGGGGACAGATCCAGGGCGTTACTCCTCTTGCCATTTCTGTCATCCCTCCTCCTAAATTTGCTGTAAGTATTAATGGACTGGGGTGACCACAGGAGAGCCAGGGCCCAATGGGGACTACATGCATGCACTGATTCCTACCCCTGCCCTCAGGTGGTGTTTAGTCCCATCCAACTATCTAGTCTCGCCAGTGCTCAGGCTGTGGCTGTCACTCCTGAGCAAATGGCCTTTCTGAGTCCTGAGCAGCGACGAGCAGTTGCATGGGCCCAACATGAGGGAAAGGAGAGCCCAGAACAGCAAGGTGAGTTCCCAGCTGCACAGCTTGATCCTCCATCTCCTGACCCAGAATCAAACCCCTAATTTGGTGCTGTCTGGCTCTTAGAGTGCACCCAGGGAGATCCCTGGAGTGAAGGAGTCTACAGGCAGAGCGCTAATTTCCAAGTATCAATGCTCCTGGAGAGCTGAGTTGTGATATTACTCCCATTCCCTGTCTATTATAGGTCGAAGTACAGCCTGGGGCCTCCAGGACTGGTCACGACCTTCCTGGTCCCTGGTATTGACTATCAGCTTCCTTGGCCACCTGCTATGAGCCTGTCTCTACAGTAGAAGGAGATTGTGGGGAGAGAAATCTTAAGTCATAATGAATAAAGTGCAAACAGAAGTGCATCCTGATTATTTTCAGAAGCTGATGAGGAATATGGGTAAAATGTTAATGCTTTCCACCCACCTGAGAATCAGTGTTCCTGGGTTGCCATATCTGGAGTCTCTTTCCATCATAAATAATCCCACTGCCTCTTTTCATTTCCTGAAGGCTGCTCCCTCCTCACCCCACCATTAGAAGTAACACAGACAGCTGCAGCATAGCAAGGAGTCTTTACTAGGATGGAGGCAGGGGATGCGAGGGCAGGTCCAGAGCAAGTAGAATGGGCCATCATTAGAATGAGCAGAACTCCTTGGAATCTTGAGTCATCAGCTGGCGATGGGGAGTTAATGCTTGGTGTGGATGACAGGTGTGGGGATGCGGATATCCTGGCCTCTCTCCAGACGCCGTTCACAATCAATCAAATAGTTTACTCCATCGATGACCAGTTGCACCAGCTCCACCTGAAGGACACTAATCTTTGATCTCTGCTTCCTACAGTCTGAGTTTTTCTTTATCACTGACTGACTTGCCTGCTCATTTCCAATTGCCTCCCCACTCAACCTGAATTTCATTTCAGATTATGTTACATCCCGGAGGCTCACTCACTGCCATATTTCAGCCCCCACAGACCTATACCTCTCCTCATCCTAATCCCTTAGGATCTCACCTCTGATTTGCCTAGTCGGTCCAAATTAGAAATATCAAAGACACCGCCTGTGGCAGCAGTGTCCACTCCTCCAGTACCACGCTTTTGGAGTCTTAGGTTCTCCAGGATCTTTGGGAAGCGGCTATCCTAGAGAGGAGATAGGGATTGGGAGCAGGGTCAATAGAGGCAGAGACTAGTCCTACCTGAAAGAGCCCTGAACCTGCTCAGAGCTCTGTCTCCTGAACTTTTTTTTTTCCTTTTTTCTTTTTTTTTTTTTTTAGACAGGGTCTCTCTCTGTCACCCAGGCTGGAGTGATCACAGCTCACTGAAGCCTCGACTTCCCAGGCTTAAGTGATCCTCTCACCTCAGCCTCCACTACACCCAGCTAACTTTTGTATTTGTAGTAGAGATGGGGTTTCACCAGGTTGCCCAGGCTGGTCTTGAACTCCTGGGCTCAAATGATCTGCCTGCCTTGGCCTCCCAAGTGTTGGGATTAGAGGCATGAGCCACTGTGCCTGGCCTGTCCTCTGACCCTTTAGCCACAACATGTTTGGCTCCTCTCCAAAGGGTCCACTCCCTCCCCATCCACAACCCACCCTTCCTTACTCACACCCCTCTGTAACCCCACAACTCCTTTACTTTGCTTAGCAGGGGCAGTTTGATGTGCACTCCTGCCCGAAGTCCAGTGCCCAGGTTAGATGGACAGGTCAAGATGTATCCCAAACGCTCATTCCACATGAACTCCCAGCCACGTTCTTGGATAAGTCTCTCCACCTGAGTCCACAAAGTTTTTATTAATGAAAAATCAGGGATATTTCATTAACCCTGGACCCTCCCTTAGCTAGACCCACAAGAACACTAGAAATTTGTCTAGAATAGAAACTTGGCTGTGAATGAATGACATTGGTCTTTTTTTAAATGAAAAAGGTTTGTTATTGTTTTCATGCATGCATGATGCAAAATTATGATGTGCATAATAATGAGATTGTGAAAAAATATCTTATGTGGAAGAAGAAAACTCGAAGGCGTGGTGTATTAAGGATGATCTAGGGAAATGAACAGAGGTGGTAAACTGAACTGAGAGAGGACTGATTATTCAATGAGGTCTGCATGCATCGATTATCTTTGCTTTGCTAATGAGCCTAGAGCTTGGAAGGGTCCTTTCAGACAGAAGATGAAGGTGTAAGCTTTGCCAGGAAGAGGTGAGATAACGTTCTATTAGCTGTGAACGGAGCACCTGTGTGAATGCAGAGAAAGATGAAAACAGAGCAGGAAAGCCAGATTCATAGGAATAGGGGACAGGGGGAAGGCATTTTGCTTCCATTAACCATGTAGTCATGAAGATGACTATTAGAGTTCAAGAGACAAGGGATCTAGCAGAGTGATGATCACAAAGACCACTATCCAACATGAGTAAAGGGATCCTGTTTGTAGTTCAGAAGGAACCATGCCACCAGGGATATCTTATGTGCTGAACATGGGGGGAAACTCTTCCATCCAGAATAATATTGCAGCTAACACTTTAACACTTATTAAGCACTTACTGTGGACCAAGTACTTTACCTGTATTTCACTTAATCCCCACAACAACCTAAAATGTAGAAAATCTCATTATCCCAATTTTACAGATGAGGAAACTGAGGCATATAATTTAAAGGTACTTCCCTACCCACTCATAGTCAGAATATGTTATCTATTACTTGCCAAAAATAGTAGAAACTTCTCAGAATCTAAAAGAGGAGCTCTTTTTCTTTGCAAACCTAAAATAGAACTGTATGTTTGAGAACATACAGTAAGAATTGAATTGAGTTTATGGGGATTTCTAATGTAGACTTGAATACGGAGACCCAATCCATGTAGGATTGATGATTCAGTTCAACCTCTCATCTAGAGCCACATATTCTAGAACTCGAACCATTCTATCCTCCACCTTCCCCAGTCTCCCTCTGAACTCTCAACTTAAAGCCTAGACCCGATACTTTAACAAGAATGATAGAATCCAGAGTCAAGGCCTACCTTGTCTCAGAACTGGGTGGTTATATTAGAGTCATGAACACAGCAACCTCTCCCCGCCAACATCAATCTAAGCTCGAATGTTTTCCTTATCTGCACACCTCACCATCCCACTGCACACATCCCAGGCACTGACGTGCCATCTCAGTTATTCCTTCTTTGCATTACCTGCCTTCTTCACTTTCTAAGGTTCCTGACACTCTTTTCCTAATCTTAGTGTGACCACATGTCCTGGTTTTCCCAGTATGGTCCCAGCTGGTTTATACCTTTAGTCCTAGAGTGAGTCCTAGGTAGTCCTTTTTACCATCAGACATGTCTTGGGTTGGTTGATAAATTACATAATCTATTTATGCTACTCTTTGGTTTTCCTTATGTCCTCCCACCTAGCTCCCCTACACAATCTTCTCTAACCTCTTTGAGGCCTCGGCAGAATCTTTCAAACACTCTCTTCATGTTACCACCCTTCTCCATGGAGATCACCCGTGTATGATCCTCCTCATTCACCCAGATCAGGAAGCTCTTCTCATTGTTGTGCCTGAGGGCCGGAGAGGGACAGTGATCAAGAGGCAAGGCAAGAATTGGGAGAGATAGAGGGAAAAAAAGCATTTATGAGGGCATGAAGACAAAAGAGGTAATGAGCAGCTTCATACCAAATTCCACGAGCATCTGGCCAGTCTCGAGCCATTCCTGCTGCAGTCAGCAACGGGGACACAGGCTTATCAAACAGAAAGTGGTCCTGGGAAGAGTAACGGGACTTGGGTTAAGAATCTTCATGGTGGCCCCTGGGCCTTTCAGAGCCCATGTCTCATCTGGCCCAGCCTTCCCCATCTGCTCCCACCAACCAGCACCCTCTTAAGGCCCTCACATCAATAAGCTGCTGCTGTTCAGCCTCTGTCATCTCACTGAGCCTATAGTAACGTCCAGCCAGGTCACCCTTCAGGCCACTCAGTGCATCCACCACAACACGTTCCACCTCTCGTCGCTCTGCTCGAGTGCAAGCTGGAGGCAGACTGAGTCCTCGGATGCTTCGGCCAGTTCTGACTCTAGAGGACAATACATACCTCTCATCAAAGTAGCCAGAACGGATCTGGGAGATAAGGGAAATGAATGTAAGTCACAGAAACACGGTGGGAACTGAGGGCCCCTGGGAAAGGAGAGACCTTCCTTAGGCATTAGAGGACTCTTTGTGCATTCTTCCTGCATGCATTGGAAGAAGAGGCCCTTTGGGAAAGCACTGGAATTGAAGGGGGCATTGCAGACCTTTCCCCAAACCACCCACCTTGGGTCATGGTCATTCTTATCTATCCTTCCATCTCCATATATGCTGCCCCTTAAGATATGATTCTTTCCTTACATTAAGATTAAAAGCTCAGCTGTATAATGACCATGAGTCAGGAAATAAGGTGAAGGGGTTGGAGATACAGAGTGTTGTACACAGGCAATGCAAATCAGAAGTGGGATATTTGAACTCACTTTACTGGCATCTAGATCCGTGGTGTGCTTCATTGTCCGGGGGTCATATCCATTGTGTCGCTCTTGGATCACAGGGTCAAACAGGTCAGCAAATACCTAAGGGGAGTTAAGAGGGAGAGATGGTTAAGGAGAGGGAATCCCTCCCCAGACTTCAATTGTGCATTGATTTCACTGGTTCAGAAAACTTAAGTATGGGGGGCTCAGAGTCTTGGGGGAAAGTGAGAGGTCTTTAGGGGAAAGGAGCTGGGATTACTGGGAAGATGAATTGGATCATCAGGGAGACTCTGGGGACCCCCTACCTCATAGGTCTCCTCATCTCCAGCCACCATGCCCACAGTCTTGATGAAGGGGTGGCCAGGGTTGTCCACGCCAGTCTGGATACACTGATCTAGCGTCCAACCAGTGGGTGTGGTCTTGTCGCAGAGCCGTGCATAGACTGCTGGGGTCAGGTGACTGGCCATGCAGTTGTTGTGCTTTCGGAGGTCTGGGTACTCAGCGCTGGGGAGGGGGTACCCAGTAACCATGGAGGGAGGGCACAGACGCCTAGACCTAGTGCAGTTACCTGGGAGCTGTCCAGTTGGCCATGTCTGGCTTTGCTCCGCGGGAGGAGGGGGAATTAGAAAGAGGGTAAACCTTGGTAATCTCTTTAGGGACTTTCAGAGTCTATGCTTTCCTAATAGTTCTAGTTGCCTCTGGCTGGCCAGCTCAGTTTCTTCAGATCTGCTCAGTTCTTTCCTCCCATGACACAACACTACGGATGGAGGAGGGGAAAAGCCTAAGGAGAGGAATTGAGGAAATGAGGGAAGGAGATGGAGGGGAGCGAAAAGGATAGTTCCTGGCTTTACAATTAGGGATTTGGGCAGCCAGTGCAGCTAGAACTCGTAGGGCCAGAGCTGGTCTTGGCAGGTCCCCAGGAATGTTCTTGCTTTATGGTTTTGGCCCCCACCCCCACCCCACTGAGGTCTGCAGACTGCACAGCCCTCCAGCTCCAGGGCCTTCGTGATTATAGCCCTTCTCTGTTGCCCGGATTCTCACTTCTACCCGCACCTTCGTTCCCATCACCTCCTGCCCCCGCCTCCTCCCGCGCCTCAGGCACTGTTACCTCGGGGGATACAGCCTCCGTCGTTCACTGGCAGCTCGTACAGGTTCCGGTCGGAGCAGAAACCCAGCGGCTAGAGACCCCGCTCCGGCCAAAGCCAGGAGCCTGAGTCCCGGGCGGGCGGACAGCAGACGGGAGAAGGGACCAGCCATGGCTTGAGGTCTGGCTACGGGATCCTGGAGTAGGCGCTGGCGCAAGATAAGATCCGGAACAGGGAGGGAGGATGCAACCGGATAGACCGAGGGCCGGAGCTAGGTCCGAGGCTGCAGCCGAAATGGGGGTCGGATTGGAGGCTGGAGCCGGAATGGGAGCCGGTGCCAATCAGACTGCAGGAGAGGCGCAATGAGCTAGTGGCAGGCGGGCGGGCGGAGGAGAGGGAGGCCCCAGCCGCAGTCTCCAGGGGTGGGGCTCCCCCAGGCCCCGCCTTCCCGCCTGCCACCGCGCTAGGTGCGCGAGGGCAGGGGTGGGCAGCACCCGCCAGGTAATTAGCGGGACCTGAGACTCGCGCGTCTAAAGCCGGGGATGTAGCCCCCTCCCGCCCCGGGGATGTGGCCGCCCAGATTTCAGCACCAAGTGGAGGACAGCACCCACGTGGACTAGCTGAACCCAACACCCTTCCCCCACACCCCTCGGTTTAAGCTGAAACTCGATCCGTCTACCCTGTGGGTGTGCAAGGGTGACACTGCCCAACCTTTCCTCTGCTTTCGGCCTGCCCCAGCCACCTCTTCGGTCTCCCGGGGGCAGCCGCGGGGAAACCGCGGAATAAACACAGATACCAGAGGAGGATATGGAGAAAGCACAGGGTTAGAGGCAGGCACTGGGAAAGACACCCACTGGCTCAAGGTCACCTTTTCCTTAGAACCAGGAAGAGGAGCAAGGTGCTTCCTTGCCACCTCTGTGCACGCCTTACAAAGTTGAGAAAGGACTCCCTGGGAGGAACCAAGGAAATATTAATTCTTATGCCATCTGTGCTGTGTCCTCCACCTCCATTCTGCACCCAAGTCTGAAGCCCTGTTATTTCCTGCCTCTGCTTCTCATGATCCCCCACTTTTTGTTTTCCTTTTGTCTCTCCCACTTTCCTCCACGTCCCCTACCTCACCTTTGATCTTTTACTTCTCTGCGTCTTTTCCAGGCTCAGATGTGTTTGCTGCTCACAGGATGCCCTCTGCGTTTTCTCGGCAAGCTTGCCCACCTGTTGGTGGTGCTGGGTGTGGGGGTGGGCAGGGAATCGTTAGTTTCCTCCTCCTCCTCTCCCTTGGCTTCTCTCTCCGTAGTTCCTAGTTCCTGTGCTGGAGGAGAAGGTAAAGTGAGGTGAAGGGTGTGGTGAGATGACTGGGTGTGGGACTGGAACAGGCAGGCACAGGTCTCCAGACACCACATGTGTTTCCTCTCTTGTCTCCCTAATGCTGTTTAATCCAGAGAGTAAAGGCGAGTGGTGTACAAAGGCATGAGGTGGTCAGGGAATCTCTGCCTTCCTCGTGGTCCCCTCTGCTGCTCTCTCTCTCCTCGTGAAACACATATTCAGATTTGAGAGGGCTTTGTTTCCCAGCTCCAGGTATGATTTGACCTTTGTCCTGGTAGCAAGGAGAATGAATGCTAGAGTTGAAATAGAGATGAGGGGCTTCAGCGTGGAGGGTCAGTTAAGGTGGAGTAGCACCGTGGCATTAGTCCCTTCCCTCTGCTATCCTGGTGTACCCACAAGACAGATACTTGGAAATCTTAACAGAGAGTATTTGGGAAAGAGAATTCCCTTTACATAGAAAATTCCCCCATATTACTCTCATTCCCTTCATTCTCCTTAGGCCTTCCTTGTGTCCTTTTATTCTACCTTTGTCATTTGTGGGTATTCTTAGAAGTGTCCACTTCTCTCTTGGGTCCATCCCTTCTTCTTCTGGTAAGACATCAATTATTAGAGAACAGAGTTATGCAGCTGTAGTGTGGAAAATGTTACCTGTGTTGTGGGGCCTCTTTACCTAGGTTGAAAAGTAGCCATGAGTAAATAAATATAATTTCTTAGAATAGCGTGTATTTATCCAGATAAATAGGGAGATAATCTTCCAGAGCAGTAGGGTTGCTATTTGATTGAGAGGGTGTTACTAAGGAATAGGAAGTGGGAAGAGATAATTACCGAAGGAGAAATAAGACAGCCAGAGGAGTAGAGAAATTACCCAAGTTTAGAGAGTAGCTTCCCAAATGTGAACAATAATTCCACTGAGAAAACACATGTACTTATGCACTTTTCTTATCCCTTGTGTGCCTTTTACAAGCACATAATATATTAATGCTCATTTAAAAAATTATTTTGCAGCATATGGAAGTAATCAATATATGGTATTGTTATATGGTATTTCATTTATTTAATAAGAATTATTGTTGTCAATAGTATTTAATATTTTTAAAGCACTTTACAATTACAAGGAACTTTTATATGTATTATTTCATTGAGTTGAATTGGATTGTTCCAATGATTACTGGGGACAGAGTCTACATTTTCATGGGGATAGTAAGGGGAGTTAAATACCTGGAAGATGCTGTAATAGCTAGTTTGAAGGGCTAGAGTGGTGGAGGGGGTATGAGCCTGAGCATGAACTAGGGAGGCATCTATTCCTCTTAGAATAATCTATTCAAGCCATTAGAATCATTTCTATGTCCATTCAGGAGGCCTTGTGGGGTCAGTACAATGAGGCACGACTGGAAAAGTGGCAAGACCCCTAATATTGCAGAGAAGGAAAAGGGAACAACTGTCTTGACCAGGGAAACCCAAGTGAAGATGCGAGGATAATAAGAGCAATAACATATACAATACAAAATGCTTTCATATTATCAGTACCTTTAAGTGAGGTGTTTTGTTGTTGTTGTTTTTTGAGACAGGGCCTCGCTCTGTCACCCAGGTTGGAATGTAGTGAGGTGATCTTGGCTCACTGCAAACTCCATCTCCCAGGCTCAAGTGATCCTCCCGCCTCAGCCTCCTAAGTAGCTGGGAGCACAGGCATACGCCACCACACCTGGCTAGCTTTTGCATTTCTTGTAGAGACAGAGTTTCATCATGTTGACCAGGCTGGTCTTGAACTCCTTGCACTCCAGCGATCTGCCCGCCTCGGCCTCCCAACGTACTGGGATTGTAGGCGCGAGCCACTACAATTGGCCTTAATTAGGTTTTTGGGGGGTTTTTTTGGGTTCTTTTTTTTTTTTTGAGAAGGAGTCTGGCTTTCTCACCAGGCTGGGGTGCAGTGGCGCCATTTCGGCTCACTGCAGTCTCCACCTCCCGGGTTCAAACGATTCTCCTGCCTCAGCCTCCCGAGTAGCTGGGATTACAGGTGCGCACCACCACACTCGGCTAATTTCTGTATATTCAGTAGAGACGGGGTTTCACCATGTTGGCCAGGATGATCTCGACCTCCTGACCTAGTGATCCGCCTAACTTGGCCTCCGAAAGTGCTGGGATTACAGGCGTGAGCCACCGAGCCCAGCCCTAGGTTTTTAATCCTATTTTTATGGATGAGAAAAATAAAGGCTCAGAGAAATTAAGTGAGTCGCTCAAGGCTGCACAGCTATTAGAGGTAAGGCCAGGATTCAAATCCAGCTTTGTCTGGAGCATAGAGAAAAAGCAGGCTGTGGAGATAGGAATCAATTTGTCTAGAGTTCCAGGTCCATCCACTTTCTTGCCTCCTCTGTAAATGTCTCTCTGTTCCTTCCCTTAACTTTCTTATCTGCTTCTCTCCTTGTCTCTTTTTTGTCTCCAGTCTCCCTATCAGTCCTCTTTACATCTGTTAAAATTTTCAACCTTTATTTATTGGATCTGTACATATATGAGACCCTGTTTTGTCTCATAAGACAAAGGGAAGACCTGGTTTTTGCTCTGAAGGAACAGCAATGGCACAAACTCTGCCTCTTCCTCTTTCTCAGCATGAGGCTTCCCACCCACCCCGTCGTCTCATGAAACGTCTCTGTCTAGACCACGCTTCTGGACTTTGGCGACACACTAAGAAATCAAAGGAAGGGAGCATCAAGTTGCATTCCCTCCCAGAGCCACTAGGGGTCACGCTCCTCCGCGCAGAAGCGCCGGCCAACGCAGCCTGACTCTGTTACCGGTGCGCGCCCTTCGCTGATTGGTGGAACCGCAAAGAAGTCGCGCTTTGATTGGGCCGCTGTCAGGTGTCGCTGCCTGCAGGTTCGGCTGCGCGAGCGGAGGGAGGCGGGTGAGTGAAGGCCGGGGGCGGTGGGGGAGTGGCTGGGGCTGGGGGCGGTATCGGACCGGGTGGGCGCGGTAGAGTGGGCTTGGTGGGTTCCCAGGGCTGGGGTTCGTTCCGGGTGGGCTCCGCTTTGGGAAGAGGCCCAGCGGAGGGGCCTTAGTGTCAGCGTAGGGAGAGTGAGGCGGCGAAGGCGGGGGCGGGCAAAGGCTAGTGGAGTCGGGATGCGAGGGCGGTATTCGTGACCCGGAGCTGTGCGAGGAGAGTACCGAGGAGGGGGTCGGCGGGAGAGGAGATAGGTATGTGGGGGTCTGCGTGAGGAAGAGGGGGTCCTGTGGGAGGATGGAGGAGCGGAGTCGTACAGGGGAGAGGATCAAGGTGGAAGGGATCTGCGCCAGGAGGGGTGGGGCTGGAGTCCAGGAGGAAGGGGGTAGCTTGAGGAATGGGTTGCGGCTGAGAGAAGACAGCCTGGAGGGAGGGGTGATGTGAGGAAAGAATGGATGGCAGGTCGTCATTGTGGGGGGTCACTGAGGGGTCAATATAAAGATGTTACCAAGTATGATGACTCGTGCGAGAGGGTGAAGGAGTTTAATACTGGGCAATCAGTGAGTGCGAGGATTAGTTGGATTAATGGAATTAGTTGACCAATGATGCGGGGTGGGATGGGGAGGCTGCAGTCAGTATTGGGGCAAGAGTCATAGCAAGTTGGGGAAAGAAGGCGAAACGAAGCAGCTGATACTGAGAACAGGGAGAGGAGCACAGTTGATCAGAGTCGGAATGAGGAGTGTGTCTGAAGAATTAAAAATTGCATTAAGAAGGAAGTGAGGCGTCCACTGTTCAAGGTGGGCAGAAAATAGTGTTGGTGGCCTGAGGAGTTTTTCTGTGTTGGAAGTATTCCTGCCTGGAATTTGTATTGATATTTCCTCTTCGCTACCAATGGAGTCCACCATCAAGTGCATAGTGATTTAGGAAATTAGATGACTATGCAAGGAGCCCTAAATTCTAAGGGTTAAAGAAGTTACACCGTTTACCCTCCCTTCTACCCCTTCTCCAGATCTAACATAGATGTTCCTGAGAAGATTGCCTGCCTGCCCCTCCCTCGTTACCTTACTCGCCTATCTCCTTGCTTCTTTCCTTCCATTCACATTGATTCCTGTCAGAGTAAGACTGCCCTTTAGCCCAGTGTGGAGTGTGAAGTTTTCTTTTCTTTCACAACAAAGCTTGGGGGAGAGGCGGATGGGGAGAAGAGCATGGAAAACAGGGAAGCGGCTCTGGGAACACCACATTAAAGCCCATCTTCTCCCAGAGGTGCATCTAAATAAATCCTGGCTTATTTCATAGCTATTTCTGTCAGGCTTCTATTTTTGCTTTGTTAACTGGGAATTTAGACCTTTCGTCTCTCTTCAGCCACATATTTGTAAACAGTCTCTTCCCTATTCTATTAGTTACCATGCCCCGTTATGTAGTTGCAGTAGAATTTCAAGAACATGAGTGTACATTCAGTGGAAAACGAGGAAGGACTCAATGGAAGAAAGGGCAAAGGGTTAGGAATCTTAGAGTTGAGAGAAAGTCCCGGCTTCAGAGCGAAGATAAAGAATGCAACAAAATTCTACTTGCTCAAACTATACAGGGACCTTGGGAATGTCCCAAGTCAGGGAAATTGGGTCAGGTCACTGAAAAGGAATTCAAAAAAATAGCGTTTTTATCAGGGGTAAGAGTGTGTGTGTGAGACCTGCAGTGCACAACTAGAAATATTAAGCCTAAGGAGAATGTCGCACCCCCGTGGCAGTTGAGAAATAAAGACAGCAGATAATGAAAACTGGAAAGGTCGAGAGGTCGAGGTCTATATAAAGGTCCGCTAGAACTTTCTTTCTGTTTATTTTTTTTTTTGAGACAGGATTTTCACTCTTGTTGCCCAGGCTGGAGTGCAGTGGCGTGATCTCGGCTCAC
Source organism: Homo sapiens (assembly GCF_000001405.40). NCBI lineage: Eukaryota > Metazoa > Chordata > Mammalia > Primates > Hominidae > Homo > Homo sapiens. The sequence continues at coordinate 43,688,062 of NC_000015.10, read as the reverse complement.
TGCAACCTCTGCCTCCTGGTTTCAAGCGATTCTCCAGCCCCAGCCTCCTGAGTAGCTGGGATTACAGGCGTGCGCCACCCCACCCGGCTAATTTTTTGTATTTTTAGTAGAGGCGGGGTTTCGCCATGTTGGCCAGGCTGTTCTTGAACTCCTGACCTCAAGTGATCTGCCTGCCTTGGCCTCCCAAAATGCTGAGATTACAGGTGTGAGCCACTGTGCCTGGTGGTCAGCTAGAACTTTCTAGTCAAAACTGCAAACCCCAGTTGTAATGAAAGAGTTTGAAATAAAGATAGAGAAAATAATTGTTCAAGACTGTTTTCAAAATCTATGAGACTAATTACATATATAAGATATTATTTCTGTAAGACAAGTTCATTTACTTAAGGAGTTTGTGGCTTTCACTAGAGTCATTGGTCAGTGTTTCTGAGAACTTTTGGAGACCACGGAAAATTGCTGATGTGTGACTCAATTTTTATTTTTGGAAAATAATAACAGATATTCATATCCTTACAATTCATAGGAACAAATGTTAACCTGTGTATTTGCTTCAGATCTTTTTTACAATTGAAATAAACATTGTAGATAAGGTTGTGGAGTACCATTTGAATCCTCAGTTCCATTCTCCCTTCTCAAAGGTAACCACTATCATGAATTTGATGTCTTTCTTTCCAGTCCCTGTTTTTATACTTCTACTAATTATATATGCAGTCATAAACCATATGTAACATTTGTATTTATACAATAGCGATGTACTGCAGGTATATTTCTGCAGTTTGTATTTGGAAACTGTCCATTTATTACATATAGCTTTTATTTTTACATTGCTATTAGTCTATCATTTCTATATATGACATTATATTTATGGATTCTACTTGTAACCTCTGAACTGTTTTCAGTTTTTCTCATTACCAACAGAGAGATGAAGAGGATTAAGAAGTTCCTCACAAAAGTCTTATGTAGGAGAATTTCTCTACAGCAGGGTTTCTCTACCTCAGCACTACTGAGATTTAAGGCTGGATAATTCTTGGTTGTGAGGAGATATCTTACGCATTTTAGAATGTTTGGCAGTATCCCTGGCTTCTACTCACTAGACGCCAATAGTACCTTTCCAATTGTGACAACCAAAAATGTCTCCTGCCAAAAGTCCCCTGTGTAGCAAAATCACAGCTGGTTGAGAACAACTACATTACTTGTGTGTACACAGAAGTGGAACTGCTGGTTCAAGTTAAAGTCTTAAGATATTCTTACTGGTACAGTTTTAGGCAGGATTTTTTTTTTTTTCACTGTAGCTCCTGGTGTGAGGGACCTTGGCCTAGACTAGCACTGGTTCTATAGTACCAGGGGACACTAGAGAGAACATTGAGATTTCAGTTTGAGAGTGGGCTGGAGACTACTGTATGGATGCCTGTATTCTCAACCTCCCAACCACACTAGACCTCTTTCCCTGAACAGGTTTTCTGAACTTGGGCATTTGTCTTCTATTATTATTATTATTATTATTATTATTATTATTATTATCATCATCATTATTTGAGGCAGGGTTTTGCTCTCACCCAGGCTGGAGTGCAGTGGCACGATCACAGCTCACTGCAGCCTTGACCTCTTGGGCTTAAACAAACCTTCCACCTCAGTCTATTGAGTAGCTGGGACCACAGGCTTGTGCCACTCACTATGCCTGGCTAATTTTTAAAAACTTTTTGGCCGGGTATGGCGGTTCACGCCTGTAATCCCAGCACTTTGGGAGGCCGAGGCAGGTGGATCATGAGGTCAGGAGTTCGAGACTAGCCTGGACCGCATGGTGAAACCCCGTCTCTACTAAAAAAAAAAAATACAAAAATTGGCCAGGCATGGTGGGGTGTGCCTGTGGTCCCAGCTACTCGGGAGGCTGAGGCAGAATTGCTTGAACCCGGGAGGTGGAGGTTGCAGTGAGCTGAGGTCATGCCACTGCTCTCCAGCCTGGGCAAGAGAGCGAGACTCCATCTCAAGAAAAGAAATTTTTTTTTTTTCCTTTTGAAACGGTATTTTTTTTTTTTTTGAGACGGAGTCTTGCTCTTTTGCCCAGGCTGGAGTGCAGTGACATGATCTCCACTCACTGCAAGCTCCGCCTCCCGGGTTCACACCATTTTCCTGCCTCAGCCTCCCCAGTAGCTAGGACTACAGGAGCCGGCCACCATGCCCGGCTAATTTTTTTTGTGTATTTTTAGTAGAGACGGGGTTTCACCGTGTTAGCCAGGATGGTCTCGATCTCCTGACCTCGTGATCACCCGCCTCGGCGTCCCAAAGTGCTGGGATTACAGGCGTGAGCCACCGTGCCTGGCCGAAACAGGGTATTTTTGTGTCGCCCAGGCTGGAGTGCAGTGGTACAATCACGGGTCATTGCGGTCCCGACCTCTTGGGCTTAAACAGTCCTCCCAGCTTAACCTCCCAAGTAGCTGGGACCACAGGCAACGTGCCACCATGCATGGCTAATTTAAGAAAAAGCTTTTGTAAAGGTCAGGTCTACCTATATTGCCCAGGCTGGTCTCAAACTCCGAGGCTCAAGCAGTCATCCTGGTTCAGCCTCCGAAAGTGCTGGGATTACACGCATGAACCACTGCACCCAGCCTTAAAATTTTTTTGTAGAGATGAGGTCTTGCTATGTTGCCCTGGCCGGTCTTAAACCCCTAAGCCCGAGCGATCCTCTTGCCTCAGCCTCCCAAAATGCTGGAATTACAGGGATGAACCATGGTATCTGGCTGTGCAACTGTCTTTTAAGGTGGAGTAGATGAAGGAGAGAGAGAGCATGGGGGTTTTATTATTTTTTAAATTTTTGGTTTGAGAGAGGGTCTCACTCTGTCACCCAGGCTGGAGTGCAATGGCGTGATCTCAGCTCACTGCAACGTCTGCATCCTGGGCTCAAATGATCCTCTTGCCTCAGCCTCCCAAGTAGTTGGGACTACAGGCATGCACCACCATGCCTGCCTAATTTTTGAATGTTTTTGTAGAAACTGGGTTTTGACATGTTGCCTGGCTGGTCTTGAACTCCTGGACTCAAGTGATCCACCCTCCTCAGCCTCCCAAAGCGCCGAGATTATAGGTGTAAGCCAGTGTGCCTGGCCTTAATGTTCTGATATAATGCTTAGAATGTAGGGTGCCCTCAATAAATATTTTTTGAGTTAATCTTTGGGAAGAATGAAGAAGAGGTTTAAGGGGAAAGGCAGCTGAGCTCTCTCATTCCTCTGCCTTTGAATTAAATTACTGAATTCAACACTACTGTGAGGAGGTGGAAAAGGGCTAGGAACATTGTGAAATGAGTCCAAAGTTTGAAATGTCACTCTAACCTTCTCTTCTGGTAGGACTCAAGAGTAGCCTTCCTCGAGGACCTGCCTTTCCCATTTGCTGCCTGAAGTTAATGTTTCTTGCTGGCCAAATCAGGGACATGCCGGCATTGTAAGGGCTGATTATCTGATCCTCTTACTAATTTATTGGTTGGGGTGGGGTGAGCAGGGAGGAAAAGGGATACCTTGCTTTTCTTTTATGGCTCTTTTAGCATCTCAAGTCATAGCCCATATGCCTCCTTTCTTGTTGATCCTTCTTCCTATAGCTTTGTTTTGTTTCCCCTTATAGTTCCCTCTTATGCTTTTCATCTCCATCCCCAGCCCCACCCACAGCCAGGGGGCTTGGGTTCTGAGCTGATGGGGTACCCCCCTCTGCAGAGCGGGATGAGTGGGTGTTCCGGCAGGGATGTGGTCATTGACGGCCAGTGAGGGCGAGAGTACCACGGCCCACTTCTTCCTTGGAGCTGGAGATGAGGGGCTGGGCACCCGTGGAATAGGCATGAGGCCAGAAGAGAGTGACAGCGAGCTCCTTGAGGATGAGGAGGATGAAGTGGTAAGAATGGGGAAAATGATGTAACTTGGGGTTGGAGCCTCTGTCCTAAAGAGTTAAGATTCTATTGGTTAGAGATACCTCTCTGTTCTTTCCGAATGCATAGACTCCCTGTCATAAACAGGCCCTATCCTAGTTTAGGGGAGGGGCAGTAGAGATTGGTAGGTTGCCTCTCTTAGAAATCCCTGCCCTGGCCGGGCGTGGGTAATCCCAGCACTTTGGAAGGCCAAGGCGGCCAGATCATTTGAGGTCAGGAATTCAAAAGCAGCCTGTCCAACATGGTGAAACCCTGTCTCTACTAAAAATACAAAAATTAGCTGGGTGTGGTGGTGGGCGCCTGTAATCCCAGCTACTCGGGAGGTCTAGGCAGGAGAATCGCTTGAGCCCGGGAGTTGGAGGTTGCAGTGAGCAGAAATCGTGCCACTGCATGCCAGCCTGGGCGACAGAGTGAGACTCTATCTCCAAAAAAAAAAAAAAAGAAACCCCTGCCCTTAGGATCTTCCTGTCGTCTCATGGTTGTTGGTTCTCTAGCTCTCCTGCTTGAGCACATATTTCCTACTGTGGAAAGGCTCCTATTCTGTAGGCAGTTGGAATCCCTAGCTGTGCCTCAACCTCGATCAAAGTTAGGAGGCACCCTTTATCCCATAGGTCCAGAGTCCTGGCAAGAAACTCTGTGCCCTAAGAAGATAAGACAGTGTTCCCAGAAGGGGGTGATATTGGTGGGAAGTTCTTGAGTTTCTGATAGCACTTCCTCTCTGTAGCCTCCTGAACCTCAGATCATTGTTGGCATCTGTGCCATGACCAAGAAATCCAAGTCCAAGCCAATGACTCAAATCCTAGAGCGACTCTGCAGATTTGACTACCTGACTGTTGTCATTCTGGGAGAAGATGTAATCCTTAATGAACCTGTGGAAAACTGGCCATCCTGCCACTGCCTCATCTCTTTCCACTCCAAAGGTTGGGGTCTATGAAGGAAAATGGGAGGGAATGGTGGTGGGAATACTGGTTCGGGAAATGAGGTTCTTATTGTCTTATTTCCTTAGTAAAGAGCCGTCAGCTACTTGTGACACACTAGAGAATGGTGCCAAGGAGTTTGCTTTCCCTACATCTTGGAGGAGTTGCCGGGGGTTTAAAGCCTATAGTCTAACCTCAGGACAACTCTAAGTGTCTTAGGATCTCTGACAGAATTGGGTCTCTGGAAGGACTGTAAAAATAACTTCTGTTTTACTTTTTCTTGATAAATATCCTAGACTTGGGGAGCTGGGAAGAAGAATAAGTGATGGGTTGAATGGGTAGAGGAGCTCAGTGGCAGCTAATAGCTTTAATATGTCTTTGTATCTCTCTTGCTCTTTTCTCGTTCTCTTTCTCTCCCTTCCTTTGGTCTCTTTATTTCCTGTCTCCATCCCAGGCTTTCCTCTGGACAAAGCTGTTGCTTACTCCAAGCTTCGAAACCCCTTTCTTATCAATGATCTGGCCATGCAGTATTACATCCAAGATAGGTATAACTTCCTGTTGACCAGTGAGATGGGTGGCTTTGGGATCATGCGTGTTCGGGGAACCCACTGTGAGAGGGGCAGAGTCAAACCAACATGCCTAATTTTTGTACCATAATTTTGTGCCCTGGTGTCTTTTAATCCTGTGCAAATGAAATCCCCAGCCTCTCCCCTTAGTTACTCCCACCTCTCCCAGCTATTTTATTTGGGGGTGACAGGAGGGAGGTGTACCGGATCCTGCAGGAAGAGGGTATTGATCTGCCTCGATATGCTGTGCTCAACCGTGATCCTGCCCGGCCTGAGGGTGAGTACCTGGCCTGAGGGAGGGTTAGTCCTGCCTTTCCTTGCTTTCTATGACTTAGCCACGTTTCCATCTTCTAGACATCTCCTGTATACCACCTATCTATGTGGGGTTTTGGTTATTGGATTATGGGTGGGGTTAGAGCCATGAGTCTTCGGACAGAGGGTTGGACCTGTTATATAGAGATTTTACCTCATCTATTACAAAGATATAGTCATAAAAATTTGAGGGTTATAGAGATGAAAACCTGGGGAAATGAGAATTAGTAATATTCCACAACCTTAGGCCATAGGAATGACTACACATCCACCTTTCAGAATGCAACCTGATAGAAGGTGAAGACCAAGTAGAGGTCAATGGAGCTGTCTTTCCCAAGCCCTTTGTGGAGAAGCCAGTGAGTGCAGAAGACCACAATGTTTACATCTACTACCCCAGCTCAGCTGGAGGAGGAAGCCAGCGTCTCTTTCGTAAGGTAGGGGGGATATTTGAGCATCTGGGGAGTCAGAGAGGTGCAAGGGCAAGGATGAGGTTGTGGGGAAGGAAGATGGAGAATTTGGGGACAGAACAGAGAGTTGAGGCAACATTGCTTTTTCTTCTTTTTTTCTCTTGAAGATTGGCAGCCGAAGCAGTGTTTACTCTCCTGAGAGCAGCGTCCGAAAGACGGGGTCGTACATCTATGAGGAGTTTATGCCAACAGATGGCACAGATGTCAAGGTTATGGTGGATATAGGGATTTAAGAGGTTACAAATGTGTGGGTGGGGATGGGGTACTTGGGAAGCAGGTGGAAGTATATGGGGAGGAGGTCCTAGAAAATAACATGATGTGAATGTGATTGGCTTTCATATTCAGGTGAAGATAATGAGTGGAGGATACAGACATTCACATTTTCACTATCAGAGCAAGGGCAAGGCTGACTTAGAAAAATGGTATAATGTTTGTAAATTATTTTTTAATAAGGACTACCTGACAGTAGTGGAGTCCCGAGGAGAAATTCATAATGATACTTCAGTAAGGCTCAGTAGGAAAAATGTTGGTCAGTCTCCTTAATGCTCAGGATTTGTTTTGTTTTTGTTGTTGTTGTTTTACTCTGAAACTCGTCTACAGACCTAGTGCTCATATTGTCTTCTCATATACAGGGTGAGCTGTGGGCATACTCAGTGATGCTATGTACCTGCAGGTGTATACAGTGGGGCCAGATTATGCCCATGCTGAAGCTAGAAAATCTCCAGCTTTGGATGGGAAGGTTGAACGAGACAGTGAGGGGAAAGAGATTCAATATCCAGTCATGCTGACTGCCATGGAAAAGCTGGTGGCCAGGAAAGTCTGCGTAGCTTTCAAGGTAGAGGAGGGCCCAGGGAGGTTGTGAAATGAGGGAGAAAGGAAGGAACAGGGGTCCGGGAAGAGTAACTGTCTTGTTCTCATCTTTCTTCTTTTCCTTGCAGCAAACAGTTTGTGGATTTGACCTTCTTCGTGCCAATGGTCATTCCTTTGTGTGTGATGTCAATGGCTTTAGTTTTGTCAAGAACTCGATGAAATACTACGATGACTGTGCCAAGATTCTGGGGTAAGAGACATAGTGGTCTGCGCTGGGGAGAATGGGCTTACAGAAGAATATTTGAAAGTTTTTGCTTTATTTTAAATATCACAAATATGATTTAAAAGTGAAAAAGCAGGCCAGGCGCGATGGCTCATGCCTATAAACTCAGCACTTTGAGAGGCTGAGGCGGGTGGGTCACCTGAGGTCAGGAGTTAGAGACCAGCCTGGTCAACATGGTGAAACCCTGTTTCTACTAAAGATACAACCTTAGCCAGGCATGGTGGAGCATGCCTGTAATCCCAGCTACTAGGGAGGCTGCGGCAGGAGAATCGCTTGAACGCAGGAGGTGAAGGTTGCAGTGAGCTGAGATAGTGCCATTGCACTCCAGCCTGGGTGACAAGAGCAAAACTGCGTCCCAATAAATAAATAAATTAATTAATTAATTAAATTAAAAAAATAAAAATAAGAAAGGAAGGGCTCCTCAGGCTCCTTGCCTTTCTAACACTGCCCCTCCCAGAGACCATTGTTGTTAACAGTTTTAGACATAACAATTTATCTTTTTCTGCCATATCCAAACTGTATTTCTTTTACTAAATGTGGTCATACTATAATACTGCTCTGCAACTTGACTTTCCAAGAAATTTGTCACGTAATGTATAAACCATTCAGAAATATATGAGGAATGATGACTATAGTGAGCATCTATGTATTCACTACCTAGCTTAAGAAATAAAATATTAGGAATATAGGTCGGGTGCGGTAGCCCTTGCCTTTCTAACACTGCCCCTCCCAGAGACCATTGTTGTTAACAGTTTTAGACATAACAATTTATCTTTTTCTGCCATATCCAAACTGTATTTCTTTTACTAAATGTGGTCATACTATAATACTGCTCTGCAACTTGACTTTCCAAGAAATTCGTCACGTAATGTATAAACCATTCAGAAATATATGAGGAATGATGACTATAGTGAGCATCTATGTATTCACCACCTAGCTTAAGAAATAAAATATTAGGAATATAGGTCGGGTGCGGTAGCTCACGCCTGTAATCCTGGCACTTTGGGAGGCCGAGGCGGGTAGATCACCTGAGGTCAGGAGTTTGAGACCAGCCTGACCAACATGGTGAAACCTCGTTTCTACTACAAATACAAAAAATTGGCCAGGCTCAGTGGCTTCCGCCTGTAATCCCAGCACTTTGGGAGGCCAGGGTGCGTGGATCACCTGAGGTCAGGACTTCGAGACCAGCCTGGCCAACATGGTGAAACCCCATCTCTACTAAAAATACAAAAAAAAAATGAGCCAGGCATATTGGTGGACGCCTGTAATCCCAGCTACTTGGGAGGCTGAGACAGGAGAATCACTTGAACCCGGGAGGAAGAGATTGCAGTGAGCCGAGATCATGCCGCTGTACTCCAGCCTGGGTGACAAGAGTGAGACTCCATCTCAAAAAAAAAAACCCAAAAAAAAAAAAAATTAGTCAGCCGTGGTGGTGGTTCCCTATAATCTCAGCTGCTTGGGAGGCTGAGGCAGTAGAATCACTTGATCCCAGGAGGTGGAGGTTGCAGTGAGCTGAGATCATGCCATTGTACTCCAGCCTGGGCAACAAGAGTGAAACTCTATCTCAAAAAAAAAAAAAAAAAAAAAAAAAAATATATATATATATATATACACACACACACACACACACACACACACGTACACATATATGTATATATGTGTATATATGTACGTATATATGTATATATACACATACATATGTGCATCTATATACACATATGTGCATCTATATACACATATGTGTGTATCTATATGCGCATACATGTGTGTATATACACAAACTGTACACATACGTGTGTGTATGTACACATACGTGTATGTGTGTGTGTGTGTGTGTGTGTGTGTGTGTATATAATCGAAGCCCCTATGTACTCCTCCCTAGTAACATCCCCTCCCCATCCCCAGAGGGAACCACAATCCATAATTTGGTGTTTGTCATTCCTTGTATTTATTTATATTTGTACTACATAAATATGGGTATTTGTTTGTATGTTTTTAGACTTTATATTAAGGTATTCTTCTGCCTGCAGCCTGCTTGTTTTTGTGAGCTTCATTCCTCTGAGTAGTTCTGGTTTATTCATTTTTACAGGGCTTCTTTGTTTCTCTTTCTAGGAACACCATAATGCGGGAGCTTGCCCCACAGTTCCAGATTCCATGGTCCATCCCCACGGAGGCTGAGGACATTCCCATTGTTCCCACCACATCTGGCACTATGTAAGCAAAAGCAAAAAATCTGGAGTAACCTACTTAAGACCCATGGGATTCCTTAAGCCAGGCTAATGGTTACTTCCTGACCCCACACTATCTGACTAACGGAGCCTAGGCCTCTTATACACAGTCTTCTTAACTCCACTTATATTCCCCCGCCGTTTTTTTTGTTTTGTTGTGTTTGTTTTTGAGACAGAGTCTAGCTCTGTTGCCCAGGCTGGAGTGCAGTGGCATGATCTCGGCCCACAGCAACCTCCACCTCCTGGGTTCAGGTGAGCACATCTGGCTAATTTTTGTGTTTTTAGTAGAGATGGGGTTTCACCATGTGACCAGGCTGATCTTGAACTCCTGACGTCAAGTGATCCACCCGCCTCGGCCTTCCAACGAGCTGGGATTACAGGCATGAGCCACCATGCCCAGCCTCCATTTATATTCCTAATCTCAGTTCCCTTTTCTTTTTCTTTCTTTCTTTTTTTTTTTTTTTTTTTTTTTTTTGCGACAGGATCTGGCTCTGTCTCCCAGGCTGGAGTGCAGTGGTGCACTCATGGTTCACTGCAGCCTCTATCTCCTGGGCTCAAGTGATGCTCCCACCTCAGCCTCCCAAATAGCTGGGACCACAGGCGTGTGGCACCATGCCTGGATAATTTTTTTTCTTTTAACTTTTTTTATAGAGACAGACTCACCCTATGTTGCTCATGCTCACCCTATGTTTCTCCTGGGCCTGAGTGATCCTCCCACCTCAGCCTCCCAAAGTGCTGAGATCACAGGCCTGAGCCCTGCTCAGCCCCTCTGTTTTTTTGACATGTCAAGTAATGTGATGACAGCAGGTGGGATGGGGGTGTGGGAGAGGCTCTGATAACATTTATGATCTTAGGATGGAACTTCGTTGTGTCATTGCAATTATTCGTCATGGGGATCGTACTCCCAAGCAGAAGATGAAGATGGAAGTGAAACACCCAAGGTCAGAAGAGTGTCCTAATTTACATAAATAGGTTTTTGTGAGGAAGACTGCATGGGGGGCAAGTCCTGGAGGCTTTGACTGTCTCATGCCACACTGAAGCTTCTCGTTACTTCTTCAGGTTTTTTGCTCTGTTTGAAAAACATGGTGGCTACAAGACAGGGAAATTAAAACTCAAGCGACCTGAGCAGCTCCAGGTAAGGTAGTGAATCTGACCAGGAGGAACAGTGCCATGAGAGAGATAGAGGATATGGCATTGGGAGTCTTGATAAAAGACTAGGATGGAAAGGTAACTGTCTAGGACTTGGCCTTCTGCATGGATACCTTATTATTTCCTCTAGGAGGTGCTGGATATCACAAGGCTGTTGTTGGCTGAACTGGAGAAAGAACCAGGTGGTGAGATCGAGGAGAAGACTGGAAAACTAGAGCAGCTGAAGTCTGTACTGGAGATGTGAGAAAGGGGATAGCAAAAGGGAGCCAATAACAGTGAGAATTGGGGTGCTGGAACAGAACATAAACTGTGACTTTATCCTGCAGGTATGGTCACTTCTCAGGTATAAACCGGAAGGTACAATTGACTTACTACCCTCATGGAGTAAAAGCTTCTAATGAGGGGCAAGGTAAGATGTAGTCCCCCTTACCACTACCTCTCAGATCTTGTGTTCTTTTTATGTTTTTTGTCCATCTTCTTTCCCCACAAGATCTCTTTTTCTTGAGCCTATAGATGACCTTTACCCCAAATTACATCTCTGGTCTCCTCAGAAGACCTAAGGTTTAGATGTTCCCACTATTTTTCTTAGATCTAGACCATTCACTGCCTCTTATTCCTTCAGATCCACAGAGGGAAACTCTGGCCCCATCTCTGTTGCTGGTACTGAAGTGGGGTGGAGAACTGACTCCTGCTGGCCGTGTTCAGGCTGAGGAGCTGGGGCGAGCTTTTCGCTGCATGTACCCTGGAGGACAGGGTGAGTGTTTTGGGGAGTGAACGCATAGCAGGGCCAGGATAAAATGATTAGAGAGTAAGTTGGGGAAAATGAAGGGACAGAGACAGTGGGGGAATGAATATTTTTTCTTCCACGAGTATTTATAGCAGTCCATTTGTGGTCCCCCACCTTTGTCCCCAGGTGACTATGCTGGCTTCCCTGGTTGTGGGCTGCTTCGTCTCCATAGCACTTTCCGCCACGATCTCAAGATCTATGCCTCTGATGAGGGTCGTGTTCAGATGACTGCTGCTGCCTTCGCCAAGGTGCATACTACAGTTCTGTAGTCCCAGTTTCCATTAGGTAGAGAAGCAGAGAGTTTGGAGAACCAGTTGGAGCATTTCAGGGTGCTTGTAGGCCAACTCAGAGAAGTTTCTGCATGTATCGGACCCATTCTGTACTACCGAGAATGAGCTGAGAATAATTAGTGAGGGTAGGCCCCATCTCTTCAACCAGCTCCCGTTCGATCCCTGGGACCATCTAGGCCTAGGGATGCTAACCTGCAAGGGAAACAAATAGACCTTGTGCTTTCTCTTTAGGGCCTTCTGGCTCTAGAAGGGGAGCTGACACCCATTTTGGTGCAAATGGTGAAGAGTGCCAACATGAATGGGCTACTGGACAGCGATGGGGATTCCTTGAGCAGCTGCCAGCACCGGGTGAAGGCTCGGCTGCACCATATTCTACAGCAGGATGCGCCCTTTGGCCCTGAGGACTACGATCAGGTCAGGCTCAAAAATAGCCTGGATCCCCAATTCCTAGAATTCTAAATAGTAGGGATCAATAATAACAGTATTTACTGCATGCCAGGCACTGTTTTAGTTATTTTACACATATATTATTTAATCCTTACAGCAACCCTTTGAGATAAGTACAGGTCCACAATCTCTTATGCATAATTTTGAAAATTAAAAAGATTTTTTTCTTGACATTGAGATTCATTTGGCAGCTAAACCTGACACGAACTGTCATAAGACTTTTATAATCCTTAGTTTTCCCACTTAGTGTAAATAGTCGTGCATTTTGTGGCAGAAATATTAATGTGTTTGGTTATGCCATGGGCCCTGATGGAGGTATTATATACATATGGCATATGTACTGTATTAACTTCTAAAGTCCCACAGATTCTCAGTTCCAAAGCACAGCTCTGATCCCAAGGATCCTGAACAAAAGAACGTTTCAGTTATCCATTGTTGCATAATAAACTACCCCAAAACGTAGTAACCTAAAACAGCAACCATTTTATTATCTCTCACAGTTCTGGGCTCATCTGATCTTGCTTGGAGTCTCTCCTGAAATTGCAGTCAGATATTGACTGGAGCTGGAACCATCTGGAAGTTCAGCTGGGACTGTGGGATGGCTGGCTCTCTCCCTCTTCATGCTCTCCCTGTAACCTCAGTGCCTCTTTTCTCCACATGGTTCTTCATATGGTTTCCGTAGCATGATAGCCAGATGTATTAAATGGTAGCTTTAGGGATATTCAAAAGCAGAAGCTTAGAAGCTTTCTTAAAGTGTAGGCCCAGAAATAGCACAACATAACTTTGTTATTTTTTATTGGTTAAACAGTTACAGGGCCAGCCAGATTTAAGGGAAGGGAAGGAAAGGAAGACAAAGAATTGATGGTCATCTTTAAAGCACTACAAGGACTGTAGACCACAAGGACTTTCCTCCCATTTTACAGATGAGGAAACCTAGGCTCAGAAGAATCTAAGCAATTTTCCTCATGTCATCCAGCTAATACAAACCGAAGGGGTCTAACTCCAACGCCCAGGCTGTTACATTGCTTTATAGTATTAATCCCACTATATGCCATTACCCAATATGGTCGTTCTTTTTCCTGCATATCTAGGCCACAAATGACCAGGCAGTGGTTTTCTACTCTTCCCACTCCTCATTTCTGATATGTTCTTTTAAAAAAATGTTTAAAACTTTAAAATTGTGGTACCATTTTAACCATTTTTAAGTTTACAGTTCAGTAGCATTACATGTATTTACATTGTTGTGTAACATTTCTGATTGGTTCTTAAATGAGTTAAGTAGCTAAGCACATTGCTGTGAGCCCATAGGATTTTCTGTGTTCTCTGAGTAGGACTTGATAAGGAACAGGACCTTGCTCCTTTATTTCCCAATCCATTGCTCACTGTCAAACTCAAAAAAGCTAAGGCAGCTTTCCTTTCTGCCTTGCCTTCTTTTGCGAGCAAGAATGAAACTTGTGAGGACCTAAACAGAATTGTGCATTTTCAGCCACAGTCTTGATTCTGCCTCCACATTTCTCATTGACTGTTACTGTCCTACAAGCCTGAGTCAGAACCCAGTTTTGAGGCAGCATTTCTACTCTAGGCTCAGGCTAGCATCTTGTTTAGAGGAAGAAGATAATGTTATCTGTGATCTCTACTCATGAAAACATTCTGTGGAGATTTTGAGGGATTTTGGTTCAATCTTTATTCTCCAGTATTTTCCATGTGTATTCTAGAGCCCTCAAGAAAAGAACTTAGGTCTGTTTTATTTTCTCTGGACTCTTAAAATCAATCCCTCTTAGACGACTATATGCTAGAGCAGTGCCCTTACCTGAAGGCCTAGAACTGCTAGTATGCCCAGTAACCTAAGAATGCTCACTGGAGTGAACCAACATACAGAGCTGTATTGTGAGTAGTCTCTGTGTAATAAACTCACAGGAATCTGGGCAATTAGTGCCGAGCCTGTCTTGCTTTTCTTCTCTCTATTCTTCATAGCTGGCTCCCACCAGAAGTACTTCCCTGCTCAACTCCATGACTATCATCCAGAATCCTGTGAAGGTCTGTGATCAGGTATTTGCCCTGATCGAAAACCTCACCCACCAGATCCGGGAACGAATGCAGGACCCCAGGTCTGTAGGTGGGTATGAATACTACTATCTTCCCTTCAAGGTCTCAGGTATGGATGGGTTTCTCAGGCATTCTGGTGTCCTCTCCTAAATGTCAGAGACCAGGCCTCCTCCTCCCTCTGGCTGTACTTCAGAGTTGTCAGGGTCTTTTGTTGGAGGTAAAATCTTTGATTCTTATCTGATTCCTGCCTTTCTTCCAGACCTGCAGCTCTACCACAGTGAGACACTAGAGCTAATGCTACAGCGTTGGAGCAAGCTGGAGCGTGACTTTCGACAGAAGAGTGGGCGCTATGATATCAGTAAGATCCCTGACATCTATGACTGTGTCAAGTATGATGTGCAGCACAATGGGAGTCTGGGACTTCAAGGCACAGCAGAGTTGCTCCGTCTCTCTAAGGCACTGGCTGATGTGGTCATTCCCCAGGTGTGTCTTGTATAAGGGACCTAGCCTGGGGATGAGGGTGTTGGGAAGGAAAGAGAGAAAAGGTGGAAAGGAAGGGTGATTTGAGACTAGAGGAAAGCAACTCAGAGAAGGAATAGGTTGAGTTGCTACATTTCTCAGGGTCCACTCTGGCTCTTGGTAAGTACAGGAGGCTAATTCAGGAGACACCTGGAAGAGGGGGAATGTAGTGGATATGAAAGAAGCCCTAGACGTGAGGTGAAGACAGGCATGATCTTGGTCCTGGGAATATGAGGCATGAGAAAACAAGATTTATTGAGGTATTTATTCCTGGCCTGTGGCCCCTAGGAGTACGGGATCAGTCGGGAGGAGAAACTGGAAATTGCTGTGGGCTTCTGTCTTCCACTGTTGCGGAAGATACTACTTGACCTGCAGAGAACCCACGAGGATGAGTCTGTCAACAAGCTGCATCCCCTGTGAGGGAGGGCTGGGAGGGGTGTTGGATGGAGGGAGGGGCATGTCAGGGAGCCTTGGGGGAATCAAAGCTGGGACAGCCTGGGGAACCAAGAATAGACAAGATTTTGGGATGGAAAGGAGAGAAGTCTTTGAGGTGGGAGGAGGGAGTTTGCAGAAGGGTGGGAACAGGGTTAACTGACTGTGTGAGTGATTTAGCTGTTATCTCAGGTACTCCCGAGGCGTGCTCTCCCCAGGTCGCCACGTTCGAACGCGTCTCTATTTCACCAGTGAGAGCCATGTCCACTCCCTGCTCAGTGTCTTCCGTTATGGAGGACTTCTTGATGTAAGGATCCTCCTTCTTCTTTAGCCTGTGAACAGCTTTTTCCCAGCATTCTTTTACTCTTCTCAAATGAAAGCTTTCTCCATTCTCATTGGCTCCCTGCTCATTCTCTGACTCCCATTTCCTTAAGCAATGGCTTACCTCTTTTTGCATTTGGTAGGAGACCCAGGATGCACAATGGCAGCGAGCTTTGGATTATCTTAGTGCCATCTCAGAGCTTAACTACATGACCCAGATTGTCATCATGCTTTATGAGGACAACACACAGGTGAGGAGCTAGCAGGTGGGAGATGAGAGGAAGGCCCCTTCTTTTGAATTCTATTAAAAAAAAAAAACTTGCTTATCCTTATAATTTGGAGAATCCAGCTAGGTGTGGCACTTACGCACAGCATGACACAGAGCATCCAGGAAGTTCCTACTGGAATGGAAAATATGTTCTGGGATGTTGTTGAGCCAGAGAGGTAACCTAGAACACAGCTCTGGCATTAGAAGAGTATGGAATTTGGGACAATGTTATGAGTCTTATTTCCTCAAACATGGTTATACATATACCTTCTGCATACGGCTCCACAATGATACTTTTTTTTTTTTTTTTTTTTTTTTGAGACAAGGTCTCACTCTGTCACCCGCGCTGGAGTGCAGTGCTACAATCTGAGCTCACTGCAGCCTTGCAACCTCTGCCTCCTGGGCTCAAGTGATCCTCTCACATCAGCCTCCCAAGTAGCTGGGATGACAGACATGTGCCACCATGCCCGGCTAATTTTTTGTAGAGATAGGGTCTCAACATGTTGCCCAGGGTGGTGTCAAACTCCTGGACTCAAGTGATCTGCCTGTCCCAGCCTCCCAAGGTGCTAGGATTACAGGTGTGAGCCACTGCTCCTGGCCCACAAGGTATCTTTAAATGTTCTGCTATATGCACCACAGCCAAGCTGAGTTATTGTGGAAGGTGATGGGAAGCGTTGTAAAGCTGGAAGTTCAGAAGTCATGTGCAATGGTGAAATCACAAATGGTAGAGATGAGGGAATGAGGATCCTGTAAGAGACAATATATAGTTGAAAGGAAGCTATAACAGGTCAGCCCCGGAGTGGGACAAGACCCTGAATTCCTGGGAGGATGAATCCCCTTGAGTTCCTCTCTACTTCCACCACAATATCCAGCTTCTCCCAACTTCCCCCTCTTGTGGTTATGCTCCATAGGATCCCTTATCAGAGGAACGGTTCCATGTGGAGCTACACTTCAGCCCCGGAGTGAAAGGTGTTGAGGAAGAAGGCAGTGCCCCGGCTGGCTGTGGATTCCGTCCAGCCTCTTCTGAGGTGGGTCAGAGTGCTGGGATTTGGGACTGAAGGACTTAGGAACCAAGTGGTGGGAAGCAGTACAGGGAGAAGTAAAAGGGCTAGGTAGTCTGGGATTAGGATTTTGGAGGCCATTAACACCTCTCTTATCTGCCTTTTGTTGTATAGAATGAGGAGATGAAAACCAACCAAGGCAGTATGGAGAACCTGTGTCCAGGAAAGGCATCAGATGAACCAGACCGGGCATTGCAGACTTCACCCCAGCCTCCTGAGGGCCCTGGCCTTCCGAGGAGATCACCCCTCATTCGTAACCGAAAAGCTGGTTCCATGGAGGTAATGAGAGGGCCTTGGGAAGAAATGAAGGGGTGGCAGTGCTCATAGGACTATATCCACAGATCCACTAGATCCCCTTGGGGGGTCTCTTGGGACTTGAAGCAGAGTCCTCCTGCTCTGATTGATATGTTTTACTTAATCTCTCTTTCACAGCTGGTCTCCCAGTAGTGCTTCTTTAACTGGTTGCTACTTCTCAGATTAAAGAGTTGCCATTGAGGGATGCCTGAGAGATAAGGGTTTAAAGAGATAAGATTAAGGAGGAGGCCTCTGGATGAATTTGAAAAGGTAGTTCTTTAAAAGGAAATCTAGTGGAAACAGCTTGAACTCCGGGCCAAAATCCCAGTGTAATACTTGGAAGCTGTGTGACTTTGGCTGGGTAACTTCTCTACATTTCTCTGACCTTAACTTCTCTAAGCCTCAATTTTTTTTCACCTCTAAAATGTGAGTAGTATCCACTTTATAGATGCTCAACAAGCAGTAATATATTAACAATGCAATTGATATTAAAGGTCCAGCCCTCTCCAGCTCTTGGTCACCTTGGGTAAAAATTATAGCTCAGATAGGAGCAAATACCTGGCACTTTATCTGTACTGTCATTCCAGAAAGTGGGTCAGTCAAGAGCTCTGTCTGTCTTCCTCTTGTTCTAATGAGGATCTTTATCAGCATGGGCCTATATTCTGCTGTTCTTGGAGGTTGTTTCTAGTTCTGGTTCTAGCTCTCTAGCCTAAAGGCAGTAAGTGTTATTAATCTCATATTGTGTCCAGCTAACCATCTGAGGTTTTTGTTTTGGTCTTTTTCCTGGAAAAACTGTTTCTGTCTTTGGCCTAATTATATCCTTTTTTTTTTTCCCCTATCTTGCTCTTTCTGTATCACTTACATTCATTTTGACACCACAATTTATCCCTGTCTCAGAGACTTTGACTGTCTGATTTAGATTCTGCTCTGTCCTAATGACCGTGTTCACCCTGGCTCGGTGCCAGGTCTCTATCTTAGAGGAATTGGTTTTTCCATTTTAGGGATATATCAGAAGAATCTATAACAAGCTGACCTAGGTTCAGCAAAAGTTTTGCAATTCAGATTTTGGAGAAAGCTGAGAAGATGAACTGCAGTCTCTTCTTTTGATTCATCCTTTACTTCCTGATTATTTTAAGGTGAAATTGCCATTGGTAATATGCAGAGTTTCTTTAGGTAGGATATACATTATTTTCTCTTTGAGGTGTAGGTGTCGGTTGGTATCCGTAGTACTCTATTACCCTTTATACTCACATCCAATAGATCACATGGATAGAATGATACATAATCTTCCATCAATAAACTGATCCTCCAAATGTCTTTCCTATTCACATGGTCTGCTAGTCTCTCCTGGTGCTGTTGTGCCTGAACCGCGTCCCCCATCCCCCAACCATTTTTTTCTGGTTTATGCAGTCATAAGACATAGACAGCTGCGTGTGGTGGATCACACCTGTAATCCCAACACTTTGGGAAGCCTAAGTGGGAGAATCATTTGAGGCCAGGAGTTCAAAACCAGCCTGGGCAACATGGCAAGATCCTGTCTCTACAAAAAATTTTAAAACATTATAAGATGGAAAAAAAAAAAAGGCACAGGTAAAGGAAAGCTCTGTGTATCATCTCTCAGACTTGATAAGATTGACTTCTTTCAGGCCTATGGGAAGCTTCCTATTGTAATCACAGGCTTTCTTTTCAATTACTAGTGCTGCTTAGACCCTGGCTTATCCAGGGTGATGGTTGTCCAGGATATTTTCCTCAGCTTTGCAAGAAAATCATCTCTCTGCTCCTTGGTCACAAAGCCTTATGATACTAATGTTAATGTTTATCTTCCTTGCTCTATAAATATAGGCATACAACTTATCCTTCCCTCCATCCCTTCTTCTCCTCTTGTCATCTCATACTTTTTAACTATTTTAGATTATAAAACTTACGACCTTTATAGCAGCTATGCCCTAGCTGGTCATCCTCTCTAGCCCTGTAACTAGCTCTGCCCTGTGGGCCCTGGGGCTTTTGGGAGCCTGGGGTTTAAAGGAGCCGTGACCGGCTTTCCACCCGGTCTGATTGCAGGTCATGAACATGCAGTGCACGGGGAACCTGGACCTCATCCCCTTGCGGGGACGGCGCTGCAGGAGGTCGGGAGACCTCCCCCAGCCTTCCCTAGCCATTGGCCTACAGCCCCGGGCTGTGTCCACCACTCACCTGGCATCCTGCACACAGGTGTCCCTCCCTACCTCACCTTCCTGTCTTGCCTTCTGTCTTTGCCTTTTGGGATCTAGGGGCTCAGACACTATCTGGGTGGGATGTGTGTGTTTTGGGGGTTGTGTGATTGGGCCCTTGTGGGCATTGTAAAAATTCTGTTTCATGTTTCTAGGGGTGAGACAGTGGAGGGGTGGGCTTCTTGGTTCTAACAAGGAATGTAGTATGGTTGCAGTAGCCACAGCTCTCCCATGCAAAGAAGAGAGGGTGGCCAGACTCTTATCTGTGGCTGAGCCATTGTGATTGGCTTTCTGAGTCTGTGGGGGGATAGATACAATTAGGAAACTCTGCTCTGCTGAGAACTAGGAATGGGTTGAATAATGATTTCTCAAACTCAGATTGGGAATGGGAGGGCTGTGGGGAAAGGCATCTTGAAAATAGAAGTGCCTTCTAGTATAGAAAGATGCCCCGGACAGTTCCCTCCATAAAGTACATTCTCTGTTCCCTTTTCATCCCTCTTCCCCTATAAATCCTTTGGTACTTCCAAACTTTCTAACATTGCTTGGCTTTGTAGGGACAGGAATCCAGGACCTGAGTTTTATACTTTGGGGTTGAGGTGGCAAAATGATTAATATAGAGTCCTTTTTCTGCAGGTACTTTCTGAGACTTCATCCTCGAGGCCTGGTGGCTACCGGCTCTTTTCATCTTCACGGCCACCCACAGAAATGAAGCAGAGTGGCCTAGGTATGGTTTTGCCAGCATTTCTCACCTATTGTTGGAAAAGTTGTCTGTCTGTTCTTCAGAGTTTTATTGTGGGAAACCTTTGTCATGGGATTTGGGACCGTCCAATCAGTGGAATATCATCAGGTGGAGGTAGGGAGGATGAAGTGGGAGAAGCCATAGTTAGATGTGAACTTGGATCTCAGATGATTATTCCATCCCAGGAAGGTGTTTATCTCTTGGTTTTCTATACCAACCACATTTCCCTGGCCAAAGGGCGTTTTTCTGGCTTTCCCTCTCATTCCTTATCTGTCCCTCCAGTCTAGCCCAGACCTTAAGGGGCCATGGAGACTCTGAACCTTCAGAGTTATCAAAGACAGAGCTATAAATAGAGGTACTTGCAACCCTCATAAATGTCGTATTCCTCATTTGAAGAAATGTGCCACGTCTTCCCCTGAAACCTGTGTTTTTCACATCCCCGCTCTTGCCCTTCTTACCACCTTGCCCTTTCCTCCATCATCTCCTAATCCTGTAACTTTTTCCCCTTCCTTCTGGAAAATTGACCAGTCTGAGACTGGTGTAGTGGCAGAGGCATCTCTCAGGACTTTGAGGAAATGTCTCTTGATTTTTGGATCCCTGGAAAGGGGTAGAGAACATCACTCAGCTTTTTCTAAGAGCACAGACGGCAGGAAGGACCAAGCCTCAGAGGGTATTGTATTCTTTGGGTGGGGGGCAGTCCTTGGGAGGAACTATCTCTGAGCACAGTGCCTTGTGAGCCAGTAATTAGAACTGGAGGTCAGACATGGTTGTGTGGGGTCTGGTCTTGGTCCTCTGGCTGTTTCTGTCTTGTCCTATTATTCTCTCTATTTAGCGCCTCTAATTGTTCTGTTGCCTTTGTCCTTGGCAGCCATTTTCTTGGCCCCAAAATGGTCAGCTTTTGGACTAGCAAGGGGGAGAAAGGTTTTGGTAACTTTCCAGGCTAATTTTATGAGAATAAGTTGCCTTCTAGATTCCTGAAATGAGGAAGATGGTATGGGGCATGAGAAATAAATGACAAGTGTGTAGATCTGGCCAGGCGCAGTGGCTCATGCCTATAATCCCAGCATTTTGGGAGGCCAAAGAAGGCAGATCACTTGAGGTCAGGAGTTCTGAGACTAGCCTGGCCAACATAGTGAAACCCCATCTCTACTAAAAATACAAAAATTAGCTGAGCATGGTGACGCATGCCTGTAATCCCAGCTACTTGGGAGGTTGAGACACGAGAATTGCTTGAACCCAGAAGATGGAGGTTGCAGTGAGCTGAGACTGTGCCACTGTACTCCAACCTGGGTGACAGAGTGACACTCTGTCTCAAAAAAAAAAAAAAAAAAAAAAAAAAAAAAACCCGAAACAACAATAGTGTAGATCTAAGAAATGAACCTCTCTTCCCAGAAGTCCCAGTAAAGAATAGGTTTCAGACAGACTAGAAAAGAGGATAGGTGTGTCTGTCCCAGTTAAGTGGGCCGTGGGAATGCTTTCAAGAGCAAGGCAGAGGTATGGACATGGAACTGGTTGGCAGATGGTGGTGGTAAGGTAGAGACCACCCTCTGAGATGATCTGAGGACTGGGCAGAACAGAGTTGGCATGACTGCACCAGAAAAGTATTCAGTGGAGGAAGTGTATGTAGGACAAAGCTTGGGGTGGTCTGGGATAGAGCCAGCTAGTTTTAGCTTCTCTGAAGAAAAGCAGTCATATTTAGCAACTGTTATTACTCTCTGGAATCTCATTCCAGAGCCTGTTTGAACATGAAAGGTGGAGGAAGTTGCTGTATAGGGGAGAGGTCCTGAATTCCAGGGTGGGAATCATCAGGCATCTGAACTTCCTGATTGCTCTGGTGACCCCGAAATCCTGGGACCCCTGAAACCATGGTCCCTTCTTGGTGGCCTCAAGGGAATTGAACTCCTTTCCACTCCATCCATTTCCCCTATGAATGTTAAGTCCCAAGCCAAACCCAGGGTCTTGGCTAAGATGGATTTGGAAGTAGAGAGGCAAATCCTGAGAACTTGGGTATCAGTCTTGTTTCTTCTTGACCACTCTGTCCTTATAGGCTATAGTAGGAGAAGGGACCGTGGAGTCCTAACCCTCCTCTAGATCAGCTGTTGGGGACAGTGACTGGTCTGATTTATTTCATACTTCAGAGATTATTCAGATTTTATTTAATCCTCTCATTGGCAATGGAATTCTCTTTGTTTTCTTAGAATTTATATGTGTGGGCAACTGGCTTTGAGCATAGGCTTACATGATAATACACTTTTGCAAGCAGAACAAACATGTCTTTTTGTTGTTATTTCCTGTATTCCTTCTTAGTAGGGTGCTCCTCACATAATAGGCATGCTCTACATATAATCAACTGATTCTTCACATGCCCTTCAATTTGTGTCCATCTTGACTTTAGAAACTGCTGGTTCCTAAAAAAAAATAGTTATTTATTTTCTAACAATACAGTTGGTCCTCAGAGTCAGGAGACCTGGATTCTAGTCCAGCTTAGCTTCTAAAAAACTATGTGACCTTGAGCAAAGGAGGTCCCTTTTGGATCTCAGTTTCTTCATCTCTAAAATAAGAAAGTTGGACTGGATGATCTATGAGTCCCTTCTAGCTTAAAAAATTCAATGAGGCAGGGGGCTGTGGCTCACACCAATAATCCCAGCACTATGGGAGGCCAAGGTGGGAGGATCACTTGAGCTCAGGAGTTAGAGACCAACCTGGGCAACATAGTGAGACCTCATTTCTACTAAAAATAAAAAAATTGTCCAGGCATGATGGTGTGTACTTGCAATCCCAGCTACTTGGGAAGCTAAGATGGGAGGATCACTTGAGCTTGGGAGACCAAGGCTGCAGTGAGCTATGATTGTGCCACTGCACTGCAGCCTGGGCAACAGAGTGAGACCCTGTCTTAAAAAAAAAAAAAATTGTGAGCCTCATACTTTCATTCTTGGGAAAGGTCAAAAGGCCTGAAGGGAGGGGATGTTGGATGAAAAACTTAGGAAGGATTGGAAGGGTGCCAGCTGAGTGTTCAGAATATAGTCTCTAGCTTCAGTCAAAGCCTTTTCCTTTCAAATATACAAGGACTAGATTTCTGGGTTTCTCAAGCTATATATCCAGGGTAAGGGGTGCCGAATTAAATCTGAGGGGAATCTAGAGGGACCTACCTGTTATTTTGGCATTTCTGAGAGCCACCTGAAGAGCACAGTCTATCCCTTCCAGTAGCTTTGAATCCCCTAATATGACTAACCCTGCATTTGTAGTGGCCTGTTGTTTCTGCCATGTAGCTCTTCAGAAGAATCCCCCTTTTGCTTGCCCACTGTGACTATGGAGAAGTGTAAAGCCATTTGTGGTTATGTGGAATGGCCACATGGTGGTGGCTCTGAATGGCTGCATGTGTGTCTTGATGTTATCATGTGAAGTTGTGTATAGTTCTGTGTGATAGTTGTGGCTTTACGTGGCTACTAACGCACTCCCGGCCTTGCAGGCTCACAGTGCACAGGGCTGTTCAGCACCACAGTGCTGGGTGGCTCCTCCAGTGCCCCGAATCTTCAGGACTACGCCCGCAGCCATGGCAAAAAGCTACCACCTGCCAGTCTGAAGCACCGAGATGGTATGTGGGTGGGTTTTGGGGGATAACTCCTTTTTTCACTTGTCTCTCAGCAAGGACATAGCTCAAGAACTATTCATGCTTAAGATGACACTGGCCTTATAACAAGTTTTCTTCATCAGTAATAGATGGGAGAAGGAACCAGGACCCCTTTCACCCCTCCATTTGCATTTCCTCTTGCCATAAAAATACTACTTATTTATGCTTATCCCTTCATAATCTCCCACATACAGTCCTGCTGCATCAGTTTGTACTCTTTCCTGGATTCTGGCCTGTAGGGGTAAGGACCAAGGAGGATGATGCATAGTTGGGAAGAAAGTGGTGGAACCTCGATTAAAATCCAGCAAATTGGGTTTAGGGAAGGGAATGTTACTCAACCAAGGGAGAAAAGATAATGTGGAAAGAGACTAGGGGAAGGGATGAATATTTCTGTGAAGATTTTATTTCCAAATGACCAGAAAGAAGACACAGTGGTAAAATTAGGGTTGTTTGTAGGGGTGTATTGTGGTAGAGATGACACATTGATTCCTAAGAGATTTATCAAAGGAAAAGAGATTGACGTGTGTTAGTTAGAAATCCAAGGGATGGGGAGGGGAGCAGGTCAGATAACTAACTTTAAAGAACAGAATATCTTGCGGGCAAACTCCAGAGCAGAGGGTGGGGACAAGGGTGGGTATAATCCCCATGATGTCTTTTCTCCCCAGAGCTCTTGTTTGTCCCGGCCGTAAAACGATTTTCTGTGTCGTTTGCAAAGCATCCGACTAACGGTACGTTTGCTTCTGACTCAATGTCATTCCTCCTCACCATGTCACCTCTAGACACTTAACTCTGAGTTTCGACACTGACTTTGCCTCTCCTTCCACTGTGTTGACACCCTGCTGTCTCTGAATGAGTCACTCACTAAGTGTCCCTCCTGGGATGGTTTCCTTGTGACAGCCTTAGTCTTGGCTGCAGCCTGGCTGCCCCATCCCTGCAACTCAGGGTCTTAATTCCATAGTCACCATCATCACCATTATGTCACTTTTGTCAGCATCACCACCAAAACACTGATTAAACCTCTCCCTTTCCTATCACATGACTGCCAGGCTGTGTACAGATATGATGGTTCCCCTTCTTAGGATGGGAATAGTGTTTCCTAGATTGATTCCATTTCTTCTCTTCCCCCATACCCCCAATTCCTCAGCTGATATAACTTTGATCTTTCTGTGTTTTCTCCAACTCTTGTTGGGGTGGATGTGGATGACTAGTTTGTTCCTCTTTCGGAGCAATGCTGCAGTTCCCAGCTCCTAAGCCTACTTATATGGGTGTTAGTCTTGAGTATATAGTTTCCCATCTCCGTATTTCTTTCTCCTGTCATTATGTGTATTTTGTGTGGCTCTTGTGCTCCTGACATTTGCTTTATGTTACTACTAACCTATTGCCTGGGCCTAGAAAACAAGAGCCCAGGTTGCTTTGGGATAAAAATAAAAAGAAAGGAGTAGGAGGTAGTAGGTAAAAGAAAAAGGACTGTACCTTGAGTTTTTAAGTGTAGTTTCCATGTGGCACCAGCCTACCTATGATAAAGCTATTGCAGAGAAGTTTGAAGAGTGGAGATGTCTGCTGGGGATTCTGGGGGAGCTTAGGAAGGAATAATATTTTAAGAACATTGAAGAACTGGGTCTGCCCACACTAAGGTGGGAGAGCTTGGAGATCTCTGTAAACCATAAATTGAAGGGTATGGTCTCTTTGTAGGGTATAGCAGGAGAACCCAGGCTCACTCTCTTTCAAAGTTTTATCCTTGGTATCCTTATTTGTCTCTCTGTATTATATTTTGTCTTCAGGGTAAATCTAGGTTTTTTAGGTATGGTTTTCTTCTATTCAAGAGCTAAGACTCTCTGAGGGAAGTAAAACTAGGCTGGCTTCCTGACTAGAAAACCTCTACGTGCTAATCTCCTATTGGCTAGCAAGTGACAGCTGCTAGATTTTAGCCCAGTCAGGTTGTACATCTTCACAAGGCACTGCTGAAATCTCTCCCTAGGTTGACCAGCCTATGCTGGCTCAGTTTATCCCTGCCCCCAGGCTCCCAATTGTGCCTGTGGCAGGAGTTCCCATTCAGAGCCTCATGGGTGTGCCGGCTCATTTAGCTTCAAGCTCTTCTGGCCTTCATGTGCCACAGCCATCTCCAGAATAGAACCTGATGCATGAATAGCATAGCCTGGGACTTGGACTTAGGGTCCACAATATAGTACAAGGAACGTGGGCTCCTGAAATCAGAGCTAAATCACGTATCTCCTAGTTCTTAAGTGCCATGAGAAAAGACCCAAGTCCATTAAACAGACCCTCAGACGTATGTACCTCCAATTCCCCGAAGTACTGTTCAGCAGCCTCACCCGTTGAAGAAGATTTAATTCTGCTAAAAGGAGTTGAGGAAAAAAGAGCTGGAAAATGCAGGTGTTGTGCAGGAAAACAAATTTAAGATCTCCAATGCCCTGCACACTTCCTCAGGGGCCTTGTGGCCTCCTTTGTTTTTCTTGTGCTGGAGCTTGGAGGCTAACATGCTTAAGAAGCCAGAATCTGGGCTCTACCTGTTGACAATAGGAGAAATTTGGAGCTGTATGTCACTTGCTGAGGAAGATTATCTAGATTCAATTTGACCCTCAAGAAATATGAAGGCTCTTCTCCATGGCCAAGATCTTGCTTGACTGACCAGCAATTACAAAGTGGATGTTTTGTCTGTAGTTGCAGGTAAGTCACAGCAGCTCCGTCATCACCATCTCCTTGCCATGATATCTGGCTTTGAAACAGCAGCTGGAAATACTGGACCTGGCTTTGGAAAAGAGGCAAGGCAGTGTGTCTTCACACTTTGATGGGAGAGCAGCCCTCAGCCTTTCTCTGCCTTTGTTCCTAATAAGCTGCTCTTATATCCTGTAACTATATCCAGCACACAAGTATAGCCTGTTACTAAGCTGCACACTGAATTCACCAAAGTAAATTAATAAAGTGGGAAAGACTGTGGCTCACGCTCATCCAGAATGTCAGGGTGTGACCACTGGATTTGTCAAGCCCGTTATCTTCTAGGGACCCATATAACTATGTGACCATTGGTATATACAGTTAGTGCTCACAAGACTAGCCTAGGTAGAGCTGAAATCTGTCCTGACATCCAAGCTAAGGTCTCTGAAGACCACAGTCTCATGGGATCACCTTGTGGAGCCAGTTCTGGTCTGGGAGTTTTGAGCAGTCATCCTGAGCTGCCTTGTTTCTACCTTCTCTATACCAACATCCTGTACTCAAGTTCTTGTCCATCCTCACATCATGTCTTAAGATCCCATATCTTTTCTCTAAGATCTTTTCACTATTGTTCCTCTTACACCCCTCTCCACATGGCTTTGACTGCCTTCAACCTTTTGTAGCTGAATTACATCATCCACAAAGTTTGCCAAATAGCTAAAATGAGGGGTTCAGAATCAAAGCTTTTCCACTCACCAGCTGAAAAAAGTGCAGTTAGACTCACCAGCAGTGGGAAGAAAATATAAAATTATCTAACTTTCAGCTTGTGTAATGGATACAGTATCTCTAAGTCCGGAGTTTTAGTGTACTTTTTTTTTTTAACTGATTGTTTAAACAACAGTAAGGTACAGGATGGTTAGTCAATATTGGTATTTTCACATACTGATTCCATTTTCCACACATACCGTTTTAAAGGAGTTCTACACCTGGTTTCCTGCCAGTCTCCTGTGCCAACTGCCTAATACCATTCCTGTCTTCAGCTATCTTAGAGTGTGGTCCAGAAGGCCTGCCCTAAAAGAGAGCCTTTTTAGCTTGACTGTCTTGATACACAATACCATCACTTTTTCATTTTTATCCCTACTACATAAATCCATTCACCTGAGAATGCAGGCCCTAAGTAGGGTTCATCCAATGATGAGGGATCCTGAAGCTGCAGTCAAGACTCCCAGCTGCAAAACTGCCAGCTCACCCCTGTTCACAATGATGTGACTGATGTCTACAAGCACTGACGGAATTATGCTCAAGGAGCAAGGGGAAGGCATTGCTGTATGATGAGATCTCACTTATCCCTTCTTTCAGACTCATTGTATGATGACACCACTGTTCTTCCCTGCAAGAGATGCCCAGTGGCTCTGACCATCTCTGCTTCTCTCTTAGCTCACCTTGGATCTGAGTGCCCCCACCTCCCAGTAATGCTTGTGCTAGTCAGTGCCCCCCTCATTGTCTCTCCCTCTTCTCTTTCTCTATCTTTGTGCTTCCTGCCGTGGTCCCCTCACCCCGTCCAGAGCTGCTGGATGACCAGCACCCTGTGGTCCGGTTGCTGCGCAGTTTTTCCTCTGACTGTACAGGGGGCCGGCCAGTCTCCTTGGATGCCACGCTGGCGCATCACCTGCACCAGTGCTCCTACCACCTGCGCCTCTTCCGGAACTGGCTGCGCTCAGGCCAGGATGACCCCGAATGCCTCTACGGTACCCCCTGCCACCAAACTGGCTGCTGCCACTACCCTGGCTGGGTCTGACTGCTTTGCTTATTGCACTTCTGGCAGGAGAGCCCACCTATTTCTTTCTCCTATTTGCCCTAAGGTTATGTAACTTGCATTTAGTCACTTGGATGGGATTGGGGCCAGACTGCCTGGTAGCTGTAGCATTGGCTGCTCATCCCCTTCCTATTCTCCTTTCTCACCACCCCCTAATGTTACTCATTCCCCAGTTCTGTTCAATACAGGAGTAATCTCTTGCCTTGGAATCTGTTCTTATCACTCTAACCCTCTACTACCACCATCTTCAAATCCAAATGTTTTTCTAGCCACTCTGAGGAGCTAGAGACAGTAACTTTCCTGCCCTCCTGCCACTAGATCATGGGAGAAATTGAGGCACAGAAGCCTCAATTGTATCCTTGGGGCAAAGTCCAGAGGTTCGAAGATGGTCAGGCTATAATCCTTTTGAGTTACGGGCTTTAGTCACTGGTGAACAGGAAGCTGTCTTGCATAGACTTCGTTGTCCCGTGTATCCTTAGTCCCTTTAAGGAGATGTTGAGGAGGCATAGGAAAGACTGGGGACTGAGATAGTGGTTTGGATGTGTTTTTCTTCATCCTCCAATGGGGACATTTTTTCCATCACCAGTCCCTAGTATTAGGGTTACATATTTATGTTTATCCTTGACCCTACCCAGACTGATAGACCTACATTGGAATTCTTGGGTTTAGAGCAGAGAATCAGTACTTTTTCTTTTTTCTAGGGCATTTGCCTCATTTTTCTGATGAAGTAGAAAGATCCTAGCAAGTCTGGGGTTTTCCAGTAGATCAGAAGGGTGATGCTTTGATGTGATGGAAATTACCAAGAAAGAACTTCCATCCCCTTCCTGATTATGCATGTGGTTTTCCTGGGCTGAGCTTCATGTGTATTGCATGCCCTCCAGTTTGCGTCCGAGTATTCTAGCCTTTCTACTGACATCCTAAATTTGCATGAACCCCTTCTCAGATTCCATGTCCTTCTTAATCTGGTTCTCTTATGCATGATACCCAAAATCTGCTGTTTCTTCCCAGCTCCCTGACCTCCCTATCTCATGTTAGATCTGCAGTTTCACCCCTTACCTCTGGATCCTTGTTTTATTCCCCTAGAAAATGTGAGAGCAACGTTGGTGCTTACTCTACTGGGATTCTGTTTATTTTTCCATGGGACATTGCAAGCTCTCCATAGGTAGCATGAGAGGTGATTTGATTCACCTTGAGGCCTTAGCAGGTAGATGTTTTAGGAAATCTGAAGGTGAGAAAAACAGACTCCCTAGGCGCTCTAAAGAGTTCCTTCTCCTAAGAGTCTTGGATACCCCACACTCCAAAAGCCACGGACTCTCCTGATGGCTCTCAGGGACTCTCCCTGCTTCCTTGGCCAGTTGGGGTATATCTGGCAGGAATAACATTGACTTTGCCCATCTCTTTTCATGCCAGACCCCATTTTACTGTGTTTTGTTTTTTTTTTTTTTTTTTGAGATGGAGTCTTACTCTGTCGCCCAGGCTGGAGTGCAGTGGTCCGATCTTGGCTCACTGCTCTTGGCTCACTGCAACCTCCGCCTCCTGGGTTCACGCCATTCTCCTGCCTCAGCCTCCCGAGTAGCTGGGACTACAAGCGCCCGCCACCATGCCCGACTAATTTTTTATATTTTTAGTAGAGACAGGGTTTCACCGTGTTAGCCAGGATGGTCTCAATCTCCTGACCTCGTGATCCACCCGACTCAGCCTCCCAAAGTGTTGGGATTACAGGCGTGAGCCACCGAGCGCAGCCCATTTTACTCTTACTAAGGATTCTTTAACTGTTTCTTGTAAGATAGTACTCCTGAACTGTACAAAGGAATATAGCAGTCAGAAAACATTTCCAGCTGAAATGTTAATAAATAAAAATACCAAGGCCGGGCTAGGTGGCTCACGCCTGTAATCCCAGCACTTTGGGAGGCCGAGGAGGGTGGATCACCTGAGGTCAGTGGTTTGTCACCAGCCTAACATGGTGAAACCCCGTCTCTTCTAAAATGCAAAAATTAGCCGGGCTTGGTGGTGTGTGCCTGTAATCCCAGCTACTCAGGAGGCTGAGGTAGGAGAATCGCTTGAACCTGGGAGGCGGAGGTTGCGGTGAGCCCAGATCATGCCACTGCACTCCAGCCTGGGTAACAGAGCAAGACTCTGTCTTAAATAAAATAAAAAAAAATAGGCCGGGTATGGTGGCTCACGCCTGTAATCCTAGCACTTTGGGAGGACGAGGTGGGTAGATTACCTGAGGTCAGGAGTTCAAGAGAAGCCTGGCCCAAATGGTGAAACCCATCTCTACTAAAAATACAAAAAAATTAGCCGGGCATTGTGGCGGGCCTGTAATCTCAGCTACTTGGGAGGCTGAGGCAGGGGAATCACTTGAACCCAAGAGGCAGAGGTTGTAGTGGGTCAAGATCGTGCCATTGCACTCTAGCCTGGGCAACAAAGCGAGACTCCATCTCAAAAAAAAAAAAAAACTGTAGTGGAATGTGAAGATATAAAAGACATCAACAGGAGACTTCTTTAACTCCAAATTGCTCATTGAGAAAACTCAACTTCTTTGCTGACATTGTGGAGGGTGACTTTTTCTTTTAAACAAATTCAAAGCAGACACCACAGCAGAGATCCACCCAATTCTTGAGACAGTCAGTGCCTGATGGGATATCTAGTTTTTAGGGTAGCACGTGTAACAACTTAAAGTAGGAAAGACCCCCTTCAATTCAAACAAAAAATTCTATTTTTTTTTTTTTTTTGAGACAGAATTTCGCTCTTATTGCCCAGGCTGGGGTGCAATGGTATGATCTTGGCTCACTGCAGCCTCTGCTTCGTGGGTTCAAGCTATTCTCCTGCCTCAGCCTCCTGAGTAGCTGAGATTACAGGCATGTGCCACTATGCCCAGCTAATTTTGTATTTTTAGTAGATTCGGGGTTTCTCCTTCATGGTCAGGCTGATCTCGAACTCCCAACCTCAGGTGATCCGCCCACCTCGGCCTCCCAAAGTGCTGGGATTACAGGCGGGAGCCACCGCGCCTGGCCCCAAAATTCCTTTTTTAAACCAATATTCTAGTGGCGCACTATTCTCCAACAATTCCCACATTAAATTGTTGCATGACCCCTGTAGTAAAAAGCATTACTCAGATCTGACAAACTCAGACACCCCCAGTTTTTACAAATTTAGTGACACCCCCTCAAAGCTAACAGCATTATCATATAATTGGGAAGAGTTGTTCCTAAGAGAGAACATGAGTTCCAGAGATGTATAAGAACTATCTATATGTGTAATCTGTACTGCCAGTTAGCCCCAGAAATGCCCTGGACACAAAATCTGTCCAAGCTGAAAACAAAATTTGCCATCTCTAGCACATCATTCTGATTCAGGTGGTCTTTACTACAGGACTTTTTTCGTGTAACCCTTAGCAAGTTGTTTGAGGCTAAGAAGCGAAGACCTGAGTCTGAAGCAAATAAAAGTTATATACAACTTTTACTGACATTTTTGAACACGGATAGTATTAAACCAAGGGTCACTGTGCCAGGAGGGGAAAAATTAAGTACTGTAATTATATATATTGAGCTATCCCAAGGATAAAGGAATCACTGTTTACTATGATAGTGATCTGGAGGTTTAAAAAACAAAAAACAAAAACAAAACAAAGAAAACCACTCAAATTGACTGGGCCAGAAATCTTATTTGCTCTTCCTTCTCCCCAACAGATTATTTTGAGTTAGTTCTATCTAAGGAATTTACACCCTTGTTCATTTAAGTCACCCTAAAGTGGAGTATTTACTCAATATTGGTTACTTTCTCACTGGAGTATTGACATTTTATTTTATTTATTTATTTATTTATTTGCAATCTATCACATGATCTTTAATTAACTAACAGTACCTCAGGGTAAATCCAAAAGCTGTTCTTTTTTTTTTTTTTAATACTTTAAGTTTTAGGGTACATGTGCACAATGTGCAGGTTAGTTACATATGTATACATGTGCCATGCTGGTGCGCTGCACCCACTAACTCATCATCTAGCATTAGGTATATCTCCCAATGCTATCCCTCCCCCCTCCCCCCACCCCACAACAGTCCCCAGAGTGTGATGTTCCCCTTCCTGTGTCCATGTGTTCTCATTGTTCAGTTCCCACCTATGAGTGAGAATATGCGGTATTTCGTTTTTTGTTCTTGCTATAGTTTACTGAGAATGATGATTTCCAATTTCATCCATGTCCCTACAAAGGACGTGAACTCATCATTTTTTATGGCTGCATAGTATTCCATGGTGTATATGTGCCACATTTTCTTAATCCAGTCTATCATTGTTGGACATTTGGGTTGGTTCCAAGTCTTTGCTATTGTGAATAGTCCCGCAATAAACATACGTGTGCATGTGTCTTTATAGCAGCATGATTTATAGTCCTCTGGGTATATACCCAGTAATGGGATGGCTGGGTCAAATGGTATTTCTAGTTCTAGGTCCCTGAGGAATCGCCACACTGACTTCCACAATGGTTGAACTAGTTTACAGTCCCACCAACAGTGTAAAAGTGTTCCTATTTCTCCACATCCTCTCCAGCACCTGTTGTTTCCTGACTTTTTTATGATTGCCACTCTAACTGGTGTGAGATGGTATGTCATTGTGGTTTTGATTTGCATTTCTCTGATGGCCAGTGATGGTGAGCATTTTTTCATGTGTTTTTTGGCTGCATAAATGTCTTCTTTTGAGAAGTGTCTGTTCATGTCCTTTGCCCACTTTTTGATGGGGTTGTTTGTTTGTTTCTTGTAAATTTGTTTGAGTTCTTTGTAGATTCTGGATATTAGCCCTTTGTCAGATGAGTAGGTTGCAAAAATTTTCTCCCATTTTGTAGGTTGCCTGTTCACTCTGATGGTAGTTTCTTTTGCCGTGCAGAAGCTCTTTAGTTTAATTAGATCCCATTTGTCAATTTTGGCTTTTGTAGCCATTGCTTTTGGTGTTTTAGACATGAAGTCCTTGCCCATGCCTATGTCCTGAATGATAATGCCTAGGTTTTCTTCTAGGGTTTTTATGGTTTTAGGTCTAACATTTAAGTCTTTAATCTATCTTTAATTGATTTTTGTATAAGGTGTAAGGAAGGGATCCAGTTTCAGCTTTCTACATATGGCTAGCCAGTTTTTCCAGCACCATTTATTAAATAGGGAATCCTTTCCCCATTGCTTGTTTTTCTCAGGTTTGTCAAAGATCAGATAGTTGTAGATATGCAGTGTTATTTCTGAGGGCTCTGTTCTGTTCCATTGATCTATATCTCTGTTTTGGTACCACTACCATGCTGTTTTGGTTACTGTAGCCTTGTAGTATAGTTTGAAGTCAGGTAGTGTGATGCCTCCAGCTTTGTTCTTTTGGCTCAGGATTGACTTGGCAATGCGGGCTCTTTTTTGGTTCCATATGAACTTTAAAGTAGTTTTTTCCAATTCTGTGAAGAAAGTCATTGGTAGCTTGATGGGGATGGCATTGAATCTGTAAATTACCTTGGGCAGTATGGCCATTTTCACGATATTGATTCTTCCTACCCATGAGCATGGAATGTTCTTCCATTTGTTTGTGTCCTCTTTTATTTCCTTGAGCAGTAGTTTGTAGTTCTCCTTGAAGAGGTCCTTCACATCCCTTGTAAGTTGGATTCCTAGGTATTTTATTCTCTTTGAAGCAATTGTGAATGGGAGTTCACTCACGATTTGGCTCTCTGTTTGTCTGTTGTTGGTGTATAAGAATGCTTGTGATTTTTGTACATTGATTTTGTATCCTGAGACTTTGCTGAAGTTGCTTATCAGCTTAAGGAGATTTTGAGCTGAGACAATGGGGTTTTGTAGATATACGGTCATGTCGTCTGCAAACAGGGACAATTTGACTTCCTCTTTTCCTAATTGAATACTCTTTATTTCCTTCTCCTGCCTAATTGTCCTGGCCAGAATTTCCAACACTATGTTGAATAGGAGTGGTGAGAGAGGGCATCCCTGTCTTGTGCCAGTTTTCAAAGGGAATGCTTCCAGTTTTTGCCCATTCAGTATGATATTGGCTGTGGGTCTGTCATAGATAGCTCTTATGATTTTGAGATACGTCCCATCAATACCTAATTTATTGAGAGTTTTTAGCATGAAGGGTTGTTGAATTTTATCAAAGGCCTTTTCTGCATCTATTGAGATAATCATGTGGTTTTTGTCTTTGGTTCTGTTTATATGCTGGATTACATTTATTGATTTGCGTATATTGAACCAGCCTTGCATCCCAGGGATGAAGCCCACTTGATCATGGTGGATAAGCTTTTTGATGTGCTGCTGGATTCGGTTTGCCAGTATTTTATTGAGGATTTTTGCATCAATGTTCATCAAGGATATTGGTCTAAAATTCTCTTTTTTGGTTGTGTTTCTGCCCGGCTTTGGTATCAGGATGATGCTGGCCTCATAAAATGAGTTAGGAAGGATTCCCTCTTTTTCTATTGATTGGAATAGTTTCAGAAGGAATGGTACCAGTTCCTCCTTGTACCTCTGGTAGAATTTGGCTGTGAATCCATCTGGTCCTGGACTCTTTTTCGTTGGTAAGCTATTGATTATTGCCACAATTTCAGCTCCTGTTATTGGTCTATTCAGAGATTCAACTTCTTCCTGGTTTAGTCTTGGGAGAGTGTATGTGTCGAGGAATTTATCCATTTCTTCTAGATTTTCTGGTTTATTTGCGTAGACGTGTTTGTAGTATTCTCTGATGGTAGTTTGTATTTCTGTGGGATTGGTGGTGATATCCCTTTTATCATTTTTTATTGCATCTATTTGATTCTTCTCTCTTTTTTTCTTTATTAGTCTTGCTAGCGGTCTATCAATTTTGTTGATCCTTTCAAAAAACCAGCTCCTGGATTCGTTAATTTTTTGAAGGGTTTTTTGTGTCTCTATTTCCTTCAGTTCTGCTCTGATTTTAGTTATTTCTTGCCTTCTGCTAGCTTTTGAATGTGTTTGCTTTTGCTTTTCTAGTTCTTTTAATTGTGATGTTAGGGTGTCAATTTTGGATCTTTCCTGCTTTCTCTTGTGGGCATTTAGTGCTATAAATTTCCCTCTACACACTGCTTTGAATGTGTCCCAGAGATTCTGGTATGTTGTGTCTTTGTTCTCGTTGGTTTCAAAGAACATCTTTATTTCTGCCTTCATTTCGTTATGTACCCAGTAGTCATTCAGGAGCAGGTTGTTCAGTTTCCATGTAGTTGAGCGGTTTTGAGTGAGATTCTTAATCCTGAGTTCTAGTTTGATTGCACTGTGGTCTGAGAGATAGTTTGTTATAATTTCTGTTCTTTTACATTTGCTGAGGAGAGCTTTACTTCCAACTATGTGGCCAATTTTGGAATAGGTGTGGTGTGGTGCTGAAAAAAACGTATATTCTGTTGATTTGGGGTGGAGAGTTCTGTAGATGTCTATTAGGTCCGCTTGGTGGAGAGCTGAGTTCAATTCCTGGGTATTCTTGTTGACTTTCTGTCTCGTTGATCTGTCTAATGTTGACAGTGGGGTGTTAAAGTCTCCCATTATTAATGTGTGGGAGTCTAAGTCTCTTTGTAGGTCACTCAGGACTTGCTTTATGAATCTGGGTGCTCCTGTATTGGGTGCATATATATTTAGGATAGTTAGCTCTTCTTGTTGAATTGATCAACAAGGCCTTAATTACTTAATTGATCATTAAGTAATGGCCTTCGTCTCTTTTGATCTTTGTTGGTTTAAAGTCTGTTTTATCAGAGACTAGGATTGCAACCCCTGCCTTTTTTTGTTTTCCATTTGCTTGGTAGATCTTCCTCCATCCTTTTATTTTGAGCCTATGTGTGTCTCTGCACGTGAGATGGGTTTCCTGAATACAGCACACTGATGGGTCTTGACTCTTTATCCAATTTGCCAGTCTGTGTCTTTTAATTGGAGCATTTAGTCCATTTACATTTAAAGTTAATATTGTTATGTGTGAATTTGATCCTGTCATTATGATGTTAGCTGGTTATTTTGCTCATTAGTTGATGCAGTTTCTTCCTAGTCTCGATGGTCTTTACATTTTGGCATGATTTTGCAGCGGCTGGTACCGTTTGTTCCTGTCCATGTTTAGTGCTTCCTTCAGGAGCTCTTTTAGGGCAGGCCTGGTGGTGACAAAATCTCTCAGCATTTGCTTGTCTGTAAAGTATTTTATTTCTCCTTCACTTATGAAGCTTAATTTGGCTGGATATGAAATTCTGGGTTGAAAATTCTTTTCTTTAAGAATGTTGAATATTGGCCCCCACTCTCTTCTGGCTTGTAGAGTTTATGCCGAGAGATCTGCTGTTAGCCTGATGGGCTTCCCTTTCAGGGTAACCCACCTTTCTCTCTGGCTGCCCTTAACATTTTTTCCTTCATTTCAACTTTGGTGAATCTGACAATTATGTGTCTTGGTGTTGCTCTTCTCGAGGAGTATCTTTGTGGCATTCTCTGTATTTCCTGAATCTGAATGTTGGCCTGCCTTGCTAGATTGGGGAAGTTCTCCTGGATAATATCCTGTAGAGTGTTTTCCAACTTGGTTCCATTCTCCCCATCACTTTCAGGTACACCAGTCAGACGTAGATTTGGTCTTTTCACATAGTCCCATATTTCTTGGAGGCTTTGCTCATTTCTTTTTATTCTTTTTTCTCTAAACTTCCCTTCTCGCTTCATTTCATTCATTTCATCTTCCATCGCTGATACCCTTTCTTCCAGTTGATTGCATCGGCTCCTGAGGCTTCTGCATTCTTCACGTAGTTCTTGAGCCTTGGCTTTCAGCTCCATCAGCTCCTTTAAGCACTTCTCTGTATTGGTTATTGTAGTTATACATTCTTCTAAATTTTTTTCAAAGTTTTCAACTTCTTTGCCTTTGGTTTGAATGTCCTCCCGTAGCTCAGAGTAATTTGATCGTCTGAAGCCTTCTTCTCTCAGCTCGTCAAAGTCATTCTCCGTCCAGCTTTGTTCCGTTGCTGGTGAGGAACTGTGTTCCTTTGGAGGAGGAGAGGTGCTCTGCTTTTTAGAGTTTGCAGTTTTTCTGCTCTGTTTTTTCCCCATCTTTGTGGTTCTATCTACTTTTGGTTTTCGATGATGGTGATGTACAGATGGGTTTTTGGTGTGGACGTCCTTTCTGTTTGTTAGTTTTCCTTCTAACAGACAGGACCCTCAGCTGCAGGTCTGTTGGAGTACCTGGCCGTGTGAGGTGTCAGTCTGCCCCTGCTGGGGGTTGCCTCCCAGTTAGGCTGCTTGGGGGTCAGGGGTCAGGGACCCACTTGAGGAGGCAGTCTGGCCGTTCTCAGATCTCCAGCTGCGTGCTAGGAGAACCACTGCTCTCTTCAAAGCTGTCAGACAGGGACATTTAAGTCTGCAGAGGTTACTGCTGTCTTTTTGTTTGTCTGTGCCCTGCCCCCAGAGGTGGAGCCTACAGAGGCAGGCAGGCCTCCTTGAGCTGTGGTGGGCTCCACCCAGTTCGAGCTTCCCGGCTGCTTTGTTTACCTAAGCAAGCCTGGGCAATGGCAGGCACCCCTCCCCCAGCCTCGCTGCCGCCTTGCAGTTTGATCTCAGACTGCTGTGCTAGCAATCAGCGAGACTCCGTGGGTGTAGGACCCTCCGAGCCAGGTGCGGGATATAATCTCCTGGTGCGCTGTTTTTTAAGCCCGTCGGAAAAGCGAAGTTTTCGGGTGGGAGTGACCCGATTTTCCAGGTGCTGTCTGTCACCACTTTCTTTGACTAGGAAAGGGAACTCCCTGACCCCTTGCGCTTCCCGAGTGAGGCAATGCCTCGCCCTGCTTCGGCTCGTGCACAGTGCGCGCACCCACTGACCTGCGCCCACTGTCTGGCACTCCCTATTGAGATGAACCGGGTACCTCAGATGGAAATGCAGAAATCACCCGTCTTCTGCGTCACTCATGCTGGGAGCTGTCGACTGGAGCTGTTCCTATTCGGAGTATTGACATTTTAAAGAAATCCTAATTAAAATGGACAATATGGACAGATTATGATGGAATTATTCTTGTTCAGGTACTCTT
This sequence comes from Homo sapiens, assembly GCF_000001405.40. Classification (NCBI taxonomy): domain Eukaryota; kingdom Metazoa; phylum Chordata; class Mammalia; order Primates; family Hominidae; genus Homo; species Homo sapiens. The sequence continues at coordinate 43,649,892 of NC_000015.10, read as the reverse complement.
TTCGTTTGGACAGAGGTATCTGCCGGTACTGAGATGTAAGTGATCAGCTGAAGGGAGAAACTGTACACCATGTGACGGACAAATTGCCTGCCTCAAGAAAGCACTTAGGACCATTCTGCAGCCACTCAGTGACCTTGGCTAGAAACCAATGGCTGTGCGGCGTGAGGTAAGATGAAAGGAAATACCCTAGGGATCCAGGACTTCTGCATTTGGTGAAACGTCCGCTTCCACTACAAGGCTTTGGGATGTCTAGTCTGTAGACTGGAGTAACATTAATACTGACTCATGCAGAAACAATATAGCTACATATTGAACTGGGGGAAGGGGTGGCAAAACCCTCTGCAAATAGGAAGTGCCACAAGAGCACCGAGATAAGGATGAGGCCCTGCGTGAGCGCAGCCTTCGGGTTTTCCTTGGGCCGATCAGCACCGACTCCACCGCTCTCGGCGAGGCACCTCCAGCTCCCGGGAATGAGAAATGTGCCCGCCACAGCAGGGGCCCACAGGAATGAAGGGCGCCGGCGCTGCGTAGGCCCAACAGTTCCCCGCGCCCTCGCCCCCGGCCCCGGCCCAGCCCGGCCCTTCTTCCCCCGCCTTGGCAGAGTGGCGTCATCAGGGGGCGAAAAACCCGACGAGCATGAGGCCCGCAGATCCCGTGTAGGAGATGCGACTCTCGAAGTTGTCGTCCGTGAGTTCGGAGGCAGCGGCGAGGCGGGCCGCGGCAAGAAGCAGCGCCACACCCGGGAACAGCGCTAGGCGGCGGAGGCGCATGGCGGCGAGGTGGGGTGGGGACGGCCGGAAGGGTCGCGGCTCGGCTGGGACTGCGGAGGTCGGGCGCGCGACCACAAACCGGCTGCCTGCGCTGGCGCGTCTGGCCCAGGGGACCTGCAGCCGGAGGTCCCAACCCCCAAACCCGGCTCGGGCCGCTGTGTGGCAGCCGCTGATTGGCTGCGCGTCGCCTTCGTCCGGCGGGCGGGACCAGCTGGTTACCGCTGAGTGGCCGGAGAGCGGGGCGGGGCGGGGCCTAGGCGGCGAGTGGCTGGGCGAGCGTTGCTCCGCATGGTCCTGGGCTGTGGGTAGGGGCTAGGGCCGGGTCCCGGGGTGAGCCGAAACCTGGGGGTCGAGCGGGGCGGGGAATGGGGCGCAGTGAGGCTGGGAGCCGGCCCTGAGCTCGTCTTGCATAGGGGTAGCCAGGCTCGGGGCACCTGAGCTGGAGGCGGAAGCGTGAAATAAGGACTGAGTGGGCAAAGAGAACCTGGGCTGAGGTGAGGCCCAGAAGCGAGAATGGAGGAGAGAAGGAGCTAGCCCCCGAAGGAGTGTTGGAGTGGACACACTTGGGACGGGACCCATTTTCAAAATGTCAGGCTTTGGCATTTTGTCCAATTTCTCTGCACTTGGTTTCTCTTGCGTGAGCAGGCCAAGACCTCCCCCAACTCCACCTCATTGCCCGATTGTCTCAGGCACAGGTGGGACCCAGATTCTTTGTCCAGCCCCGGGCCCCTGCCCTTGTGGCTGCTCCTTTTTCTTGCGGTGTTTTTGTTTGTTTTGTTTTGTTTTTAATGAGTTTTAATTAGAAATGCCATCACAAAGTGAAGATGCCTGGCCGCTTGGTCGACTGTGCAATGTCTTTACCACTTAGCCCCTTTTGTTTCAAAACACCCTGAGTCCTAGTAGAATGTTTGTTCTTCCCAACTGCTCCTAGTTCGTAGATGTGGGTACATTAAGGAATCTTAAGGGTAAAGAGGGTGGGGAGGAGGGGACAGAAAACCTGTAATCCTTGGTGCAGCTCCAAGAATGAAATGACACTTGATGCTTACATTTTCTTAGCAGACATGGCCGCTTACCAACAAGAAGAGCAGATGCAGCTTCCCCGAGCTGATGCCATTCGTTCACGTCTCATCGATACTTTCTCTCTCATTGAGCATTTGCAAGGCTTGAGCCAAGCTGTGCCGCGGCACACTATCAGGGAGTTACTTGGTCAGCAGCCTATTTCTTCACTAATTTAAATTTAAGACTCCTATCCACATCCTCTACATTTAAGAGTGGAAAATTCTGGGGAGGTTTAGTTGCTGGTTTACCAAACTTGATAAATCAAGGGCTTGTAAATAAAACTGAAGAGATAGAATCCACGTCTTTCACTTTTAGGCCTAGGATAGCCACTAGCCATGGATGATTGGGAAGAGTTTCTGTCAAAGACTCTTAAAACTTTGAGAGTGAGCCTGCTGCTTTTGTGGGCATGGACAGTGTTGGTCATAAGCAATACATTTGCTCTCACTCCAAACAGAATTCTTAGTTGCTGTGAGAAGAGAAGGACTAGCAGTAAGGCATTAGGGGAACCCATTACCTGACCAGTATCCCTGCCCCCAACCCTACCTGGTCTATTTTGTTTGTATTTATCCACTATCCCTTTTTAATTTTTGTTGTAGATCCTTCCCGCCAGAAGAAACTTGTATTGGGAGATCAACACCAGCTAGTGCGTTTCTCTATAAAGCCTCAGCGTATAGAACAGATTTCACATGCCCAGAGGCTGTTGAGCAGGCTTCATGTGCGCTGCAGTCAGAGGCCACCTCTTTCTTTGTGGGCCGGATGGGTCCTTGAGTGTATCCTTTCATGTCACTCATTTTTATCCTGGCTGTTGATCATCTGCCTAATGACTTATTTTTTGCTCCCCATACTCCACTGTCTCATTTTCACTGCTTATGTTATTGCTCTTATTATTTCAGCTGCATAAATCAGAAAGAACTCCACTCTGTACATTTCCTTAAGAGACAACAGGTCCTCTCTTCAAAAACTTCATCATCTTCCTGGTCTTTTTGAATACGATCATATTGATGGTTGAAATAGGTGAGAACTGACCTTGTATGAAAGAGGAAGTGAGGCCGGGCACGCCGGCTCACACGTGTAATCCTAGCACTTTGGGAGGCCGGGGCGTGTGGATTGCCGGAGCTCAGGAGTTGGAGACCAGCCTGGGCAACATGGTGAAACCCTGTCTCTACTAAAAAATACAAAAAATTAGCCGGGCTTGGTAGCACGCGCTTGTAGTCCCAGCTACTTGGGAGGCTGAGGCAGGAGAATCGCTTAAACCCAGGAGGCGTAGGTTTCAGTGAGCCGAGATTGTGCCACTGCATTTCAGCCTGGGCGACAGAGTACAACTCTGTCTCAAAAAAAAAAAAAAGAAAAAGAAAAAGAGGAAGTGGGTAGGAGTAATTTTTTTTTCTAAATTGATCATTTTACATTTTTGAATGTCATTTGAAATGTGACATTTATATTAAGGACAATTATATTAAGCCTCCTGGAGTAGAATTTATGCAACTGCTAAAATCTAGAAATATTCGCTGGGCACGGTAGCTCACACCTGTAATCTCAGCACTTTGGGAGGCCGAGGTGGTTGAATCACTTGAGGTCAGGAATTCAAGACCAGCCTAGCCAACATGTTGAAACCCCATCTGTACTAAAAATAGAAAAAATTAGCTGGGCGTGGTGGTGGGCACCTGTAATCCCAGCTACTCAGTAGGCTGAGGCAGGAGGACGCTTGATCGTGGGAAGCCGAGGTTGCAGTGAGCTGAAATCACGCCACTGCACCCCATCTCAAAAAAAAAAGAAATATTAATATTTGGAGGCTCTCAAGAGTATACTAGATACAGAGCATCTAGACACATAAAACTAGGTGTAATATGTAGCAATATAACAAATCCACAAGGAACTGAACTTGGGAAGACCAGTTTTATTTCTGTTGTCAGTTTAGCCTGACATTTGTTTGAATTAACCTTTTCTGTTAAAGATATTGGTGCCTATCAGTGAACGATCTAACATTTACATTTTTACAAGTATATTTAGAAAGATTAAGTATAAATAAGAAAGCTCACAAAGTATGGAAAGGTAGGTACAACTAAGATATTAGCTGAGCCAAAAAAATTACTTAAAAAGGAAATGATTCTGAAACCAATAATAAATTATATGAAATACATTCAAAACATAAGTATGTCTGCAAAATCAGTGAGCTCATTTGTTGATAATCTCAAACTGCTCAGAAATGATGAAAGGACAGTAGAACTTGTTTCATTCTCACTGTTGTGGGGAAGTCTCCCACTTTATGTTTTAGAGACAGAGTCTCACTTTGTTGCTTAGGCTGGAGTGCAGTGGTGTGATCATGGCTTGTTGCAGCCTCGACCTCCAGGGCTCAGTTGATCCTCCCACCTCGGCCTCCTGAGTAGCTTGGACTACAGGTGCATGCCCACTACACCAGGCTAATTATGTTGATTTTATTTTTGTAGAGACAGGGTCTCACTATGTTGCCCAGGCTGGTCTTGAACTCCTGGGCTCAAAAGATCCTCATGCCTTAGCCTCCCAAAGTGCTGGGATTACAGGCGTGAGTTACCACGTCCAGCCTAGGAGGAATTTTTAAGAGAAGGGAGTAGTTATGAAGCTCTTGGCTGTTTATTTCACACAGATATTTTCCTCAACAGAAATGTCCAGTGCCTGTAGCCAGTTCAGGACTCTGCCTCTAGCTCCAAGTCCCCTACAAGCTTATCTCTGGGGCCCAGGCATGGTGGTTCATGCCTGTAATCCCAGCACTTTGGGAGGCTGAGGCGGGAGGATCGCTTGAGCTCAGGAGTTTGAGACCAGCCTGGCCAATGTGGAGAAACCTCATCTCTACAAAAAATACAAAAGTTAGCTAGGTGTGGTGGCACATGCCTGTAGTCCCAGCTACTCAGCAGGCTGAGGTGGGAGGATCGCTTGAGCCTGGGAGGCGGAGGTTGCAGTGAGCCATCATGCAACGGAACTCCAGCCTAGGTGACAAAGTGAGACCCTGTCTCAAAAAAATAAAATAGTCCTTTACTGCAGTCAGGTCAAAGATATTTAAATATACAACAATAATTGATGTCACAGACCCACTACAGTATACTATATACTTTGAGGTGTTTTATTTCCTCCTCGTAATGGTGAAGATTTTGAACTAACTTACTTATAATTCCCTTTTATTGTATGATTGCTGCCATGTATTTGCCTTGCATGGCTAGAATTATAGTCCTAAGCCTTGGAATGAAGTAAATAATAGTAACTATACAGGATTTCCTAGATCAGTGGTCCCCAGCCTTTTTGGCATCAGGGACTGGTTTCTTGCAAGACAGTTTTTCCATGGATGGGGTAGGAGGGAGGTTTCAGGATGAAGCTGTTCCACCTCAGATCATCAGGCATTAGATTCTCCTAAGGGTCACGCACATGCAGTTCACAATAGGGCTCGCCCTCCTGTGAGAATCTAATGCCGCAGCTGATCTGACAGGAGGTGGAGCTCAGGCGGTAATGCTCACTCACCCACCACTCACTTCCTGCTGCATGGCCGGGTTCCTAACAGACCATGGACTGGTACCAGTCCGTAGCCTGGGGCTTGGGACCCCTGCCCTAGATCTAATAGACAAATCAAAATAGAATAGCACTAACTATTCTATTTGGTAAAACAGTTAACTGAATATGAAACATGGTCACTGTGCCAGAGGATAAGTAGATTGCCAGACTAGAAATTACCTGGCAAGCTCCTGGAAATTTTATTTTATTAAGCTTATTCTTGTGGTAGAAAGGGAGGAGGGATTTTGCAGAGGGAAATTATTTGTGATTAACAGATTTCTTTGAACAGACTAATTCATATGATAAACATTAAGACTTTTTTTAGGCTTAAAAAATTTTTTTTCCAATCACAAAGTGATCTAAACTGTTAGGGCTTTAAAAAAATCTGCTTCCACAACTGGATATTGGTAATTCTCTTTTGCATTTTAAACACCAATTGGCTTATTTTAAAAATCTCATATTTTGTTTCTAAATAATGAGAAAGAAAAAAAGATTTGACTCATTTGCAAGCATTTGTCAGAAAATAACACAATGCAAGTGTAGATAATCCTTAAAATTAAAAACTGAGTATATTGGGAGGCTGAGGTGGCAGGATCACTTGAGGCCAGGAGATTGAGGCAGCAGTGAGCTATGATCTCACCAGTGCACTGCAGCCTGGGTGACAGAGCAAGACCCTGTCTCAAAAATAAAATAAAACCTAAGTATAATATCATTACAATTTTTTCCCAAAGGTGGGCATATTCCTGAAGATTACAATTTTTTACATTGACTTTTAAAGTACTAGAGAGGGTTTGATGTGCTATATAAAGTTTTTGGTCAAATGAATGGAATTTATAGAATCAGATGAACATCATCTTGAGATTATACTTGCAGAATTATCATTCTTAATGCTCTTCATGAAATTGTATTGCTGGCTGGGCATGTGGCTCACACCTGTAATCCCAGCAATTTGGGAGGCCTAGTCCTGCGGATCACTTGAGGTCAGGAGTTCAAGACCAACCTGGCCAACATGGTGAAACCCCGTCTCTACTGAAAATACAAGAATTAGTGGGTATGGTGATGCGCATCTATGGTCCCAGTTTCTCCGGAGGCTGAGGCAAGAGAATCGCTTGAACCTGGGAGGCGGAGTTTGCAGTGAGCCGAGATGGCAGCTGGGCGACAGAGTGAGTGGGAATCCATCTCAAAAAAAAAAAGAAAGAAATTATGTTTCAACATCAGTATTCCTTGTTTCATGATGGATATAACTAGCCAAAACATTACTAAAAATATTAAAACTGTGTAAATGTCAACATCTACATATCAGTTTGTTGCAGTGTACTATTCTCCTCACCTATAATATTGGACTCCTTGAAACCAATGTGAATTTACCTGGTATTCTGTGAGGTGACCTACTGTTGTTTTTCTAGAATAGGGAGTAGCAATAGATGACTGTTCATGGTGAACTCTACCCTGTAAAACAGAATTATATATTTGCCTGACTTGCTTGATCAAATGGCTACTGTCTGTCACCCTGAGAAGAATATTGAAGCATAGATGTTCACTGCTACTTCACTTCACTGGCTAAGATTCCTGGGTAGACTTCACTGGGCTCCTGGTCTCTATTTCCATTAAGACTCCTTTGCCTTGCTATAGCAGCCTGAAAAATTCCAAGAATTTTAAAAAGTTATTTTTCATCTTCAGAGAGGACACATTACTTGATGTAGAGTGGAGGCAGTCACTTCTGCACATTCTGTGCTGCTGAGGCAATTTCTGCTATTCGTTCCTCTGAACTTCCTTGGGTTTGTTTAGCTTCTATAAAATTATTCATTTTTCCAGAGAGTAAAAGTGCTACTGCTTCTATAATTTGGACTTCCCTACTTAAACTATTTTAAACTACTCAAAACTATATTCTGCTTTACAAGAGCCTTATTTTACTTCATTGCTCTGTTTGGGTTCCTGTTTTGCAAGGGCAAAAACTGAATAAAAATTATAGCATTCTATTTTCCAGCCACAAATGTGGTCCTCAGCTCTTTCTAATTATATAATCCCATGCTCCTGAGAGCTAGAATTTATTGTTAAGTGAAAAAATTTTGTATTTTATTGAATTTAAGCTGTCATCAATGGTGAAATTCACTGTTTACCAATAAGAAATAAAAATCATGCTCAATTAAACTGGGACACATCGCTGGTTGTAAAATGCATCCTCACTTTGGGAGGCCGAGGTGGGCAGATCACGAGGTCTAGAGATGGAGACCATCCTGGCCAACATGGTGAAACCCTGTCTCTACCAAAAATACAAAAATTAGCTGGGCATGGTGGCGCATGTCTGTAGTCCCAGCTACTTGGGAGGCTGAGGCAGGAGAATCGCTTGAACCCAGGAGGCGGAGGTTGCAGTGAGCTGAGATTGCACCACTGCACTCCATCTTGGCAACAGAGCGAGACTGTGTCTCAAAGAAAAAAAAAAAAGCATCCTAATTTCATGTATGTTAAAATGTGAAAAATTGTCCGTCTTAGAGAAACTTACGTGAAAGAAAAACTTACAGAAGTACAGAGCCTAAATAAGCATAGGAGTGCTGGGTGCAGTGGCTCATGCCTATAACCCCAGCACTTTGGGAGACCAAGGCGGGCGGATCGCTTTAGCCCAGCAGTTTGAGGCCAACCTGGGCAGCATAGGGAGACCCCATCTCTACAAGTAATTTAAAGAAAAAATTAGCTGGGCATGGTGACATGTGCCTGTGGTCCCAGTTACCCAGAGGCTCTTGAGCCCGGAAGAGCCAGGCTTCCGTGAACCGTGATTATGCAACTGCACTCCTCCAGCCTGGGTGACAGAGTGAGATTCTCTCTCAAAACAAGCATAGAAATAAGTATAGCGTAACTCCATTGGTTTTTAGAAGGGGCCAACCTCTGTAAAATTCTAGGGATGATTGAAGTATTGTTCTGTTCTTTTTGTCTGGATTCAGTTCAGCATCAGGATGACTTTAAAGCCAGAGCACCACAATGTTGATTTCTATTTAGCTCTTAAGCCTATTATAATCTGAGTGTTTTTTTTTTTTCCAAGGGTATGGCATACATCCATTCATTGTATAAAAGAGATGAAGAAGGTTGAAAGAGAAAGGCAATGAATTAAGGAATAGCAATTAGTAAATAATAGGTTTCGGCCAGGTGTGGTGGCTCACGCCTATAATCCCAGCACTTTGGGAGGCTGAGGTGGGCGGATCACCTGAGGTCAGGAGTTTGAGACCAGCCTCAACATGGAGAAACCCCATCTCTACTGAAAATACAAAATTAGCCGGGTGTGGTGGTGCATGCCTGTAATCCCAGCTACTCGGAAGGCTGAGGCAGGAGAATTGCTTGAACCCCGGAGGTGGAGGTTGCAGTGAGACAAGATCGCACCATTGCACTCCAGCCTGGGCAACAAGAGCGAAACTCCATCTCAAAAAAAAAAACAAAAAACAAAAAACAAAACAAAACAAAAGTAAATAATAGGTTTCTAGAGAGGAAATTTGCATTCAGTTTGCTTTGCAGAGCAAAATTTTAGGCAGGGAAGAAAGGAAAAGTTTTAAAAGAAAGCTAACAGAACCAAGTGATTTATTGTTATAATTCGATATACCCTAATGATTGTGGCTTGTTTCTACATTCGTTATAAAGTAGTTCAGATATCATGGCCCTGTATTTTCATTCTGTTCTCAAGACCCATTGCTTTCTTGTGAACTTTGGGACTGAGATAACAGTACAGTAGATGGGGGTGGGGTTTGGAGGTAGGGGTAATTAAAGAGAGTACTCTCTTAGTAGCTGTGTGAGCCCCAGAGTGGATCGCAAGTGACTTGTAGCTGGGCAGACATAACTATATGAACAGATTGGTTGTGGCTGTGTTTTATGGTCAATTCTGTCCTTCCCTGTATTTCACAGGTTGAAGCAACAGTGTTAAGAAGAGAAACTCTTAACTCTTAACACAGTGTGAAGAAAAATGGAACAGTAGTGGGCAAAACTGTGGTTTATAAGTGTGTTCATTCTCCATCATTCGGTTTCCAGCTTCCTTAACTTTTATTCCTCCTTTGCTCTATCTTCACAGAATTGCTGGAATCCACAAATACCAAACTATGGCCATTGAAGCTGACCTTGGAGGTGGCAGCTTGGTTTATCTTGCTTATTTTCATCCTGGAGATCCTTCTTAAGTGGCTATCCAACTTTTCTGTTTTCTGGAAGAGTGCCTGGAATGTCTTTGACTTTGTTGTTACCATGTTGGTAAGGATAGAGATCCTGAGGGTTCGTTTAGTGGGATGAAGAATGTGCCTAGGTGAATCGAAAGAACAAGTTAACATGATAATAGGAAGAAACAAAAATTTACTTAACTTCTTTCTTTTGATTTTTTTTCCCTAAAACTAAACATCAATCATTGCAGGAGTTGTTGGTATTAGGAGCAAAGTAGACTAACTACAACATCAATGCCAACAAGAGCATCTGCCGGTTACTGAGCACTTACTAAGTGCCAAGCATTATTTTAAGTGTTTTCCTTACATTATCTCATTTATGCTCCACAACAACCCAATTAAATAACCATGAATTTTATCCCCCTTTTTATATCTGAACAAGTTTAAGTATAGTGTTTAAGCAACTTAATATAGAAAGGCTGAATAGTAAGCACTTCTCAGAGAATGCTATTCAAGGGATAACGCCCAGGGAACAATGAAGAGGATAAGATGAAGAAGCTGCAATTCTGCCTGGGTGCCTTGGGGTGTATTTTACTTATAACCTGTGTGTTTTCCACAGTCCCTGCTTCCCGAGGTTGTGGTATTGGTAGGGGTAACAGGCCAATCGGTGTGGCTTCAGCTTCTGAGGATCTGCCGGGTGCTGAGGTCTCTCAAACTCCTTGCACAATTCCGTCAAATTCAAATTATTATTTTGGTCCTGGTCAGGGCCCTCAAGGTGATTTGACTGTTGCAAGCTAAAGCAGGGGGCAAGGTAGATAAATGTGAGGGCTTAACATAGAATATGAAACAAATTGGCCGGGTGCGGTGGCTCACGCCTGTAATCCCAGCACTTTGGGAAGCCGAGGGGGATGGGTCATGAGGTCAGGAGTTCGAGACCAGCCTGACCAACATGGTGAAACCCTGTCTCTACTAAAAATACCAAAAAAAAAAAAAAAAAAAAAAAAAAATTGCCGGGCTTGGTGGTGTGTGCCTGTAATCCCAGCTACTCAGGAGGCTGAGGCAGAAGAATCACTTGAACCCGGGAGGCGGAAGTTGCAGTGAGCCGAGACTGCGCCACTGCACTCTAGCCTAGGCGACAGAGTGAAACTCCGTCTAAAAAAAAAAAAAATATATGAAAGAAATCTGGGTGGGTCAAAGAAGGCAATGAAACGTCCTGTGAAATGTTATTGGATGAGAAGGGGCTGGGGACAGGTGCCATGGTTCAAAGATGACTGGGTTCAGCAGTGCAAGAGAGGGTTTGGTGGGGGATTGCCAGGTGAGCTTGACTGGGCTGTTGGTGGAGATCAGCCTAGTTTGGCCCACATCTGACATGAGAGTTATGGCCTCTAGAGCATGACCTTCCTCTTGATGTTGCTGCTCATCTTCTTCTACATTTTTGCTGTGACTGGTGTCTACGTCTTCTCAGAGTACACCCGTTCACCTCGTCAGGACCTGGAGTACCATGTGTTCTTCTCGTAAGCAGAGCTGGGGACAGCTGGGTGAGGGGAGAAAATTTGGCTAAGAGACCAGGAAGCTTGTCCAAAGTATAGTAATATAAAAAGTGCAGTCTATTCCAAGAAACTGAAATAGAACACAATAGGGAGAGGGAAAGAGAAAGCAAAAGAATAGTGAATGGTATTAGCTCTGATCTTGAGGTTAGGGCAGCTAGTTCCATGTTTATTCTGGGTTTTGCAAATTCAAACCACACTGTCATCAGGCATCTTTAAATAGCAGTACACTCCAGTGGTTAAGCTTGGTTTCTGTGACTCAGTTACCTCTTTTGAAAAATGGGGGCAGGGCGCGGTGGCTCACCCCTGAAATCCCAGCACTTTGGGAGGCCAAGGCGGGTGGATCATGAGGTAAAGAGATCGAGACCATCCTAGCCAACATGGTGAAACCCTGTATCTACCAAAAATACAAAAATTAGCCAGCCGTGGTGGCAGGCGCCTGTAGTCCCAGCTACTCGGGAGTCTGAGGCAGGAGAATTGCTTGAATCTGGGAGGCAGAGATTGCAGTGAGCCGATATAGTGCCACTGTACTCCAGCCTGGCAACAGAGCAATACTCCATCTCAAAAAAAAAAAAAAAAAAAAAGAAAGAAAGAAAAAGAAAAGAAAAATGGGAATAGGCTGGGCACAGTGGCTCATGCCTATAATCCCAGCAGTTTCAGAAGCCAAGACAGGTGGATCACCTGAGTCAGGAGTTCGAGACCAGCCTGGCCAACATGGTGAAACCCTGTCTCTACTAAAAATACAAAAATTAGCCAGGTGTGGTGGTGGGCGCCTGTAATCCCAGCTACTCCAGAGGCTGAGATAGGAGAATCACTTGAACTTGGGAGGCAGAGATTGCAGTGAGCTGAGATTGAGCCACTGCACTCCAGCCTGGGCAACAAAGAGTGAAACTCCATCTCCATCTCAAAAAGAAAAGAAAAAAAAAAAAAAGAATAATAGCAGTGCTACTTCATAAGAGTGTGGGGTTAAATGTGGTAATGCATTTAAGCACTTAGCACAGTATGTAACACATTATAAGTGATCAATTAATGTTACTATGATTCTCAAATATGATCACTGGTTTTATCCCAATCTCTACATATTACACATGCACACGCCTATTCCTGATCTCTGTCTAGAAAACACTAATCAGTGCTCACTTCGGCAGCACATGTACTAAAATTGGAACGATATAGAGAAGATTAGCATGGCCCTTGTGCAAGGATGAAACACAAATTTATGAAGTGTTACATATTTTTTAAATATTAAACCACTAATCAGTGTTTTCTAGAAGAAAATCAACTTGAATTTTGAGTGGATAATCCTGTTTATGAATTAGAATTCAATCTTGTCAGTGCCTCTCAGCACTCTGTTAAATTCTAACAGATAGTTTTGTAAGAGTATTGAGTTAGGAAAGTCCCAGATTTTATCCTATAAAAGCTCTCATGTTTTCGATAAATTGTATATGGGGGACTAAAAAGAAAGGTAGGAAAATTTAGATACCTCCCTGGAAACTTTTTACTTTTTTAGTAATTTTTAAATATTAATTTTATAATTTGTATATATTCATTATTTAGGATCACATATGTTTATGTAACATACCCATTTGCTTGGGTATCATTTCATACCAGCAAACTAATAGGAATAATTTTGTGAATGATCTTCTATTTTGCTAAATTTGCTAATTTTGCTAAATTTTGCTAAATTTGCGAGTGATCTTCTATTAAGTGGAGTCCATAGAGCAGTAGAGAATAAAATTAGAAAAAATGGCCAGCCATGGTGGCTCACACCTGTAATCCCAGCACTTTAGGAGGCTGAGGCAGGCAGATCACTTGAGGTTAGGGGTTCAAGACCAGCCTGGCCAACATGGTGAAACCTTGTCTCTACTAAAAATATGAAAATTAGCTGGGCATGGTGGCGCATGCCTGTAATCCCAACTACTCGGGAGGCTGAGGTGAGAGAAGTGCTTGAGCCTGGAGTGCAGAGGTTGAAGTGAGCTGAGATCACGCAACTCCAGCGTGGATGATAGAGTGAGACTCTGTCTCAAAAAAAAAAAGAAAAAAAAATAGAAAAACTATCTAGTTGGTGATTCATTCATCTTTAAAAAATTCAGTCAATACCTGTTTATTATTTATTATACCCAAGAACTAATGGAATAGTGAGAGTTAGTCATAGATTATTCATGATAAAGGAGAATTTAGGCTGGGTGCGGTGGCTCACACCTATAATCCTAGCACTTTGGGAGGCTGAGACTGGCAGATCACCTTAGGTCAGGAGTTCGAGACCAGCCTGGCCAACATGACAAAACCCCATCTCTACTAAAAATACACAAATTAGCTGGGCGTGGTGGTGCATGCCTATAATCCCAGCTACTCGGGAGGCTGAGGCAGGAGAATCTCTTGAACCCAGGAGGTGGAGGTTGCAGTGAGCCTAGATCGCGCCACTGCACTCCAGCCTGGGCAACAGAGTGAGACTGCATCTAATAAAAACAACAACAAAAAAAAACTTCAAACTATAGAATGATTAGCTAAAAACTGAGTATGGTAGAAAAGGAGCCAAAATCAGAACAAACTACAAAGAAATGCTTTATGTTTCTTTAAAAGTAAGAATGGTACCATTTTTGAAAGGTTTAGGTCTCTGCTTCTGTCTATTCACATGTCTTTTTCTTTAGGGACCTCCCGAATTCCCTGGTAACAGTGTTCATTCTCTTCACCTTGGATCATTGGTATGCACTGCTTCAGGACGTCTGGAAGGTGCCTGAAGTCAGTCGCATCTTCAGCAGCATCTATTTCATCCTTTGGTTGTTGCTTGGCTCCATTATCTTTCGAAGTATCATAGTAGCCATGATGGGTAAGCATAGAGGAGGTGAAACTTGTTTGGGAAGTGTGGTTGGGAAAAAGTTATTCTGAAAGCTGGGATTGGTGGCTTATGGGTATAAAGAACCTAGTGTAGCAGGAAGGCTTGGGTTCTGGATTGGATATTTCACTTGGATTCTCCCCACCCAAGCCCTCTTCCCAAGTCTAGTCATTACCATCTCCCAGCTCCTAATGGCCCTTTGGGGCAGTTACTAACTTTCAGAATATCAGGAAAGAGCTGAATGAGGAGATGGCGCGTCGGGAGGTTCAGCTCAAAGCTGACATGTTCAAGCGGCAGATCATCCAGAGGTCTGCTTCTCCCTTTTCAACCCCAACTTTCCTTCTCAAGGGTTTCCTGAGCTCATTTCTTGTTTCTACTTCTCGACCCCACTTTTCCCTTTGTGACAGTAGATTTGCCCCCAAGGATAAGAATTCTCCAGCTCTAGAATATTGCCTGATTCTTCATCCACTGTGGGGTGTCCTCCATTTTTTTCACCCCTTGACTACAATTTGTTCTCCCCAATTAGTTTTCTTCACTTTCTGATATGAACTTTTTTTTTCTTACCACACTTTTGCTTGAATATAACTGTCTTTGCTCTTTTTTTTTTTTGCTCTGCAGGAGAAAAAACATGTCACATGAAGCACTGACGTCAAGCCATAGCAAAATAGAGGACAGGTTAGGAGTATGTATGTGAACTGGGATAGAAACACATGAAGGAGGAGAGGGTGGAAAACTAAAGATGAAGATTGGCTTTGAGAGATAATTCATTCATTTAATAACTGCATATTGTAGTAGGTTGACTAGTGGCACCCGAAATAATATGTCCATGTCTTTGCTCCCTGGAACCTGTGAATGTGACCTTATTTGGAAAAAAAAAAAGATCCTAAGTTAAGGATCTTGAGATGAGATCATCCTAGATTATCCAGGTAGGTCCTAAATCCAATGGCAAGGGTCCTTATAAAAGATGAAAGAGGAGAAGACACAGAGAATAGGAGAAGGCGATGTGAAGACGGAGATAGAGGTTGGGGCTAATGCCACCGCAAGCCAAGGGAAGCTGAGGAATGCCAGGCAGCTGCCAGAAGGTAGAAGAGGCAAGGAACTTCTCCCCTAAAGCCTCCAGAGGGAATATGGCCCTGCCAACACCTTCATTTCAGACTCTAGCCTCTAGAATTGTGACGGAATATATTTCTGTCATTTTAAGCTACCAAGTTTATAGTAATTTGTTATGGCAGCCACAGGACACTAATACAAATACCTTCCATGAAACAGATATGATTCTAGACCCCAAGTGTTTAGCAGTGGACAAAAAAAGCAGAAGCGGAAGTAAACTCATTCACTTATTAACAAATAATTACTGGCTAGATGAGGTGGATTATACTTGTAATCCCAACACTTTGAGAGGTGAAGGCAAGAGGATTGCTTGAAGTTCAAGCCAGAAGTTCAAGACTGCATTGAGACATGATTGCACCACTATACTCCAGCCTGGGCAACAGAGCAAGATCCCATCTCAAAAATTTAGCAGGGTGGGTGCGGTGACTCATGCCTGTAATACCAGCATTTTGGAAAACTGGTGGGCAGATGACTTGAGCTCAGGAGTTCGAGACTAAACTAGGCAATATGGTAAAATCCTGTCTCTATGAACAAAAATTAGCTGGATGTGGTGGTGTGTTCCTGTGGTCCCAGCTACTTAGGAGGCTGAGGTGGGAGGACTGCTTGAGCTGAGAGGTTGAGGCTGTGGTGAGCCGTGATTGTGCCACTGCTCTGCAGCCTGGGTGACAGAGCAAGACCCTGTCTCAAAAAAAAACAAACAAAAAACAATAAAGAACAAATAATTATTGAATACTTAGTAGGTGCTTGGGATGTTATCAGTGAACAAAATAGACAATAATGCCTGCTTCATGGAGCTTACATATTAGTAGTGGTAAAGAGATAATAAGCAGTGAATATATTAAGTAAATTAATCTGTTAAAATATGATAAGCATTATGGGAAAATTAAAAGTAGAACAGGTTAAGGGAGATTGGGAGTAGAAGGTGGGATTGCAAATGGGTTGTAGGTTTTTTTTTCTTTTTTTTTTTGAGGCAGAGTCTCGCTCTGTCACCAGGCTGGAGTGCAGTGGCACGATATATCGGCTCACTGCAACCTCCGCCTCCTGGGTTCAAGCGACTCTCCTGCCTCAGCCTCCCAAGTAGCTGGGACTGCAGGTGTCCGCCACCATGCCTGGCTAATTTATTTATTTATTTTTTTGTATTTTAGTAGAGACGAGGTTTCACCATGTTGCCCGGGCTGGTCTCAAACTCCTGAGCTCAGGCACTCCACCCGCCTCAGCCTCCAAAAGTGTTAGGATTACAGGTGTGAGCCATCGTGCCCAGCTGCAGATGGGTTGTAGTTTTAAACAGGGTAGTCACGGTGACCTCATTGAAAAGGTAATGTGAGCAAAGACTCGAAGGAGGTAAGGGGATTACCATGTGGATATCTGTAAGAAGATTGTTAATAGGCAGATGAAACGGTGCAAAGCTCCGAAGCTGGAAGCATGCTTGGTTTGTTTGAGAAACAGCAGAGGCCATTGTGACTGGAGTAGAGTGAGCAGGGGGAAGAGTGCTGGGAAATGAAGTCAGAGAGAGAATGGTGACCTGATCCTGTAGGGTTATGGGTGCCATTGTAGGGACTTTGAAATGGCAAGCAGAACAGAGGAGTGACATGAAGTGACTTACGTTTAAGAAGGATTACTCTGGTTGCTGTGTTGATAGAAGAACAAGGGAAGGAGTAGAGAGATCAGTTGGGAGGCTATGCTGCTGCCCAGGCAAGAAATGATGACAGCTTAGGCCAGAGTGGTGGCAGTGAGTTATTGAGAAAAGATATATTTCGAAGGTAGAGTCAGCAGGATTTCTTGATGGACTGGATATGGGAGGGGAGAGAAGAGTTAAGGATGACACATGAATGATTGAGGTTGGAAGTGCCTGAGTTTAGAGTTTGGGAGTAGTTTGGCCCTCATTGTCTTATGCCCCAGCTTTAGGGGGTGGCCAGGGGCAGAACCAGAATAATGAGTGGACTAGTCATATCTTGTAAATGTTTGTGAAGCCATAAATTTCTTCTTTAAGTTCAAGAGGAGCTAGTCAACAAAGGGAAAGTTTGGACTTATCAGAAGTGTCTGAAGTAGAGTCTAATTATGGTGCCACTGAAGAGGATTTAATAACATCTGCATCAAAAACAGAAGAGACCTTGTCAAAAAAGAGAGAGTACCAGTCTTCCTCCTGTGTCTCCTCCACATCCTCTTCCTATTCTTCCTCTTCTGAATCCAGATTTTCTGAATCTATTGGTGAGCCGAAGAACTATAATAATGAGTTTTTTCCATTTGAATTCAGACTCCTCTTTAAGACATCTTAGTCTTAACAGGAGCTCTCCTAGTATATCTCCTTTCCAATTTTCTGGTCTTAATTACTTTGTTTTTGCTTCTTAATTTCCCCTGTACTTCTTCTTCACTTCGGGTAAGTGTGGCTGTGGCCCTCTTTGCTCGTTGTAAAAAGTGGTTTCTTACTGATGCACCCTTTCCCTCCTTGCTTCCTGTTACCTCTTTCCACCCCACCTTTCCACCCACACCATAGGATTTACCAGCTCTTACCCAACTTTTACAAATCTAGACGTGCTTTTCTGAAGCATTCCTCCCTGCAGGTCGTTTGGACTGGGAGACTCTTGTGCACGAAAATCTGCCCGGGCTAATGGAAATGGATCAGGATGACCGTGTTTGGCCCAGAGACTCACTCTTCCGATATTTTGAGTTGCTAGAAAAGCTTCAGTATAACCTAGAGGAACGTAAGAAGTTACAAGAGTTTGCAGGTATGGAGTTAGGGCAGTCATGGGGACCATGGGAATATATATATAGCGTTTATAGCTGTGGAGAAGGAGGAGGGTGTCCACTATTCTGGCATCTCAGCTTCTCAATTTCTGCCTACAACTAAAATAGGCAGAAACTAAAATTCTTGGTTTGGTATGTCACATTCTGGGAATGTGTCCCACTTTTCCCTAACTGAGAGAGAACCTAGAAACTCTGCTTCTGTAGCAGGGGACACCCAAATCCTATGAGGTATGAGAGCTTATTTCCCAAGAAGAGAAAGTCTAATCCCAGTTGTTGGGAATTAGGACAAGGTAGGCTCTTGCTTGATTTGGGCAGCCCACCAGTTTCTGCACGTTTATTCTCTCTGAAGATTGCATTTCAGACTTGAGCAGCAGGGCCTAAGCCTCAAGCTGGAGAGCTATGGGGGATCAGACAATGAGCAGTATGCCCACACGTGCTCACTGTCCTAACTGCCTAAAGAGGTTTATGAATTCTAAACTTCTGTTTGTATCTGCCCCTTCTAGTGTCAGCCTCTATAAAGATAAATATGTGATTTAAATAGTAGAGTTTGATGTAAACTGGGAACTATCTATTCAAAGTTATTTTTCCTAAATTTCATTACTCTATGACTAATTTGGCTTAATACAATTTCCCTCTAAAAGGAAAAAAAAAGGCCGGGCACGGTGGCTCACACCTGTAATCCCAGCACTTTGGGAGGCCGAGGCGGGCAGATCACAAGGTCAGGAGATTAGGATCATCCTGGCCAACATGGTGAGACCCTGTCTCTACTAAAATACAAAAAATCAGCTGGACGTTGTGGCACATGCCTGTAGTCCCAGCTACTCGGGAGGCTGAGGCATGAGAATTGCTTGAACCTGGAAGGCGGAGGTTGCAGTGAGCGGAGATCACGCCACTGAACTCCAGCCTGGCAAAAGAATGAGGCTCCGTCTCAAGACAAACCAAAAACAGAAGATTTAGGGGTGGATTTTAATGATTTAATATGTGTTATCTGGGTTTTTCCCCTCATACCTAGTTGAAATCAACTCAGTTTGAAAATAAGAAATTAGAGAGGAGGACTGTGTGTTTGTGTGTGGTGGGCACAGGTGGGAAATGAGGAATTTATAATATTGGAACATGGAATTTAGGGCAAGATGTGAAAGACAGGCTTTGCTTACTTCACAATGTTGCCTAAATTTAATCCTGTTCCTTCTAGTCATTCTTAGCCCTGACTTCCCACTTATTCTCTAGGGAGGACAGGGTGAAAAGGAGGAAAATGCAGCAAGGTAGTTTCTTTAATCCTAATAAAACTTGTCTATGGCAAAGAGTACACAGAATCATATGGCTTAATTTAAAGATTAGTAAAGACTTGTGAGGGAACCTAGAACCCAGAAAAGCAAGGTCTTCACCAAACATTTATATATGTAGAATATTCTTAGCTCTCCAGCCTCACAATCTGTTTCCTTTGCAGTGCAGGCACTGATGAACTTGGAAGACAAGTAAAGCAATGGATGGCTTCAATATCCTTGGGCCCAGCAAAAGATAATGAAGGGAATTGTTGGAAATAGAGAATTGAAAATATAAACATTCAGATAGAACAATGTCTGTTCATTAAAATTAAAAAGTATAAGTGTCTAGGCCAGGCGTGGTGAAACCCTGTCTCTACTAAAAATACAAAAAAATTAGCTGGGTGTGGTGGCAGATGCTTGTAATCATAGCTACTTGGGAGCCTGAGGCAGGAGAATCACTTGAACCTGGGAGTCAGAGGTTGCAGTGAGCCAAGATTGCACCACTGCACTCCAGCCTGGGCAACAGAGTGAGACTCTGTATAAGTGTCTTATAAATACTCCTGATAGCTGCTCAGTAGTGTGACCCTGAGATAAGGGATATTGAAAGGCATAAGGTCAAGTAAAAGAGTTAGTTCAAGCTGAGTGTGGTGATGTGTGCCTCTAGTCCCAGCTATGGGCTGAGGCAGGATTGTTTGAGGCAGGGAGTTCGAGGCTACAGCAAGCTAGGATCATATCACTGCATTCCAGCCTGGGCAACATAGCGAGACCCTATCTCTAAAAAAGAACAAAACAAGTTAGCTCAGATGCCAGTGGAGTCTGTGCTCCTTAGCTTTCTACCCTTTCCACAGCTCCTGAATCTGACTCATTTCTTGACTTTATCATTATAGCTTCCACCCTTCCTGCAACCTCTACTGCCTGATTAGAGTCCTAATTTTACCCTCTCCCTCCCTGATGCATAGGTAAAGGCCCCTCTGTGGAGTAAGGAGATCTTCAGAGCTGTTAGTGTAACTAATTGAGAAGTATTGTTTCCATTGCGTGTTCCACTCATGTTGCTTCTCTTGTGAACCATTAACTTTAATTGGATATTATTTTTACCTGTTTCTGGACCGGAAGTCTCTTTATTTCATTTTGCCATAGCTCAGGGCAGTGTTCAAATCAGTAAGTGTTGTACAGGTTTTTAGTGTTAGAAGGGATTTCAGAGTTAATCTATCTCCCATCAAAGCAGGAACACCTTTTAGAACATCACTGAAAGGAGGATTATCCAGGTAATGCTTAATGTTTCTAGTTATTTGGGATTTATTATCTAGAAGGGATCCCATTCCATCGTTAGAAGACTTAAGTCTTTAGACATGTTTATTATTAAAAATTATATCACTTATTGAGTGTTTAACATGTATGAGGTTATTTATATATTTAGTATATATATACTGTATATAGAGTATGCATATTTCATAAAATAATCATATATGGAAGATAGCGTCACATTTTTAGAGATCAGAAAACTAAGGCCTAAAGAAATTAAGTAAGTTAAGTAGCTTGCCCAAGAGCACATACCAAGTAAGAGGTAGAGCTAAGGTTCTAACTCAGGTTAAAAATTCTGAGTTGAGAAAAAAATCAGTTGAAGCCATTTAAACAATAAAATAGCTTACTGGAGACTGGAAAATTCAAAGGTAGTATAGCTTCAGGATTGATTTAATGTAAAAATTCACTGTTGTTAGATCTGTGGTTTTGTTTCTCTGGAATTTTCCTGTCTGCGCTCTCCTCCACGTGTTCTTGTTATTCTCAGACTGGCTTCACTTGGGTAGCCAGACAATTTTCTGAAGCGCCTAGGCTTGCATACCTATTTCCCCATATGCAGGGGAAGAGAGCCGGTGACTCCTTTCTCAGTCAATGAACAAAATTTTTGAGCTTTGGGTCACAATAATGGTTATTCTTGGAGTGAAGATACTGATGGGGAGGAAGCATGAAGCATCTGGAGTGCTATAGATATGTTCCATATCTTGATCTGCATGGTGGTTACACCGGTATATACAGATGTAAAAATTCAACAAAATGTACACTTAAAATTTGGGCATTAACTGCAGGTAAGTCAACCTCCACTCCTCTAAAGATATCCTGACCACCACTCTGATTGGACCAAGAAGTTAGGTCATATGCTTACGTCTGAACAAATTGTTGAGGTAAGGTGGTGGTTGTGATGAAATCACTAATTAAGGCTTTCTCCTGAACTGGAGGTAAGGTCAGTAACACCCAACCTTAAGTAAGGGCTGCTACCCAAGTGGGGAAGAGATGGAAGGGGGCAATAGGGTGGTAATTATAAAGTCCTCACCTAAGAGTATGTCTGGCAAAAAGGCCAAGATGGGGAAAAGGCAAATGAATTGAATGTCCAGAATAAACAAATCTATGAAGACAGAAAGTAGATTAGTGGTTTCTTGGGGGTTGGGGAGGGAGGAATTGAGACTGACAGATGATAGGTATAGGGTTTATTTGGCAGGTGATGGAAATGTTCTGGAATTGGATAGTCTTGAATAGTTCAACAATATAATATATTTAAAAACACTGAATTGGGCCATGTGCAGTGGCTCACGCTTGTAATCCCAGCAGTTTGGGAGGCCGAGGTGGGCAGATCACCTTAGGTCAGGAGTTCAAGACCAGCCTGGCCAACATGGTGAAACCCTGTCTCTACTAAAAATACAAAATTAGCCGGGTGTGGTGGGTGGGGGGTTGCCTGTAATCCCGGCTACTTTGGAGGCTGAGGCAGGAAAATTGCTTGAACCCGGGAGGTAGAGGTTGCAGTGAGCCAAGACTGCGCCATTGCACTCCAGCCTGGGCAACAAGAGCGAAACTCCATCTCAAAATTAAATAAATAAAATAAAATAAAAACACTGAATTGTACACATTAAAATTGTGAATTTGGCTGGGTGCAGTGGCTCACACCTGTAATCACAGCACTTTGGGAAGCCGAGGTGGGTGGATCACTTGAGCTCAGGAGTTTGAGACCAGTCTGGGCAACATGGTAAAATCCCATCTCTACAAAAAAAAAAAAAAAAGAAAGCAAAAATTAGCCAGGTGTGGAGAACACCTGTAGTCCCAGCTACCTGGTAGGCTAAGCCTAGGAGGTGGAGGTTGCAGTGAGCCAAGATCATGCCACTCTACTCCAGCCTGGGTGACAACAGCGAGACCCTGTCTCAAAACACACACACACACACACACACACACACACACACACACACACACAAAATGGTGAATTTCATATGAATTATATCTGAATTTTTAAAATGAAGTAAAGATTATCTAAAACCAAGAATCAATATTAACATTTCAATGAAAATCATTTCAGTCATTCCTCATAAAATGAGGAAGAAAACAAAAATGTTTTAAAAATAAACTGCAATATATAACATTGATTAGAAATCCTCATAAGAAATGTGGCATAAATATTTGGAAATAACTAAAAATGTGATATTTAGACACGATTTTATATCTAGAAATTTCAGAGGAATCAACTAGAATTAGAGATAACAATGGTCAAATATAACATTTAATACTATTAGGGCCAGATGCAGAGGCTCACACCTGTAATCCCAACATTTTGGAAGGCTGAGTCAAGAGGATCACTTAAGGCCAGGTGTTCAAGACCACCCTGGGCAACATAGTGAGATCTGTCTCTACAAAACAATTTTTTTTTTTAAAGGCTGGATTGGTGGCCTCATGCCTGTGATTCCAGCTCCTCAGGAGGCTGAGGCAGGAGGATTGCTGGAGCCCAGGAGTTCAAGACCAGCCTGGGCAACATAGTGAGACCCCATCACTACCAAAAAAAATAAAAAAGGAACATTAGCTGGGTGTGGTGGCATGTGTCTGTGGTCCCAGCTACTCAGGAGGCTGAGGTGGGAGGATGGCTTGAGCCTGGAAAGTCAAGGCTGCAGTGAGCTGTGAATGAGCTACCACACTCCAGCCTCCTAATAATCCAAACAAATTATTAGAAGAAAAGAAGGCTGGAGACAGAAACCCGAGAAACAGAAACGTTTAAAAGATAGAAAGAGAAGGCCGGGCATTGTGGCTCACGCTTGTAATCCCAGCACTTTTGGGAGGCCGAGGCGGGCGGATCACGAGGTCAGGAGATCCAGACCACGGTGAAACCCCGTCTCTACTAAAAATACAAAAAAATTAGCCGGGCCTGGTGGCGGGTGCCTGTAGTCCCAGATACTCGGAGAGGCTGAGGCAGGAGAATGGCTTGAACCTGGGAGGCGGAGCTTTCAGTGAGCCGAGATCGCGTCACTGCACTCCAGCCTGGGTGACAGAGAGAGACTCCATCTCAAAAAAAATAATAAAATAAAAATAAGTATAGAGGCCAGGCGCAGTGGCTCACACCTGCAATTCCAGCACTTTGGGAGGCTGAGGTGGGCGGATCACGAGGTCAGGAGTTCGAGACCAGCCTGACCAACATGGTGAACTCCCATCTCTACTAAAAATACAAAATTTAGCTGGGTGTGGTGGCACACACCTGTAATCCCAGCTACTCAGGAGGCTGAGGCAGGAGAATCGCTTGAACCCAGGAGATGGAGTTTGCAGTGAGCCGAGACTGTGCCACCGCACTCCAGCCTAGGCGACAGAGCGAGACTCCATCTCAAAAAAAATATATAGAATCTCAGGCCTCATCACCCAGGCCTATTGAATCAGGTGATGTAGCTGCACATAAAAGATTCAGAAGTGGCCGGGTGTGGTGGCTCACGCCTGTAATCCCAGCACTTTGGGAGGCTGAGGCAGGTGAATCATGAGGTCAGGAGTTCAAGAGATGGTGAAACCCTGTCTAATAAAACTACAAAAATTAGCTGGGCGCAGTGGCAGACGCCTGTAATCCCAGCCTCAGGAGGCTGAGACAGGAGAATCGCTTGAATCTGGGTGGCAGAGTTTGCAAAAAAAAAAAAAAAAGATTCAAAAGCACTGCTTTATAGGTATTTGATGAATATTCCCTCCTTCCCCTTTTTTCCTCCAACACTACACAGATGTGCCCTTCTGACTTTCTTTTGTTTTCTTTTCTTCCCTTTTTCCCTCCCTAGCTCCCTTCCTTTCTCTCTCTCTCTCTCTCTCCCTCTCTCCCCTGCCCCCTCTTTTTTTCTTTCTTTTTCCCACACAGAGCTGGCTGTGCAGGAAACTGGAGTTTTCTTATTATTACTCAAATTAGTCTGTTCTGACATTTTCGAGATGGAGTATCACTCTGTCGCCCAAGCTGGAGTGCAGTGGCACAATCTATGCTCATTGCAACCTCTGCCTCCTGGGTTTAAGCGATTCTCGTGCCTCAGCCTCCCAAGTAACTGGGACTAGAGTCACGCCACCACGCCTGGCTAATTTTTGTATTTTTAGTAGAGACGAGTTTTTGCCATGTTGGCCAGGCTGGTCTTGAACTCCTGGCCTCAAATAATCCGCCCCTCCTTAGCCTCCCAAAGTGCTGGGATTACAGGCGTGAGCTACTGTTCCCTGGCCCCCTCCTGACTTCCTATAGCTGATCTGTGGTCTGTGCGTTCTGCATTTTATTCTTTAACTCTTTCCTCAGTGAAAACAATCTGGCTTTAATTCTACAGGAATGGAAGTTTATTCAACAAATTTGTTGAGTTTGTACATTCCAAACATTGTTCTAGACACTTGGGATATATCAGTGAATGAACAAAACAGAAATCCCTGTCCCTCCTAACTAGTTCCTCATATGATCAAATAATAAAACGTCCGTGAAGATAGTAATTTTATCTCCTCCCCTGTTTTGTGGTTGTTGTTTATTTGGTTTGGTTTGGTTTCTGAGACAGGGTCTTGCTCTTTCACCCAGGCTGGAGTGCAGTGGTGCAGTCATAGCTCACTGCAGCTTTGATCTTCCAGGCTCAAGTGACTCTCCTGCCTCAGGCTCTCAAGTAGTTGGGACTACAGGTGCATACCACCACACCCGGCTAAATTTTTTAATTTTTTGTAGAGATGGGGGTCTCGCTGTGTTGTAATACGTCCAAAACTGAACTTATTACCACTTCTTCAAACCTGTTCTTCCTATTCTAATCTCAAGAACTGCTAAACAGTTTCTATGGGCTGGGGGAGTCCTCAAAGATCTCCTTGCTGCTTAACTTTTTCTGTATTTTGTTTGAAGGTCTTTCACTTAAGATGCTATTTCTTGTACCAATTTTTGTATTAAGATTCTTTAAGTTGGCAAGGCGCAGTGGCTCACGCCTGTAATCCCAGGACTTTGGGAGGCCAAGGCAGGCAGATCACCTGAGGTCAGGAGTTTGAGAGCAGTCTGGCCAACATGGAGAAACCCCGTCTCTACTGAAAAATACAAAAAACATCTGGGCATGGTGGCTTGCACCTGTAATCCCAGCTACTGAGGCTGAGGCAGGAGAATCGCTTGAACCTGGGAGGCGGAGGTTGCAGTGAGCCGAGATTGTGCCATTGCACTCCAGCCTGGGCATCAACAGCAAAACTCCATCTCTAAAAAAAAGAAAAGATTCTTTTTTTTTTTTTTTTTCCGAGTTGGAGTCTTGCTCTGTCTCCCAGGCTGGAGTGCAGTGGCACAATCTCAGCTCACTGCAAGCTTCTCCTCCCAGGTTCATGCCATTCTTCTGCCTCAGCCTCCCAGGTAGCTGGGACTACAGGCGCTCACCACCGCGACCAGCTAATTTTTTGTATTTTTAGTAGAGATGGGGTTTCACCATGTTAGCCAGGATGGTCTCGATCTCCTGACCTCGTGACCCGCCCGCCTCGGCCTCCCAAAGTGCTGGGATTACAGGCATGAGCCACTGCACCCGGCCAAAAAGATTGGGTTGCAGAAGAAGAATTCATCTTGAGCTAGTCTAATCATAGTGGTGGTAAGATTTAGTGGATCTGTTCCAGTACCTGCCACATCAAGACACTTTATAATACAAGTGAATGAGCAAAATTGGGTGGGTGAGTAATAGTATCTCCATTTTACAGATAAGTGAATTATAGAAACTTCTTGGGGTCACCAGACTAATAAATATGGAATGAAGACCTAGAATTCAGAGATCTGATATCAAAGTGCAAACATAATTTAACTGTCTTAATCAGAAGAGTCAAAGGCTCTGCTGCAAGAATAAATTAACCCCTAAATCTCAGTGGTTTAGTATAAGAAAGACATATTACTCACTCATGAAGGTTTCAATACTGGTTGGGTAACTGTTCAAGGCAGCTACAGTAAATTTTTATTATTTATGATGATTATGTTTTATAAAGGTGCAGCAAACAACTGAATTAGTGACTACTGAACCACTGCTCCCAGGGGAAATACAGGGTTAGGTTCCTGTGAGCCTCTGGTGACAACATTTTCATCAACTGATCAAATACATAACCTTGGTTTTCTTTGTGTTTCTGTTTATAGACACCTTACTTAATATATGTTGTTGATTGATTAACATTGAACTCATGGCCAACAGCACTGTGCCTCATGCTTGAATGAAGCTTTTTTTTTTTTTTTTTGAGACAGAGTCTCCCTCTGTCACCTAGGCTAGAGTGCAATGGCGCAATCTCGGCTCACTGCAACATCTGCCTCCTGGGTTCAAGTGATTCTCCTGCTTCAGCCTCCTGAGTAGCTGGGATTACAGGTGCCCGCTACCACGCCCAGCCAATTTTTGTGTTTTTAGTAGAGACAGAGTTTCACCAGGTTGGCCAGGCTGGTCTCGAACTTCTGACCTCAGGTGATCCACCCGCCTCAGCCTCCCAAAGTGCTGGGATTACAGGCATGAGCCACTACGCCCGGTAGTGAATGAAGCTTTTCCAGTATAATTTTCTCTATAAGGCACATTACAGCCTTCTTGCTCTTAAGAACACCACACAACACTTTGGCATTAAGCTTAAGGGCCATTTTAAACAGTGAAATCACCAACAAATAGCCCCAAAATGCAAAAAGTGCATCACTAGATAGACCACAAAAAAGACACTTACTGGCCAGGTGTGGTGGTCACGGCTGTAATCCCAGCACTTTGGGAGGCCGAGACGGGCAGATCACGAGGTCAGGAGATCGAGACCATCCTGGCCAACATGGTAAAACCCCATCTCTACTAAAAATACAAAAAATAGCTGGGGGTGGTGGCACATGCCTGTAATCCCAGCTACTCAGGAGGCTGAGGGAGGAGAATCACTTAAACCAGGGGGTCGGAGGTTGCAGTGAGCTGAGATCGCCACTGCACTCCAGTCTGGTGACACAGCAAGACTCCGTCTCAAAAAAAAAAAAAAAAGACACTAATATTTACACCATGAGAGCTGCAACAAGAAGGCAGAGCACTGCCTTGTTCCACCTCAGCTGGGAACGTGTATATCAGGTGACTCCAACTTGTCACCTCTCAATACAAGTCTGTGAATGACCTCAATAGCACTGTAAGTATTGATTTTGGGTTACAAACATTTAGTGACTAGGCAAATCCACAAATACAGAACTCACAAATGACAAAGACTGACTGTAAATGCTGTGGTAATTTGGAGCCTCGGGCTATTTTGACCTTGTGACACTGCCATCTCAACATGTGGTTTCTAGGTTGCCTCAACAGGGAAGAGATTGTTGGAGGCTCATTTGCTAGCTCTTAAATTCTTTGGTCAACCACAGTCCATTGAACAGAACTAATCACCTGATCCCAGCTAACTGCAAGAGATCTGGGAAATGTGAGAAACACCTAGATATCTAGTAAGCAATAAATATTTCAGTTACCAAAGCCAAACCAAAAAAAGAGAAAAATAATTGTACTTTACAAAGGGAGGCATCTGGCTGAGCATTGTGGCTCACGCCTGTAATCCTAGCACTTGGGAGGCCGAGGCAGGCAAATTGCCTGAGCCCAGGAGTTTGAGACCAGCCTGGGCAACATGGCAAAACCCTGTCTCTACAAAAAATACAAAAAATCAGCTGGGCCTGGTGGCACGCACCTATAATCCCAGCTATTCACGAGGCTGAAGCATGAGAATTGCTTGAACCCAGGAGGTGGAGGTTGCAGTGAGCTGAGATCACACCACTGCACTGCAGCCTGGGCGACAGTGTGAGACTCAGTTTCAATTAAAAAAAAAAAGGGAGGCATCTGTTCTTGTCAGGCAGAGAGTGTCCTGTGGGAGTTTTGGGGAGTGAGGATGTTTCAGAGTTCTCAACTCCTGTGGCTCTTCCCAGGTATACCCATTCTAACTGGCAGATCACAGAGTGTTCCAGTTATCACCAGTCTTATCCATTTCATTTTAGCAGGACATATGATTAATTTCTTGTTCTGGACCTTTGTAATTTAAATTTGCTGGTTGTTCTCTGTTTCCATTTGGTCACCTGTAGGTTGGAACTTGTCTTGCTCTTGTTGAACTTTATCAAATTATAAGCAATTACCAATACACTCAAATAGCCTGGTATATGTGCCATAAACCCTAAGCACTTTGCCGTCAGTTTGCACATAGTCTGAATCCTTAGCGGCAAGAGAATTGCTTAATCAATGGCTTACAACAGCAGAACGTGGACTGCCAGGAAAATTTCCATCCTGAGTTAAGGGAATCCTCATTGTTTCTCTCTCTGGTTGACTCAACTAGTTCCATATTTGTTCTGAAGGTCTTTCACTCAAGATACAACTTCCAGATAATCATTTATGTATTCATTAGAACTCCTTTAGTTTCAAGTAGAAAAATTCATCTTGAGCTATTCTAATAATAGTAATAGTAACATAGAGTGAATGTTTATTCTGTACCAGTGTCTGGCCCATAATAAGTGCTTAATCTTTGTTGAATGAATGCTAGACATTGCACTAAGTACTTTAAATGCATTATCTAATTTAATCCTCACAAAAACTCTACACTAGGGTTTTTTCCTTTTTACAGTAAAAACAACAACAGCAACAACAACCACAACAACAAAAACCCAAAAAACCAAAAACAGAGATTTAGAAACTGCCCCAGGACACACAGCTAGTAAATGTTGGAACCAGGGTTTGAACCTAGACCATCTCATTTTTTGCTACCCTATGAGGAAAGAAGGATAATTTATTATAAGAGGGTTGTTACAGAATGAAGGGCAGAAATTCAGAAGGATTACAGGATGGGCTGGAACCACAAAGCTGTTGGGAACTCAGGTCGTATTCTCCCTCAGATTCAACTGTCTGCTTTTTAGACTAGGTGTGGTATCCTTGATGGGCAAAGGGAATATTGGTAAAATTACACAACAGATCATTTCACTGATCTCAACTTTTGATTTGCCTTGGAAAATCCCATCATTGCTCCCAGCTGTCTTTGTGACCTGGGTTAAGTCATTCCATTTCTCTGGGCTTCAATTCCCCTGTCTATAAAATGAGAAGTTCTTACCAGAGGATTCCTCAGGTCTCTTCTGTGATCCTGGGAGGCCGAAGCAGGAGGATTGCTTGAGTCCAGGAGTTTGAGGGTGCAGTGAGCTAGGATCATACCACAGTATTCCAGCCTGGGCCATGGACCAAGACCCTGTCTCTAAGTAAATAAATACACAAAAATAAAACTCTATGATCCTAAGTGAATCTTCTAGATCAGAAGCACATTAATAATGAAGTTCCATGTGTGGATTTGAGGGAGAGAATGGGGAAGGGTTCTAGGGAAAGAAGGACAGAATAAAAGTTTGGGTATAGCTTCAGTGTTGAATTACTATTTAGAGTTGGTATAAAGTGAAGGCCTTTGGGGAGATATAGATGGAGAATGGAAAAGACTTCTAATCCTGGACTGGGGCAGTAGCTCAAGCCTGTAATCTCAGCACTTTGGGAGACTGAGGTGGATAAATCACTTGAGGTCAGGAGTTCAAGACCAGCTTGGGCAACATAGTGAAACCCCGTCTCCACCAAAAAATACAAAAATTAGCCGTGCGCGGTGGCGCATGCCTGTAGTCCTCAGCTACTTGGGAGGCTGAGACAGGATAATCGCTTGAATGAAGGAGGCAGAAATTGCAGTGAGCCAAGATAGTGCCACTGCACTCCAGCCTGGGTAACAGAGTGAGACTCCATCTCAAAAAAAAAAAAAAAAATGCCGCGGTGGCTCACACCTGTAACCCCAGCACTTTGGGAGGCTGAGGTGGGCAGATCACTTGAGGTCAGGAGTTCAAGACCTGCCTGGCCAACATGGTGAAACCCCATCTCTACTAAAAATACAAAAATTAGCTGGGTGTGGTGGCACGTGCCTGTAATCCCAGCTACTTGGGAGGCTGAGGCAGGAAAATCGCTTGAACCCAGGAGGCAGGGGTTGCAGTGGTCAGATAGCCCCACTGAACTCCAGCCTGGGCAACAGAGAGAGATTCCATCTCAAAAAAACCAAAACCAAAAAACCAATAAAACAAAAAACAAAAATGACGAAAAAAGACTTCTAACCCTGACCAGACCAGATTATTTTGAATGAAATCTCTTTCTCTGTTCCATGAGCAGTTCTGTGTGTAGGGAGATCAGTCCCTGTGCATAGTGATTTAATCTGGTTTCTGTCTTCTCAGCTCAGAGTTTTTGATAGGGCTTTCACCTAGGCCACAGAGAAAGAACCAAATGATAGGGGATCCCGGAGGGGGAAGGAAAGACCCAAACATTTGAATGGCCTAATGAGCAAATCACATTTCTCTGGGTCTGTTTCCTTATCCATAAGTGAAAAAGTTTGGTGTATGTGATCTCTGGGGTACTGCTCAGCTCTTGACACTCTGTGGTTCTGGGTAGTAGTTGAAAGCAGCTCTCCTCTTCCTGAATTCTCCATCCTTGGACTGGACCTCTCGTCTGTTTATACCTTGCTGTGCAGTTTGTTTCTCCTGGGCGTCATTTCTTCTTCAATTTCCTCAAATCCTACTTGCTTCTTAGCTCCTTCATATCCTCTTTGTTTTCTTTGCTTCTGCAGAACCCCAGATTACACCCCTGGTCTCCAGTTCTCCATCTCCATGTCTGCCTGTTCCTTTCTGCATCACTGGCTCCTAACTCAAGCAATCTCCTTGGGTTTCTCTGAGGGGCCCCTGGGATCCCCTATCATTAGTCCCTCTCACAGAAGCATACCCTTCTCCAGAGCTAAAGGATCAGATATTCAGCGGCTCAGGTAACAAACCTGCTGTCAGGTTACACATATTGTTTCCTGAAAGACCACACTACAGTGTCAGTGGAGCCTCAGGTTGCCTGCAGTGCCCTGCCCTCACCTGGCTATCCCACACAGGTGAGAATAACCAGAACTCACCTCCGGTACCAGTGTTCACTTGGAAACATGGCTCTCAGCCTCTGGCCCCTGCTGCTGCTGCTGCTGCTGCTGCTGCTGCTGTCCTTTGCAGGTAAGAAGAACAGTGAGCAGAACTGGGGATGAGGAGGAGGGTGGCTGGAAAAAGACTTTAAGAATATGGAGGTGAACCTGTTAGATAGAAGGACAAAGGAGAGAGGCAGAGACTTGTGCAAAAGGGAAAAATGAGGGTTAAGAAAAGCAGGCCAAGACTTACTGTAGGCCAGTGAAAGGGGTTCAGCTCACCATCCCCTCACCTCATCTTTAGATCCAGGTAGGGAACTGTGCTCAGGGGCAGGGTTGAGTTTGGGCTCTGTGTTCCTCTCCTTCAGTGACCTCTGGTTTCTCTCCTTACAGTGACTCTGGCCCCTACTGGGCCTCATTCCCTGGACCCTGGTCTCTCCTTCCTGAAGTCATTGCTCTCCACTCTGGACCAGGCTCCCCAGGGCTCCCTGAGCCGCTCACGGTTCTTTACATTCCTGGCCAACATTTCTTCTTCCTTTGAGCCTGGGAGAATGGGGGAAGGACCAGTAGGAGAGCCCCCACCTCTCCAGCCGCCTGCTCTGCGGCTCCATGATTTTCTAGTGACACTGAGAGGTAGCCCCGACTGGGAGCCAATGCTAGGGCTGCTAGGGGATATGCTGGCACTGCTGGGACAGGAGCAGACTCCCCGAGATTTCCTGGTGCACCAGGCAGGGGTGCTGGGTGGACTTGTGGAGGTGCTGCTGGGAGCCTTAGTTCCTGGGGGCCCCCCTACCCCAACTCGGCCCCCATGCACCCGTGATGGGCCGTCTGACTGTGTCCTGGCTGCTGACTGGTTGCCTTCTCTGCTGCTGTTGTTAGAGGGCACACGCTGGCAAGCTCTGGTGCAGGTGCAGCCCAGTGTGGACCCCACCAATGCCACAGGCCTCGATGGGAGGGAGGCAGCTCCTCACTTTTTGCAGGGTCTGTTGGGTTTGCTTACCCCAACAGGGGAGCTAGGCTCCAAGGAGGCTCTTTGGGGCGGTCTGCTACGCACAGTGGGGGCCCCCCTCTATGCTGCCTTTCAGGAGGGGCTGCTCCGTGTCACTCACTCCCTGCAGGATGAGGTCTTCTCCATTTTGGGGCAGCCAGAGCCTGATACCAATGGGCAGTGCCAGGGAGGTGAGTGTGGCCAGGGCTGGGACTGGGATGTGGCAGGGCAAGGAAAGTGAAATTGGGGTAGTTTTCTTCCTTACTCTTTCCCTCCTAGGTAACCTTCAACAGCTGCTCTTATGGTAAGTAACAGGAGACCAGTTCTGAGGGATTGGGCCTGGAAAATCTGGAGGTGAAGAGCTGAAGACCTCAGCCTCTAGAGAGGAAAACTGATGGGAGGAGTGTAGTTTAGTGGTTTTGGGGTGTGACTGTCTGGGTTGGTGTCCCAGCTCCACCTCTTCCTAGCCATATGACCTTGAGCAGGTTACATAGTCTTTCTATACCTCAGTTTCCCCATTTATAAAATGAGAATGATAATATTAGTTACCACAGAGTTGTTGCACCCGGTTAAATGAGTTGATACTGTGTATGCAAACGACTTAAAACCGTGCTGGCACATAGCGCTTAATAATGTTAGCTAGTAAAGATGGGATTTGGAAAATAAGGACACAGCTGGATTCCTCTACCCCCTTACTACTTCAGTACAACAATGCCAGACAGTAGTTAGACATATTGAGTTGCTGAGCAGATTTCCTAACATGAGGCCCGCTGAGGGTTGTGTTTAAGCTATCTAAAAGCATACGAAGAAAGGAGACAGAAGGGGGCCAGGTGGACAGAAAGAATTCCAACTGGGGCTTCTCCTAGGTGATTTTGGACCTTGGCAGGGCAGCTTTCTCTTTTTTGCCCCGTTGCAGCATTTCAACCAGTAACGCCTAAACTCTCAGGGACCTCGCTTGTAGAAAAGCCTATGCTTGCCATGCCCCTTGAGGGCTCTGAGTCAGGGTCAGAATCTTCAGCTGGAGGAAATGTGAACTGACCAGATCCTGCCTGCTCCTCCCTCTGCACCCAGGGGCGTCCGGCACAACCTTTCCTGGGATGTCCAGGCGCTGGGCTTTCTGTCTGGATCACCACCCCCACCCCCTGCCCTCCTTCACTGCCTGAGCACGGGCGTGCCTCTGCCCAGAGCTTCTCAGCCGTCAGCCCACATCAGCCCACGCCAACGGCGAGCCATCACTGTGGAGGCCCTCTGTGAGAACCACTTAGGCCCAGCACCACCCTACAGCATTTCCAACTTCTCCATCCACTTGCTCTGCCAGCACACCAAGCCTGCCACTCCACAGCCCCATCCCAGCACCACTGCCATCTGCCAGACAGCTGTGTGGTATGCAGTGTCCTGGGCACCAGGTGCCCAAGGCTGGCTACAGGCCTGCCACGACCAGTTTCCTGATGAGTTTTTGGATGCGATCTGCAGTAACCTCTCCTTTTCAGCCCTGTCTGGCTCCAACCGCCGCCTGGTGAAGCGGCTCTGTGCTGGCCTGCTCCCACCCCCTACCAGCTGCCCTGAAGGCCTGCCCCCTGTTCCCCTCACCCCAGACATCTTTTGGGGCTGCTTCTTGGAGAATGAGACTCTGTGGGCTGAGCGACTGTGTGGGGAGGCAAGTCTACAGGCTGTGCCCCCCAGCAACCAGGCTTGGGTCCAGCATGTGTGCCAGGGCCCCACCCCAGATGTCACTGCCTCCCCACCATGCCACATTGGACCCTGTGGGGAACGCTGCCCGGATGGGGGCAGCTTCCTGGTGATGGTCTGTGCCAATGACACCATGTATGAGGTCCTGGTGCCCTTCTGGCCTTGGCTAGCAGGCCAATGCAGGATAAGTCGTGGGGGCAATGACACTTGCTTCCTAGAAGGGCTGCTGGGCCCCCTTCTGCCCTCTCTGCCACCACTGGGACCATCCCCACTCTGTCTGACCCCTGGCCCCTTCCTCCTTGGCATGCTATCCCAGTTGCCACGCTGTCAGTCCTCTGTCCCAGCTCTTGCTCACCCCACACGCCTACACTATCTCCTCCGCCTGCTGACCTTCCTCTTGGGTCCAGGGGCTGGGGGCGCTGAGGCCCAGGGGATGCTGGGTCGGGCCCTACTGCTCTCCAGTCTCCCAGACAACTGCTCCTTCTGGGATGCCTTTCGCCCAGAGGGCCGGCGCAGTGTGCTACGGACGATTGGGGAATACCTGGAACAAGATGAGGAGCAGCCAACCCCATCAGGCTTTGAACCCACTGTCAACCCCAGCTCTGGTATAAGCAAGATGGAGCTGCTGGCCTGCTTTAGTGTGAGTGCTCTGCCAGAGGGAAAGCTCCTAGAACAGTGAGAAGGCCCTCCAGGGGAATTCCTCGAATACTCAGAGGCAGTAGTGTGGGGTAGTAGTTGAAGCACACAGCTCTAGAGTCAGACAGGCTTGGATTCATATCTTGGTTCTGTGACCAGCCTTGAATGAGTTATTTAACTTCTCTGAGCAATATTTTTCTCGTCTCATTTATAAACTAGGGATGATAATGGTATATGAGATAATACATGCTGTGGGCTTAGCACAGTGCATGATACACAAACATGCAATAAATATTACCTTGTTATTCTTTTGGGCTCTTTGACTCTCTCACTTTCTGCACCAGAAAGAAAAAGGATCAAGTTAGAGGACTCTAAATTTTTCCCCTAGAGAGTGAGAATTGGAGGCTGGCAGAATACAGGAAGATAAGGTAGGAATGAGAAAGATTCAGGGACACTACCAATCAGAAGACTTTGGTTCTAGGTTCAACTGTGCCACAAATTAGTGTGATCTTAGGCAAGCAATTTCATTTAGTTTTTCTGGGCTTCAGTTTTTAGTCTGTAGAATGGAGGGGTGAGAATATGTTAAACACCATAATTAATTCACTGAGTGCCTATTATATGCAAGGCACTTTGCTAGGTTCTGTAGGATATATAAAGATTTCTTACTCCATGTTGGGGCCACCTTTTTCAAACCCTGGGCCCAGTAAAATGGAATTAGATAGTCTCATAGTATTTGGTTCAGGTCTACAAGTATTAATTGAGCCAACTATGGACCTGGCATGGGAGAGGGTACAAGAGAAATTAGAGATATGATCCCGGACCTAAAAGAGCTTAATATCTGAAGAATCACACTTGAGATGATGGACAAGCATCCCAGCAAGTGGAGCTGGAATGCCTGGGGGAGCTGCAGGAGAGACAGAGAAGACAGCTCTGTTGGCATATTGTCTTTCTTCCCACCAGCCTGTGCTGTGGGATCTGCTCCAGAGGGAAAAGAGTGTTTGGGCCCTGCAGATTCTAGTGCAGGTAACAGGTGGAGGGCACATGGGTGGGCTGGGTGACAGCCATGGCTGGAGGTCCCTGCCCCGTGAGGTGAGGCCATACCCACCATGACCTCCTATTCGCAGGCGTACCTGCATATGCCCCCAGAAAACCTCCAGCAGCTGGTGCTTTCAGCAGAGAGGGAGGCTGCACAGGGCTTCCTGACACTCATGCTGCAGGGGAAGCTGCAGGGGAAGCTGCAGGTGAGCACTGAGAAAGGGGAGCAAGGGCACCTGGAGCCTAGTGTTCAGAGGGCTTGCTTTAGTGGGAGGAGGAACTCCAGAGAGGAAATGGCAGGGATACTGAGCATCTCCAGAGGCAGAATCCATTCCTGTGCCCCTACAGGTACCACCATCCGAGGAGCAGGCCCTGGGTCGCCTGACAGCCCTGCTGCTCCAGCGGTACCCACGCCTCACCTCCCAGCTCTTCATTGACCTGTCACCACTCATCCCTTTCTTGGCTGTCTCTGACCTGATGCGCTTCCCACCATCCCTGTTAGCCAACGACAGTGTGTAAGGTTCTTGCACTACTCCTCCTGCTCCTGTCACGGTCAGGCCAACCGCATCCACCTGGAGCAGCCCCTTCCGGAGCTCCTCTCTGTTTTTTTCTTTCATGCCAGATAGGCAATGTGCCAACATCGTAGCAAGGTTTGAGAGAGGCACATCTCACGCCTGAGTGTGAAAACCCAATCATTATGCTAATGAACTACAAAAGGATCAGAGAGCTCCTCTCTATTAAAACCAGGGAGAGGATGGGCGTGGTGGCTCATGCCTGTAATCCCAGCACGTTGGGAGCCCGAGGCAGGTGGATCACTAGGTCCGCCTAGTGAGTTCGAGACCAGCCTGGCCAATATGGTGAAACCCCGTCTCTATTAAACTACAAAAATTAGCCAGGCATGGTGGTGGGCGCTTGTAGTCCCAGTTACTCTGGAGGCTGAGGCAGGAGGATAGCTTGAACCTGGGAGGCAGAGGTTGCAGTGAACCAAGATCGTGCCACTGCACTCCAGCCTGGGTGACAGAGCGAGACTCCGTCTTAAAAAAAACAAAAAACAAAACAAAACAAAAAAACAGGGAGAGTCTCCTTCCTATCTAGACAGCAGGGCTACAGAGGGTCAGAGGAAAACAGTTTGGAGGAAGACAAAGGGTTAAGACCCATGACTCCTCGCAGCCTGGCTGCCATCCGGGATTACAGCCCAGGAATGAGGCCTGAACAGAAGGAGGCTCTGGCAAAGCGACTGCTGGCCCCTGAACTGTTTGGGGAAGTGCCTGCCTGGCCCCAGGAGCTGCTGTGGGCAGTGCTGCCCCTGCTCCCCCACCTCCCTCTGGAGAACTTTTTGCAGCTCAGCCCTCACCAGGTATGAGAATCATCTTCTTTACTTGACTGGCCCATCTTCTGCTAGTGGGGACAAAGAGTCAATGGCATGTCTCTCAGTGGCCCCTCCCTGCAAGAACCCTATAGTGACCCCAGTGCGAGCTAACCTTCCCCATCTCAGATCCAGGCCCTGGAGGATAGCTGGCCAGCAGCAGGTCTGGGGCCAGGGCATGCCCGCCATGTGCTGCGCAGCCTGGTAAACCAGAGTGTCCAGGATGGTGAGGAGCAGGTACGCAGGTGAGTTGTTGTGGGATCAGTAACCAAGGCAAGAGTGGAAGAGGTAGAGAGAGGAAGGCACAGCTGTCACGCTGGGTCGGTGTTCTAGGAAGAAAGGGGCAAGAGAGTAGGCAGTGGCCTCAGGCAGCATAGAGTTCCAGGAGAGAGGTCTATAGATGGTGCCCCTGTGTAGTGGTGTAGTGTCAGAGTGCCCAGTGTATGTACCCATACCATCTGCTGCCAGGCCTGCCTTAGTGCTAGTCTTGGGGACCACACAAAGGTCAGCTTCATGCCCTCCTCAGGCTTGGGCCCCTCGCCTGTTTCCTGAGCCCTGAGGAGCTGCAGAGCCTAGTGCCCCTGAGTGATCCAACGGGGCCAGTAGAACGGGGGCTGCTGGAATGTGCAGCCAATGGGACCCTCAGCCCAGAAGGACGGGTGAGCCCCTCAGCACAAGCCTACAAGACTTTAGGCTTCCCCTGGGTCTGTGTGGATGGCTTTCCCATTGTGTCAACTTGAGCACAGTGGTGCCAGCCCCCATCCCACTTTTGCAACCTCCATTCCTTACTCCATGGCCATTCTTACCTGTTACCACCTCTTCCTGGCCCTTCTCTATCTGGTCTGTAGCACCCCAAACATACCCTTTGCCATTTTGAACCTAATCTACTCCAGTCCAATCCCTAGTTCCAAACCCTAGCCCAGGCCCTGGGAAATTCAGATGTGGGATTAGAGAGGAAGTTCAAGGTTCATCTGTCTTTTCTCTCCAGTCCTAAACCTTCTTTGGTTACAGGTGGCATATGAACTTCTGGGTGTGTTGCGCTCATCTGGAGGAGCGGTGCTGAGCCCCCGGGAGCTGCGGGTCTGGGCCCCTCTCTTCTCTCAGCTGGGCCTCCGCTTCCTTCAGGAGCTGTCAGAGCCCCAGCTTAGAGCCATGCTTCCTGTCCTGCAGGGAACTAGTGTTACACCTGCTCAGGTTTGCCTGTCTCACTCCCTGGCATGTACCCTCCATCCCCGCTTGAGCCCCAGTCAAGAGAATCCCATTCAGGGATAAAAGCAGCCCCTCCTTTCCCTGGGTGAACAGTAGAGGTAAACTCTGTCTGCAGGAGGACGCCTTCATTCCCTTTCCTCAGATCAAGAAGGGACCTGAGTCACTGAGGATGGTTACTAGGGATGGTTAAGAGGCAGCGGGAAGTTTTGGAGGGTTTGCCTTAGGAACCCACTTAGGACCTGGCTGCTGGGTCCTGAGAGCTGTTGTTTTCGGTCCCATCCCAACACAGGCTGTCCTGCTGCTTGGACGGCTCCTTCCTAGGCACGATGTGAGTAGCAGCAACTTCTCAGCCTCCCGCCAGAGGTCTCTATCCTCTTTTAACCTGGCTCCTGCATCTGCCCCTCCTCTCTCTCCGCTCCCCTCATACTTACTGCCTTGCTGCATTGTGATTGTTGTCTTCCCCAACACCCTTCCCTTCTTCTTCAGGCCTCTTGTCTCTCTTGCTCTTTAGCTATCCCTGGAGGAACTCTGCTCCTTGCACCTTCTGCTACCAGGCCTCAGCCCCCAGACACTCCAGGCCATCCCTAGGCGAGTCCTGGTCGGGGCTTGTTCCTGCCTGGCCCCTGAACTGTCACGCCTCTCAGCCTGCCAGACCGCAGCACTGCTGCAGACCTTTCGGGTATGAGAGTGGCAAGGAGGATGAGATAATCAGGGATACCGGCTCTTTCTGGTTGGGAGGAAGGCATCTTCCCTGAGGCCAGGGAAGGCCTTTCATACCTCCCCACTTACACACACACACACACACACACACACACACACACACACAACCAATTCTCATGCAGGTTAAAGATGGTGTTAAAAATATGGGTACAACAGGTGCTGGTCCAGCTGTGTGTATCCCTGGTCAGGTAAGTGTGAGATCTCCCAACTGAGCTCCTCTCCCCATTCTGGGGCAGTTTCATATGGCTGGTGCTACCTCCCACACTACCCTGCAGTGGCCCTGAGAGTTCTGGTTAGCTCTGTGCCCATTAGCAGCCCTCCCCAGTGCCAGATGCAGGACAGCATGATCCACTCACATTGTCCTAGACTAATGTCAAAGCTGGAAGGGCCTGAGAAATCTTCCAGGCCACCCACCCTGCTTTCAGATGAAAAGACCAAGGCTGGGAGAAGCTAAGGGACTTTGTTTGCCTGGTGCCTAACTAGCAGCAACACTTGACCACAGCAGCCTGCAGTGTGAGGCTCTTAGGCGTTTATTGCTACAGTGGCAAATGCCATTCCACTTCTGTCCTAGCTTTGGTCCCTTTCCACCCCCATGGTTCCTTTTCTCTGAGTGCTAAGTACAGACTCTCTCACCTATCACTACACTGCTATACCCATCACCGCCAGCAGCCTATTCCCACCACCTGGCCAGACTGCCTGCTTCCCCTGCTCCCATTAAAGCTGCTACAACTGGATTCCTTGGCTCTTCTGGCAAATCGAAGACGCTACTGGGAGCTGCCCTGGTCTGAGCAGCAGGTAATTCTCCCCACTTAATTTCAGAACTTCCTCCCTCAATGTAGTCTACCTTCTTTACCTATCCCTTAGCCCTATTTGGCCAGCTTATCCCTACTATCCTTTATTTGATTGTTTGAGATACAGTCTCACTCTGTTGCCCAGGCTGCAGTGCAGTGGCATGATCAGAGTTCGCTGTAACCTCAAACTCCTGAGCTCAGGCAATCTTTCTGCCTCAGCCTCCTGAATAGCTAGGACGACAGGTGGTTACCACCATGCCTGGCTAATTTTTAAATTTTTTTTTTGTTTTTTGAGATGAAGTCTTGCTCTGTCACCCAGGCTTGAGTACAGTGGCACAAGCTTGGCTCACTGCAACCTCTGTCTCCCGGGTTCAAGCGATTCTCCTGCCTCAGCCTCCCGAGTAGCTGGGACTACAGGCACTCCCCACAATGCCTGGCTAATTTTTTTTTTGTTTTAGTAGAGACAGGGTTTCACCATATTGGCCAGGCTGGTCTCGAACTGCTGACCTTGTGATCTGCCTGCCTCTGCCTCTCAAAGTGCTGGGATTACAGGTGTGAGCCACCATGCCCGGCCAATTTTTAAATTTTTTGTAGAGACAGACAATACAAAAATGTGGACACTATGTGGAGACACTATGTTGAGGTACTATGCTGTCCAGATTGGTCTTGAACTCCTGGCCTCAAGCAATCCTCCTGCCTTGGCCTCCCAAAGTGCTGGGATTACAGACCTGAGCCACTGCACCCAGCCCCCTAGTATCTCTTATAATGTGACTTGCTTTTCTTTTTCTTTCTCCTTCCCTTTTCTTTCATTTCTTTCTCACTCTCGAGAGAAGAGTGGGCATCTGGGAGAGTGGGAGGCTGGTGGGTCCCACAGAGTGAGGAGGCAGGACTGGGTCCAAGGCAGTCCTGCCTCTCCACTCTAGGGGGTATCCTTGGACAGTGTCTCTTCTGGGAAGGGGCTCGTCTTTCTTTCTCTTGTAGGCACAGTTTCTCTGGAAGAAGATGCAAGTACCCACCAACCTTACCCTCAGGAATCTGCAGTGAGTAACTTGTGTTGAGCAGTGCGCTGAATTCGACCAACATTTTTTTGAGTGCTTACTATGTGCCAGGCACCATGTGATATGGAATGGGGGATATAGGGATGAATGATGCATAGTCCCTGCCTCGTGGACGTTCTCCTAGCACCTCCCTTTGCCCTCCTTTCCTTCCACAGTGCCATGCCTATCCTGACTAGAGCCAAAGGACTCAGAAAACCTGGATTCAGGTTCCAGTCCTGTCACCTACTTGTCCTCTTGGGCAAGTCATTTAACGTCCCTGTGTCAGTTTTCCCTTCTTTAAATGAGAATTACAATGGCACCAGCCTCATAGGTAGTTACTGTGAAGATTAAATGAGGTAGGTCATGTAAGATATTTAACACAGTGTTTGGTCCATTGTAAAGTCCCAGTAGTCATTTGCTACTGTTAGTTTACTTCAGGATGACTTCAGAGGCACTGGCCAAGCAAGAATAAATAGGAATAAGAAGGTATCACTTTACTTACACCCACATTAGAAGAACAATGGGCTTCAGAATCTTTTTTTTTTTTTTTTTTTCGAGACAGTCTTGCTCTGTTGCCCAGGCTGGAGTGCAGTGGCGCGATTTCGGCTCACTGCAACCTCTGCCTCCCAGGTTCAAGCGATTCTCCTGTCTCAGCCTCTGGAGTAGCTGGGATTACAGGAATGTGCCACCATACCCAGCTAATTTTTGTATTTTTAGTAGAGATGGGGTTTCACCATTTTGGCCAGGCTGGTCTCAAACTCCTGACCTCAGGTGATCCACCCGCCTCAGCCTCCCAAGGGCTTCA
This sequence comes from Homo sapiens, assembly GCF_000001405.40. Taxonomy (NCBI): domain Eukaryota; kingdom Metazoa; phylum Chordata; class Mammalia; order Primates; family Hominidae; genus Homo; species Homo sapiens. The sequence continues at coordinate 43,608,473 of NC_000015.10, read as the reverse complement.
GAATCTAAGACATGGCTCTAGTTTCAGTTTACCACATTTCTAGCAGAATGATGTTGGGAATGTCACCTGACTTCCATAAATCCTTATTTTCTCCTCTGATAAACAGCAGTGATGTTATGGGGAGCTGATGAGATATCTATGTAAAAACATTTCTCAAACCATAAATTACGGTGGATGAACATCTGTACTTGTGTTGAGAGTACTGATATCAAGGAGCAAACAGGCTGTTGTATGTGTTGAATGAGCCTCTCCCCACTCACACACCCACAGGGCTCTGGGCACCCTGGCAGGAGGCATGTCCTGTGAGTTTCTGCAGCAGATCAACTCCATGGTAGACTTCCTTGAAGTGGTGCACATGATCTATCAGCTGCCCACTAGAGTTCGAGGGAGCCTGGTGAGAGGGGGTGCCTGGACTTTAGTGGGAGCAGGGAGGCTGGGACCCTAGGTATAGAACCCAGCTCCTATGTTCTGCTCTGGCCTCACACTGCTTCCCTACAGAGGGCCTGTATCTGGGCAGAGCTACAGCGGAGGATGGCAATGCCAGAACCAGAATGGACAACTGTAGGGCCAGAACTGAACGGGCTGGATAGCAAGCTACTCCTGGACTTACCGTAAGTACTGCAGCTAGAGATATTGGCCCCTCAGAAAGCTCAATCTGGGGTGAAGATCTGCCCTTAGGGAATGCCCTGGAGGAGGTAGTTTTTCTGTCTGGTAGTTCCCTGACATAATTTATAGCCCAAAGCAGAGGATTTTATTCAAAGTTGCTCTATGTATTGACTGGTTCCCAGAATATGCTCCAGCACAGGGCAGCTGAGGGTGGCAACACTGTATTGAAGCCTGCCAAGTAATCTTACAATAACCTAGTCCACATTAATTGAGATTGAGACAGAGCATCTGAAGTGAGGGAGGCAATGCTCCAAATCTGCCCCAGAGGATTGTAGTTTGCTCAGGGCACTGTGTTCTTAGTGCATTCAGAGGAGTAGATCGAGAGAAAAATATATGAAAAATGTGATAAATACCTTCAAATACCTGAGGGGCTATCAAGTAGAAATTAGATTGTCATATTTATGAGTGGCCCCATTGGGCAAGACTAAGAGTAGTTAACGGAGATCAGATTTTTACATAGTATAAGAAAAACTAAGGTAGTGAGTTCCTGGTCCTTGGAGCTGTTCGAGCCTAAGCCAGATGGCCCCATGGCAGGAATGTTGTAGAGCACGTTCATATACAGGTTGTGGGAAGAAAAGGCTATAGGAACCCAAGGCTCCTCCCTACCCATGGAGAAATTTATTAGTATGTTACTCATATGCTGCTTTTCTCATTTTACCCCTACCACCACCCCGTTGCCATCCGCACTGTAAGTCAGGATAGGAAAATGCTGGTGTTACAGTCTTCCTGGGGAATATGGAGCTGAAGTGGAGTAAAAGCAGTTGACTTCATTCCTACTTTTTTCTTTTTTTTCTTTTTTTTTTTTTTTGAGACAGAGTTTTGCTGTGTCACCAAGGCTGGAGTGCAGTGACGTGATCTCGGCTCACTGCAACCTCCATCTTCCAGGTTCAAGCAATTCTCCTGCCTCAGTCTCCCGAGTAGCTGGGACTGTAGGTGTGCACCACCATGCCAGGCTAATTTTTGTATTTGTTGTAGGGACGAGCTTTCACCATGTTGGCCAGGCTGGTCTTGAACTCCTGGCTTCAAGTGATCTGCCCACCTCGGCTTCCCAACATTCTTATATTTTTATAGGCCTTTCCACAGATTTCAGCTCTTGTATGACTTAGCCCAGTTCCAGAACTGGTAATCCTAGGTAGGGTACAGGTTATCACCTCTGATTTCGGGTAAAAGGGATTTATTTATTTATTTGTTTATTTATTTATATTTTTGAGACAGAGTCTCGCTCTGTCACCCAGGCTGGAGTGCAATGGTGCCATCTCGGCTCACTGCAACCTCTCCCTCTGGGGTTCAAGCAATTCTCCTGCCTCAGCCTGCTGAGTAGCTGGGATTACAGGCGCGTGCCACCACACCCGGCTAATTTTTGCATTTTTAGTAGAGACGGGGTTTCACCATGTTGCTCAGGGTGGTCTCGAATTTCTGACCCTGTGATCTGCCTGCCTCGGCCTCCCAAAGTGCTGGGATTACAGGCATGAGCCACTGCGTCCGGCCTGTTTTTACTTTTTTTTAATGCCATTCAGATCTGTTTAAATATGTGGGTTCTGTGAGATAATTTAGAATCCCAAGGTTACAGATGAGGTGAAAGATCCTAGACCATGCATCAAAAAACTTGAGTTTCTCATTTGTGAAAGAAGGATAAGAGAAACACCTATTTTGTCTGGGTGCAGTGGCTCATGCCTATAATCCCAGCATTTGGGGAGGCCAAGGTGGGTGGATCACGGAGGTCAGGTGTTCAAGACCAGACTGGCCAACATGGCAAAACACCATCTCTACTAAAAATACAAAAGTTAGCTGGGCGTGGTGGCACGTGCGTGTAATTCCAGCTATTCGGGAGGCTGAGGCACGAGAATTGCTTGAACCTGGGAGGTGCGGGTTGCAGTGAACTGAGATCGCAGCACCACTGTGCTCCAGCCTGAGTGATGGAGTGAGGCCAGGTCTTGTTGTAGGATCAAATGAGATAACACCTGAAAGAACTTTGTAAATTGTATAGCACGTACAAACAAGAAGGGACCTCTTCACAAGCAGAGGAAGGGTGGTCCTGTGGAAAAAAACGGGAATTGGGAGTGAGAGACCTCAACATTTGATCTCTGTGAACCTCAGTTTTTTAATCTATAAAATGGGGAAATGTTAATGGTACTTAATATTTGGAGCTTTTGAGTCCATTAGATCAGGTAGGATTGTTCGTTATTTTTTTTTTTTAGGAAGACTAGAAATATGTTGCTCCCTTTTTCTCCCCCACTCAAGCTTGATGGTGGGAATTGGCCCTGGAGCTGTTTACTATCAGTTCCTGTCCAGCTTCACTAAATTTGGTCTGGGGTCACATCTTAGCTGCGGACTGTGGGGTTTTGTGGTCCCTTCTCGACTTGGCCCAGCTCCACCTGAATCCTGTTGTTGTCAAATTGCTGTAATAGGATCCAGTTGATGGACAGACTATCCAATGAATCCATTATGTTGGTGGTGGAGCTGGTGCAAAGAGCTCCAGAGCAGCTGCTGGCACTGACCCCCCTCCACCAGGCAGCCCTGGCAGAGAGGGCACTACAAAACCTGGTAAGAGTCCACCCTACCAGACTCAGATTTGCTGCCCTGGGCAATTCTTGCTCCTCAGACAATGCTCTCTGACTGTCCCCCAACCCTCTACTTCTTGCTTTCTTGCTGCCAAACAGATTCCTGTCTACAAGGCCTGGCCCCTGTTTTGCCTCTGGGTTCTGTTCCTTGATAATATGCTTCACGTTACTTGTCCATACCTCTTGGAGTCCGAGAAATCTCTTGGAGTCCACCTCTCAGTCTTTCTGCCTGCTCCTATCTGGGCTCATTGCTTAAGGAAGTGAACAAAGGTAGTGAGCATCATAGGGTGCTGAGCTGGGAGCAGGAGGGAGGGAAGGTTAGGGGGCTTGGTGTCTTGATCAAGGTGTCTGGTATTCTGAGTCAGAAGTGCATTGTCCAAGTTCTGATGCTCTTCTCCAGGCTCCAAAGGAGACTCCAGTCTCAGGGGAAGTGCTGGAGACCTTAGGCCCTTTGGTTGGATTCCTGGGGACAGAGAGCACACGACAGATCCCCCTACAGATCCTGCTGTCCCATCTCAGTCAGCTGCAAGGCTTCTGCCTAGGAGAGACATTTGCCACAGAGCTGGGATGGCTGCTATTGCAGGAGTCTGTTCTTGGGTATGGACCTTCGAGAACTTCAGATTCTAACTCATTCTATACCCAGTCCCTCAGCCACCATCATCAGTGGCAGCCTGTTCCATATTCTTAAGGTCCCCTGGAGCCCTGTGTCCGAAATCCTAGCATGTCCTCTTTTCCCCTTCCTTTTCCTCACAGTTCCCTCAGCTCCCCAGCCCCCGATTTTCTTCCTGTCCCCAGGAAACCAGAGTTGTGGAGCCAGGATGAAGTAGAGCAAGCTGGACGCCTAGTATTCACTCTGTCTACTGAGGCAATTTCCTTGATCCCCAGGGTGAGATGAAGGAAGAAGGGAAGGGAGTAAATGCATAGAGGGGACTGGTGAGCTGGTTATGGGGACCCGTGGCCAAAGAGGGCAAAGGATATGAAGCCTAGATCTGGGGGGAGACTGCAAAACAGAGACAGGACTTTGGACTTAGAGCTATAGCAGCAGGTCCTGATCTGTCCAGATCTCCCCACTCTCCTTCTACCTTCTCATGCAGGAGGCCTTGGGTCCAGAGACCCTGGAGCGGCTTCTAGAAAAGCAGCAGAGCTGGGAGCAGAGCAGAGTTGGACAGCTGTGTAGGGAGCCACAGCTTGCTGCCAAGAAAGCAGCCCTGGTAGCAGGGGTGGTGCGACCAGCTGCTGAGGATCTTCCAGGTGAAACTACCCAAATACTTATATGTCCAGCAGGATGTACAGGGAGTATCAAACGGTCTGGGTTCTACATGTGCTCTTCCCTGGGACTGGGTTTTCTAATTTATAAAGCAAAGAGTTTAGAGGGATGATCTTCAAGCCTCTTGTAGTTCTAGAATTCTGTAGTTCTGGGAGTTTGTAAACTATTAAGTTTTCTTTTAGCCCAGAACTTCCATTTTCCTGCTCTCTCGTGTCTGCTCTAGACTCAGCTCTAGCTCGGCTAAGTGTGGAGCTCTCTGCTGGGGAGATCCCTAGAAGCTTTGAAGGAGACATTGTGAGGCTGGAGAACTGGGTTCAAATTCAGTGCTACCATTAAATCTCTGAATAACATCCTCAGTCTTCCATCTATAAAAGTCTTGGCATCTCCAATCACTTCTTGTTCTATTATCTCCTAAGCCCTATACATATTACTCTGTAATACTCCTTTGATCCCTATTTCTCACAGTGCTCTATCCTCCAAAGGTTGGAAGACTCACTCTATCTACAGATATCTCTCTGGGCATATTTTATTACTGCGCTGACCTCCTGGCCCTGCCTTCCCCCTTCAGAACCTGTGCCAAATTGTGCAGATGTACGAGGGACATTCCCAGCAGCCTGGTCTGCAACCCAGATTGCAGAGATGGAGCTCTCAGACTTTGAGGACTGCCTGACATTATTTGCAGGAGACCCAGGACTTGGGCCTGAGGAACTGCGGGCAGCCATGGGCAAAGCAAAACAGGTTAGGGATGGAGAGCCAACTGGGGTTGGCCATGAGGAAGCTATTTGGGTGTGATGTAGGACACAAAGAGAATGGAGAGTTGGATGAGAGGTGGGGGAAGCAAGAGATAGAAGAGTTAGAAGATTTGGGTCACAAGTAGGAGGTGAAGGGAGATAAATATTGAGGAAAGAGAGCTAGTATAATGAATAGAGGGACGAAAGCAGTGGTTACCAAATTTTAATGCATATCACGATCATCAAGGGAACAGATTTTTTTCTTTATTTTTTTTTCTTTCTTAAAAAAATAATGGCATGCTTCGGCTGGGTGCAGCGGCTCACGCCTATAATCTCAGAACTTTGGGAGGCCAAGGCGGGCAGATCACGAGGTCAGGAGATCAAGACCATCCTGTCTAACACGGCGAAACACGGTCTCTACTAAAAATACAAAAAAGTTAGCCGGGCATGGTGGTGCACACTTGTTGTCCCAGCTACTTGGGAGGCTGAGGCAGGAGAATGGCGTGAACCTGGGAGGGGGAGCTTGCAGTGAGCCGAAGTCAAGCCAATGCACTCCATCCTGGGTGACAGAGCAAGACTCCATCTCAAAAAAAAAAAAAAAAAAAAAAGGCATGCTTCATGAATTTGCGTGTTATCCTTGCACAGGCGCCATGCAAATCTCTGTATCATTCCAATTTTTTGGGGTATGTGCTGCTGAACTGAGCATGGGAACAGTGCCAGTGCCAGATTACCATGCTTCACTGACTTAATAAAAACCTTTGGGGAGGCTGGGCGCAGTGACTCATGCCTGTAATCACAGCACTTTGGGAGGCGGAGGCAGGTGGATTGCTTGAGCCCAGGAGTTAGAGACCAGACTGGGCAACATGGTGAAACCCTGTCTCTACTAAAAATAGAAAAAACATTAGCTGGGTGTGGCGGCACATGCCTGTAATCCCAGCTACTCAGGAGGCTGGGGTAGGAGAATCCCATGAGTGCAGGAGGTGGAGGGTGCAATGTGCCAAGATCGCACCACTGCCCTCCAGCCTGGGTGTCAGAGCAAGACCCTGTCTCATAAATTAAAAAATAAGCCTCTGGGGGAAAGAGTCTAGACATCTGCATCTCCTTTTTTTTTTTTTTTTTTTTTTTTTGAGACAGAGTCTCACTCTGTCACCCAGCATCCAGGCTGGAGTGCAGTGGTGTGATCTTGGCTCACTGTAACCTCTACATCCTGGGTTCAAACGATCCTCCTGCCTCAGCCTCTCAAGTAGCTGGGACTACAGGTGCACCACACCTGGCTAATTTTTGTATCTTTGGTAGAGATGGGGTTTCACTATGTTGCCCAGGATGGTCTCGAACTTCTGGGCTCAAGCAATCCTCCCACCTCAGCCTCCCAAAGTGCTGGGATTACAGCTGTTAGCCACTGTGCTGGGCCCTAGGCATCTGTTTTAATAAGCGTCTCTGTGTCTGATGCACATAAAAGTGTGGAACTCATGGACTAGAGTTAGTTTGCTCTTCTTTTCCACTGATTGTAATGTCTTTCAAAACACCTTAGAGGAACTGTAAGGCAACGGTCTCATTTTATAGTGGAGGAAACTAAAGAAAAGGCAAATGATTTACCTAGAGTTATACAGCTAAGGGCAGAGGCAAGACTTAAAACCCAGCAGTATGACTCCCAATCCACTGCTTTTCCACTCACATTGTTCCTGTCTTTCTCCTAGTTGTGGGGTCCCCCCCGGGGATTTCGTCCTGAGCAGATCCTGCAGCTTGGTAGGCTCTTAATAGGTCTAGGAGATCGGGAACTACAGGAGCTGATCCTAGTGGACTGGGGAGTGCTGAGCACCCTGGGGCAGATAGATGGCTGGAGCACCACTCAGGTAACACTTTTCCTCCTCCCTACGGCTTCCCAAACACCCATCCCACAGACCCAGCCCTATAGATCATCTAAAGCCCAAGGAATTTTTTTCCTGTGACCCTACCTGGTCCTTCTTTCTATCTTTTGTTGATACCCCATACTAGTGACCTTCAGGACTCTGATTTATTCACTCTGAGGCCCTGGACACATAATACTGTCTCCTACCTCTTTTCCTGGAGGCTTCCTCTTTTTCTTTCCTTTTCTTTTCTGAGTCCTCAGCCTTCCCCATGACTCCTTAGGTCTTAATAGTAACAGAATATAACCCAGTAACACCTATCACTTCCCTGTCCATTAATTCTCCATAACTTTCCTCCTTCCCCTCTTCTCCCACCCCCCACCCCAGCTCCGCATTGTGGTCTCCAGTTTCCTACGGCAGAGTGGTCGGCATGTGAGCCACCTGGACTTCGTTCATCTGACAGCGCTGGGTTATACTCTCTGTGGACTGCGGCCAGAGGAGCTCCAGCACATCAGCAGTTGGGAGTTCAGGTCATTTGTGAAGGGGCTGAGGGTGGTGGTGCTGAGGTAAAGGTGGACTTACTGGGGAAAGAAGGATCATGAAGGTCTGGTCCCATGGAGGAAGGGAACTCATTTGAAGCCATCTCTTCCTTTGTCTCATGACCACAGCCCCTTTCACTGAAGCCGAATTCTTCTTCCTTCCTTCCTACTGTTCTACAGCCAAGCAGCTCTCTTCCTCGGCACCCTGCATCTCCAGTGCTCTGAGGAACAACTGGAGGTTCTGGCCCACCTACTTGTACTGCCTGGTGGGTTTGGCCCAATCAGTAACTGGGGGCCTGAGATCTTCACTGAAATTGGCACCATAGCAGGTGGGGAGCTGGGCCACTGCTGGTGCAAGTTGGTTTGGTTTCTATACCATGGGTGGACTGGATGGAAGACTGCCCTGCAATTCTTAAGGTGGGGGCCTGAGGGTGTTTAAATAAGGGGCTAGAGACATATTGGGGAAGGTCTATGATAGGGCACTTTGGGAGTAGTTAGAGAAGGTCTATAGGTTTGAAGAGAGGGAAGGTCAGTCTAAGACAATGTTTGGATGCCACTTGCTTCAACAGCTGGGATCCCAGACCTGGCTCTTTCAGCACTGCTGCGGGGACAGATCCAGGGCGTTACTCCTCTTGCCATTTCTGTCATCCCTCCTCCTAAATTTGCTGTAAGTATTAATGGACTGGGGTGACCACAGGAGAGCCAGGGCCCAATGGGGACTACATGCATGCACTGATTCCTACCCCTGCCCTCAGGTGGTGTTTAGTCCCATCCAACTATCTAGTCTCACCAGTGCTCAGGCTGTGGCTGTCACTCCTGAGCAAATGGCCTTTCTGAGTCCTGAGCAGCGACGAGCAGTTGCATGGGCCCAACATGAGGGAAAGGAGAGCCCAGAACAGCAAGGTGAGTTCCCAGCTGCACAGCTTGATCCTCCATCTCCTGACCCAGAATCAAACCCCTAATTTGGTGCTGTCTGGCTCTTAGAGTGCACCCAGGGAGATCCCTGGAGTGAAGGAGTCTACAGGCAGAGCGCTAATTTCCAAGTATCAATGCTCCTGGAGAGCTGAGTTGTGATATTACTCCCATTCCCTGTCTATTATAGGTCGAAGTACAGCCTGGGGCCTCCAGGACTGGTCACGACCTTCCTGGTCCCTGGTATTGACTATCAGCTTCCTTGGCCACCTGCTATGAGCCTGTCTCTACAGTAGAAGGAGATTGTGGGGAGAGAAATCTTAAGTCATAATGAATAAAGTGCAAACAGAAGTGCATCCTGATTATTTTCAGAAGCTGATGAGGAATATGGGTAAAATGTTAATGCTTTCCACCCACCTGAGAATCAGTGTTCCTGGGTTGCCATATCTGGAGTCTCTTTCCATCATAAATAATCCCACTGCCTCTTTTCATTTCCTGAAGGCTGCTCCCTCCTCACCCCACCATTAGAAGTAACACAGACAGCTGCAGCATAGCAAGGAGTCTTTACTAGGATGGAGGCAGGGGATGCGGGGGCAGGTCCAGAGCAAGTAGAATGGGCCATCATTAGAATGAGCAGAACTCCTGGGAATCTTGAGTCATCAGCTGGCGATGGGGAGTTAATGCTTGGTGTGGATGACAGGTGTGGGGATGCGGATATCCTGGCCTCTCTCCAGACGCCGTTCACAATCAATCAAATAGTTTACTCCATCGATGACCAGTTGCACCAGCTCCACCTAAGGGACACTAATCTTTGATCTGCTTCCTACAGTCTGAGTTTTTCTTTATCACTGACTGACTTGCCTGCTCATTTCCAATTGCCTCCCCACTCAACCTGAATTTCATTTCAGATTATCTTACATCCCGGAGGCTCACTCACTGCCATATTTCGGCCCTCGCAGACCTATACCTCTCCTTGTCCTAATCCCTTAGGATCTCACCTCTGATTTGCCTAGTCGGTCCAAATTAGAAATATCAAAGACACCGCCTGTAGCAGCAGTGTCCACTCCTCCAGTACCACGTTTTTGGAGTCTTAGGTTCTCCAGGATCTTTGGGAAGCGGCTATCCTAGAGAGGAGATAGGGATTGGGAGCAGGGTCAATAGAGGCAGAGACTAGTCCTACCTGAAAGAGCCCTGAACCTGCTCAGAGCTCTGTCTCCTGAACTTTTTTTTTCCTTTTTTCTTTTTTCTTTTTTAATTTTTTTTAGACAGGGTCTCTCTCTGTCACCCAGGCTGGAGTGATCACAGCTCACTGAAGCCTCGACTTCCCAGGCTTAAGTGATCCTCTCACCTCAGCCTCCACTACACCCAGCTAACTTTTGTATTTGTAGTAGAGATGGGGTTTCACCAGGTTGCCCAGGCTGGTCTTGAACTCCTGGGCTCAAGTAATCTGCCTGCCTTGGCCTCCCAAGTGTTGGGATTAGAGGCATGAGCCACTGTGCCTGGCCTGTCCTCTGACCCTTTAGCCACAACATGTTTGGCTCCTTTCCAAAGGGTCCACTCCCTCCCCATCCACAACCCACCCTTCCTTACTCACACCCCTCTGTAACCCCACAACTCCTTTACTTTGCTTAGCAGGGGCAGTTTGATGTGCACTCCTGCCCGAAGTCCAGTGCCCAGGTTAGATGGACAGGTCAAGATGTATCCCAAACGCTCATTCCACATGAACTCCCAGCCACGTTCTTGGATAAGTCTCTCCACCTGAGTCCACAAAGGTTTTGTTAACGAAAAATCAGGGATATTTCATTAACCCTGGACCCTCCCTTAGCTAGACCCACAAGAACACTAGAAATATGTCTAGAACAGAAACTTGGCTGTGAATGAATGACATTGGTCTTTTTTTAAATGAAAAAGGTTTGTTATTGTTTTCATGCATGCATGATGCAAAATTATGATGTGCATAATAATGAGATTGTGAAAAAATATCTTATGTGGAAGAAGAAAACTCGAAGGAGTGGTGTATTAAGGATGATCTAGGGAAATGAACAGAGGTGGTAAACTGAACTGAGAGATGACTGATTATTCAATGAGGTCTGCATGCATCGATTATCTTTGCTTTGCTAATGAGCCTAGAGCTTAGAAGGGTCCCTTCAGACAGAAGATGAAGGTGTAAGCTTTGCCAGGAAGAGGTAAGATAACATTCTGTTAGCTGTGAACGGAGCACCTGTGTGAATGCAGAGAAAGATGAAAACAGAGCAGAAAAGCCAGATTCATAGGAATAGGGGGCGGGGGGAAGGCGTTTGGCTTCACTTAACCATGTAGTCATGAAGATGACTATTAGAGTTCAAGAGACAAGGGATCTAGCAGAATGATGGTCACAAAGACCACAACCCAACATGAGTAAAGGGATCCTCTTTATAGTTCAGAAGGAACCATGCCATAGGGGATATCTTACATGCTGAACATGGGGGGAAACTCTTCCATCCAGAATAATATTGCAGCTAACACTTTAACACTTATTAAGCACTTACTGTGGACCAAGTACTTTACCTGTATTTCACTTAATCCCCACAACAACCTAAAATGTAGAAAATCTCATTATCCCAATTTTACAGATGAGGAAACTGAGGCATATAATTTAAAGGTACTTCCCTACCCACTCATAGTCAGAATATGTTATCTATTACTTGCCAAAAATAGTAGAAACTTCTCAGAATCTAAAAGAGGAGCTCTTTTTCTTTGCAAACCTAAAATAGAACTGTATGTTTGAGAACATACAGTAAGAATTGAATTGAGTTTATGGGGATTTCTAATGTAGACTTGAATACGGAGACCCAATCCATGTAGGATTGATGATTCAGTTCAACCTCTCATCTAGAGCCACATATTCTAGAACTTGAACCATTCTATCCTCCACCTTCCCCAGTCTCTCTCCGAACTCTCAACTTAAAGCCTAGACCCGATACTTTAACAAGAATGATAGAATCCAGAGTCAAGGCCTACCTTGTCTCAGAACTGGGTGGTTATATTAGAGTCATGAACACAGCAACCTCTCCCCGCCAACATCAATCTAAGCTCGAATGTTTTCCTTATCTGCACACCTCACCATCCCACTGCACACATCCCAGGCACTGACGTGCCATCTCATTTATTCCTTCTTTGCACTCTCTGTCAACAGCCTTGTTCACTTCCTAAGATTCCTGACACTCTTTCTTTTCCTAATCTTAGTGTGACCACATGTCCTGGTTTTCCCAGTATGGTCCCAGCTGGTTTACACCTTTAGTCCTGGAGTGAGTCCTAGATAGTCCTTTTTACTATAAGACATGTCCTGGGTTGGTTGGTAAATTACATAATCTATTTATGCTACTCTTTGGTTTTCCTTATGTCCTCCCACCTAGCTCCCCTACATAGTCTTCTCTAACCTCTTTGAGGCCTCGGCAGAATCTTTCAAACACTCTCTTCATGTTACCACCCTTCTCCATGGAGATCACCCGTGTATGATCCTCCTCATTCACCCAGATCAGGAAGCTCTTCTCATTGTTGTGCCTGAGGGCCGGAGAGGGACAGTGATCAAGAGGCAAGGCAAGAATTGGGAGAGATAGAGGGAAAAAAAGCATTTATGAGGGCATGAAGACAAAAGAGGTAATGAGCAGCTTCATACCAAATTCCACGAGCATCTGGCCAGTCTCGAGCCATTCCTGCTGCAGTCAGCAACGGGGACACAGGCTTATCAAACAGAAAGTGGTCCTGGGAAGAGTAACGGGACTTGGGTTAAGAATCTTCATGGTGGCCCCTGGGCCTTTCAGAGCCCATGTCTCATCTGGCCCAGCCTTCCCCATCTGCTCCCACCAACCAGCACCCTCTTAAGGCCCTCACATCAATAAGCTGCTGCTGTTCAGCCTCTGTCATCTCACTGAGCCTATAGTAACGTCCAGCCAGGTCACCCTTCAGGCCACTCAGTGCATCCACCACAACACGTTCCACCTCTCGTCGCTCTGCTCGAGTGCAAGCTGGAGGCAGACTGAGTCCTCGGATGCTTCGGCCAGTTCTGACTCTAGAGGACAATACATACCTCTCATCAAAGTAGCCAGAACGGATCTGGGAGATAAGGGAAATGAATGTAAGTCACAGAAACACGGTGGGAACTGAGGGCCCCTGGGAAAGGAGAGACCTTCCTTAGGCATTAGAGGACTCTTTGTGCATTCTTCCTGCATGCATTGGAAGAAGAGGCCCTTTGGGAAAGCACTGGAATTGAAGGGGGCATTGCAGACCTTTCCCCAAACCACCCACCTTGGGTCATGGTCATTCTTATCTATCCTTCCATCTCCATATATGCTGCCCCTTAAGATATGATTCTTTCCTTACATTAAGATTAAAAGCTCAGCTGTATAATGACCATGAGTCAGGAAATAAGGTGAAGGGGTTGGAGATACAGAGTGTTGTACACAGGCAATGCAAATCAGAAGTGGGATATTTGAACTCACTTTACTGGCATCTAGATCCGTGGTGTGCTTCATTGTCCGGGGGTCATATCCATTGTGTCGCTCTTGGATCACAGGGTCAAACAGGTCAGCAAATACCTAAGGGGAGTTAAGAGGGAGAGATGGTTAAGGAGAGGGAATCCCTCCCCAGACTTCAATTGTGCATTGATTTCACTGGTTCAGAAAACTTAAGTATGGGGGGCTCAGAGTCTTGGGGGAAAGTGAGAGGTCTTTAGGGGAAAGGAGCTGGGATTACTGGGAAGATGAATTGGATCATCAGGGAGACTCTGGGGACCCCCTACCTCATAGGTCTCCTCATCTCCAGCCACCATGCCCACAGTCTTGATGAAGGGGTGGCCAGGGTTGTCCACGCCAGTCTGGATACACTGATCTAGCGTCCAACCAGTGGGTGTGGTCTTGTCGCAGAGCCGTGCATAGACTGCTGGGGTCAGGTGACTGGCCATGCAGTTGTTGTGCTTTCGGAGGTCTGGGTACTCAGCGCTGGGGAGGGGGTACCCAGTAACCATGGAGGGAGGGCACAGACGCCTAGACCTAGTGCAGTTACCTGGGAGCTGTCCAGTTGGCCATGTCTGGCTTTGCTCCGCGGGAGGAGGGGGAATTAGAAAGAGGGTAAACCTTGGTAATCTCTTTAGGGACTTTCAGAGTCTATGCTTTCCTAATAGTTCTAGTTGCCTCTGGCTGGCCAGCTCAGTTTCTTCAGATCTGCTCAGTTCTTTCCTCCCATGACACAACACTACGGATGGAGGAGGGGAAAAGCCTAAGGAGAGGAATTGAGGAAATGAGGGAAGGAGATGGAGGGGAGCGAAAAGGATAGTTCCTGGCTTTACAATTAGGGATTTGGGCAGCCAGTGCAGCTAGAACTCGTAGGGCCAGAGCTGGTCTTGGCAGGTCCCCAGGAATGTTCTTGCTTTATGGTTTTGGCCCCCACCCCCACCCCACTGAGGTCTGCAGACTGCACAGCCCTCCAGCTCCAGGGCCTTCGTGATTATAGCCCTTCTCTGTTGCCCGGATTCTCACTTCTACCCGCACCTTCGTTCCCATCACCTCCTGCCCCCGCCTCCTCCCGCGCCTCAGGCACTGTTACCTCGGGGGATACAGCCTCCGTCGTTCACTGGCAGCTCGTACAGGTTCCGGTCGGAGCAGAAACCCAGCGGCTAGAGACCCCGCTCCGGCCAAAGCCAGGAGCCTGAGTCCCGGGCGGGCGGACAGCAGACGGGAGAAGGGACCAGCCATGGCTTGAGGTCTGGCTACGGGATCCTGGAGTAGGCGCTGGCGCAAGATAAGATCCGGAACAGGGAGGGAGGATGCAACCGGATAGACCGAGGGCCGGAGCTAGGTCCGAGGCTGCAGCCGAAATGGGGGTCGGATTGGAGGCTGGAGCCGGAATGGGAGCCGGTGCCAATCAGACTGCAGGAGAGGCGCAATGAGCTAGTGGCAGGCGGGCGGGCGGAGGAGAGGGAGGCCCCAGCCGCAGTCTCCAGGGGTGGGGCTCCCCCAGGCCCCGCCTTCCCGCCTGCCACCGCGCTAGGTGCGCGAGGGCAGGGGTGGGCAGCACCCGCCAGGTAATTAGCGGGACCTGAGACTCGCGCGTCTAAAGCCGGGGATGTAGCCCCCTCCCGCCCCGGGGATGTGGCCGCCCAGATTTCAGCACCAAGTGGAGGACAGCACCCACGTGGACTAGCTGAACCCAACACCCTTCCCCCACACCCCTCGGTTTAAGCTGAAACTCGATCCGTCTACCCTGTGGGTGTGCAAGGGTGACACTGCCCAACCTTTCCTCTGCTTTCGGCCTGCCCCAGCCACCTCTTCGGTCTCCCGGGGGCAGCCGCGGGGAAACCGCGGAATAAACACAGATACCAGAGGAGGATATGGAGAAAGCACAGGGTTAGAGGCAGGCACTGGGAAAGACACCCACTGGCTCAAGGTCACCTTTTCCTTAGAACCAGGAAGAGGAGCAAGGTGCTTCCTTGCCACCTCTGTGCACGCCTTACAAAGTTGAGAAAGGACTCCCTGGGAGGAACCAAGGAAATATTAATTCTTATGCCATCTGTGCTGTGTCCTCCACCTCCATTCTGCACCCAAGTCTGAAGCCCTGTTATTTCCTGCCTCTGCTTCTCATGATCCCCCACTTTTTGTTTTCCTTTTGTCTCTCCCACTTTCCTCCACGTCCCCTACCTCACCTTTGATCTTTTACTTCTCTGCGTCTTTTCCAGGCTCAGATGTGTTTGCTGCTCACAGGATGCCCTCTGCGTTTTCTCGGCAAGCTTGCCCACCTGTTGGTGGTGCTGGGTGTGGGGGTGGGCAGGGAATCGTTAGTTTCCTCCTCCTCCTCTCCCTTGGCTTCTCTCTCCGTAGTTCCTAGTTCCTGTGCTGGAGGAGAAGGTAAAGTGAGGTGAAGGGTGTGGTGAGATGACTGGGTGTGGGACTGGAACAGGCAGGCACAGGTCTCCAGACACCACATGTGTTTCCTCTCTTGTCTCCCTAATGCTGTTTAATCCAGAGAGTAAAGGCGAGTGGTGTACAAAGGCATGAGGTCGTCAGGGAATCTCTGCCTTCCTCGTGGTCCCCTCTGCTGCTCTCTCTCTCCTCGTGAAACACATATTCAGATTTGAGAGGGCTTTGTTTCCCAGCTCCAGGTATGATTTGACCTTTGTCCTGGTAGCAAGGAGAATGAATGCTAGAGTTGAAATAGAGATGAGGGGCTTCAGCGTGGAGGGTCAGTTAAGGTGGAGTAGCACCGTGGCATTAGTCCCTTCCCTCTGCTATCCTGGTGTACCCACAAGACAGATACTTGGAAATCTTAACAGAGAGTATTTGGGAAAGAGAATTCCCTTTACATAGAAAATTCCCCCATATTACTCTCATTCCCTTCATTCTCCTTAGGCCTTCCTTGTGTCCTTTTATTCTACCTTTGTCATTTGTGGGTATTCTTAGAAGTGTCCACTTCTCTCTTGGGTCCATCCCTTCTTCTTCTGGTAAGACATCAATTATTAGAGAACAGAGTTATGCAGCTGTAGTGTGGAAAATGTTACCTGTGTTGTGGGGCCTCTTTACCTAGGTTGAAAAGTAGCCATGAGTAAATAAATATAATTTCTTAGAATAGCGTGTATTTATCCAGATAAATAGGGAGATAATCTTCCAGAGCAGTAGGGTTGCTATTTGATTGAGAGGGTGTTACTAAGGAATAGGAAGTGGGAAGAGATAATTACCGAAGGAGAAATAAGACAGCCAGAGGAGTAGAGAAATTACCCAAGTTTAGAGAGTAGCTTCCCAAATGTGAACAATAATTCCACTGAGAAAACACATGTACTTATGCACTTTTCTTATCCCTTGTGTGCCTTTTACAAGCACATAATATATTAATGCTCATTTAAAAAATTATTTTGCAGCATATGGAAGTAATCAATATATGGTATTGTTATATGGTATTTCATTTATTTAATAAGAATTATTGTTGTCAATAGTATTTAATATTTTTAAAGCACTTTACAATTACAAGGAACTTTTATATGTATTATTTCATTGAGTTGAATTGGATTGTTCCAATGATTACTGGGGACAGAGTCTACATTTTCATGGGGATAGTAAGGGGAGTTAAATACCTGGAAGATGCTGTAATAGCTAGTTTGAAGGGCTAGAGTGGTGGAGGGGGTATGAGCCTGAGCATGAACTAGGGAGGCATCTATTCCTCTTAGAATAATCTATTCAAGCCATTAGAATCATTTCTATGTCCATTCAGGAGGCCTTGTGGGGTCAGTACAATGAGGCACGACTGGAAAAGTGGCAAGACCCCTAATATTGCAGAGAAGGAAAAGGGAACAACTGTCTTGACCAGGGAAACCCAAGTGAAGATGCGAGGATAATAAGAGCAATAACATATACAATACAAAATGCTTTCATATTATCAGTACCTTTAAGTGAGGTGTTTTGTTGTTGTTGTTTTTTGAGACAGGGCCTCGCTCTGTCACCCAGGTTGGAATGTAGTGAGGTGATCTTGGCTCACTGCAAACTCCATCTCCCAGGCTCAAGTGATCCTCCCGCCTCAGCCTCCTAAGTAGCTGGGAGCACAGGCATACGCCACCACACCTGGCTAGCTTTTGCATTTCTTGTAGAGACAGAGTTTCATCATGTTGACCAGGCTGGTCTTGAACTCCTTGCACTCCAGCGATCTGCCCGCCTCGGCCACCCAACGTACTGGGATTGTAGGCGCGAGCCACTACAATTGGCCTTAATTAGGTTTTTGGGGGGTTTTTTTGGGTTCTTTTTTTTTTTTTGAGAAGGAGTCTGGCTTTCTCACCAGGCTGGGGTGCAGTGGCGCCATTTCGGCTCACTGCAGTCTCCACCTCCCGGGTTCAAACGATTCTCCTGCCTCAGCCTCCCGAGTAGCTGGGATTACAGGTGCGCACCACCACACTCGGCTAATTTCTGTATATTCAGTAGAGACGGGGTTTCACCATGTTGGCCAGGATGATCTCGACCTCCTGACCTAGTGATCCGCCTAACTTGGCCTCCGAAAGTGCTGGGATTACAGGCGTGAGCCACCGAGCCCAGCCCTAGGTTTTTAATCCTATTTTTATGGATGAGAAAAATAAAGGCTCAGAGAAATTAAGTGAGTCGCTCAAGGCTGCACAGCTATTAGAGGTAAGGCCAGGATTCAAATCCAGCTTTGTCTGGAGCATAGAGAAAAAGCAGGCTGTGGAGATAGGAATCAATTTGTCTAGAGTTCCAGGTCCATCCACTTTCTTGCCTCCTCTGTAAATGTCTCTCTGTTCCTTCCCTTAACTTTCTTATCTGCTTCTCTCCTTGTCTCTTTTTTGTCTCCAGTCTCCCTATCAGTCCTCTTTACATCTGTTAAAATTTTCAACCTTTATTTATTGGATCTGTACATATATGAGACCCTGTTTTGTCTCATAAGACAAAGGGAAGACCTGGTTTTTGCTCTGAAGGAACAGCAATGGCACAAACTCTGCCTCTTCCTCTTTCTCAGCATGAGGCTTCCCACCCACCCCGTCGTCTCATGAAACGTCTCTGTCTAGACCACGCTTCTGGACTTTGGCGACACACTAAGAAATCAAAGGAAGGGAGCATCAAGTTGCATTCCCTCCCAGAGCCACTAGGGGTCACGCTCCTCCGCGCAGAAGCGCCGGCCAACGCAGCCTGACTCTGTTACCGGTGCGCGCCCTTCGCTGATTGGTGGAACCGCAAAGAAGTCGCGCTTTGATTGGGCCGCTGTCAGGTGTCGCTGCCTGCAGGTTCGGCTGCGCGAGCGGAGGGAGGCGGGTGAGTGAAGGCCGGGGGCGGTGGGGGAGTGGCTGGGGCTGGGGGCGGTATCGGACCGGGTGGGCGCGGTAGAGTGGGCTTGGTGGGTTCCCAGGGCTGGGGTTCGTTCCGGGTGGGCTCCGCTTTGGGAAGAGGCCCAGCGGAGGGGCCTTAGTGTCAGCGTAGGGAGAGTGAGGCGGCGAAGGCGGGGGCGGGCAAAGGCTAGTGGAGTCGGGATGCGAGGGCGGTATTCGTGACCCGGAGCTGTGCGAGGAGAGTACCGAGGAGGGGGTCGGCGGGAGAGGAGATAGGTATGTGGGGGTCTGCGTGAGGAAGAGGGGGTCCTGTGGGAGGATGGAGGAGCGGAGTCGTACAGGGGAGAGGATCAAGGTGGAAGGGATCTGCGCCAGGAGGGGTGGGGCTGGAGTCCAGGAGGAAGGGGGTAGCTTGAGGAATGGGTTGCGGCTGAGAGAAGACAGCCTGGAGGGAGGGGTGATGTGAGGAAAGAATGGATGGCAGGTCGTCATTGTGGGGGGTCACTGAGGGGTCAATATAAAGATGTTACCAAGTATGATGACTCGTGCGAGAGGGTGAAGGAGTTTAATACTGGGCAATCAGTGAGTGCGAGGATTAGTTGGATTAATGGAATTAGTTGACCAATGATGCGGGGTGGGATGGGGAGGCTGCAGTCAGTATTGGGGCAAGAGTCATAGCAAGTTGGGGAAAGAAGGCGAAACGAAGCAGCTGATACTGAGAACAGGGAGAGGAGCACAGTTGATCAGAGTCGGAATGAGGAGTGTGTCTGAAGAATTAAAAATTGCATTAAGAAGGAAGTGAGGCGTCCACTGTTCAAGGTGGGCAGAAAATAGTGTTGGTGGCCTGAGGAGTTTTTCTGTGTTGGAAGTATTCCTGCCTGGAATTTGTATTGATATTTCCTCTTCGCTACCAATGGAGTCCACCATCAAGTGCATAGTGATTTAGGAAATTAGATGACTATGCAAGGAGCCCTAAATTCTAAGGGTTAAAGAAGTTACACCGTTTACCCTCCCTTCTACCCCTTCTCCAGATCTAACATAGATGTTCCTGAGAAGATTGCCTGCCTGCCCCTCCCTCGTTACCTTACTCGCCTATCTCCTTGCTTCTTTCCTTCCATTCACATTGATTCCTGTCAGAGTAAGACTGCCCTTTAGCCCAGTGTGGAGTGTGAAGTTTTCTTTTCTTTCACAACAAAGCTTGGGGGAGAGGCGGATGGGGAGAAGAGCATGGAAAACAGGGAAGCGGCTCTGGGAACACCACATTAAAGCCCATCTTCTCCCAGAGGTGCATCTAAATAAATCCTGGCTTATTTCATAGCTATTTCTGTCAGGCTTCTATTTTTGCTTTGTTAACTGGGAATTTAGACCTTTCGTCTCTCTTCAGCCACATATTTGTAAACAGTCTCTTCCCTATTCTATTAGTTACCATGCCCCGTTATGTAGTTGCAGTAGAATTTCAAGAACATGAGTGTACATTCAGTGGAAAACGAGGAAGGACTCAATGGAAGAAAGGGCAAAGGGTTAGGAATCTTAGAGTTGAGAGAAAGTCCCGGCTTCAGAGCGAAGATAAAGAATGCAACAAAATTCTACTTGCTCAAACTATACAGGGACCTTGGGAATGTCCCAAGTCAGGGAAATTGGGTCAGGTCACTGAAAAGGAATTCAAAAAAATAGCGTTTTTATCAGGGGTAAGAGTGTGTGTGTGAGACCTGCAGTGCACAACAAGAAATATTAAGCCTAAGGAGAATGTCGCACCCCCGTGGCAGTTGAGAAATAAAGACAGCAGATAATGAAAACTGGAAAGGTCGAGAGGTCGAGGTCTATATAAAGGTCCGCTAGAACTTTCTTTCTGTTTATTTTTTTTTTTGAGACAGGATTTTCACTCTTGTTGCCCAGGCTGGAGTGCAGTGGCGTGATCTCGGCTCACTGCAACCTCTGCCTCCTGGTTTCAAGCGATTCTCCAGCCCCAGCCTCCTGAGTAGCTGGGATTACAGGCGTGCGCCACCCCACCCGGCTAATTTTTTGTATTTTTAGTAGAGGCGGGGTTTCGCCATGTTGGCCAGGCTGTTCTTGAACTCCTGACCTCAAGTGATCTGCCTGCCTTGGCCTCCCAAAATGCTGAGATTACAGGTGTGAGCCACTGTGCCTGGTGGTCAGCTAGAACTTTCTAGTCAAAACTGCAAACCCCAGTTGTAATGAAAGAGTTTGAAATAAAGATAGAGAAAATAATTGTTCAAGACTGTTTTCAAAATCTATGAGACTAATTACATATATAAGATATTATTTCTGTAAGACAAGTTCATTTACTTAAGGAGTTTGTGGCTTTCACTAGAGTCATTGGTCAGTGTTTCTGAGAACTTTTGGAGACCACGGAAAATTGCTGATGTGTGACTCAATTTTTATTTTTGGAAAATAATAACAGATATTCATATCCTTACAATTCATAGGAACAAATGTTAACCTGTGTATTTGCTTCAGATCTTTTTTACAATTGAAATAAACATTGTAGATAAGGTTGTGGAGTACCATTTGAATCCTCAGTTCCATTCTCCCTTCTCAAAGGTAACCACTATCATGAATTTGATGTCTTTCTTTCCAGTCCCTGTTTTTATACTTCTACTAATTATATATGCAGTCATAAACCATATGTAACATTTGTATTTATACAATAGCGATGTACTGCAGGTATATTTCTGCAGTTTGTATTTGGAAACTGTCCATTTATTACATATAGCTTTTATTTTTACATTGCTATTAGTCTATCATTTCTATATATGACATTATATTTATGGATTCTACTTGTAACCTCTGAACTGTTTTCAGTTTTTCTCATTACCAACAGAGAGATGAAGAGGATTAAGAAGTTCCTCACAAAAGTCTTATGTAGGAGAATTTCTCTACAGCAGGGTTTCTCTACCTCAGCACTACTGAGATTTAAGGCTGGATAATTCTTGGTTGTGAGGAGATATCTTATGCATTTTAGAATGTTTGGCAGTATCCCTGGCTTCTACTCACTAGACGCCAATAGTACCTTTCCAATTGTGACAACCAAAAATGTCTCCTGCCAAAAGTCCCCTGTGTAGCAAAATCACAGCTGGTTGAGAACAACTACATTACTTGTGTGTACACAGAAGTGGAACTGCTGGTTCAAGTTAAAGTCTTAAGATATTCTTACTGGTACAGTTTTAGGCAGGATTTTTTTTTTTTTCACTGTAGCTCCTGGTGTGAGGGACCTTGGCCTAGACTAGCACTGGTTCTATAGTACCAGGGGACACTAGAGAGAACATTGAGATTTCAGTTTGAGAGTGGGCTGGAGACTACTGTATGGATGCCTGTATTCTCAACCTCCCAACCACACTAGACCTCTTTCCCTGAACAGGTTTTCTGAACTTGGGCATTTGTCTTCTATTATTATTATTATTATTATTATTATTATTATTATTATTATTATCATCATTATTTGAGGCAGGGTTTTGCTCTCACCCAGGCTGGAGTGCAGTGGCACGATCACAGCTCACTGCAGCCTTGACCTCTTGGGCTTAAACAAACCTTCCACCTCAGTCTATTGAGTAGCTGGGACCACAGGCTTGTGCCACTCACTATGCCTGGCTAATTTTTAAAAACTTTTTGGCCGGGTATGGCGGTTCACGCCTGTAATCCCAGCACTTTGGGAGGCCGAGGCAGGTGGATCATGAGGTCAGGAGTTCGAGACTAGCCTGGACCGCATGGTGAAACCCCGTCTCTACTAAAAAAAAAAAATACAAAAATTGGCCAGGCATGGTGGGGTGTGCCTGTGGTCCCAGCTACTCGGGAGGCTGAGGCAGAATTGCTTGAACCCGGGAGGTGGAGGTTGCAGTGAGCTGAGGTCATGCCACTGCTCTCCAGCCTGGGCAAGAGAGCGAGACTCCATCTCAAGAAAAGAAATTTTTTTTTTTTCCTTTTGAAACGGTATTTTTTTTTTTTTTGAGACGGAGTCTTGCTCTTTTGCCCAGGCTGGAGTGCAGTGACATGATCTCCACTCACTGCAAGCTCCGCCTCCCGGGTTCACACCATTTTCCTGCCTCAGCCTCCCCAGTAGCTAGGACTACAGGAGCCGGCCACCATGCCCGGCTAATTTTTTTTGTGTATTTTTAGTAGAGACGGGGTTTCACCGTGTTAGCCAGGATGGTCTCGATCTCCTGACCTCGTGATCACCCGCCTCGGCGTCCCAAAGTGCTGGGATTACAGGCGTGAGCCACCGTGCCTGGCCGAAACAGGGTATTTTTGTGTCGCCCAGGCTGGAGTGCAGTGGTACAATCACGGGTCATTGCAGTCCCGACCTCTTGGGCTTAAACAGTCCTCCCAGCTTAACCTCCCAAGTAGCTGGGACCACAGGCAACGTGCCACCATGCATGGCTAATTTAAGAAAAAGCTTTTGTAAAGGTCAGGTCTACCTATATTGCCCAGGCTGGTCTCAAACTCCGAGGCTCAAGCAGTCATCCTGGTTCAGCCTCCGAAAGTGCTGGGATTACACGCATGAACCACTGCACCCAGCCTTAAAATTTTTTTGTAGAGATGAGGTCTTGCTATGTTGCCCTGGCCGGTCTTAAACCCCTAAGCCCGAGCGATCCTCTTGCCTCAGCCTCCCAAAATGCTGGAATTACAGGGATGAACCATGGTATCTGGCTGTGCAACTGTCTTTTAAGGTGGAGTAGATGAAGGAGAGAGAGAGCATGGGGGTTTTATTATTTTTTAAATTTTTGGTTTGAGAGAGGGTCTCACTCTGTCACCCAGGCTGGAGTGCAATGGCGTGATCTCAGCTCACTGCAACGTCTGCATCCTGGGCTCAAATGATCCTCTTGCCTCAGCCTCCCAAGTAGTTGGGACTACAGGCATGCACCACCATGCCTGCCTAATTTTTGAATGTTTTTGTAGAAACTGGGTTTTGACATGTTGCCTGGCTGGTCTTGAACTCCTGGACTCAAGTGATCCACCCTCCTCAGCCTCCCAAAGCGCCGAGATTATAGGTGTAAGCCAGTGTGCCTGGCCTTAATGTTCTGATATAATGCTTAGAATGTAGGGTGCCCTCAATAAATATTTTTTGAGTTAATCTTTGGGAAGAATGAAGAAGAGGTTTAAGGGGAAAGGCAGCTGAGCTCTCTCATTCCTCTGCCTTTGAATTAAATTACTGAATTCAACACTACTGTGAGGAGGTGGAAAAGGGCTAGGAACATTGTGAAATGAGTCCAAAGTTTGAAATGTCACTCTAACCTTCTCTTCTGGTAGGACTCAAGAGTAGCCTTCCTCGAGGACCTGCCTTTCCCATTTGCTGCCTGAAGTTAATGTTTCTTGCTGGCCAAATCAGGGACATGCCGGCATTGTAAGGGCTGATTATCTGATCCTCTTACTAATTTATTGGTTGGGGTGGGGTGAGCAGGGAGGAAAAGGGATACCTTGCTTTTCTTTTATGGCTCTTTTAGCATCTCAAGTCATAGCCCATATGCCTCCTTTCTTGTTGATCCTTCTTCCTATAGCTTTGTTTTGTTTCCCCTTATAGTTCCCTCTTATGCTTTTCATCTCCATCCCCAGCCCCACCCACAGCCAGGGGGCTTGGGTTCTGAGCTGATGGGGTACCCCCCTCTGCAGAGCGGGATGAGTGGGTGTTCCGGCAGGGATGTGGTCATTGACGGCCAGTGAGGGCGAGAGTACCACGGCCCACTTCTTCCTTGGAGCTGGAGATGAGGGGCTGGGCACCCGTGGAATAGGCATGAGGCCAGAAGAGAGTGACAGCGAGCTCCTTGAGGATGAGGAGGATGAAGTGGTAAGAATGGGGAAAATGATGTAACTTGGGGTTGGAGCCTCTGTCCTAAAGAGTTAAGATTCTATTGGTTAGAGATACCTCTCTGTTCTTTCCGAATGCATAGACTCCCTGTCATAAACAGGCCCTATCCTAGTTTAGGGGAGGGGCAGTAGAGATTGGTAGGTTGCCTCTCTTAGAAATCCCTGCCCTGGCCGGGCGTGGGTAATCCCAGCACTTTGGAAGGCCAAGGCGGCCAGATCATTTGAGGTCAGGAATTCAAAAGCAGCCTGTCCAACATGGTGAAACCCTGTCTCTACTAAAAATACAAAAATTAGCTGGGTGTGGTGGTGGGCGCCTGTAATCCCAGCTACTCGGGAGGTCTAGGCAGGAGAATCGCTTGAGCCCGGGAGTTGGAGGTTGCAGTGAGCAGAAATCGTGCCACTGCATGCCAGCCTGGGCGACAGAGTGAGACTCTATCTCCAAAAAAAAAAAAAAAGAAACCCCTGCCCTTAGGATCTTCCTGTCGTCTCATGGTTGTTGGTTCTCTAGCTCTCCTGCTTGAGCACATATTTCCTACTGTGGAAAGGCTCCTATTCTGTAGGCAGTTGGAATCCCTAGCTGTGCCTCAACCTCGATCAAAGTTAGGAGGCACCCTTTATCCCATAGGTCCAGAGTCCTGGCAAGAAACTCTGTGCCCTAAGAAGATAAGACAGTGTTCCCAGAAGGGGGTGATATTGGTGGGAAGTTCTTGAGTTTCTGATAGCACTTCCTCTCTGTAGCCTCCTGAACCTCAGATCATTGTTGGCATCTGTGCCATGACCAAGAAATCCAAGTCCAAGCCAATGACTCAAATCCTAGAGCGACTCTGCAGATTTGACTACCTGACTGTTGTCATTCTGGGAGAAGATGTAATCCTTAATGAACCTGTGGAAAACTGGCCATCCTGCCACTGCCTCATCTCTTTCCACTCCAAAGGTTGGGGTCTATGAAGGAAAATGGGAGGGAATGGTGGTGGGAATACTGGTTCGGGAAATGAGGTTCTTATTGTCTTATTTCCTTAGTAAAGAGCCGTCAGCTACTTGTGACACACTAGAGAATGGTGCCAAGGAGTTTGCTTTCCCTGCATCTTGGAGGAGTTGCCGGGGGTTTAAAGCCTATAGTCTAACCTCAGGACAACTCTAAGTGTCTTAGGATCTCTGACAGAATTGGGTCTCTGGAAGGACTGTAAAAATAACTTCTGTTTTACTTTTTCTTGATAAATATCCTAGACTTGGGGAGCTGGGAAGAAGAATAAGTGATGGGTTGAATGGGTAGAGGAGCTCAGTGGCAGCTAATAGCTTTAATATGTCTTTGTATCTCTCTTGCTCTTTTCTCGTTCTCTTTCTCTCCCTTCCTTTGGTCTCTTTATTTCCTGTCTCCATCCCAGGCTTTCCTCTGGACAAAGCTGTTGCTTACTCCAAGCTTCGAAACCCCTTTCTTATCAATGATCTGGCCATGCAGTATTACATCCAAGATAGGTATAACTTCCTGTTGACCAGTGAGATGGGTGGCTTTGGGATCATGCGTGTTCGGGGAACCCACTGTGAGAGGGGCAGAGTCAAACCAACATGCCTAATTTTTGTACCATAATTTTGTGCCCTGGTGTCTTTTAATCCTGTGCAAATGAAATCCCCAGCCTCTCCCCTTAGTTACTCCCACCTCTCCCAGCTATTTTATTTGGGGGTGACAGGAGGGAGGTGTACCGGATCCTGCAGGAAGAGGGTATTGATCTGCCTCGATATGCTGTGCTCAACCGTGATCCTGCCCGGCCTGAGGGTGAGTACCTGGCCTGAGGGAGGGTTAGTCCTGCCTTTCCTTGCTTTCTATGACTTAGCCACGTTTCCATCTTCTAGACATCTCCTGTATACCACCTATCTATGTGGGGTTTTGGTTATTGGATTATGGGTGGGGTTAGAGCCATGAGTCTTCGGACAGAGGGTTGGACCTGTTATATAGAGATTTTACCTCATCTATTACAAAGATATAGTCATAAAAATTTGAGGGTTATAGAGATGAAAACCTGGGGAAATGAGAATTAGTAATATTCCACAACCTTAGGCCATAGGAATGACTACACATCCACCTTTCAGAATGCAACCTGATAGAAGGTGAAGACCAAGTAGAGGTCAATGGAGCTGTCTTTCCCAAGCCCTTTGTGGAGAAGCCAGTGAGTGCAGAAGACCACAATGTTTACATCTACTACCCCAGCTCAGCTGGAGGAGGAAGCCAGCGTCTCTTTCGTAAGGTAGGGGGGATATTTGAGCATCTGGGGAGTCAGAGAGGTGCAAGGGCAAGGATGAGGTTGTGGGGAAGGAAGATGGAGAATTTGGGGACAGAACAGAGAGTTGAGGCAACATTGCTTTTTCTTCTTTTTTTCTCTTGAAGATTGGCAGCCGAAGCAGTGTTTACTCTCCTGAGAGCAGCGTCCGAAAGACGGGGTCGTACATCTATGAGGAGTTTATGCCAACAGATGGCACAGATGTCAAGGTTATGGTGGATATAGGGATTTAAGAGGTTACAAATGTGTGGGTGGGGATGGGGTACTTGGGAAGCAGGTGGAAGTATATGGGGAGGAGGTCCTAGAAAATAACATGATGTGAATGTGATTGGCTTTCATATTCAGGTGAAGATAATGAGTGGAGGATACAGACATTCACATTTTCACTATCAGAGCAAGGGCAAGGCTGACTTAGAAAAATGGTATAATGTTTGTAAATTATTTTTTAATAAGGACTACCTGACAGTAGTGGAGTCCCGAGGAGAAATTCATAATGATACTTCAGTAAGGCTCAGTAGGAAAAATGTTGGTCAGTCTCCTTAATGCTCAGGATTTGTTTTGTTTTTGTTGTTGTTGTTTTACTCTGAAACTCGTCTACAGACCTAGTGCTCATATTGTCTTCTCATATACAGGGTGAGCTGTGGGCATACTCAGTGATGCTATGTACCTGCAGGTGTATACAGTGGGGCCAGATTATGCCCATGCTGAAGCTAGAAAATCTCCAGCTTTGGATGGGAAGGTTGAACGAGACAGTGAGGGGAAAGAGATTCGATATCCAGTCATGCTGACTGCCATGGAAAAGCTGGTGGCCAGGAAAGTCTGCGTAGCTTTCAAGGTAGAGGAGGGCCCAGGGAGGTTGTGAAATGAAGGAGAAAGGAAGGAACAGGGGTCCGGGAAGAGTAACTGTCTTGTTCTCATCTTTCTTCTTTTCCTTGCAGCAAACAGTTTGTGGATTTGACCTTCTTCGTGCCAATGGTCATTCCTTTGTGTGTGATGTCAATGGCTTTAGTTTTGTCAAGAACTCGATGAAATACTACGATGACTGTGCCAAGATTCTGGGGTAAGAGACATAGTGGTCTGCGCTGGGGAGAATGGGCTTACAGAAGAATATTTGAAAGTTTTTGCTTTATTTTAAATATCACAAATATGATTTAAAAGTGAAAAAGCAGGCCAGGCGCGATGGCTCATGCCTATAAACTCAGCACTTTGAGAGGCTGAGGCGGGTGGGTCACCTGAGGTCAGGAGTTAGAGACCAGCCTGGTCAACATGGTGAAACCCTGTTTCTACTAAAGATACAACCTTAGCCAGGCATGGTGGAGCATGCCTGTAATCCCAGCTACTAGGGAGGCTGCGGCAGGAGAATCGCTTGAACGCAGGAGGTGAAGGTTGCAGTGAGCTGAGATAGTGCCATTGCACTCCAGCCTGGGTGACAAGAGCAAAACTGCGTCCCAATAAATAAATAAATTAATTAATTAATTAAATTAAAAAATAAAAATAAGAAAGGAAGGGCTCCTCAGGCTCCTTGCCTTTCTAACACTGCCCCTCCCAGAGACCATTGTTGTTAACAGTTTTAGACATAACAATTTATCTTTTTCTGCCATATCCAAACTGTATTTCTTTTACTAAATGTGGTCATACTATAATACTGCTCTGCAACTTGACTTTCCAAGAAATTCGTCACGTAATGTATAAACCATTCAGAAATATATGAGGAATGATGACTATAGTGAGCATCTATGTATTCACCACCTAGCTTAAGAAATAAAATATTAGGAATATAGGTCGGGTGCGGTAGCTCACGCCTGTAATCCTGGCACTTTGGGAGGCCGAGGCGGGTAGATCACCTGAGGTCAGGAGTTTGAGACCAGCCTGACCAACATGGTGAAACCTCGTTTCTACTACAAATACAAAAAATTGGCCAGGCTCAGTGGCTTCCGCCTGTAATCCCAGCACTTTGGGAGGCCAGGGTGCGTGGATCACCTGAGGTCAGGACTTCGAGACCAGCCTGGCCAACATGGTGAAACCCCATCTCTACTAAAAATACAAAAAAAAAATGAGCCAGGCATATTGGTGGACGCCTGTAATCCCAGCTACTTGGGAGGCTGAGACAGGAGAATCACTTGAACCCGGGAGGAAGAGATTGCAGTGAGCCGAGATCATGCCGCTGTACTCCAGCCTGGGTGACAAGAGTGAGACTCCATCTCAAAAAAAAAAACCCAAAAAAAAAAAAAATTAGTCAGCCGTGGTGGTGGTTCCCTATAATCTCAGCTGCTTGGGAGGCTGAGGCAGTAGAATCACTTGATCCCAGGAGGTGGAGGTTGCAGTGAGCTGAGATCATGCCATTGTACTCCAGCCTGGGCAACAAGAGTGAAACTCTATCTCAAAAAAAAAAAAAAAAAAAAAAAAAATATATATATATATATATATATACACACACACACACACACACACACACACACACACGTACACATATATGTATATATGTGTATATATGTACGTATATATGTATATATACACATACATATGTGCATCTATATACACATATGTGCATCTATATACACATATGTGTGTATCTATATGCGCATACATGTGTGTATATACACAAACTGTACACATACGTGTGTGTATGTACACATACGTGTGTGTGTGTGTGTGTGTGTGTGTGTGTGTGTGTGTGTATATAATCGAAGCCCCTATGTACTCCTCCCTAGTAACATCCCCTCCCCATCCCCAGAGGGAACCACAATCCATAATTTGGTGTTTGTCATTCCTTGTATTTATTTATATTTGTACTACATAAATATGGGTATTTGTTTGTATGTTTTTAGACTTTATATTAAGGTATTCTTCTGCCTGCAGCCTGCTTGTTTTTGTGAGCTTCATTCCTCTGAGTAGTTCTGGTTTATTCATTTTTACAGGGCTTCTTTGTTTCTCTTTCTAGGAACACCATAATGCGGGAGCTTGCCCCACAGTTCCAGATTCCATGGTCCATCCCCACGGAGGCTGAGGACATTCCCATTGTTCCCACCACATCTGGCACTATGTAAGCAAAAGCAAAAAATCTGGAGTAACCTACTTAAGACCCATGGGATTCCTTAAGCCAGGCTAATGGTTACTTCCTGACCCCACACTATCTGACTAACGGAGCCTAGGCCTCTTATACACAGTCTTCTTAACTCCACTTATATTCCCCCGCCGTTTTTTTTGTTTTGTTGTGTTTGTTTTTGAGACAGAGTCTAGCTCTGTTGCCCAGGCTGGAGTGCAGTGGCATGATCTCGGCCCACAGCAACCTCCACCTCCTGGGTTCAGGTGAGCACATCTGGCTAATTTTTGTGTTTTTAGTAGAGATGGGGTTTCATCATGTGACCAGGCTGATCTTGAACTCCTGACGTCAAGTGATCCACCCGCCTCGGCCTTCCAACGAGCTGGGATTACAGGCATGAGCCACCATGCCCAGCCTCCATTTATATTCCTAATCTCAGTTCCCTTTTCTTTTTCTTTCTTTTTTTTTTTTTTTTTTTTTTTTGCGACAGGATCTGGCTCTGTCTCCCAGGCTGGAGTGCAGTGGTGCACTCATGGTTCACTGCAGCCTCTATCTCCTGGGCTCAAGTGATGCTCCCACCTCAGCCTCCCAAATAGCTGGGACCACAGGCGTGTGGCACCATGCCTGGATAATTTTTTTTCTTTTAACTTTTTTTATAGAGACAGACTCACCCTATGTTGCTCATGCTCACCCTATGTTTCTCCTGGGCCTGAGTGATCCTCCCACCTCAGCCTCCCAAAGTGCTGAGATCACAGGCCTGAGCCCTGCTCAGCCCCTCTGTTTTTTTGACATGTCAAGTAATGTGATGACAGCAGGTGGGATGGGGGTGTGGGAGAGGCTCTGATAACATTTATGATCTTAGGATGGAACTTCGTTGTGTCATTGCAATTATTCGTCATGGGGATCGTACTCCCAAGCAGAAGATGAAGATGGAAGTGAAACACCCAAGGTCAGAAGAGTGTCCTAATTTACATAAATAGGTTTTTGTGAGGAAGACTGCATGGGGGGCAAGTCCTGGAGGCTTTGACTGTCTCATGCCACACTGAAGCTTCTCGTTACTTCTTCAGGTTTTTTGCTCTGTTTGAAAAACATGGTGGCTACAAGACAGGGAAATTAAAACTCAAGCGACCTGAGCAGCTCCAGGTAAGGTAGTGAATCTGACCAGGAGGAACAGTGCCATGAGAGAGATAGAGGATATGGCATTGGGAGTCTTGATAAAAGACTAGGATGGAAAGGTAACTGTCTAGGACTTGGCCTTCTGCATGGATACCTTATTATTTCCTCTAGGAGGTGCTGGATATCACAAGGCTGTTGTTGGCTGAACTGGAGAAAGAACCAGGTGGTGAGATCGAGGAGAAGACTGGAAAACTAGAGCAGCTGAAGTCTGTACTGGAGATGTGAGAAAGGGGATAGCAAAAGGGAGCCAATAACAGTGAGAATTGGGGTGCTGGAACAGAACATAAACTGTGACTTTATCCTGCAGGTATGGTCACTTCTCAGGTATAAACCGGAAGGTACAATTGACTTACTACCCTCATGGAGTAAAAGCTTCTAATGAGGGGCAAGGTAAGATGTAGTCCCCCTTACCACTACCTCTCAGATCTTGTGTTCTTTTTATGTTTTTTGTCCATCTTCTTTCCCCACAAGATCTCTTTTTCTTGAGCCTATAGATGACCTTTACCCCAAATTACATCTCTGGTCTCCTCAGAAGACCTAAGGTTTAGATGTTCCCACTATTTTTCTTAGATCTAGACCATTCACTGCCTCTTATTCCTTCAGATCCACAGAGGGAAACTCTGGCCCCATCTCTGTTGCTGGTACTGAAGTGGGGTGGAGAACTGACTCCTGCTGGCCGTGTTCAGGCTGAGGAGCTGGGGCGAGCTTTTCGCTGCATGTACCCTGGAGGACAGGGTGAGTGTTTTGGGGAGTGAACGCATAGCAGGGCCAGGATAAAATGATTAGAGAGTAAGTTGGGGAAAATGAAGGGACAGAGACAGTGGGGGAATGAATATTTTTTCTTCCACGAGTATTTATAGCAGTCCATTTGTGGTCCCCCACCTTTGTCCCCAGGTGACTATGCTGGCTTCCCTGGTTGTGGGCTGCTTCGTCTCCATAGCACTTTCCGCCACGATCTCAAGATCTATGCCTCTGATGAGGGTCGTGTTCAGATGACTGCTGCTGCCTTCGCCAAGGTGCATACTACAGTTCTGTAGTCCCAGTTTCCATTAGGTAGAGAAGCAGAGAGTTTGGAGAACCAGTTGGAGCATTTCAGGGTGCTTGTAGGCCAACTCAGAGAAGTTTCTGCATGTATCGGACCCATTCTGTACTACCGAGAATGAGCTGAGAATAATTAGTGAGGGTAGGCCCCATCTCTTCAACCAGCTCCCGTTCGATCCCTGGGACCATCTAGGCCTAGGGATGCTAACCTGCAAGGGAAACAAATAGACCTTGTGCTTTCTCTTTAGGGCCTTCTGGCTCTAGAAGGGGAGCTGACACCCATTTTGGTGCAAATGGTGAAGAGTGCCAACATGAATGGGCTACTGGACAGCGATGGGGATTCCTTGAGCAGCTGCCAGCACCGGGTGAAGGCTCGGCTGCACCATATTCTACAGCAGGATGCGCCCTTTGGCCCTGAGGACTACGATCAGGTCAGGCTCAAAAATAGCCTGGATCCCCAATTCCTAGAATTCTAAATAGTAGGGATCAATAATAACAGTATTTACTGCATGCCAGGCACTGTTTTAGTTATTTTACACATATATTATTTAATCCTTACAGCAACCCTTTGAGATAAGTACAGGTCCACAATCTCTTATGCATAATTTTGAAAATTAAAAAGATTTTTTTCTTGACATTGAGATTCATTTGGCAGCTAAACCTGACACGAACTGTCATAAGACTTTTATAATCCTTAGTTTTCCCACTTAGTGTAAATAGTCGTGCATTTTGTGGCAGAAATATTAATGTGTTTGGTTATGCCATGGGCCCTGATGGAGGTATTATATACATATGGCATATGTACTGTATTAACTTCTAAAGTCCCACAGATTCTCAGTTCCAAAGCACAGCTCTGATCCCAAGGATCCTGAACAAAAGAACGTTTCAGTTATCCATTGTTGCATAATAAACTACCCCAAAACGTAGTAACCTAAAACAGCAACCATTTTATTATCTCTCACAGTTCTGGGCTCATCTGATCTTGCTTGGAGTCTCTCCTGAAATTGCAGTCAGATATTGACTGGAGCTGGAACCATCTGGAAGTTCAGCTGGGACTGTGGGATGGCTGGCTCTCTCCCTCTTCATGCTCTCCCTGTAACCTCAGTGCCTCTTTTCTCCACATGGTTCTTCATATGGTTTCCGTAGCATGATAGCCAGAAGTATTAAATGGTAGCTTTAGGGATATTCAAAAGCAGAAGCTTAGAAGCTTTCTTAAAGTGTAGGCCCAGAAATAGCACAACATAACTTTGTTATTTTTTATTGGTTAAACAGTTACAGGGCCAGCCAGATTTAAGGGAAGGGAAGGAAAGGAAGA
The DNA here is from genome assembly GCF_000001405.40 of Homo sapiens. NCBI lineage: Eukaryota > Metazoa > Chordata > Mammalia > Primates > Hominidae > Homo > Homo sapiens. Next base: position 43,575,486 of record NC_000015.10, on the reverse strand, counting down.
CAAAGAATTGATGGTCATCTTTAAAGCACTACAAGGACTGTAGACCACAAGGACTTTCCTCCCATTTTACAGATGAGGAAACCTAGGCTCAGAAGAATCTAAGCAATTTTCCTCATGTCATCCAGCTAATACAAACCGAAGGGGTCTAACTCCAACGCCCAGGCTGTTACATTGCTTTATAGTATTAATCCCACTATATGCCATTACCCAATATGGTCGTTCTTTTTCCTGCATATCTAGGCCACAAATGACCAGGCAGTGGTTTTCTACTCTTCCCACTCCTCATTTCTGATATGTTCTTTTAAAAAAATGTTTAAAACTTTAAAATTGTGGTACCATTTTAACCATTTTTAAGTTTACAGTTCAGTAGCATTACATGTATTTACATTGTTGTGTAACATTTCTGATTGGTTCTTAAATGAGTTAAGTAGCTAAGCACATTGCTGTGAGCCCATAGGATTTTCTGTGTTCTCTGAGTAGGACTTGATAAGGAACAGGACCTTGCTCCTTTATTTCCCAATCCATTGCTCACTGTCAAACTCAAAAAAGCTAAGGCAGCTTTCCTTTCTGCCTTGCCTTCTTTTGCGAGCAAGAATGAAACTTGTGAGGACCTAAACAGAATTGTGCATTTTCAGCCACAGTCTTGATTCTGCCTCCACATTTCTCATTGACTGTTACTGTCCTACAAGCCTGAGTCAGAACCCAGTTTTGAGGCAGCATTTCTACTCTAGGCTCAGGCTAGCATCTTGTTTAGAGGAAGAAGATAATGTTATCTGTGATCTCTACTCATGAAAACATTCTGTGGAGATTTTGAGGGATTTTGGTTCAATCTTTATTCTCCAGTATTTTCCATGTGTATTCTAGAGCCCTCAAGAAAAGAACTTAGGTCTGTTTTATTTTCTCTGGACTCTTAAAATCAATCCCTCTTAGACGACTATATGCTAGAGCAGTGCCCTTACCTGAAGGCCTAGAACTGCTAGTATGCCCAGTAACCTAAGAATGCTCACTGGAGTGAACCAACATACAGAGCTGTATTGTGAGTAGTCTCTGTGTAATAAACTCACAGGAATCTGGGCAATTAGTGCCGAGCCTGTCTTGCTTTTCTTCTCTCTATTCTTCATAGCTGGCTCCCACCAGAAGTACTTCCCTGCTCAACTCCATGACTATCATCCAGAATCCTGTGAAGGTCTGTGATCAGGTATTTGCCCTGATCGAAAACCTCACCCACCAGATCCGGGAACGAATGCAGGACCCCAGGTCTGTAGGTGGGTATGAATACTACTATCTTCCCTTCAAGGTCTCAGGTATGGATGGGTTTCTCAGGCATTCTGGTGTCCTCTCCTAAATGTCAGAGACCAGGCCTCCTCCTCCCTCTGGCTGTACTTCAGAGTTGTCAGGGTCTTTTGTTGGAGGTAAAATCTTTGATTCTTATCTGATTCCTGCCTTTCTTCCAGACCTGCAGCTCTACCACAGTGAGACACTAGAGCTAATGCTACAGCGTTGGAGCAAGCTGGAGCGTGACTTTCGACAGAAGAGTGGGCGCTATGATATCAGTAAGATCCCTGACATCTATGACTGTGTCAAGTATGATGTGCAGCACAATGGGAGTCTGGGACTTCAAGGCACAGCAGAGTTGCTCCGTCTCTCTAAGGCACTGGCTGATGTGGTCATTCCCCAGGTGTGTCTTGTATAAGGGACCTAGCCTGGGGATGAGGGTGTTGGGAAGGAAAGAGAGAAAAGGTGGAAAGGAAGGGTGATTTGAGACTAGAGGAAAGCAACTCAGAGAAGGAATAGGTTGAGTTGCTACATTTCTCAGGGTCCACTCTGGCTCTTGGTAAGTACAGGAGGCTAATTCAGGAGACACCTGGAAGAGGGGGAATGTAGTGGATATGAAAGAAGCCCTAGACGTGAGGTGAAGACAGGCATGATCTTGGTCCTGGGAATATGAGGCATGAGAAAACAAGATTTATTGAGGTATTTATTCCTGGCCTGTGGCCCCTAGGAGTACGGGATCAGTCGGGAGGAGAAACTGGAAATTGCTGTGGGCTTCTGTCTTCCACTGTTGCGGAAGATACTACTTGACCTGCAGAGAACCCACGAGGATGAGTCTGTCAACAAGCTGCATCCCCTGTGAGGGAGGGCTGGGAGGGGTGTTGGATGGAGGGAGGGGCATGTCAGGGAGCCTTGGGGGAATCAAAGCTGGGACAGCCTGGGGAACCAAGAATAGACAAGATTTTGGGATGGAAAGGAGAGAAGTCTTTGAGGTGGGAGGAGGGAGTTTGCAGAAGGGTGGGAACAGGGTTAACTGACTGTGTGAGTGATTTAGCTGTTATCTCAGGTACTCCCGAGGCGTGCTCTCCCCAGGTCGCCACGTTCGAACGCGTCTCTATTTCACCAGTGAGAGCCATGTCCACTCCCTGCTCAGTGTCTTCCGTTATGGAGGACTTCTTGATGTAAGGATCCTCCTTCTTCTTTAGCCTGTGAACAGCTTTTTCCCAGCATTCTTTTACTCTTCTCAAATGAAAGCTTTCTCCATTCTCATTGGCTCCCTGCTCATTCTCTGACTCCCATTTCCTTAAGCAATGGCTTACCTCTTTTTGCATTTGGTAGGAGACCCAGGATGCACAATGGCAGCGAGCTTTGGATTATCTTAGTGCCATCTCAGAGCTTAACTACATGACCCAGATTGTCATCATGCTTTATGAGGACAACACACAGGTGAGGAGCTAGCAGGTGGGAGATGAGAGGAAGGCCCCTTCTTTTGAATTCTATTAAAAAAAAAAAACTTGCTTATCCTTATAATTTGGAGAATCCAGCTAGGTGTGGCACTTACGCACAGCATGACACAGAGCATCCAGGAGGTTCCTACTGGAATGGAAAATATGTTCTGGGATGTTGTTGAGCCAGAGAGGTAACCTAGAACACAGCTCTGGCATTAGAAGAGTATGGAATTTGGGACAATGTTATGAGTCTTATTTCCTCAAACATGGTTATACATATACCTTCTGCATACGGCTCCACAATGATACTTTTTTTTTTTTTTTTTTTTTTTTGAGACAAGGTCTCACTCTGTCACCCGCGCTGGAGTGCAGTGCTACAATCTGAGCTCACTGCAGCCTTGCAACCTCTGCCTCCTGGGCTCAAGTGATCCTCTCACATCAGCCTCCCAAGTAGCTGGGATGACAGACATGTGCCACCATGCCCGGCTAATTTTTTGTAGAGATAGGGTCTCAACATGTTGCCCAGGGTGGTGTCAAACTCCTGGACTCAAGTGATCTGCCTGTCCCAGCCTCCCAAGGTGCTAGGATTACAGGTGTGAGCCACTGCTCCTGGCCCACAAGGTATCTTTAAATGTTCTGCTATATGCACCACAGCCAAGCTGAGTTATTGTGGAAGGTGATGGGAAGCGTTGTAAAGCTGGAAGTTCAGAAGTCATGTGCAATGGTGAAATCACAAATGGTAGAGATGAGGGAATGAGGATCCTGTAAGAGACAATATATAGTTGAAAGGAAGCTATAACAGGTCAGCCCCGGAGTGGGACAAGACCCTGAATTCCTGGGAGGATGAATCCCCTTGAGTTCCTCTCTACTTCCACCACAATATCCAGCTTCTCCCAACTTCCCCCTCTTGTGGTTATGCTCCATAGGATCCCTTATCAGAGGAACGGTTCCATGTGGAGCTACACTTCAGCCCCGGAGTGAAAGGTGTTGAGGAAGAAGGCAGTGCCCCGGCTGGCTGTGGATTCCGTCCAGCCTCTTCTGAGGTGGGTCAGAGTGCTGGGATTTGGGACTGAAGGACTTAGGAACCAAGTGGTGGGAAGCAGTACAGGGAGAAGTAAAAGGGCTAGGTAGTCTGGGATTAGGATTTTGGAGGCCATTAACACCTCTCTTATCTGCCTTTTGTTGTATAGAATGAGGAGATGAAAACCAACCAAGGCAGTATGGAGAACCTGTGTCCAGGAAAGGCATCAGATGAACCAGACCGGGCATTGCAGACTTCACCCCAGCCTCCTGAGGGCCCTGGCCTTCCGAGGAGATCACCCCTCATTCGTAACCGAAAAGCTGGTTCCATGGAGGTAATGAGAGGGCCTTGGGAAGAAATGAAGGGGTGGCAGTGCTCATAGGACTATATCCACAGATCCACTAGATCCCCTTGGGGGGTCTCTTGGGACTTGAAGCAGAGTCCTCCTGCTCTGATTGATATGTTTTACTTAATCTCTCTTTCACAGCTGGTCTCCCAGTAGTGCTTCTTTAACTGGTTGCTACTTCTCAGATTAAAGAGTTGCCATTGAGGGATGCCTGAGAGATAAGGGTTTAAAGAGATAAGATTAAGGAGGAGGCCTCTGGATGAATTTGAAAAGGTAGTTCTTTAAAAGGAAATCTAGTGGAAACAGCTTGAACTCCGGGCCAAAATCCCAGTGTAATACTTGGAAGCTGTGTGACTTTGGCTGGGTAACTTCTCTACATTTCTCTGACCTTAACTTCTCTAAGCCTCAATTTTTTTTCACCTCTAAAATGTGAGTAGTATCCACTTTATAGATGCTCAACAAGCAGTAATATATTAACAATGCAATTGATATTAAAGGTCCAGCCCTCTCCAGCTCTTGGTCACCTTGGGTAAAAATTATAGCTCAGATAGGAGCAAATACCTGGCACTTTATCTGTACTGTCATTCCAGAAAGTGGGTCAGTCAAGAGCTCTGTCTGTCTTCCTCTTGTTCTAATGAGGATCTTTATCAGCATGGGCCTATATTCTGCTGTTCTTGGAGGTTGTTTCTAGTTCTGGTTCTAGCTCTCTAGCCTAAAGGCAGTAAGTGTTATTAATCTCATATTGTGTCCAGCTAACCATCTGAGGTTTTTGTTTTGGTCTTTTTCCTGGAAAAACTGTTTCTGTCTTTGGCCTAATTATATCCTTTTTTTTTTTCCCCTATCTTGCTCTTTCTGTATCACTTACATTCATTTTGACACCACAATTTATCCCTGTCTCAGAGACTTTGACTGTCTGATTTAGATTCTGCTCTGTCCTAATGACCGTGTTCACCCTGGCTCGGTGCCAGGTCTCTATCTTAGAGGAATTGGTTTTTCCATTTTAGGGATATATCAGAAGAATCTATAACAAGCTGACCTAGGTTCAGCAAAAGTTTTGCAATTCAGATTTTGGAGAAAGCTGAGAAGATGAACTGCAGTCTCTTCTTTTGATTCATCCTTTACTTCCTGATTATTTTAAGGTGAAATTGCCATTGGTAATATGCAGAGTTTCTTTAGGTAGGATATACATTATTTTCTCTTTGAGGTGTAGGTGTCGGTTGGTATCCGTAGTACTCTATTACCCTTTATACTCACATCCAATAGATCACATGGATAGAATGATACATAATCTTCCATCAATAAACTGATCCTCCAAATGTCTTTCCTATTCACATGGTCTGCTAGTCTCTCCTGGTGCTGTTGTGCCTGAACCGCGTCCCCCATCCCCCAACCATTTTTTTCTGGTTTATGCAGTCATAAGACATAGACAGCTGCGTGTGGTGGATCACACCTGTAATCCCAACACTTTGGGAAGCCTAAGTGGGAGAATCATTTGAGGCCAGGAGTTCAAAACCAGCCTGGGCAACATGGCAAGATCCTGTCTCTACAAAAAATTTTAAAACATTATAAGATGGAAAAAAAAAAAAGGCACAGGTAAAGGAAAGCTCTGTGTATCATCTCTCAGACTTGATAAGATTGACTTCTTTCAGGCCTATGGGAAGCTTCCTATTGTAATCACAGGCTTTCTTTTCAATTACTAGTGCTGCTTAGACCCTGGCTTATCCAGGGTGATGGTTGTCCAGGATATTTTCCTCAGCTTTGCAAGAAAATCATCTCTCTGCTCCTTGGTCACAAAGCCTTATGATACTAATGTTAATGTTTATCTTCCTTGCTCTATAAATATAGGCATACAACTTATCCTTCCCTCCATCCCTTCTTCTCCTCTTGTCATCTCATACTTTTTAACTATTTTAGATTATAAAACTTACGACCTTTATAGCAGCTATGCCCTAGCTGGTCATCCTCTCTAGCCCTGTAACTAGCTCTGCCCTGTGGGCCCTGGGGCTTTTGGGAGCCTGGGGTTTAAAGGAGCCGTGACCGGCTTTCCACCCGGTCTGATTGCAGGTCATGAACATGCAGTGCACGGGGAACCTGGACCTCATCCCCTTGCGGGGACGGCGCTGCAGGAGGTCGGGAGACCTCCCCCAGCCTTCCCTAGCCATTGGCCTACAGCCCCGGGCTGTGTCCACCACTCACCTGGCATCCTGCACACAGGTGTCCCTCCCTACCTCACCTTCCTGTCTTGCCTTCTGTCTTTGCCTTTTGGGATCTAGGGGCTCAGACACTATCTGGGTGGGATGTGTGTGTTTTGGGGGTTGTGTGATTGGGCCCTTGTGGGCATTGTAAAAATTCTGTTTCATGTTTCTAGGGGTGAGACAGTGGAGGGGTGGGCTTCTTGGTTCTAACAAGGAATGTAGTATGGTTGCAGTAGCCACAGCTCTCCCATGCAAAGAAGAGAGGGTGGCCAGACTCTTATCTGTGGCTGAGCCATTGTGATTGGCTTTCTGAGTCTGTGGGGGGATAGATACAATTAGGAAACTCTGCTCTGCTGAGAACTAGGAATGGGTTGAATAATGATTTCTCAAACTCAGATTGGGAATGGGAGGGCTGTGGGGAAAGGCATCTTGAAAATAGAAGTGCCTTCTAGTATAGAAAGATGCCCCGGACAGTTCCCTCCATAAAGTACATTCTCTGTTCCCTTTTCATCCCTCTTCCCCTATAAATCCTTTGGTACTTCCAAACTTTCTAACATTGCTTGGCTTTGTAGGGACAGGAATCCAGGACCTGAGTTTTATACTTTGGGGTTGAGGTGGCAAAATGATTAATATAGAGTCCTTTTTCTGCAGGTACTTTCTGAGACTTCATCCTCGAGGCCTGGTGGCTACCGGCTCTTTTCATCTTCACGGCCACCCACAGAAATGAAGCAGAGTGGCCTAGGTATGGTTTTGCCAGCATTTCTCACCTATTGTTGGAAAAGTTGTCTGTCTGTTCTTCAGAGTTTTATTGTGGGAAACCTTTGTCATGGGATTTGGGACCGTCCAATCAGTGGAATATCATCAGGTGGAGGTAGGGAGGATGAAGTGGGAGAAGCCATAGTTAGATGTGAACTTGGATCTCAGATGATTATTCCATCCCAGGAAGGTGTTTATCTCTTGGTTTTCTATACCAACCACATTTCCCTGGCCAAAGGGCGTTTTTCTGGCTTTCCCTCTCATTCCTTATCTGTCCCTCCAGTCTAGCCCAGACCTTAAGGGGCCATGGAGACTCTGAACCTTCAGAGTTATCAAAGACAGAGCTATAAATAGAGGTACTTGCAACCCTCATAAATGTCGTATTCCTCATTTGAAGAAATGTGCCACGTCTTCCCCTGAAACCTGTGTTTTTCACATCCCCGCTCTTGCCCTTCTTACCACCTTGCCCTTTCCTCCATCATCTCCTAATCCTGTAACTTTTTCCCCTTCCTTCTGGAAAATTGACCAGTCTGAGACTGGTGTAGTGGCAGAGGCATCTCTCAGGACTTTGAGGAAATGTCTCTTGATTTTTGGATCCCTGGAAAGGGGTAGAGAACATCACTCAGCTTTTTCTAAGAGCACAGACGGCAGGAAGGACCAAGCCTCAGAGGGTATTGTATTCTTTGGGTGGGGGGCAGTCCTTGGGAGGAACTATCTCTGAGCACAGTGCCTTGTGAGCCAGTAATTAGAACTGGAGGTCAGACATGGTTGTGTGGGGTCTGGTCTTGGTCCTCTGGCTGTTTCTGTCTTGTCCTATTATTCTCTCTATTTAGCGCCTCTAATTGTTCTGTTGCCTTTGTCCTTGGCAGCCATTTTCTTGGCCCCAAAATGGTCAGCTTTTGGACTAGCAAGGGGGAGAAAGGTTTTGGTAACTTTCCAGGCTAATTTTATGAGAATAAGTTGCCTTCTAGATTCCTGAAATGAGGAAGATGGTATGGGGCATGAGAAATAAATGACAAGTGTGTAGATCTGGCCAGGCGCAGTGGCTCATGCCTATAATCCCAGCATTTTGGGAGGCCAAAGAAGGCAGATCACTTGAGGTCAGGAGTTCTGAGACTAGCCTGGCCAACATAGTGAAACCCCATCTCTACTAAAAATACAAAAATTAGCTGAGCATGGTGACGCATGCCTGTAATCCCAGCTACTTGGGAGGTTGAGACACGAGAATTGCTTGAACCCAGAAGATGGAGGTTGCAGTGAGCTGAGACTGTGCCACTGTACTCCAACCTGGGTGACAGAGTGACACTCTGTCTCAAAAAAAAAAAAAAAACCCGAAACAACAATAGTGTAGATCTAAGAAATGAACCTCTCTTCCCAGAAGTCCCAGTAAAGAATAGGTTTCAGACAGACTAGAAAAGAGGATAGGTGTGTCTGTCCCAGTTAAGTGGGCCGTGGGAATGCTTTCAAGAGCAAGGCAGAGGTATGGACATGGAACTGGTTGGCAGATGGTGGTGGTAAGGTAGAGACCACCCTCTGAGATGATCTGAGGACTGGGCAGAACAGAGTTGGCATGACTGCACCAGAAAAGTATTCAGTGGAGGAAGTGTATGTAGGACAAAGCTTGGGGTGGTCTGGGATAGAGCCAGCTAGTTTTAGCTTCTCTGAAGAAAAGCAGTCATATTTAGCAACTGTTATTACTCTCTGGAATCTCATTCCAGAGCCTGTTTGAACATGAAAGGTGGAGGAAGTTGCTGTATAGGGGAGAGGTCCTGAATTCCAGGGTGGGAATCATCAGGCATCTGAACTTCCTGATTGCTCTGGTGACCCCGAAATCCTGGGACCCCTGAAACCATGGTCCCTTCTTGGTGGCCTCAAGGGAATTGAACTCCTTTCCACTCCATCCATTTCCCCTATGAATGTTAAGTCCCAAGCCAAACCCAGGGTCTTGGCTAAGATGGATTTGGAAGTAGAGAGGCAAATCCTGAGAACTTGGGTATCAGTCTTGTTTCTTCTTGACCACTCTGTCCTTATAGGCTATAGTAGGAGAAGGGACCGTGGAGTCCTAACCCTCCTCTAGATCAGCTGTTGGGGACAGTGACTGGTCTGATTTATTTCATACTTCAGAGATTATTCAGATTTTATTTAATCCTCTCATTGGCAATGGAATTCTCTTTGTTTTCTTAGAATTTATATGTGTGGGCAACTGGCTTTGAGCATAGGCTTACATGATAATACACTTTTGCAAGCAGAACAAACATGTCTTTTTGTTGTTATTTCCTGTATTCCTTCTTAGTAGGGTGCTCCTCACATAATAGGCATGCTCTACATATAATCAACTGATTCTTCACATGCCCTTCAATTTGTGTCCATCTTGACTTTAGAAACTGCTGGTTCCTAAAAAAAAATAGTTATTTATTTTCTAACAATACAGTTGGTCCTCAGAGTCAGGAGACCTGGATTCTAGTCCAGCTTAGCTTCTAAAAAACTATGTGACCTTGAGCAAAGGAGGTCCCTTTTGGATCTCAGTTTCTTCATCTCTAAAATAAGAAAGTTGGACTGGATGATCTATGAGTCCCTTCTAGCTTAAAAAATTCAATGAGGCAGGGGGCTGTGGCTCACACCAATAATCCCAGCACTATGGGAGGCCAAGGTGGGAGGATCACTTGAGCTCAGGAGTTAGAGACCAACCTGGGCAACATAGTGAGACCTCATTTCTACTAAAAATAAAAAAATTGTCCAGGCATGATGGTGTGTACTTGCAATCCCAGCTACTTGGGAAGCTAAGATGGGAGGATCACTTGAGCTTGGGAGACCAAGGCTGCAGTGAGCTATGATTGTGCCACTGCACTGCAGCCTGGGCAACAGAGTGAGACCCTGTCTTAAAAAAAAAAAAAAATTGTGAGCCTCATACTTTCATTCTTGGGAAAGGTCAAAAGGCCTGAAGGGAGGGGATGTTGGATGAAAAACTTAGGAAGGATTGGAAGGGTGCCAGCTGAGTGTTCAGAATATAGTCTCTAGCTTCAGTCAAAGCCTTTTCCTTTCAAATATACAAGGACTAGATTTCTGGGTTTCTCAAGCTATATATCCAGGGTAAGGGGTGCCGAATTAAATCTGAGGGGAATCTAGAGGGACCTACCTGTTATTTTGGCATTTCTGAGAGCCACCTGAAGAGCACAGTCTATCCCTTCCAGTAGCTTTGAATCCCCTAATATGACTAACCCTGCATTTGTAGTGGCCTGTTGTTTCTGCCATGTAGCTCTTCAGAAGAATCCCCCTTTTGCTTGCCCACTGTGACTATGGAGAAGTGTAAAGCCATTTGTGGTTATGTGGAATGGCCACATGGTGGTGGCTCTGAATGGCTGCATGTGTGTCTTGATGTTATCATGTGAAGTTGTGTATAGTTCTGTGTGATAGTTGTGGCTTTACGTGGCTACTAACGCACTCCCGGCCTTGCAGGCTCACAGTGCACAGGGCTGTTCAGCACCACAGTGCTGGGTGGCTCCTCCAGTGCCCCGAATCTTCAGGACTACGCCCGCAGCCATGGCAAAAAGCTACCACCTGCCAGTCTGAAGCACCGAGATGGTATGTGGGTGGGTTTTGGGGGATAACTCCTTTTTTCACTTGTCTCTCAGCAAGGACATAGCTCAAGAACTATTCATGCTTAAGATGACACTGGCCTTATAACAAGTTTTCTTCATCAGTAATAGATGGGAGAAGGAACCAGGACCCCTTTCACCCCTCCATTTGCATTTCCTCTTGCCATAAAAATACTACTTATTTATGCTTATCCCTTCATAATCTCCCACATACAGTCCTGCTGCATCAGTTTGTACTCTTTCCTGGATTCTGGCCTGTAGGGGTAAGGACCAAGGAGGATGATGCATAGTTGGGAAGAAAGTGGTGGAACCTCGATTAAAATCCAGCAAATTGGGTTTAGGGAAGGGAATGTTACTCAACCAAGGGAGAAAAGATAATGTGGAAAGAGACTAGGGGAAGGGATGAATATTTCTGTGAAGATTTTATTTCCAAATGACCAGAAAGAAGACACAGTGGTAAAATTAGGGTTGTTTGTAGGGGTGTATTGTGGTAGAGATGACACATTGATTCCTAAGAGATTTATCAAAGGAAAAGAGATTGACGTGTGTTAGTTAGAAATCCAAGGGATGGGGAGGGGAGCAGGTCAGATAACTAACTTTAAAGAACAGAATATCTTGCGGGCAAACTCCAGAGCAGAGGGTGGGGACAAGGGTGGGTATAATCCCCATGATGTCTTTTCTCCCCAGAGCTCTTGTTTGTCCCGGCCGTAAAACGATTTTCTGTGTCGTTTGCAAAGCATCCGACTAACGGTACGTTTGCTTCTGACTCAATGTCATTCCTCCTCACCATGTCACCTCTAGACACTTAACTCTGAGTTTCGACACTGACTTTGCCTCTCCTTCCACTGTGTTGACACCCTGCTGTCTCTGAATGAGTCACTCACTAAGTGTCCCTCCTGGGATGGTTTCCTTGTGACAGCCTTAGTCTTGGCTGCAGCCTGGCTGCCCCATCCCTGCAACTCAGGGTCTTAATTCCATAGTCACCATCATCACCATTATGTCACTTTTGTCAGCATCACCACCAAAACACTGATTAAACCTCTCCCTTTCCTATCACATGACTGCCAGGCTGTGTACAGATATGATGGTTCCCCTTCTTAGGATGGGAATAGTGTTTCCTAGATTGATTCCATTTCTTCTCTTCCCCCATACCCCCAATTCCTCAGCTGATATAACTTTGATCTTTCTGTGTTTTCTCCAACTCTTGTTGGGGTGGATGTGGATGACTAGTTTGTTCCTCTTTCGGAGCAATGCTGCAGTTCCCAGCTCCTAAGCCTACTTATATGGGTGTTAGTCTTGAGTATATAGTTTCCCATCTCCGTATTTCTTTCTCCTGTCATTATGTGTATTTTGTGTGGCTCTTGTGCTCCTGACATTTGCTTTATGTTACTACTAACCTATTGCCTGGGCCTAGAAAACAAGAGCCCAGGTTGCTTTGGGATAAAAATAAAAAGAAAGGAGTAGGAGGTAGTAGGTAAAAGAAAAAGGACTGTACCTTGAGTTTTTAAGTGTAGTTTCCATGTGGCACCAGCCTACCTATGATAAAGCTATTGCAGAGAAGTTTGAAGAGTGGAGATGTCTGCTGGGGATTCTGGGGGAGCTTAGGAAGGAATAATATTTTAAGAACATTGAAGAACTGGGTCTGCCCACACTAAGGTGGGAGAGCTTGGAGATCTCTGTAAACCATAAATTGAAGGGTATGGTCTCTTTGTAGGGTATAGCAGGAGAACCCAGGCTCACTCTCTTTCAAAGTTTTATCCTTGGTATCCTTATTTGTCTCTCTGTATTATATTTTGTCTTCAGGGTAAATCTAGGTTTTTTAGGTATGGTTTTCTTCTATTCAAGAGCTAAGACTCTCTGAGGGAAGTAAAACTAGGCTGGCTTCCTGACTAGAAAACCTCTACGTGCTAATCTCCTATTGGCTAGCAAGTGACAGCTGCTAGATTTTAGCCCAGTCAGGTTGTACATCTTCACAAGGCACTGCTGAAATCTCTCCCTAGGTTGACCAGCCTATGCTGGCTCAGTTTATCCCTGCCCCCAGGCTCCCAATTGTGCCTGTGGCAGGAGTTCCCGTTCAGAGCCTCATGGGTGTGCCGGCTCATTTAGCTTCAAGCTCTTCTGGCCTTCATGTGCCACAGCCATCTCCAGAATAGAACCTGATGCATGAATAGCATAGCCTGGGACTTGGACTTAGGGTCCACAATATAGTACAAGGAACGTGGGCTCCTGAAATCAGAGCTAAATCACGTATCTCCTAGTTCTTAAGTGCCATGAGAAAAGACCCAAGTCCATTAAACAGACCCTCAGACGTATGTACCTCCAATTCCCCGAAGTACTGTTCAGCAGCCTCACCCGTTGAAGAAGATTTAATTCTGCTAAAAGGAGTTGAGGAAAAAAGAGCTGGAAAATGCAGGTGTTGTGCAGGAAAACAAATTTAAGATCTCCAATGCCCTGCACACTTCCTCAGGGGCCTTGTGGCCTCCTTTGTTTTTCTTGTGCTGGAGCTTGGAGGCTAACATGCTTAAGAAGCCAGAATCTGGGCTCTACCTGTTGACAATAGGAGAAATTTGGAGCTGTATGTCACTTGCTGAGGAAGATTATCTAGATTCAATTTGACCCTCAAGAAATATGAAGGCTCTTCTCCATGGCCAAGATCTTGCTTGACTGACCAGCAATTACAAAGTGGATGTTTTGTCTGTAGTTGCAGGTAAGTCACAGCAGCTCCGTCATCACCATCTCCTTGCCATGATATCTGGCTTTGAAACAGCAGCTGGAAATACTGGACCTGGCTTTGGAAAAGAGGCAAGGCAGTGTGTCTTCACACTTTGATGGGAGAGCAGCCCTCAGCCTTTCTCTGCCTTTGTTCCTAATAAGCTGCTCTTATATCCTGTAACTATATCCAGCACACAAGTATAGCCTGTTACTAAGCTGCACACTGAATTCACCAAAGTAAATTAATAAAGTGGGAAAGACTGTGGCTCACGCTCATCCAGAATGTCAGGGTGTGACCACTGGATTTGTCAAGCCCGTTATCTTCTAGGGACCCATATAACTATGTGACCATTGGTATATACAGTTAGTGCTCACAAGACTAGCCTAGGTAGAGCTGAAATCTGTCCTGACATCCAAGCTAAGGTCTCTGAAGACCACAGTCTCATGGGATCACCTTGTGGAGCCAGTTCTGGTCTGGGAGTTTTGAGCAGTCATCCTGAGCTGCCTTGTTTCTACCTTCTCTATACCAACATCCTGTACTCAAGTTCTTGTCCATCCTCACATCATGTCTTAAGATCCCATATCTTTTCTCTAAGATCTTTTCACTATTGTTCCTCTTACACCCCTCTCCACATGGCTTTGACTGCCTTCAACCTTTTGTAGCTGAATTACATCATCCACAAAGTTTGCCAAGTAGCTAAAATGAGGGGTTCAGAATCAAAGCTTTTCCACTCACCAGCTGAAAAAAGTGCAGTTAGACTCACCAGCAGTGGGAAGAAAATATAAAATTATCTAACTTTCAGCTTGTGTAATGGATACAGTATCTCTAAGTCCGGAGTTTTAGTGTACTTTTTTTTTTTAACTGATTGTTTAAACAACAGTAAGGTACAGGATGGTTAGTCAATATTGGTATTTTCACATACTGATTCCATTTTCCACACATACCGTTTTAAAGGAGTTCTACACCTGGTTTCCTGCCAGTCTCCTGTGCCAACTGCCTAATACCATTCCTGTCTTCAGCTATCTTAGAGTGTGGTCCAGAAGGCCTGCCCTAAAAGAGAGCCTTTTTAGCTTGACTGTCTTGATACACAATACCATCACTTTTTCATTTTTATCCCTACTACATAAATCCATTCACCTGAGAATGCAGGCCCTAAGTAGGGTTCATCCAATGATGAGGGATCCTGAAGCTGCAGTCAAGACTCCCAGCCGCAAAACTGCCAGCTCACCCCTGTTCACAATGATGTGACTGATGTCTACAAGCACTGACGGAATTATGCTCAAGGAGCAAGGGGAAGGCATTGCTGTATGATGAGATCTCACTTATCCCTTCTTTCAGACTCATTGTATGATGACACCACTGTTCTTCCCTGCAAGAGATGCCCAGTGGCTCTGACCATCTCTGCTTCTCTCTTAGCTCACCTTGGATCTGAGTGCCCCCACCTCCCAGTAATGCTTGTGCTAGTCAGTGCCCCCCTCATTGTCTCTCCCTCTTCTCTTTCTCTATCTTTGTGCTTCCTGCCGTGGTCCCCTCACCCCGTCCAGAGCTGCTGGATGACCAGCACCCTGTGGTCCGGTTGCTGCGCAGTTTTTCCTCTGACTGTACAGGGGGCCGGCCAGTCTCCTTGGATGCCACGCTGGCGCATCACCTGCACCAGTGCTCCTACCACCTGCGCCTCTTCCGGAACTGGCTGCGCTCAGGCCAGGATGACCCCGAGTGCCTCTACGGTACCCCCTGCCACCAAACTGGCTGCTGCCACTACCCTGGCTGGGTCTGACTGCTTTGCTTATTGCACTTCTGGCAGGAGAGCCCACCTATTTCTTTCTCCTATTTGCCCTAAGTTTATGTAACTTGCATTTAGTCACTTGGATGGGATTGGGGCCAGACTGCCTGGTAGCTGTAGCATTGGCTGCTCATCCCCTTCCTATTCTCCTTTCTCACCACCCCCTAATGTTACTCATTCCCCAGTTCTGTTCAATACAGGAGTAATCTCTTGCCTTGGAATCTGTTCTTATCACTCTAACCCTCTACTACCACCATCTTCAAATCCAAATGTTTTTCTAGCCACTCTGAGGAGCTAGAGACAGTAACTTTCCTGCCCTCCTGCCACTAGATCATGGGAGAAATTGAGGCACAGAAGCCTCAATTGTATCCTTGGGGCAAAGTCCAGAGCTTCGAAGATGGTCAGGCTATAATCCTTTTGAGTTACGGGCTTTAGTCACTGGTGAACAGGAAGCTGTCTTGCATAGACTTCGTTGTCCCGTGTATCCTTAGTCCCTTTAAGGAGATGTTGAAGAGGCATAGGAAAGACTGGGGACTGAGATAGTGGTTTGGATGTGTTTTTCTTCATCCTCCAATGGGGACATTTTTTCCATCACCAGTCCCTAGTATTAGGGTTACATATTTATGTTTATCCTTGACCCTACCCAGACTGATAGACCTACATTGGAATTCTTGGGTTTAGAGCAGAGAATCAGTACTTTTTCTTTTTTCTAGGGCATTTGCCTCATTTTTCTGATGAAGTAGAAAGACCCTAGCAAGTCTGGGGTTTTCCAGTAGATCAGAAGAGTGAAGCTTTGATGTGATGGAAATTACCAAGAAAGAACTCCCATCCCCATCCTGTTCATGCATGTGGTTTTCCTGGGCTGAGCTTCATGTGTATTGCATGCCCTCCAGTTTGCATCCAAGTATTCTAGCCTTTCTGCCGACATCCTAAATTTGCATGAACCCCTTCTCAGATTCCATGTCCTTCTCCTTAATCTGGTTCTCTTATTCATGATACCCAAAATCTGCTGTTTCTTCCCAGCTCCCTGACCTCCCTATCTCATGTTAGATCTGCAGTTTCACCCCTTACCTCTGGATCCTTGTTTTATTCCCCTAGAAAGTGTGAGAACAACGTTGGTGCCTACCCTACTGGGATTCTGTTTATTTTTCCATGAGACATTGCAAGCTCTCCATAGGTAGCATGAAAGGTGATTTGATTCACCTTGAGGCCTTAGCAGGTAGATGTTTTAGGAAATCTGAAGGTGAGAAAAACAGACTCCCTAGGGGCTCTAAAGAGTTCCCTCTCCTAAGAGTCTTGGATACCCAACACTCCAAAAGCCACGGACTCTCCTGATGGCTCTCAGGGACTCTCCATGCTTCCTTGGCCAGTTGGGGTATATCTGGCAGGAGTAACATTGACTTTGCCCATCTCTTTTCAAACAGGGTTTGAAGGGTGTTCCATGGTGCCTACCATCTACCCTCTGGAAACACTGCATAATGCCCTTTCCCTACGTCAAGTGAGTGAATTCTTGAGTAGAGTCTGCCAGCGCCACACTGATGCCCAGGCACAGGCATCTGCAGGTAGGGATATTCTTATTTTTTTACCCTTCTCTCTGCCCCCATGCCCATGCTTCCTAGAATATAAGAAAGTAGTAAATTAGAAAGCTAGTTAGGCAATCCACAAAGACACAAAAGTACACTTAAAAATGTATAATTGCTGGCTGGGCGCAGTGGTTCATGTCTGTTATCCCAGCACTTTGGGAGGCCGAGGCAGGTGGATCACCTGAGGTCAGGAGTTTGAGACAAGCCTGGCCAAGATGGCGATACCTGTCTCTACTGAAAAAAAATAAGGCCGGGCGCAGTGGCTCATGCCTGTAATCCCAGCACTTTGGGAGGGCTAGGCGGGTGGATCACGAGGTCAAGTGATGGAGACCATCCTGGCCAATATGGTGAAACCCTGCCTCTACTAAAAATACCAAAATTAGCTGGGTGCGGTGGTGTGCGCCTGCAGTCCCAGCTACCCAGGAGGCTGAGGCAGGAGAATCGCTTGAACCTGGGAGGCAGAGGTTGCAGGGAGCCGAGATCACACCACTACACTCCGGCCTGGCAACAGAGTGAGACTCCATCTCAAAAAAAAAAAAAAATACAAACATTAGCTGAGCATGTTGGTGTGTGCCTGTAGTCCCAGCTGCTTGGGAGGCTAGGAGAACTGCTTGAGCCCAGGAGGCGGAGATTGCTATGAGCCAAGATCGCACCACTGCACTCCAGCCTGGGTGACAGAGCGAGACTCCATCTCAAAAAAAAAAAAAAGGATAATTGCATAGGCCAACTAAACATCATAGAAATATCACTCCTGAATTCTAAAGTTTTCATTGAAAAATACACAACCAAGAACAGTGAAGAATGAGTGGGGTGCAGTGGCTCACATATGTAATCCCAGCAACTCTAGAGGCTGAGGCAGGAGGATTGTTGAGTCCAGGAGTTCAAGACTAGCCTGTGCAACATAGTGAGACCCCCATCTCTCCAGAAAAAAAAAAAAAAAAAAAGGCTATGCATGGTGGTGTGTGCCTGTAGTCTCATCTACTTGGGATGTTGAAACGGGAGGATCACTTGAACCCAGGAGTTCAAGGCTGCAGTGAGCTATGATCACGCCACTGCGCTCCAGCCTGGGTGGACAGAGCAAGATGTTACCACAAAAGAGAGAGAGAGAGAGAGAGAAAGAGAAGAGAGAGAGAAAAAACCCTGAAAAGAAGAGCAGTGAGCAAATACTAGCCCTACCACATTTTAAATCATTCTATAAAATCTCATTTTAGTTTTGATTTTTGCAGTCGTAGCTTATTGCAGCCCAGAACTCCTGGGCTCAAACGATCCTCCTGCCTTGGCCTCTCAAAGCACTGGCATTACAGGTGTGACACAAAGACTTTTTTTGAGACAGAGTCTCACTCTGTCACCCAGGCTGGAGTGCAGTGGCAGGATCTCAGCTGACTACAACCTCCATCTCCTGGGTTCAAGCAGTTCTCCCTGCCTCAGCCTCCTGAGTAGCTGGGATTACAGGGACAAGCCACCATGCCTGGCTAATTTTTGTATTTTTAGTAGAGATGGGGTTTTGCCATGTTGCCCAGGCTGGTCTTGAACTCCTGACCTCAGGTGATCCACCCCCCCTTGGGTTCCCACAGTGCTGGGATTACAGGTGTGAGCCACCACACCCAGCCAGAAAGACTTTTCAGTAAATGGACGGGGGGTAAATTGAATAGGCATTTGACAAAAATTGAAATTGAACCCACACTGTATACCAGGATAAACTCCATATGGATCGGAAATCTAAACGTAAAAATTAAATCATGTGTTAAGTAGGTAGCTCCAAGGGCTTGTTCATCCACAGAAACACCAAAAAGTAAGAAAAAACTGCTAGAACCAACATTGTGAGAACTCTGGAGAATAGTAAAAGATTTTCAGTAACCAGGAAAATGCTGAATCCAGAAAGAGGCAACCTAAAAATGGCAGAAAAGCTTTGCAGCATTTTTACTCACTCTTGCCCCACCCTGCCTCCCTGGCTTTGTTGTGCTCTTGAAGATGACAGCCCACGTTCTCAATGTAGGACCCTGGTTCCTGGTTCCAGAGGGAGCGGAGAAGACCTTATTCTCAAAGAATTTTCTCTGTTCTAATTTGTTGGTGGGCTACTTGAAGGATTGACACAAAGTGCCTACATTTGTTTTGCCTAACTCTAACTTATTCAGGGCAGAAAAGTGGCTGTGCAGAGAGCATTCCTTAAAAACATTGTAAGGCAAATGAACAACCTGTGCCTGGCCTCAGAATGCATTTTTTTTTTTTTTTTGAGATGGAGTTTCATTCTGTCACCCAGGCTGGAGTGCCACCATGCCCGGCTAATTTTTGAATTTTTAGTAGAGACAGGATTTCGCCATGTTGGCCAGGCTGGTCTTGGACTCCTGACCTTGGGTGATCCACCCACCTCGGCCTTCCAAAGGTGCTAGGGTTACAGGTGTGAGCCACAACACCTGGCCAGAATGCACTTTTTTTTTCTTTTTTTCTGTTTTTTGAGATGGAGTCTCACTCTGTTGCCAGGCTGGAGTGCAGTGGCACGATTTTGGCTAACCGCAACCTCTGCCTTCCAGGTTCAAGTGATTCTTCTGCCTCAGCCTCCCGAATAGCTGGGACTACAGGTGCGCACCACCACGCACAGCTAATTTTTGTATTTTTTTAGTAGAGACAGGGTTTCACCACGTTGGCCAGGATGGTCTTAATCTCTTGACCTCGTGATCCGCCTGACTTGATCTCCCAAAGTGCTGGGATTACAGGCATGAGTCACTGCGCCCGGCCCAGAATGCACTTTTTAAAGTGTCCACAAGAGACTCTATTTATTTATTTAGTGTTGAATTGGTTTATTTTCTAATTTGCTGTTCTTAAATATTTTTATAGAAAATAGAATATTACTTAAAGTAAAAATTTTAAGGCCAGGCATGGTGGCTCACGCCTGTAATCCTAACACTTTGAGAGGCCAAGGAGGGTGGATTGCCCAAGCTTAGAAGTTCGAGACCAGCCTGGGTGATACGGTGAAACCTCGTCTCTACTAAAATACAAAAAATTAGCCGGGCATGGTGGCATGCACCTGTAGTCCCAGCTACTTGGGAGGCCGAGGCAGGAGAATTGCTAGAACTGGGGAGGCAGAAGTTGCGTGAGCTGAGATCGTGCCACTGTACTCCAGCCTGGGCAACACAGCGAGACTCCATCTCTAAAAAATGGTAATAATAAAAACAAACAAACAAAAATTCAGCCAGGCATGGTGGCTCACACCTGTAATCCCAGCTCTTTGGGAGGCTGAGGCTGGCAGATCACTTGAGTTCAAGAGTTCAAGATCAGCCTGGGCAACATGGCAAAACCCCACCTCTACAAAAAAATAAAAATAAAAATAAAATTAGCCAGGTATGGTGGCATGTACCTGGGGTCCCAGCTATTTGGGAGGCTGAGGTGGGAGGATCACCTGAGCCTGGGAGGTGAAGGTTGCAGTGAGCCGAGATTGTGCCACCACACTCCAGCCTGGGTGATAGACTGAGACCGTGTCTCAAAACATAAATAAATAAATAAAAATAGAAAACTCCAACAGTTTTCTAATTGAAAGACTATTATAATAAGGTGAGCAGAAGAAAAGCAATCAAGATTTAGGAAAATATAATAGTGTTTTGTGTTTTTAATTTATTAATTTATAGTTTATACTTTTAACGCCTGGGCATGGTGGCTCACGCCTGTAATCCCAGCACTTTGGGAGGCCAAGGAGGGTGGACCACTTGAGGTCAGGAGTTCAAGACCAGCCTGGCCAACATGGGGAAACCTTGTCTCTACTAAAAAATACACAAATCAGCGAGGCATGGTGGCAGGCACCTGTAATCCCAGCTACTCAGGAGGCTGAGGTAGGAGAATTGCTTGAACTTGGGAGGTGGAGCTTGTAGTGAGCCAAGATCGTGCTACTGGCCTCCAGCGTAGATGGCAAGAGAGAAACTCCATCTGAAAAAAAAAAATTATTATTTACTCTAACAATGTCAATATTTAATTATAATTATAATATCAATTATAATTATAAACAAATGAAAAGTCTAATAAGACAGACTTCCAACTTATACCTTGAACTGTAATTTTAGTAATATTCTCTCATGTTGTTTTGTTTTCTAACAGATTCCACCTTTCCTTGTGCGTGCCTGCGTGTGTGTGTGTGTGTGTGTGTGTGTCTGTGTGTGTGTGTATGCCAGGTGTCTTATATTTGAGAAGAGTCTCACATTAGGTCCGAAGACACAAATAGGTTGAAAGTAAAAGGATAGAAAAACATATTCTGTGCAAATAGTAACCAAAAGAGAGCTGAAGTAGCTATACCAGTATTAGACAAAATAGTCTTTAAGTAAAAAAATTGTTACAAGAGGAGCGGTGCAGAGGTGCATACCTGCAGTCTTAGTTACTTGGGAGGCTGAAGTGGGAGGATTGCTTGAGCCCAGCAGTACTCCAACTGGGGAACATAGCAAGACCCTGTCTCTTTAAAAAAAGTTGTTACAAGTAAGAGAAAGTCATATATTGATAATGAGGTCAATTTATTGGAAGATAAAACAATTATAAACACATACCAAATAACGGAGCCCCAAAATACATGACACAAACATTGACAGAATTGAAGGAAGAATTCTACAATAGTAGTTGCAGACTTCAAAACCTACTTTTATTTATTTTATTTTTAGAGACAGAGTCTTGCTCTGTTGCCCAGGCTGGAGTGGTGTGATCATAGTTCACTGCAGCCTTGACCTCCTAGATTTAAGTGATCCTCCTGCCTCGGCCAAAATGCTGTTGTTGCAGGCATGAGCCACTGTGCCCAGCCAATACTCACTTTTAATAATGGACAGAACAACTCGTCGGAATATTAGTAAGGAAGTGGCCAGGCGAGGTGGCTCACACCTGTAATCCCAGCACTTTGGGAGGCTGAGGCGGGTGGATCACAAGGTCAGGAGATTGAGACCATCCTGGCTAACATGGTGAAACTCCATCTCTACTAAAAATACAAAAAAATTAGCCGGGCGTGGTGGCGGGCACCTGTAGTCCCACCTACTCGGGAGGCTGAGGCAGGAGAATGGCATGAACCCGGGAGGTGGAGCTTGCAATAAGCCGAGATCGCGCCACTGCACTCAAGCCTGGACAACAGAGTGATACTCCGTCTCAAAAAAAAAAAAAAAACACACAGAAAATTAGTAAGGAAATCCCAGCACTTTGGGAGGACAAGAAAGGATAAGCAGGAGTGTCGCTTAAGCCCAGGAATCTGAGACCAGTCTGGGTAACATAGTGAGACCCTGTCTCTACAAAAAATTAAAAATTTAATTGGGCATGGTGGCACATGCCTGTAGTCCCAGCTATCCGAGGGGCTAAGGTGAGAGGACTCCTTGAGCCCAGGAAGTTAAGGCTGTTGTAGTGTGTTGTGATTGTGCCACTGTACTCCAGCCTGGGTGACAGAGTGAGATCCTGTCTCTATTAAAAAAAAAAAAAGAAGAAGAAAATTAGTAAGGAAATAGAACACTACAAACCAACTCGACCTAACAGACATATGTAGACCATTCCATCCAACAACTGCAGAATGCAGATGCTTCTCACATGTACATGAAATATCCTCCAGGATAGACCATATGTTAGGCCACAAAACAAGTATCTATAAATTTTAAAAAGTTGAAGTCATACAAAAGACCTTCTCCAACCACAATGGAATGATGCTAGAATTAATAACAGAAGAGAAAACTGGAAAATTCACAAGTATAGAAATTAAACAACATATTCTTTTTCTTTTTTATTTTTTTGAAACAGATTCTCACTCTGTCGTCCAGGCTGGAGTGCAGTGGCATGATCTCAGCTCACTGCAACCTCCTGCATTCAAGCGATTCCCCACCTCAGCCTCCTGAGTAGCTGGGACTACAGGCACGTGCCACCATCCCCAACTAATTTTTGTATTTTTAGTAGCGACGAGGTTTCACCATGTTGGCCAGGCTGGTCTCAAACTCCTGACCTCAGGTGATCCACCTGCCTTGGCCTCCCAAAGTTC
The DNA here is from genome assembly GCF_000001405.40 of Homo sapiens. Classification (NCBI taxonomy): domain Eukaryota; kingdom Metazoa; phylum Chordata; class Mammalia; order Primates; family Hominidae; genus Homo; species Homo sapiens. Next base: position 43,552,793 of record NC_000015.10, on the reverse strand, counting down.
TAGGATTATAGGTGTGAGCCACCACGCCTGGACTCCTTTTTTATTTTTAATTTTTGTGGGTGAAACAACATACTTTTTTTTTTTGTTTTTTTTGAGACAGGGTCTCACTCTGTCACCCAGGCTGGCGTGCAGTGGTACGATCATGGCTCAGTGCAACCTCGACCTCCAGCTACTCACCCCCTGAGTAGCTGGACTACAGGCACACACCACCACACCCAGCTAATTTTTGCTTTTTTCTTTTTTTTTTCTTTTTTTTTTTTTTTTTATAGAGACAGAGTTTCACCATGTTGCCCAGGCTGAGCTCAAGAGATCTGCTGGCTTCGGTCTCCCAAAATGCTAGGATTACAGGCATGAGCCACTGCGCCCAGCCAACAACATACTCTTAAATGACAAATGAGTCGAAGAAGAACTCACAAGGGAAATTAGATTATACTTTGAGATGAATGAAAATGAAAACATGCCAGATGGTATGGGATGCAGCAAAATTAGTGCTCAGAGAGAACTTTATAGCTATAAATATTTAAATTTAAAAAAAGAAGGGCCAGGTGTAGTGGCTCACATTTGTAATCTCAACACTTTGGGAGGCCAAAGTGGGAGGATTGCTTGAGCCCAAGAGTTCAAGACCTGTCTGGGCAATATAGTGAGACTTCATCTCTACAGAAAAACTTTAAAATTAGCCAAGTGCGGTGGTGCAAACCTGTAATCCCAGGTGCTTGGGAGTCTGAGGTGGGAGGAGAGCTTATGCCTGGAAGGGAGAGGTTGCAGTGAGCTGAGATTGTACCATTGCATTCCAGCCTGTCTCAAAAAAAAAAAAAATCTGAAATCAATAATCTAATTTATACTTTATGACACTAGAAAAAGAAGAGTAAACTAAACTCAAAAAGCAAAAGGAGCCGGGCGTGGTGGCTCACGCCTGTAATCCCAGCACTTTGGGAGGTCGAGATGGGCGGATCACGAGGTCAGGAGATCGAGACTATCCCGGCTAAAACGGTGAAACCCCGTCTCTACTAAAAATACAAAAAAATTAGCCAGGCGTAGTGGCGGGCGCCTGTAGTCCCAGCTACTTGGGAGGCTGAGGCAGGAGAATGGCATGAACCCGGGAGGCGGAGCTTGCAGTGAGCCGAGATCCCGCCACTGCACTCCAGCCTGGGCGACAGAGCGAGACTCCGTCTCAAAAAAAAAAAAAACTGAATCAAGAAGTAGAAAGTCTAAACACACCTGTAACAAGGAAAAAATTAAATTATTATTATTATTATTGTGGGTTTTTTTTTTTTTTGAGACAGAGTCTTGCTCTGTTGCCTAGGCTGGAGTGCAGTGGCATCATCTCAGCTCACTGCAATCTCTGCCTCCTACATTCAAACGATTCTCCTGCCTCAGCCTCCCAAGTAGCTGGGATTACAGGCACTGCCCACCACACCCAGCTAATTTTTGTATTTTTAGTAGAGACGGGGTTTCGCCGTGTTGGCCAGGCTAGTCTTGAACTCCTGGCCTCAAGTGATTCACCCGCCTTGGCCTCCCAAAGTGCTGGGATTACTGGTGTAAGCCACTGCGTCCAGCCAAAAAAGATTAGTAACAAAAACCTCCAAAAAACAAAAAGTCTAAAACCAGATGGCTTCACTGGTGAACTCTACCACATATTTAAAGAAGTAACTCAGTCTACTCACGCTCTTCCAAAAAAATTGAAGAGAAGGAAACATTTTCTTGAGGTCAGATAACACATTTCAGATGACACCATAGGAGAAGAAACCAATATCCCTTAATTATAGAGGCAAAAGTCCCGAACAAAATGCTAGCAAACCAAATCCGACAGCACAATAAAAGAATTATACACCAGGGCTGATGAGATTTATCTCAGGAATGCAAGAGTGATTCAATACAAGAAAACTGGTCATTGTAATACACTACATTATTAGAAAGAGAGAAAAAAACACAGTCATCTAAGTTGACACAGAAAAACATTTGACAAAATCCAACACCCTTTCATGATAAAAACACTCAGCAAACTAGGAATAGAAGGGAACTTAATGAACATGATAAAGGGCATTTATGAAAGCCAAAGCACACATCATACTCAGTAGTGTAACACTGAAGGCTTTCCCTCTAAGATTTGGAACAAGACAAGAATGCCGGCTTCAACCACTGCTATTCAACATTCGTACCAGGAGTTTTAGGCAAGGAAAAAAAAATATCCAAATTGGAAAAGAAAAAATAAAAGTATTTCTGTTCACAGAGGACATGGTCCCAAATATAAAATCACAAAGAAGTCTCAAAAGAAAACAACAATAAAAAAGCGGCTATTAAAGCTAACGAACAAATTTAGCAGAGTTGCAGGTTACAGGATGAACTCAGACTGGGCGCAGTGGCTCACGCCTGTGTTCCCAGCATTTTGGGAAGCTGAGGTGGCAGGATCACTTGAGCCCTGGAGTTTGAGACAAGCCTGGACAACATAGGGAGACACTCTCTCTACAAAAAAAATAAATAAATAAATAAATTAGCCAGGCATGTTGGTGCGCACCTGTAGTCCCAGCTAATTGAGAGGCTGAGGGAGGAGGATGGCTTGAGCATAGGAGGTCAAGGTGGCAGTGACTGGTGATCGCATCACTGTACTTTAGCCTGGGTGATAGAGCAACACCCTGTCTCAAAAAAAAAAGAAAGAAAAAAGAAAGATCAACTCACAAAAATCTTGTGGGCCGGGCTCAGTGGCTTGTACCTGTAATCCTGGCACTTTGAGAGGCTAAGGCGGGAGGATCATTTGAGGCCAGGAGTTCAAGACCAGTGTGGTCAACATAGCAAGACCTTGTCTCTATAAAGTAATTTTTTGCTGAGATAGGGTCTTATTCTGTCACCCAGGCTTGAGTGTAGTTGTGCCATCATGGCTCACTGCAGCCTTGACCTCCTGTGCTGGAGCAATCCTTCCACCTCAGCCTCCCAAATAGCTGGGGCTATAGGCATATACCACCACATCCAGCTAATTTTTGTATTTTTTGTAGAGATGGGGTTTTGCCATGTTGCCCAGGCTGGTCTCGAATTCCTGGAATCAAGTGATCCTCCTACCTCAGCCTCCCAAAGTGCTGGGGTTATAGGCATGAGCCCAGGCTTACAAAATAAATTTTTTAAAATTTGTATAAAGATTTTTTTTTTAAGACAGGTTGTTGCTCTGTTGCCCAGGCTGGAGTGCACTGGCATGATCTCAGCTCACTGAAACCTCTGCCTCCCAGGCTCAAGTGATCCTCCCACCTGAACCTCCCAAGTAGGTAGGACCACAGGCATGTGCCACCACGGCTGGCTAATTTTTTGTAGAGATGTGGTATTGCCATATTGCCTAGGCTGTTCTTGAACTGGCTTCAAGTGATCCTGCCACCTCGGCCTCCCAAAGTGCTGGGATTACAGGCATGAGCCACGGTGTCTGGCCCAATTGTGTTTATATACACCAGCAATGAACAACTGAAAAAGGAAATAATAAAAACAATTCTATTTTCCATAGCATTCAAAAGAATAAAATGCCTGGGAACAAATTTAACCAAGAAGTTGAAAGATTTGTACACCAAAAACTACAAAACATTGCTGAAAGAAATTAAGGAAGGCCAGGTACAGTGGTTCATGCCTGTGATTCCAGCACTTTGGGAGGCTGAGGCAGAAGGATTGCTTGAGCCAAGAAGTTCAAGACCAGCCTAGGCAACATAAGGCCCTGTCTCTACAAATTATATATATGTATATATATATATATATATATATATTTTTTTTTTTTTTTTTTTTTTTTTTTTTTGAGATGGAGTCTCACTCTGTCACCCAGGCTTGGGTGCAGTGGCGCAATGTCCACTCACTGGAACCTCCGCCTTCCAGGTTCAAGCGATTCTCCTGTCTCAGCCTCCCGAGTAGCTGGGATTACAGGTGCTTGCCATCATGCCCAGCTAATTTTTTTCTAATTTTAGTAGAGACAGGGTTTCACCATGTTGGCAAGGCTGCTCTCGAACTCCTGACCTCAGGTGATCCACCGCCTTGGCATCCCAAAGTGTTGGGATTACAGGCGTGAGCCACTGCACCCGGGGTCTACAAATAATTTTTAAGAAAACTTAACTGGGTGTGGTCGCATGTGCCTCTTATTCCTAGCTACTTGGGAGGCTGAGGCAGGAGGATCACCTGAACCTGGAAGGTCAAGACTGCAGTGAGCCATGATTGCACCACTGTACTCCAGCCTGGGCAACAGAGTGAAACCCTGTCTTGCTTAAAAAAAAAAAAAACAACGCAGGGTGCGGTGGCTCACACCTGTAATCCCAACACTTTGGGAGGCCAAGGCAGGCAGATTGCTTAAGCTCACAAGTTCAAGACCAGCCTGATCAGCATGGAGAAACCCTGTCTCTACAAAAAATTAAAAGAAAAAAAAAAAGCCTGGGTGTGGTGGCTCATGCCTGTAATCCCAACACTTTGGGAGGCTGAAGCAGGAAGATCATAAGGTCAGGAGTTCAAGACCAGCCTGTCCAACATGATGAAACCCTGTCTCTATTAAAAAATAATAATAATAAAAAAAATAGCCAGGCACAGTGGCGGGTGCCTGTAGTCCCAGCTACTCAGGAGGCTGAGGCAGGAGAATTGCTTGAACCCGGGAGGCGGAGGTTGCAGTGAGCCAAGATCGCGCCAGTGCACTCCAGCCTGGGTGACAGAGCAAGACTCCATCTTGAAAAAAAAAATTAGCTGGGTGTGGTGATGCATGCCTGTAGCCCAGCTACCAGCACTCTAGCCTGGGTGACAAAGTGAGACCCTGTCTCAATAAAGAAAAAATTAAAGAGGACCTATATAAATGGAAAGGCATTTCATGTTCATGTTGAAGACATGATATTGTTAAGATGGCAGTATTCCCCAAAGCGATCTATGGATTTAATGCAATCCCTATCAGAATTTTAATGTCTTTTCTTCAGAAATGGAAAAGCTGACTCCTCTAATTCATAGGGAACTGTAAGAGGGCCTGAACAGCCAAAAGAATCTTGAAAAAGCAAAACAAAACTGGAGGACTCAAACTTCCTAATTTCCAAATGTATTGCAAAGCTATAGTAATCAAAACAGTGTGGTATTGCTGTAAGTATAAACATATAGACCACTAGAATAGAATCAAGAGTCCAGAATTAAACATCTATGGCCAGTTGATTTTCAACAAGGATGTCAAAACTATTCAATGGAGAAAGAATAGTCTCTTCGATAAGTGGTGCTGAAACCACTAGGTATTCACATTGCAAAAGAACTCATTCACCCCTACCTCATATCATATGAAAATATTAACTCAAAATGGATCAATGACCTAAGTATAAGAGTTAAAATTATAAATCTCTTAGAAGAAGTCGTAGAGTAAATCTTAATGACCTTAAATTTGGCAATGGATTTGTAGAACAAAAGCATAAGCAACAAAAGAAAAAATAATTAGACTTCACCAAAACTAAAAATATTTGTGCATCAAAGGATATTATCAAAAAGTAAAATAACAACTACAGAAAGGGAGAAAATATTTACAAATATTATATCTAATACGTACAGATGATAACAACAACAAAAAGACAACACAGTTTAAAAAGGAGCAAAGGACTTGAATTGACATTCTCCAAAGAAGACATGTAAATAGCTAAGAAGCACATGAAAAGATGCTAACTCTCATTAGTTTAGGGATATACAAATCTAAACCACAGTGACATACCACTTCATACCCACCGGATAGCCATTAAAAATAAAGAAAAGAAAGTGTTAGTTAGGATGTGGACAAACTGGAACTCTCATACAGTGCTAATGGAAGTATAAAATAGTACAGCTACTGTGGAAAACAGTTTGTTCCTCAAAAAATTAAACATAGGCTGGGCACAGTGGCTCATGCCTGTAATCCCAGCTCTTTGGGAGGCCAAGGTGGGCGGATCACTTGAGCACAGGAGTTCAAGACCAGCCTGGGCAACATGGTGAAACCTTGTCTCCACAAAAAAATACAGAAAGTTACCTGGGCATGGTGGTGCACACCTGTAGTCCCAGCTACTCAGGAGACTGAGGTGGAAGAATCACCTGAGCCCCAGAGGTTGAGACTGTAATAAGCCAAGTTCATGCCACTGCACTCCAGCCTGGGTGTCAGAGTGAGACTCAAAAAAAAAAAAAAAAAAAAAAAAAATTGAAAACAGGTACTCAAACAAATACACACAGATGTTCATGGCAACACTATTCACAATAATCAAAGCTGAGGATGATGGCTCACACCTGTAATCCCAGCTCTTTGTTAGGCCAAGGCAGGAGGATTGCTTAAGACCAGGCGTTCAAGACCAGCCTGGACAACATATCTCTACAAAATAGGAAATAAAAAAATTAGCCAGTCATGGTGGTGTGCACCTGTAGTCTTAGCTACTCTGGAGGCTGAGGCGGGAGGATCACTTGAACCCAGGAATTCAAGGTTACAGTGAGCTACGATCACACCACTGCACTTCAGCCTTGATGAAAGAGCAAGACCCTTTCTCAAAAAGTCAAAAGGTAAAAACAACTGAAATGTCAATGAATAGATAAAATGTAGTATGTACATACAATGGAATATTACTGAGCTATAAAAAGGAATGAAGTACCGATACATATTAAAATGTGGATGAACCTTAAAAACATTATGCCAAATGCAAGAAACCAAACACAAAAAGTCACATATTGTATGATTTTATTTATATGAAATATCCAGAATAAGTAAATCCATAGAGACGGAAAGCAGATTGGTGGTTTCCAGGGTTTGGGAGTAGGATGGAATGGAGATTGACTTCTTTTTTTTTTTTTCCCCATAAAGTGAAAGCAAGTTTATTAAGAAAGTAAAGGAATAAAAGAATGGCTGCTCCATAGGCAGAGCAGCCGGGATTGACTTCTTAATGGATATGGGGTTTCTTCTGGGGTGACGAAAATGTTTTGGAACTAGATAGAGGTGGTGGTTGCACAGCACTGTGGGTGTACTAAATGCCACAGAATTATACAATTTAAGATGGCTAACTTTTATGTTATGTGGATTTCACCTCAATAAAAAAAATTAAACCATGCAAGTACTAAAAGTAAGCAGGGTGTTAGTGGTAAATTCCTTTATCATCTGAAAGTAAGGAAAGCCTAATTCTGACTCAAAGTCAAACTTGTGAAGCAAAAAAAAGATTGACAAATTAGGCCAGGTGCAGTGACTCATGCCTGTAATAGCAGCACTTTGGGAGGCCAAGGCAGAAGGATCACTGGAGCCCAGGAGTTCGAGGATGGAGTGAGCTGTGATTGTGCTACTACACAATCAGCTACTACTACCTGAACAACCCCATCACTAAAAAAAAAAAAAAAAAAAAGAAGTGTACAGAGAAAGAAATGCAGATAGCCATTGTACATATGAAATTATGCTTAACCTTCCATAAGAGGTATGCAAATTAAAACTACACTGAGATATTATTTCTCACCTGTTAGATTGGAAAAAATCCAAAAGTTTGACAATATACTCTCTTGGCAAGTCTGGTGAAACTAGAAATCCTGTACATTGTTGGTGGGGGTACAAAATGGTACAATCTCTATGGAGGTACATTTTGTAGTATCTCACAGAATTATAGTTAACCTCTGATCCAATAATCCACTTTTTTTTTTTTTTTTATGAGACGGACTCTTGCTCTGTCGCCCAGGCTAGAGTGCAGTAGTGCCATCTCGGCTCACTGCAAGCTCTGCCTCCTGGGTTCACGTCATTCTCTTGCCTCAGCCTCCTGAGTAGCTGGGACTACAGGCGCCCACCACTACACCCGGCTAATTATTTGTATTTTTAGTAGGGACGGGGTTTCACTGTGTTAGCCAGGATGGTCTCGATCTCCTGACCTCGTGATCTGCCCACCTCTGCCTCCCAAAGTGCTGTAATTACAGGCGTGAGCCACCACGCCCGGCCCCAATAATCCACTTTTAAGAATCTATTCTGAAGCCATTTCTATGCAAAGTTGAAATAACATTTGCTTATTTATGTGTTTTTTTAGAGACAGGGTCTTGCTCTGTCACCTAGGCTGGAGTACTGTGGTATGATCATGCCTGGAGAACAGTGGCATGATCACTGAAGGCTGGAATCCTGTGTTCAAGTGATCCTCCTGCCTCAGCCTCCCAAATAGCTGGGACTACAGGCATGTGCCACCATGCCCAGATAATTTTTAAAATTTTTTGTAGAGACAAGAGTCTCACTTTATTGCCCAGGCTGGTCTTGAACTCCTGGCCTCAATGACTCTCCTGCTTAAGCCTCCCAAAGTGCTGGGATTATGGATGTAAGCCACTGCTCCCAGCCTGAAATAACATTTATATACAGTTATTCATTGGGACATTATTTAAAGTGGCAAAATATTGGAAATGACTCAGAAGTTCTTTAGTGCAAGAGTAGTTGAAAAAGCTGTGGTGTGTCCACTCAATTGAATACTATGCATCTGTTAAAACTAATGAGGAAGCTCTATATGATCTAATATGAAATAATCACCAGGATATATTATTAAGTGAAAAAAACAAGATGTAGAATAGTGTTAATAGTATGTTACCTATATTGTAAGTAGAGAGGGGAAATAAAGAAAAAATACATATATATTTACAAAAAATACTTGCTAGAAGTATAAACCAGAAACAAAATTTATTACCTCAGATTTAACAATAGGGAATGGGGCTGAAGGGCATGAAGGAAATGCAGTTTCTCTGAGTGTGCCTTTTTGTATAGCTTTGACTTGTGAGCCTGTAAATGTTTTTCAAAATATAAAGTTAAGAAAAGAAACAAAACCTAAAATTGCAAAAAAAGAAAGAAATGACCCTAACTGTATATCAAAATAGTAACATAACCACATGGGTAAAATAATTTTTCAATAACTTTAGAATACTTTATCAGTTCTTTGGTGGGACAAAAAGAACTATAATTGTAATCCTTATTCAGTAGTTTAATTGTTAATAGTGATATTGATACTACAGTGATATTGATACTATGTATATAGTGTGTGAATATATATTTTATATATATATATATATGCATTACAGAGTAGCAAATAAGGAATTATGTTCCTGTTATTAGGAACGAGGATTTTCAAAGTAAGATAAATTAGATGAAAGTATAAATTCAAAAGACTTTTAAAATACTGTAATGATAAATATGAATTGGCAATATCAATATGAATTCTGGTTTTTAAGTGCTTTTTCTAGTACTATGCATTGGCAAATGTAGCATGAGCTCCTTTAGCAACTAGATTTTGGTCTCTATGTACCATTATCCACTAAAAGTAACCAGGATTCCATGGGGAAATAACTTGATTTTTGGTCTAGAGCAGGGTTTTTTTAAAGCTTTGTAGAAATTACTCTCCATCCCAGGAGTTTTTTTTTTGTTTTGTTTGTTTGTTTGTTTGTTTGTTTATTATACTTTAAGTTTTAGGGTACATGTGTACAACGTGCAGGTTTGTTACATATGTATACATGTGCCACGCTGGTGTGCTGCACCCATTAACTTGTCATTTAGCATTAGGTATATCTCCTAATGCTATCCCTGCCCCCTCCCCCCACCCAACCAGCAGTTTGTTTAGAATTTTTTTTCCTAATTACCTCCTACCACATGAAATTTTAACACCACAGATATATCATATATCTGTTTATGTATTGTGACCATTTACCATTGGAATAGCTAAGATTTTGTTACCCCCACCAAGAACCAATTTTGTTTGGAATGCATGGCTGAGGGCAAAGAAAGCCCAGGATGATCTTGCAGCATGTTGTAAAGGAAAGCAAGGAAACAATCAAGCCCAAAGAGGCTCCCAGTGACCAAAATTGGGACAATTTGGGCATTAAAAAGAATAATTATGTAGTTGATTGAAGTACACTGAATGTAGCTACTCAGGAGGCTGAAGTGGGAGTATCGCTTGAGCCTAGGAATTTAGACCAGCCTGGGCAACATAGCTAGATCTTATCTCTAAGAAAATTAAAAAGTTAGCCAGGCATGATGGCACACACCTATAGTCCTAGTTACTCAGTGGGCTGATGTTGGAGGATTGCTTGAGCCCAGGAGTTTGAGGCTGCAGTGAACTGTGCTAGCATCACTGCATTCCAGCCACTGACAGAGTAAGAGCCTGTCTCTAAAACACACACACACACACACACACACACACACACACACACACACACACACACTGAATATATATAATAAAAATCCACAAGCTCATAATGAATGAAAACAAGAGCTGGGTGCTAGGTGAGGTAGCTCATGCACCTGTAATCCCAGCACTTTCGAAGGCCAAGGCAGGGGAATCACTTGAGTTCAGGAGTTCGAGACCAGCCTGGGCAACATGGTGAAACCCCATCTCTACAAAAATACAGAAATGAGCTAGGCATTGTGCTATGCGCCTGTAGTCTGAGCTACTCAGGAAGCTGAGGTTGGAGGATCGCTTGAACCTGGGAGTTTGAGGCTGCAGTGAGCTGTGATCGTACCACAGCACTCTAGCATGGGTGACAGAGCAAGACTCTGCCCCCCCCCCCCGCCAAAATTAAGTAAATAAGACAAATTAATACTCATCCAGCACTATTGGAAAATATTTTTCACTAACTCTCTACTCTGAAAACCAATTAAAGGGAAATAAACATTCTGCCTTTTCAGTGAGAACTGTAGTTCAGTATAATCAAATAGTCCCATTTGCAGAAGGAAAGCTCTTCTTTACAGAGAATATGCCAGTTGATGGTGGAGAACTAGACATTCCTCAAAGGATCACCCCTAATCAGAAGGGGAAAGCTTCACAATGAGATCTTGTTGGTGCCACCTTAACCTAGTTAGTAAACTTAGCCTTACTTATAATGGGACAATGAGGCAATATGCCTCCAGTATGATGCAATATACAGCACATGGGATCACCTCTTAAAGTATTCTTAACAAAATTATTTAACATAAATCAGTTAAGTTAGATCAATTTCCAGTTAATAGGAAATACAAGGGATAGTGAAATAAGTTAAATGATTCTATGTGGAAACAATTAGACAAGTCCAGAATGTGGGACATGACCTTCTGCAAAGACAACTGGCCTGTTCTTTTCTCTTTTCTCTCTTTTTTTTTTTTTCTTTTTTGAGATGGAGTCTTGCTTTGTTGCCCAGGCTGGAGTGTAGTGGCATGATCTTGGCTTACTGCAACCTCTGCCTCCCGGGTTCAAGGTTCAAGTGATTCTCCTGCTTCAGCCTCCCAAGTAGCTGAGATTACAGGCGCCCACCACCACGCCTGGCTAGTTTTTGTATTTTTTGTAGAAATGGAATTTCTCCATATTGGCCAGGCTGGTCTTGAATTCCTGACCTCAGGTGATCTACCCGCCTCGGCCTCCCAAAGTGCTGGGATTACAGGCATGAGCCACCGTGCCTGACCTTCTTTTCAAAAAGTTACTATGGGCTGGGGATGGTGGCTCACGCCTGTAATCCTAACACTTTGGAAGGCTGAGGCGGGCACATTGCTTGAGCCCAGGAGTTCAAGATCAGCCTAGGCAGCATGGTAAAAGCCCATCTCTACTAAAATACAAAAAATTAGCCAGGAGTGGTGATATGTGCCTGTAGTCCCAGCTACTCAAGGTGCTGAGGTGTGATGATCGCTTGAGCCAGGAGGTCAAGACGGCAGTGAGCTGTGATCACACCACTGCACTCCAGCCTGGGTGACAGCGAGACCCTGTCTCAAAAAAGTTACTATGAAAAAAGGAGAGGCTGCACTATTCTAGATTAAAAGACACTTCAAAGACATAACGAGATGCAGTGCATGGTTCATGTTTGGATGCTTTTATAAAAGACATTTGGGGGAATAATTGGGAAAATTTGAATATGGACTGGGTATTGAATGATACTAGGCAATAATTTTTAATTTTGTTTAGCTTGTTAATGGTGTTTGGCTATGTTGGAAAAATTTCTTTATATATATCTTTTCTCTTCTCTTTTTTTTTTTTTTTTTTTTGAGACAGAGTCTCTCTCTGTCGCCCATGGTAGAGTGCAGTGGCACAATCTCTGCTCACTGTGCAACCTCTGCCTCCTGGGTTCAAGTGATTCTCATGCCTCAGCCTCCCAAATAGCTGGGATTACAGTCATGTACCACCACACCCAGCTAATTTTTTTTTTTTTTGAGACAGAGTCTTGCTCTGTCGCCCAGGCTGGAGTGCAATGATGCGATCTCGGCTCACTGCAACCTCTGTTTCCTGGGTTCAAGCAATTCTCCTGCCTCAGCCTCCTAAATAGCTGGGATTACAGGCATGTGCCACTACACCCGGCTAATTTTTGTATTTTTAGTAGAGACGGGGTTTCACCATGTTGGTCAGGCTGGTCTTGAACTCCTGACCTCGTGATCTGCCTGCCCCGGCCTCCTAAAGTGCTGGGATTACAGACGTGAGCCACTGTGCCCGGCCTTAATTTTTACATTTTTAGTAGACGGGGTTTCTCCATGTTGACCAGGCTTGTCTTGAGCTTCTGGCCTCAAGTGATCCACCCACCTTGGCCTCCCAAAGTGCTGGTTTACAGGCATGAGCCACCACACCCAGCTGGAAAAATATCTTATATTTTATTATTATTATTGAGACAGAGTTTCACTCTGCCACCAGGCTGGAGTGCAGTGGTGCGATCTCAGCTCACTGCAACCTCTGCCTCCCAAGTTCAAGCGATTCTCAAGCCTCAGCCTTCCAAATAGCTGGGATTACAGGCATGTGCCACCATGCCGGCTCATTTTTGTATTTTTAGTAGAAATGGGGTTTTGCTGTGTTGGCCAGGCTGGTCTTGAACTCCTGGCCTCAAGTGATCCACCTGCCTCGACCTCCTAAAGTGTTAGGATTACAGGCATGAGCCACTGCACCCAGCCATTTCTTATATTTTAGAGATGCATTTTGAAGTATTTAGAGGTGACATGTTTCATAATGTCTGTCATTTATTTTAAAACACTTTAGCATGCAGAAATAGATGAAACAAGTATGGCAAAAATGTCAGTGTGTTAAATCTAGGAGACGGGTATATGGGCATTGACTGCAGCAGTCTTTCAACTACTTTTTAAAAATATATGTTTGAAAATGTTCATAATATAACGTTTAAAAAATTGAAAATGGTTTGGTTGAAGGGTCCCCAGGAAATGCTACTTCTCAGCCAAGGAAGGGTAAGTTGGCTTTGACTTATGTTGAGAACGTGTGGCTCCTGGATTCTTCCTCATATGTCTTTTTTTCTTCCCTCTCCCTTCACCCTACCTCCTTTCCAGCCCTCTTTGATTCCATGCACAGCAGCCAGGCCTCAGATAACCCATTTTCTCCACCACGTACTCTTCATTCACCTCCCCTGCAACTCCAGCAGCGCTCTGAGAAGCCCCCTTGGTGTAAGTAATCCTTTTGGAACTGCCTAGACAAAAGTCATGAAGACTGGAGTGATTGGTGAATGAGGGGCCTGTTGCATGAGGTCAAAGAAGGTGGGGCTTGAAAGACCAGGAATATCCATTCTGGGAAGCAGTCTCATCTGCCATTTCTAAGATGAAAGGAGAATCTGTTTATTCTCTCTCTTTACCTCTTTACCTCTGTTCTCCATGTTCCTTCTATTTCATTGGAGAGAAGGTTTTCTGCAGTATTAGGAATAATTGTTTTTTTTTTTTGAGAGACAGAGTTTCGCTCTTATTGCCCAGGCACGATCTTGGCTCACTGCAACGTCTGCCTCCCTGGTTCAAGCGATTCTCCTGCCTCAGCCTCCCAAGTAGCTGGGATTACAGGCATGCACCACCACGCCCAGCTAAATTTTGTATTTTTAGTAGAGACGGGGTTTCTCCATGTTGGTCAGGCTGGTCTCAAACTCCCGACCTCAGGTGACCCGCCTGCCTCAGAGGAATAATTTCTAATTTGGAGAGAAGTTCTTCCTCAAAGCGCTCTTTGGGGAAGAAAGAATGGAGACTTCATTCCCCTTTCATCCCTATTTGATCTCTACAGTTTTCTCCAGTAAAGATGACTAGCAGACAACCTAGATATTTAGAAAAGCTGGGAGCAGGAGGCCGGGCATGATGGCTCACGCCTGTAATCCCAGCACTTTGGGAGGCCGAGGCGGGCAGATCACGAGGTCAGGAGATTGAGACCATCCTGGCTAACACGGTGAAACCCCTGTCTCTACTAAAAATACAAAAAATTAGCCGAGCGTGGTGGTGGGTGCCTGTAGTCCCAGCTACTCGGAAGGCTGAGGCAGGAGAATGGCAGAGCTTGCAGTGAGCTGAGATGGCGCCAATGCACTCCAGCCTGGGCAACAAAGTGAGACTCCGTCTCAAAAACAAGCAAACAAAAAAGGCTGGGAGCAGGAGAGACTAGAATCTGCTACTTATTTCTACATAACCCTTCTCTCTGTTGCCTGTTTTCAATTTTTAGTTTAAGTTGAGATGCTGCTTTTTCCCATCTTGTTTATTATCTCTAATCTATCACTAGTTATTTTTGGTAACAATGTGAACAGTGGAGCCACACAGAGTTGTTAGAGTGACTATAGAGAGGAGGAGCTACTGGTGGTAATTGGAGGTGGGAATATGGGCCAGAGGCACTGGTGAAGTATCATCCTGCCTCCGGGGAATAACTGAAATCAAATATGCCTTTCATTATTTTATTTGGATAGGACCGAAGTAAAGATTCTTACTTCATTCAGCATTGGACTTAACAGTTGTAGAATTTTTGCCCTTTTTCTGGCATCCTGTTTGAGGAAGAAACTTTCCTCTCTGACACCAAGAATTCCTCCCCTGAATTTCAGATTATCCTACACTCTTTGTAGGGCCATTGCCCTTTTTACCTGTTTCCTGGAGTGTTTATGATTTCTGTGCCCCTGGAAATCTTACCCTTCTCCCTCTTCTGTTTCTGTTTGACCTTTTTGATTTGCCTGAATCAGACCACTAGCAGGATATTAAGGCTACTTCTTTACTTGGGTAAAGCTCAGCTTACATCTTTTCTTTTTCTTTTTTTCCATCTAGTATCAGATTTTTGACTCAGTATCAGGTGTGTAGCCTCACTGGTAAACGTCTTCTTTAGGGTCTGTATGTCTGCATCAGAAATAGGCTCCACATCTCTTAAAGCCTTGTTGGTTCAAAACCATGATCTTCTCTCTCTCTCTCTCTCTCTCTCTTTTTTTTTTTTTTTTTTTGAGATGGAGTCTTGCTCCGTCACCCAGGCTGGAGTACAGTGGCGCGATCTCGGCTCACTGCAACCTCCACATCCCAGGCTCAAGTGATTCTCCTACCTCAGCCTCCTGAGTAACTGGGATTACAGGCACGTGCCACCATACCTGGCTAATTTTTGTATTTTTAGTAGAGACGGGGTTTTGCCATGTTGGCCAGGCTGGTTTCGAACTCCTGATCTCAAGTGATGCACCCACCTCAGCCTCCCAAAGTGTTGGGATTACAGGCATGAGCCACCGCGTCTGGCTTCTTTTTCTGCTTGAAGCATGCCTCCTTTGATTCTTTTTTTTTTTTTTTTTTTTTTTTTTTTGAGGTGGAGTCTTGCTCTGTCATCCAGGCTGGAGTGCAATGGTGCAATCTCGGCTCACTGCAACCTCCGCCTCCTGGGTTCAAGTGATTCTTCTGCCTCAGCCTCCTGAGTAGCTGTAGCTGGGATTACAGGCATGCGCCACCATGCCTGGCTAATTTTTTTTTGTATTTTTAGTAGAGGAGGAGTTTCACTATGTTGGTCAGGCTGGTCTCGAACTCCTGACCTTGTGATCTGCCCACCTCGGCCTCCCAAAGTGCTGGGATTACAAGTATGAGCCACCGTGTCCAGCCCCTCCTTTGATTGTTTACAGAAGAGAGATAACTAGCATACCTTCAACTCAATGATGGATTGAGCCTTTGTAGGCTCAGGTTTACCAACTTTTCAAGGTTTTCTTCAATGGCAATATGTTCTGATGTTCCCTTTTCCCAGAATCTGTCATTATTGATACCATAGTGCTTTAATATATCGTTATAATATTATCAACAAAAATGATGTTTACCAAGGGAAAAGTAGGTTAGTCAAGTACTAGAGGGCGATGAAGCAGTAGAGGATGGAGTAGGAATCATCCCACAGTGTAATTGAAGACTCTGAGGTCTTTATTACACTACTGTCAGGATGTAGGAAATCAGTTTTTAAATGTTTTCCGTGTATATAATATGCACAAGCCTGTAACATTGTATGTCCCAAGACTTACAAGCGTCTTAACTCTGGATCCATAGATGTGGTTTCAGGGTAGGGTCTGTGAGCTTCAGGAATCACATGTAAAGATTAGTGTGAATATTCTTATATAGATTTTTCCTGGAAGATATCTGACTTAGTACCTCAAAGGGGCCACTGACCCCTAGAAAGGTTAAGAACTGCCATGTAGAAATTCCATGGCCATCTTCCATTTTTGGGTAAACTATTTTCTTTTTTTTTTTTTTTCTGAGACAGAGTCTTGCTTTGTTGCCCAGGCTGGAGTATAGTGGCACAATTTCGGCTCACTGCAACCTCCACCTCTGGGGTTCAAGTGATTCACCTGCCTCAGCCTCCTGAGTAGCTGGGATTACAGACAGCCGCCACTACGCCTGGCTAATTTTTGTATTTTTAGTAGAGACAAGGTTTTGCCATGTTGGCCAGGCTGGTTTAGAGCTCCTGACCTCAAGTGATCTGCCTGCCTCGGCCTCCCAAAGTGCTGGGATTACAGGCGTGAGCCACCGCACCCAGCCAGGTAAACCATTTTCTTTCCTATTGTTCTGATTTACATGGTTTTTCTACATTCTTCTGCCAACTTATCATTTGGGCTATAAATAATGATTACCTCTGCCCCAGAAATACATTGATTGCTTTAAAGAATGATTCTTAACAGAAGGTGTACATCAGATTCAAATGAGAGTGTTCCAACAAAATTATATTGCCTTCTTCCTCCTCCCTCCTCCAAACTACACCTTTACGCTAAACCTATAGAATTAGAATCTCTGGAGTTGAAAACTGGAAATTAGTATTTTAAAAAATTTTTTCATGATTTTGTTTATGAACCACTGGGCTAAAGTATTCATATGCTTCCAAAGTAGGAATGAGAGGCCTTGGGAACTTGGAATTGGGATGGGAGTGTATTTGTGAAAGAACCAGATGAAGTGGGTCTTAGCACTCTCTCCTGAAGTCTTAGATGTACCTTATTGTTACTCTCAAAGTATACATTAGGCCAGGGTGACAGTTCCTGAGGTAAGCAAACTTAGGAGTCTCTGCTTAACTTAGGAAGAATTTGGACACTCTTCCCTCAAGACATAAGTAGCATAGGCCAACAATTCTAGCATTTGAACTATCTGCACAGGGTAGAGCCTACTCTTCCAGCTTCTCTAACTTGATCTCTTGACTTTGCTTTACAGACAGCAGTGGCCCTTCTAGCACTGTGTCCAGTGCTGGTCCTTCTTCCCCTACTACAGTAGATGGTAACTCCCAATTTGGCTTCAGTGATCAACCCTCCCTAAATTCACACGTGGCTGAAGAACATCAAGGCCTTGGGCTGCTCCAGGAGACCCCTGGGAGTGGAGCACAAGAGCTCTCCATAGAAGGGGAGCAAGAGCTTTTTGAACCAAATCAGTCCCCACAGGTGCCACCTATGGAAACCAGCCAGCCATACGAGGAGGTCAGCCAGCCATGTCAGGAGGTCCCTGACATCAGCCAGCCATGCCAGGACATTTCTGAGGCGCTCAGCCAGCCATGTCAGAAGGTCCCTGACATCAGCCAGCAATGCCAGGAGAACCATGACAATGGTAACCACACATGCCAGGAGGTCCCTCACATCAGCCAGCCATGCCAGAAGTCCAGCCAACTGTGCCAGAAAGTCTCTGAGGAAGTTTGCCAGCTATGTCTGGAGAACTCCGAGGAGGTCAGCCAGCCATGCCAGGGGGTCTCTGTGGAGGTTGGCAAGCTGGTCCATAAGTTCCATGTAGGGGTTGGTAGCTTGGTCCAGGAAACCCTTGTAGAAGTTGGCAGCCCAGCTGAAGAGATCCCTGAGGAGGTCATCCAGCCATACCAGGAGTTCTCTGTGGAGGTTGGCAGGCTGGCCCAGGAGACTTCTGCGATCAATCTGTTATCTCAGGGCATCCCTGAGATTGATAAACCATCCCAAGAGTTCCCTGAGGAGATTGATCTGCAGGCCCAGGAGGTCCCTGAGGAGATAAATTAGAAGTCCTGGGTGGTCCCTGAAGTGATTGATCAGCTGCCTGGAGAGGGTATTCCTCAAGCCCAGCATCCATCTGGTGATCCAAACCCTCAGAGCCAGTCTCTAGCCCATGACCAGCACTCACCCCTTCCACCAGCAACATGTGATTAATTTTCTCATTAGTGGTATCACACTATACCAGCCATTTGAGCCAGCAACCTTTTCTGTTGGCTAACTCACTGGCCAGCTCTCACCAGCGGTGTCTGGGGAAGTAGTTCTCTTTGTATGAAGCATACCTGTGCCAGAGCTGTGGTTGAGGAGGAGCCAGTTTTAGGTTCGAAGAAGCCATTGGCTCCTCACTTAGCCATTAGACTTGAATAGGATTTCCTTGGGGTGGGTTGGTCTGTCATTACCCAGCCTTCTCTGAGCATCCTAGGAAATCACAGATTGTTAAAGGAAATGCCGCTTCACTGCTGAAGACACCATCTGGCGACAGCAAATGCAAAAGAGGGGACTCTAGGGTCTTCACTTTTCTGGGGAAATGTTCACGACTTCTCAAGGTACGCTTAGACCATATGTGCATTCAGGGGACTCTTGTCTTTGCCAGCACTCCTCAGGTGAGCCCGGGATGGCTATCTGAAATGTCTGGAAAATAGAGTCCCTTCCCCAAACATCTGACATGGCCACTAAATCTTTAGACTTGCCTTATAGATCCTTCCATATCATCCCCAAGTGCCCCTTCTGCCTCAGTCCTGTTCCTCTGGGCAATAGCTCTAGGGAAAAGTAGGTATTAGACTGCTGTGCAAAATTCAGAGCAACTACTTAAAATGCTCTAGAGGATTCTTAGCCAGTCTGTGAAAGTGGGCCTCCTCTGTGGTGGGGCTGTTTGGCTTAGGAGATGCTGTAGTAGTAGAGATAATCAGGTTCTATTTTAAGCAATCAGCAGAGATCAATATTGTACAGATACAAGCAAAGGTTTAATAAATATATATATATATATTTATTTCTGTAGTTGTGCCAGGGACAGACTGGCCAAAGACCAAACACTGCAGGGTCCCCAAGAAATTTGTCCTTATATCATTGTGTCTGAGGGCCAGATATGATTATGAAGCTTTTTCCAAAGATCCAGGGATGGGAATGGGAGTGGGTAGGAGGGGTAATGCGGTCATTGGAGTCGGGGGCTGGAACATTATGAGTGCTCAATAAATATAAACTAATGAGAATGGTGGTGATGGATGATGGTGATGTCCTTGTGAATTCAAGAATGAATATAGGCTGGGCACGGTGGCTTACACCTGTAATCCCAGCACTTTGGGAGGCCAAGGCGGGCAGATCATTTGAGGTCAGGAGTTGGAGACCAACCTGGCCAACATGGTGAAACCTTGTCTCTACTAAAAACACAAAAATTAGCCAGGCATGGTGGTGGACACCTGTAATCCCAGCTATTCGGGAGGCTGAGACAGGAGAATCACTTGAACCCTGGAGGCAGAGGTTGCAGTGAGCCAAAATCACGCCACTGCCCTCCAGCCTGGGCAAAAATGCAAGACTCTGTCTCAAAAAAAAAAAAAAAGGAATACGACTATGAGTCAATTGTGTCTGTAACTGATTAATCTGAATCGGTCAAAAGCCATTATAGTTGAGCAGGAATGGGCTGTAAAAATACAGAGATCAGGCATCCAAAAATAGACTATAAAAATATAGAGATCAGCTGGGCGTGGTGGCTCACATCTGTCTGTAATCCTAGCACTTTGGGAGGCCGAGGTGGGTGGATCATGAGGTCAAGAGATTGAGACTATCCTGGCCAACATGGTGAAACCCCATCTCTACTAAAAATATAAAAATTAGCTGGGCATGGTGGCACATGCCTGTAATCCCAGCTACTCGGGAGGCTGAAGCAGGAGAATTGCTTGAATCCAGGAGGTGGAGGTTGCAGTGAGCCAAGATCGCGCCACTGCACTCCAGCCTGGTGACAGAATGAGACTCTGTCTCCAAAAAAAAAAAAAAAAAAGAGAGATCAGGCATCCCAAGAGGAGCCTATGGCAGTTAACCCACTATCTCAAAAGGTATTTATTTATTTATTTAGAGACAGAGTCTCGCTCTGTCACCCAGGCTACAGTGCAGTGGTGCGATCTCAGCTCACTGCAACTGCCGCCTCCTGGGTTCAAGCGATTCTCCTGCCTTAGCCTCCTGAGTAGCTGGGATTACAGATGCCCGTCACCACACCCAGCTAATTTTTTTTGTATTTTTAGTAGAGACGGGGTTTCGCCGTGTTGGCCAGGCTGGTCTCGAACTCCTGACCTCAGGTGATCTGCCCGCCTCGGCCTCCCAAAGTGCTGGGATTACAGGTGTGAGCCACCACGCCCGGTCCCCAAAAGGTCTTTATTGAGTAAGTAGAGTGTTGGATGGGGGACTGGAAAGAGGTTCCCTCTCTGTGAAGCACCAGAGGGTACATGCCTTCTCACCAAGTTCTTGGAATCATCCTGTTAATTTTTCACTCTGATGGAGTGTCAGGAGGAGTTTATATAAAGGGGCTATGCCCTTTCTCTGCTCCTTTGACATCTTTACCATGAGAGAGCCCAGAACAGTGGGAGGGCTAGAATATGCCCCTCCCCAAATATACACATTCATAACCTGGCCACTTCTGACATACTTAGGACTATAAAGGGTTTCCATGGAGGAGGAAAGTCGACCGTTTTACTCCATGGAAATCCTGACTGCACAAGGAGAGTTGTTTCCAACCTCATTAGGCTCTGGATCTCTTAGGGTCCTTCAGCTTTTTACCCCTTTAGCCCAAGAGGCTGTCCAGGGTAGCTGATCCTGGTTATTTGGTCCTCAACTCTTGACCCCACGGAATGCATATCCCCTTCCCAGGAGGCCTTCTGCCCCTCTTCCCTCCCCCAGACCAGATGTATGTATCCACCCTAGGCTCCTATTCTTCATACTCAGGCACAAGTGTTTCCAGTAATCAAAAGCATTGGAGTCTTCCAAGATAAATTCAATACTGGTTGAAGCAGAGAGGTAGAAGCCAGGGCCCAGTAACTAAGCATGTATGGAGTCAGAAAAAGCCTAAGCAGCACTACACTATCTGCAATGAACTTGGTTTATTGTTAGAGTTGGAGGTGGCTCCGTTACAGCAGCTGGGAACTATAGCAGGGAAGCGTGGGGAGGAGCAGAACACAGCAGCACGGGGAGGGTGGAGCTAGGAAGAACACAAGGTGGGCTCATTTTGGTTTCCCAGTCGTTTGGCAGAGAAGGCAAGCCCACATGACTACCAGCTTCTGGGTTTCTCAGTCTGGCAGTAGTCTGGCAGGGCTGCTCACTGGCTTGCTTGGGGCGAGGTCCTCTCCTGGGGTGGTATTTTCAGCCCGTTTTCATTTCACTCTGTAGGAGTTAAGCTGTGGCTCAGCTTCTCCCTTTTTCCTTCCTCCATCTCATTTTCCCCAAGTCCTCTGGCCTGGCTTCCACCTCCCAGATCCTCTGTCCAAGAGCGGGTTTGGAGAGGCAGCCAGTGTTCCCATTTCAGCTGCAGGATGGCATAGTGGAATGTTGGGGGAGTCACACATTGCTGGGGTGTCAAATGTTGGGATGTCAGGCAGTGGCTTATTTTTAACCCATTAAACACCAAGCCACAGCAGATGACCACATGCAGAGAAGCCAAGCAGGGGATGAGAAGGGATCAGGATAATTGAAATGGGGTGAGTAAAAACTTCAAAGAGTCAGGGAGTTTGGAAGAATTCTGGCATTGGGGCTTGGGCTCTCCTTGCCGTTTTGTGCTGTCTGGACACAGCCCTGGGATGTGAATGGTATAAAGCAGGGTCTGGGGGATAAGCTCCTTTCTCCTCTCACCAGTCTATTGGTCTAAAGAGCTTCAAGTTTTAAATTGAGACATTCAGATACTGAGGGAAGCAGTAGAACAGTATAGCAGTGGGATACCCCCAGGACCCTGCTAGAACTCAGACCCTGGTGGTTGAGGAGATGGGGGATGGGAAATGGAGGAAAGGGTGCAGCTCTGGGCACCTCACTGACGGTATCCTGCCCCAGGTCACATAAATTACTATTGGAAATCCCTCCCAGGATGCCAAATAAATAGATTGAGATAAAGAGGTCCCTGGAGTTGGGGATATAATCTCCCTCTACGAGGGAGGAGGTTGCTCTCTGAGACCCATCCTCAGTCCCCATTCAATACCAGCATTTGACAGTGCTAGGAGAGGGTTCTCAGGCATCAGATGCTATCCTATTCTAATTTGTCCCCTCCCCCATCCTCTCCCTGTTAACTTTGGTTTGAGACACCTCACAGGAATGGATGATGGGGAGGGACAACCCCTCCCATTTAGCCCAGCCCAAGTCCCCACAACAAGACATCTCCCTCCCCTCCCCCTAGCTCCCATCTCCCTCAACCCCAAAGGACTCAGCAGTAGCCATTCTCTAAAGGAGCTGGGGGAGTGGATCCTTGGGGAAGGGAGGGCGGCTCTTTCAGAACTCAATCTTGCAGGCAGGGAAGGACTCATCCTGCATCACCACGGTGCTGCTGCTAGCCAGGACCAGGACATTCAGTTGTTGCTGCTGCTCATGAGTTTGTTGGTACCACTCACGAGTCACCTCCGTGTCATGAGTAGGGATCAGAGTCACCTAGAAGGGAGATAAGATATGTCTGATGTGAGAACATAAAGGGAAGGTAGGTGAGGGGGAAGGGGCACCTCATGGTCTCAGAAGCAGCTCTGCTGCCCTTAGAAAAGGCCCATCCTTTAATAAATAGGGACTGTGTTCCACTACTGCCTCTGAGTGAGCGTTGACCAGACTACTTCCTTGGTGTCCTTTGCTACTCACCTGAAGATTCTCCCCCCACTGGGCCTTGCCCTCCAGCAGGGCATCCAGCACAGCCCGGCTTGGCTCGCCATTGGCAGGGTCATTCCCACTGACCACATAGTAGGATGCACGCACTCGACGGAAGAAGTCAAGGTCAGCAGTCTTGCCACTGCAATGATTCGGGATGTAGGCGAGATCCACATATACAGGGGCACCAGAGCTGCCCTTGGAACTCAAGGCCACTGTAGAGACAAGCCAGGATTCATTGTAGAGGAAAAGTAGAACCCTTTTGGCAACCTTCCCCTCTGTCCCACTCCTGAAGTCTGACCAGCCCACACCCAGCCCTAACCCACACTCTCTGCCAAGTTTCATGATATACTTACTTGGTCCTGCCTTGAGTCCATTGACTAGGCCTTTGGACATGGGGCTGTGTCCATCCTTTTCCTCTGCTGGGGTGACCTGGCTTGTGGTGCTGCGTGGTCGAGGTGGGGCCCGGGATGCTCGATCTGCAGGCCCTTTACCAGGGGTGGGTGAGCGTTTTCCCCGAAGATCCAGACGCCGTGCAGGGGACGCTGGCTTGGCCTTGCCTGGGGCCCTGCGCCCTACTCGCCCCTGAACCTTTTCCTTCTCCCGTAGCCTCTCTACTCTCCCAGACTCTGAGCTGAGCCCCTCGGGGTCAGCCATGCACACATCAGGGCGGGGAGGGGATGGGCGGGGGTCTGGCTGTGGGAGAGGAGGTGGGTCATGGCCAGGCCTGGGGTGGTGAGTACCACTGACACCCCCAGCTTTGTCCACAGGTAGGAAGTCTCCATCTTCATCTGAGTCGAGGGCTGCCTCAGCTGTGATGGACGGACACTCCTCAGTTTCTGGCGGGACATCAGAATCTGACTGTGAGGAGCCTGAGTCACTGGCTGATGTAGGGGGTGTCTCATCAGTCACAGGGCATGGGCCCCCAGTGGTCCCTGGCCCCCCTACCCGGCGCCGCCCCCCTCTTCCTACTAGCCGAACTTCCTCAGTTGAGAGGTCCCTATCATCTATGGATGGGGGCAGAGGTGGGTTCAGGAAGGATGGGGAGAGCTCCCCACGATGGGGCCGAGGCTCAGTGGCACATCCCTGGGGCCCAGCTTCGACCTCAGGAGAGGCACTGCTGGGTGGGCCCCCGGAGCCCCCTGCAGGACACACTGGCTGCTCAGGGGAGAGCAATGTGTCAGGCCGGGAGCTCCTCTCAGCTCCTTCAGGCCAGGCCCCACGTTCCCAGGCAGGGCAAGCCGCAGCCTCTTCATTTTCAGCCTTGGCTGGGGCAGGGCCTGGGGGGTTAGGGCTGGTTTCAGTTGGGCCATTGGCTGCACAATCCTCAGAGGGAACCTGGAAGGGGCTTGGCTTCTCCGTGGCTGCCTCTGAGCACTCCAGGTGGCACGGCAGGATGCCATCACCCATGTCTCCAGGCAGGCTTGGAGCTGGAGCTAGGGCCAAGTCCAGTGAAGCTGGGGGTGCTGGGCTCAGAGGAGTGAGGTCCCAGAGGCTGTGGGCAGCTGGTTCCATTCCTGGGTCCAGCTCTCCAGACTCCTGTTCTGCAGCCTCAAGGCTTGGAGAGAAGCGCTCCGCCACACTTGAAATCACAGGCGTGGTAGCCTCAGAGGAGGAGCCCTCAGACAGGGCTGGTGAGGCAGGTCGTGGCAGATTGGAGAGGAGAGGGGCCCCAGGAGAACTGGGTGATGGGAGCTGGGGCAGTGAGGAATCCAGGCTGGGGGCCTTGGTCACTTCCAGGTATTCATCATGCCGGGTTCTGGTGGGGGGTCCTGGAGCCAGAGCCAGAGCTCGATCCCCAGAGAAGGCAAGGGAGCCACAGGGTGCCGAGCGGGGTTCAGCTGGAGAGGGCAGCTGTGGGGGAGCTGGCTGCAATGAGGAGAAGCCAAAGGCTGAAGCAGGGAAGTCCAGACTGGGTCGGGCAGGCCCCAGGTGTGAGTCCAAGGGAGGGCTAACATGTGCCTCAGTTTCTGGCCATAATGTGGGGGACCCCATAGGAATGGGGTGAGGAGGACTTGGGGATTGGGCCTCTTTTTCTGGCTGTTCCCGAGCCCCCTTCTCCAGTTCTGAGTCACTAGTGCTGTCATCCCAGTGACTCCGGCCTGATTCCTTGGGGGATGGGGACCTCCTATCTGGGCTGCAGCTCAGGATGTTACCATTAAGAGGGGGGCTTGGGCCTTTGCTCAGGATAGGAGCACGGGGGGGAACTGCAGGTGGGGTGAGGCTGGGCTCCATACTTGGCCCTGGCTCTGGCCTTGGGGGTACAGTGGGTCCTGCCAGGGCTGCATAGCTGAAGGTTGGAGTGTCAGACTGGAGGCTCTTGGGTGAGATAGGAGATGAAAGCTCCTTCTCTGCAGATGTGTTTCGGCCGGCAGCTGCCTCCTTGGTTGAGAGGCATGGGGGCCAATCCCCAGCTGCTCCAAGTGGAGGCTCTCTAGTGGGGCATGCAGGGCCAAGCCCAGTAAGCATCATCTGCTCATAGATGTCTGCATACTGAAAGCTTCTCTCATCAGGATAGGGTGTGGGCTCTCTCTGCTCCGGCTCAGTCTGCTCAGGCTCCGTGGTGGCATGGCTTTTGCTGGCCTCTGGTACCTTTGAGCTGTGTGAGCTTTTGTCAGGAGCCTCAGCCCTACCTTCTTCTTCCCTTTCCCCTTCAGCCTTGCGGTAGTCCTTCCCCAGGGGGGAGTATGGCCCACCTTCCAACTCAGCTGCCCCCTCCTGCACTGCAGCCACCACACTGTCATACTCGGCTGTGCCCCAAGAGAAGGGTGCAGGAGTATGGGATTCCGGGGCAGGTGTGGGGGGACCAGGAGCTGGGGAGAG
Source organism: Homo sapiens (assembly GCF_000001405.40). NCBI lineage: Eukaryota > Metazoa > Chordata > Mammalia > Primates > Hominidae > Homo > Homo sapiens. Next base: position 43,527,041 of record NC_000015.10, on the reverse strand, counting down.
GGGTGCAGGGGGGAGGGGTCTGTCCTTGGGCACCCAGGGTGGGATGTCAGCCAGCCATGAGGGAGTAGTGGGTTCATTCTTCATGTGTGGCATGAGCTTAGGGTCTGGGATAGGACTCTCTTGTCCTGGGGCTGAAGGAACCCTTTGTCCAACCATCTCAGGTGGGGAAGCTGGAGGGGAGATGATCTCAAAGGGAGAGCGGGTCAGTTTGTCCTCTTCCTCTGGTGGCAACCCAACTGGTGATTCAGCAAGCCAGCGCTCCACCTCTAGCCCCTTCTGTGGTGAGGATTCCTGGAAATCCTTGAAGTCTGAGGCCCAGGGGCTCCGGGTTGCGTGTTCCCGCAGGGGTACTTCTTGCTCATCATCTGGGCCCTCATCTAGGAAAGTGCTTTCCCGTTCCTCAGTGTAGTGTGGGCGGGCCCCCTGGCCATCCAGCTCGTGAGGGAACCAGACCTTCCGCTCACAGCTTAGCTCCCTCCAGTATGTGTCCTGTTCCAAGGCCACATCCTCTCTGCCCCTCCAATACCTATTGTCCTGCTCAGGAGATGTGTCCTCCCATGCCGGGGCAAGCTCTTTCTGTTCTCCAGCCGGCTCCTCTCTGGTAGGAGATGTTTCTTGCCACTCCTGGACCACATCCTGCCCCCTCCAGTACTTTTCTTCCTGCTCTCTGGCCCTGCCCTCCTGCACTAGGCTCTCTTCCAGGCCCAGAGCTTTGGTCTTCTCCAGAAGAGCTTCTAACTTCTCTTCCATGGCCTTGACCTTTTCTGGGGATTTTTCCTCTAGCATCTTTGGTTTCCTGGTTTTATCCTCCTGCACTAGGCTCTCCTGCTCCTGAGTTTGGTGGTTCTCTTCCAGAGCCTGAATGTTTTGTTCCAGGGCTTCATCCTTCTGTCCCAAAGCCCAGTATTTTTGTTCTAAGGCCTGATCCTTCTTTTCTGAGACTTTATCCTTTTGTTCCTGGGCCTGGTGTTTCTGTTCAGGGGCTTTGTCTGTCTGTTCTAGGTCTCTGTCCTTCATTTCAGCGACCGTGTCCTCCGGAGCCTTATGTTCAACACTTCTGACTTTTTGATCTAAGGCTTTGTCTTTCTCTTCTGGGATCTTCTCCTTCTGTTCTAGGACCCTGTCCTTTTGTTCCAAGTCTTTATCTTTTGGTTCCAGGGCCTTGTCCTTCTGTTCCAGGGCTGTATCCTTTTGTTCTAAGGCTTTGTCTTTCTCTTCTGGAATCTTATCCTTCTGTTCCAGGGCCTTGTCTTTTTCTTCTAAGTCTTTGTCTTTTGGTTCCAGGGCCTTGTCCTTCTGTTCTAGGGCTGTGTCTTTTTGCTCTAAGTCTCTGCCCTTTTGTTCTAAAGCCTTATCCTGCTGTTTCACAGCCTCATTCTTTACATGCAGAGCCTCATCTTTCTGATAGATGGCTGTATCCTTCGGCTCTACCACCTCCTTGTGCTCCAGAGTTTTGTCTTTCTGCTGTAAAACTTCATCCTTTGGCTCAGGTTCCTTCTTCTGTTCTGAGGTTCTGTCTTTCAACCCTGGAACTTTATCTTCCCACTTTATGGCAATGTCCTCCAAGGCAGGGCCTGGCAAAGACTCAGGACTCTTGGAGAAGGAGCTATCAGGTGTCAGAATGTGTTCATCAGGGCTTGTGATCGCCCCAGGTAAGTACTTCCCATTTCCTGAAGGTGTAGAGTGAGAGAATGAGCTGGCAGGTGACTTCCTGTCAAGGCTGTCATCTGTGATGTCTGTCTGTGCAGAGTATCGAGTTGTCCCATCTGTGGGAGGTGACGCTGTGGCTGCATGGGGCTCTGGAACAGACATGGGAGCTGTGTGGTGAGAGGTATCCTCGGCCTGCATCAGATGCCCCATTTCTTCCTTCCCAAGGTTTAGTTCCCCAAACTGGAGGGTGCCAAGGCTTTCTGGAGAGAGCTGCTTAGAAGAGACATCCAGGGAGGTCTCCTTGCTGGGACTCTCTTCTGACAGAGAAAGTGACTGGGTGTCTTCTGGAGATACCTCTGGCCAACGGTCTTTGTGTAGGTACTGTTCTGTCAGGCCACAGGGAGACTTGGGGGTAGGCTCTTGGTTGGCAGTGTCTGGGGAGGGCACGCTGAGGACAGAGAGGGATTCTGCATCTTCAGGAGAGAGGCTTCGGTCAGGATATCTGAGCACCTCATCTTTCTGAGGTTTGCCAGGTTCTTGGGGTAAAGTCCTCAAACCTCCGGGAAGGGCTTCTGCTCCCAGAATTGGGCCTGTGGGCTCTCCTGCCTCCATAATCTCAAAGACTATTGCTTTATCCTGTGCTGGCAACAGTTGAATGGTACAGCCTGTAAGCCCCTCATCAATGTTGACAGGTGCTTCCTGGGCCTGGGGGCTCCTGGGAGGAGGAACTTTCTCTTCCTTCTCTAGTGTGCCCTCTTCAGGCCCTGGCTTGACTGTCTCCTCAGCAGCATCTTCTTTGCCCACACCTGGTGTGCGCTTAGTGTCTCCCCAGGAGTCTGCCTCCTGAAAGTCTTGGGGCTCAGACTTTTCTTCCACTGGGGACTGATGAAAGGGTGTGTGGGTGGCACTGGGTGGGCCAGATGGTGGAGGAGAAGCCATCTTCACTGTGCTGTCATCTGGGCTAAGGCACCGCTCCTCTGCTTCTCCAAGGGCTGGTTCTCCTGGATGTAGGGCATGCCCAGGGGCACTAAACACTGGAGTTCCATATTGACTGCAAAGTTTCTCAGACATCTCTACGTTTGCTGTCTCCTCCTCTTCCTCTTCCACAGCTCTCTCTCCAGACAAGCCTTTCCCTATGATCTCTCCTCTCTTCTCTGACTCCCCAGTCACAGAGAAGTCCTCACAGGGTGGTGATTTGAAGCCCTTGTCTTCTTCCAGTGAGGAGGTGGGTGAGATGGTACCAGCTGATGGCACATAGTCCAAGCCCTGCGTAGCTTCAGTACGGGAGGAAGGGATGCTTGTGACTGTGTCAAGCAGCAGGGAGCTCTTGCCTGTCTCCTCTGTCTGGGGAGCTGTAAGTGAGGCCACAGATTGGTCCTCAGCCACTGATGTGGCAAAGGAAGAAAGTTTGTCACACTCAGTGATTGAAGTGGCCGAGGACACATGTTCCTCTTCAGCCAAAGGGGCAGCCACTATGTTAGTGGGGTAGGTGAGTTCAGTCTCTGGCGTTCCATAGACTTTGCCAGAGGTAGCAGGAACAGCACTATCGGCAGGTTGGCTGGCTTCGAATGGGCCAGCACCTTCAGGCCCGGGCAGGTCATATGTACTTGTATGAAATCTGGGTGGAGCTGGGCGCTCCTCCGGCTCATCATGGATCTCCTCATCTGAGATGGTCTGCTCAGTCTCTGAGTAGCCAGGGATTGTCTCATCCTGGATGTAAGAGACATGCTCAGTGGCTCCTGCAGGTGTGGTCAGGCTGCTTAGGAATAACGAGGTCTCCTTCTCAGGGGCCTTGCCCTGGAGTCCCAATTCCCGACCCCCAAAAGCCTCCCGGCTCCTTGGAGTTACCTTCAAGGGTTCCTGCATATGTTTTTGGTAAAAACCCTCAGCTTTTGTCGCGTCCTCTTCCTCCTCATCTGAAGGGTGTACCTCCTCCATTTCTTCTAACTCAGCCTTTTCTATCACATCCTCCTTTACTTCAGGTTCACTTTCCTCTCTGGCTTCTGTTCTGTCTGGGAGCCTCTCTGCTTCCCTCTGCTTCTTTTCCTCCCAGGTATCTTTCTCTTCCTCTGTTTCAGCCCCAGAGTCTAGGCCTCTGTCCTTGCTGCCTTGTTCCTCAGGGACCTCTGGGACAAGCTCTTTCTCCTTCATCACATGTTCTTCTTGTCCCAGCCCTGGAACAGAGGGTGGTGTTCCCTGGATAGCTGTACTTGGGGGTCCCTCCTCTGCAGTGTCTAGAGGGAATGGCTTATCTCCTAGTCCTGTGTCCCTTTGTTCAGCCAGCAAAGCCCTCTCCTCACGCTTCATCTCCTCAAAGTCCTGTGTGAGGTCCTCTGGTGAGGATAGGACCAGCTCCCTGTGCCCACTGATGGTTGGGAGTGGTACAGTTCCCTTCTGGGCTGGGGGTGTCTGGGGCTCAGAAGACAGCTCCTTCTCCCCACGGATAGCACGGCTCCTGTCTATTTTGACTCTTCCAGGGACCTTGGCTTTATAGAGGGTCTTACGTACCTCAGGAGTAAAGGGCTTTAGGTCTGGCTTGGAAATCTTCTTGAGCTCAGGTTTGGTATCTTTCCTCTTCTCCTCCTTCTTGGCATCCTTCTTCTCCTCCTTCCTTCCTTCATCCTTCTTGAGCTCTTTCCTCTCCTTTTTGATCTCTTTTTTCTCCTTGTCTTTTTTTTCTTCCAGCTTTGATATCTTTTCTTTAAGGTGCTTTTTCCCTACCTTGTCTTTGATCAGCTTTCGCTTCTCTGCCTTCAGTGCCTCACTTGACTCTGTCTTCACCCTCTCAGGCTTGGCAGGCTTCTCTGGGGGCTTCTCAGATGACTCTTTTGCCTTCTTCTCTGTCTTGGCTAACTCCTTGGCCAGCTCTGAACGTGCCTCCTTGGCTCCCTCTTCTACCACCTCCTCCCGTTTGGCCAACTTGCTCACGGCCGTCTTGGTAGTGGCTTTGAGGCTCTCCTTGCTATCAGCCCGCTGTTTGATTTTGCTGGGCTTGAGGTTGGTAGGCACAGCCCCAGAAGCCAGGTCCTTCTGCGTGGCCACAGGGTAACGCAGGAAGTCCAGATGCCGAAGCTTTTCTAGGCCCTCCAAGATCTTGTTTTGGGGAGCATTTCCTGGAAAAAGCACACGCACAATCTTCTCAGTGGGATTGGCTGGTAGCCAGACCACCAGAGCAGTGATAGAGGTAAGGTAGGGCACGGAGATCTCAGCCTCCTTCCCATTGGGCAGCACGATGCCTGTCTTGGCTTTACTATTGCCTGCCCACTTTTGCATGAGGAACTGCATCTCCTTGCTGTCCTTGACAGGGTTGAGGACATACATGTCCAGCCGGCCCACACCCATTTTGTGGAAGAGGGTCAGTGGCTCAATGGTATTGCTGACCACACGATATAGAGGCTCAGCCTGGATGCCCAGGCGGTTTAAGTGCTGCAGAGTGAGGCAGGCCTCCTCAATGCTACGCTTGGCTTTCCGGGAGGCATCAGGAAGCCGCAGCTTCTCAGGCACGTTGAAAAAGACAACTCCAAGCTCAGGAGAGATAAGGTTCTTCACCCAGTCGCTGTAACTGCTAGAGCCCTGGGACTGCTCCTCCTCTAGCTCTGCCACTTTGCGCTGCAGTAGTCCATTGATGCCTGGCAGGTTGTCTGCCCCAATGTGTGTGAGTAGCACCGAGTCAATGCGGTCCAAGTGCCGTACCAGCTTCCAAAAACAGGACTTGCGATCAGAGCCACCATCCACCAGGATGTTGAAACCATTGACAGCAAAGAGGGCAGAGTCCCCACGACCACCTGGGAAGATGTAGCAACAAGGCTTGGAGAGCTTGAGGAAGCCCCCTGAGGTGGGGGGCTCTAGTAGGTCAAATGGGGATGGCACGTCCACAGTCTCAGAGACATACTCGGAGAACTCAGCCACGCCGTCCATGGTGGGCAGAGTGGGCTCAGGGTTTAGCCGGAGGTGCAGGGTCTCTTGGGAACTGGATAATCCCAGGTGGCTCCAATCACCTTCCCCTAAGCAGGACACGGTAAGGAAGGCCTGTATCCCAGGGTCTCTATTGCTGAGCAATTGGGAAATCTAGAAGAATAGGAGATAGAAACCTGATCAGGTCACTAGAGTTGTTTTGGTCTGACTTAGATTCAGTACCCTAATCTTCACCTCTTTCCAAGGTGGACTCTTACCTTTCTGCCAGGGCCCCCCATGGTCATGCAATATGAGACTTTCCCTTAGATCCCTCCCACAGCTCTAGTGCTACCCTTTCTCCCAGACACTCTGGCATGGAACTTACCTCGGGGTTGTGAAGGACCTGGGCAAAGTTTTCATATGAGTAGGTGCCACTCTGTAGGATGAGGTCTCCCCCAGGCTCTAAACTTTGCCCACTCAAGATTAGTAGTTTATAAGCTGATGAGCTGCTAAGAAGATGATGAACCTGGAATGGAAGAAGGGGAGTGGTCACAGATATAGGAAATCCAGGGAAAGGCAATGAATGGCCCCTCAGTACCTCAAGAACATGCTCCCAACTTATGTCCCTCATAACACCTCCAGAGTGGGCTGGAGACAATACGTCAGCTTAGATGGCAGAGAGAGGAATTCTTGGCCTAATAGTGGTAGCACTGGCAAGGGTGGGTATAGCACTTGCACCAGGCCTGTTTGGCAAGGCACAGGCCCTGGCCTTACCTCAGAGCTGATGCTGTCTGCACTGGGATTTACCAGGATGATGGTCTCTAGGATCTCACTCTGGTGGCAAAGGGTCCTCTGGCCTGAGGGAGAGATGTAGGAATTTATATTGAGAATAGGTATAGAAATTGTGGTGCAGGAGAGGAAAGAATGTGCTATCAGGAAATGGGGCTTAGACGAAAGAGAAGGTATCCTTAGGCCCTGCCACCTTGGATACTGCTGAGTAAGGTCTAGGAACTGGCTCATCCAGCCCTTCCCTTAGAGGGTTTCCACCTCCCCTCTCCCACACTGGCTGTCCTCTCCTTCCCTTCATCTACCACACCCTCTGCTGCCTGTGCCCCCATCCCTCTGCCTGGAACTATGGCCTCAGACTGCCCTATTGACAAGAAGCTTTTGTCCTTCTCGAGCACTAAGCTCCTGGTGCTGCCTGGGGATGGGGGGCTCAGCTGGAGAGAGGGCCCCTGGGATGATGACCCTCACTTCCCTTTCTCCTTCCTGGCTTGCCTCTGCCCTGGGCTTTCCTGCCCGCAGAGTGTCTAGAAATAAGGAAATAGGAGCTTCTGTGTGGTACAGACTCCCCACCCTTCTTGCCATCCAAGGCCAGAATTCCTGTTCCAGAAGACCCGGAGAAGCCTGTGCTATCTAAATTTTTGGGGTTTTATGATTCAAAGAATGGACATAGGACTATAACTTCATTTTCTGTCCTCTGGTTCCTCAGAGGCCAAGCCCGCACTAATACACATGCACACAATCATATTGTTCCTGCTCGGAAGTTTTCACAACACCCTCTCCAACCTGATCTTCATGTCCCAAAGTTTCAGAGAGGCCAGATTCACTACCCCACAACCTATTCATTGTGAACAGTTTCTTCTCTCATCTTTGCCCCGCTCCTAGGGGCCTCTACCACGGGCATGGGGAGTGAAAGGTTCTTGAACAAGAAACACATTAATAAGGAAGGAGAGATTCAGGGTGTTCCCCAGGCCATGGAGAAAGATAAGGCATCCCCAAATCCCCTATTTCCCTTCTCCAGCCTCACATGAAACACCAAACAATTCAGCAAAGAAAGAAAGTGGCAAATGAGACAGAAGATGCTGAAGAAGAATGCTGCCATCCCCTGCACCCGCCCTTCCTTGCCAAATCCCCTTTCCAATTGCAGTACATAGTGGCATTAACCTCACAGAGCATCCAACAGATGGCAGTGGGCTGTCTGGAGGATACTGGTGGGAGGGTCCATAATTTGTCCCTTAGACCCTCTTCTGTGACCCAGCTCTCTCTTCTTTCTGGTGCTTGGACAAGAGAAGCCTGGGGCCAGGGCCTTTGTTAAGAGGCAGAGCCATGGTGCCAGGATCAGGCAGATCTGGCAGCACAGGGCTGCAGATGCAGCTGTGGGGGAAATGAACGATGGTGTCAGAAGACCAAACCCCATACAGCGTGGGTTGGGCCAAAGGGGAATTCAAGGGTTCCCTTCTATTTACTTGAGAATTGAGGGAACATTTGAGATAAATTCAGAGGACAAGAGCCACCTCAGATGTAGGCAAGGGCAGGGCTTGGGGCAGGTGAGGGATATCAAGGTTCGGGAAGCTGCCAGCCTTAAGTCGTTCAGATTTAGAAAGACAAGAGCTCCCTCCACACAAATAAGGTCATAAATTTGAGGTAGGAGGGTCAGAAAGACAAATATCTATAGCACACACTGATTTGCTTTCTATCTACCCCTCCCTGCCCCCAACCATTCCTCACGGTCCCCATTTATCACCACAAGACTTCTATGATCCCAGTTCCTGTCCTGGCATAAGGTCCTGTTCCTCACTCTATCCCTGGGAGTGGTTCTGACTTGAAATTACATGGTTTATATCCTGTGCCTCTCTTTTTCAGGCCTGGGAGAAAGCCGTTTCTTCTGCTCCCCTGGCTCTCTCACTGAAGGGAACTGACTCGTTTTTTCCTTTTTCTTTAGAGAGGACCATCTTGTGAGGCAGGGACACACAGTGCTCAGCCAGTGCTGGAGTTGCGGGGGGGGGTGGGCTGCGGTGCAGAGGCTGAGCAGGCAGGAGGGCAGGTGTCTCCGCAGTGAGGCAGAAGGGGAGGGGGACCGTTTGGGCAGCTGCAGTTTGCCGCAGTGTGTGAGTGTGCGCGCTGAGCTCCGGCTCCAGCTCCGCCCCCACCCCCCACCCCAGCATGACAAGTCATTTTCTTGGCTGCTTCTGCATGGGGGGTGGGGATGGGGGGATGCAGAGAGAGAGAAGAAACTGGCTCCTCTGTTCAAGAGCCCCCATCTTGGGAAGAGAAGCAGAGATGAGGTGGGGGTAGGGCTGAGACTGGGAACCTGTGGGGTTGACACGACTGGAAATGCAGGGCAGCCGCTGGGGAGGGAGTTCTCCGTCTCCAGAGTGGCCTCGGCAGGGCCAGAAAGGGGGGTTTAGAGTCCCATTCTAAAGCTAGCCGCAGGGAATAGGGTGGGGGAGCCCACTGCAAACCGGTTGGTCTGTAAGGAGGCGCGTGCCACGTCTTAGTGACCCTTTCCTCCCTTCTTTTCCATAGTGTCCCCCACCTTCCCTTACTTGGCAAAAACTCACTGCCCTGCTCACCCCCAGCATAGGAGCAGCTGAGCAATCCAGCAGCTGACACCCAGGGGCCCTCCTATTAGGCACATTCCCATAACATCCCCCTTTCTCTCAGATTCTTCTGCCTCTGACCAGAAACATAGCCCCCAAACTCCTCCAGCATCCTGGGCTGTCAGGCAGAGCCAGTGGCACCACCCTCTGCTGCTGTCCCAGGCTGATTTCTCCCATCCCCGCCCAGCTGGAGAGGTGGACTGTCACAGCCCCTGGTGGCCTCTGGTTCTGGGTCCAGGCTGGGCCCACAGCCAGTAACGTTCATCTTCTCTCTCCATTTCCCCATCCTGCCTACTGCCACTGGGCTAGTTCTAGATGTGCCAGATTAGGTACCAGCACCCTTTCCATGACCCCCATCCCACCTCCCTATCACAGTGTACCCCCACATGCCAAGCCCTTTGGTTCGGTTCTTACCCTGGGGTGTAGGAGGAAGCCTCTCATGGAGGCGGCAGCTCCGGCCTCAGCCGGCAGCTTCAGGGAAGAGTCTGCAGCACTTAGGGTGGGAGTGGGGCGGGCGGTGGGGGGGGGAGGGGGGTGCTTGATGAGGAGGGCGGCGCCAGGGCGGGGAAGAGGGGCTGGTCCGTGACGAGGCACTGGAGACTTAACTGTTTCTTTGCCTTCACGACGTCTGAGCTCCAGTGCTTTTGCTTGGCTCTGTGGGGCTGAGGGATTGTCTAGCAGCTCAAGGAGCCTCTGCAATGTCCTATGGCCCATAGGACCTTTCTCTCCCAACCCTGCTTAGTTAGGAAATATTCTTTTGGCATCAGCCAAAAGACCAAAGCCCCATGCTAGGGCACAGAGCGAGGCTATAGGAGGCATGGGCTGCGTGGGCTCTCCCCCTTCTCTTAGAAACCATCTGCTGCCTCTCTCCTCAGATGGATCCAGGGAGTGACCTTCAGTCCCTGGAGGAGCAGGAGACAAAGGCTGGGGGCCCAAAAGCATGGGGTAGGTGTGGGGAACTGCTTAAGACAAAGGTTGGGGATGCAGAGATGTGCTGCCTTCTTCTGAACCTCAGCACTACAGAAACCAAGGAGGGCAGAAATAAGTCTTATTTTAGGGTTAGAGGGTAGTTTGAAATTCCGGAGTGGACACATGGTCCCTAGCCTGTTGGGGTGGGGCACAGGGACCCTGAGAGCTACATGAAGTTTCATGGGAATGCAGCATAACACAGTAACCACACAGGCACTGATTCTTGGGATTCTTGAGTCATTGGATATGAAGAGACAAGTCCCTGAAGGGACAGGGAGCTTTCTGCCTTACAGTGAAGGAGTTAACAAGGACCAAGAAGGATCACCAGGGCCTCCGGCCCAAGCAAGGTTGTAGGCCAATTATTAAATGTAACAGAAGTACTCTTTAGATTAAAAAAACCCTATAATGACTTTGTAGGGTGATTGGGTTCTTGCTCTCTCCTTGTCTCTTTGCTGTTTCTATATTATATTATTTGGATCTTTCTAATGTTGATCCTGTTTCCCTTAGTCTCTACCTCCATCTCAGATTTAGTAAAGCGCTCTAGGACTCAAAGGAAGAATCTGGAGAGTGGTAGCACTTCCTTCCAACCCGAGGATGCTCATGCTCTTACATAGTCCTTCCCTGCCCTCTTCCCATCCACCCTCCCCAGTTTGGCCAGCTCCTAAGGCCTTCCTCACAATCACAGCCACCCACTCACACCCAAACACTAGCCCCACCCTTGCCCCAGGCTGCCAAGAGTTACTTTTGAAGGTCAGAGAAGCCAAAATAGTCTGTGCTCTCAGCATCCCCCATCCCCCCTTAATTGCAGCCAGAGGAGAGGAGGAGCTGAGTCACTAGTACTCTTGGGGGTTGAGGGGACAAAAGGGGAGCAATCCTTGCTTAGATCCGGGGATGCAAATCTGCGACAATGGCAACAACCCCGTTTGGGTAGAAGCGGCCATCTGCAGAGATACACAGGGAAAACCAGGCTGAGTTCTGAGCATCACAAAAGGGAAATACCCCTCTTCTGCAACTTCATCGTTCTTATTTCCTCCCACCTCAAGCCTTCTATCTCCTCCCTGCTTTCTAGGGCTTTCTGGAGTGTGTTAGGAGGGAAACTTAAGTAGACATTTAGTTTACGAACAAAATAACATTTCCCAGACCAATACAGAGCCCACCCATATTCTCAGCTGCCACCCCCAAGGGCCACACCCTGGGCATGGTGCCAACTCACAGTGGAGTTTTCCTTCAGCCTTCACCCTCTGAACAGCTACCCACCACAACCAACTCTCCACCTGCTGTATTCCTAGGCTCTGCTGCAATGAAATGGTGAGATGCCAAAGAAGAAAGAGAGGCTTGAGCTGAGCTACAAAGTAAGATATGAAACCCTGGATTTGAGACTTGATCCACCATTTTACTAATCATGCTGCTAAACAAGAGACTTAACCTCTCTCAGAGCCTACTTCATAAACTATGAAATGAGTATAATATTAGTACCATCCTCCGATAATGCTGTGAGGTTTGAATTGTATAAAAGATGAAAAAAAAGCTTCTTCATTCCTAGACTTCCAAATCTGCAATGTACAAATGCCACTGGAAGTCTTTCTCCCTTTTGTGGAAGATTTCTGAGAGGTCATCTAGGTGATCAAGGAAATCATAAATCAGGATCTCAGACCAGATCAACTCTGGAGTACTCTTAGCTCCCAGGTAAACCCAGAACTAAAGATGCCTGCAGTATGAGATTTGAAGTCCTATTCATGTCCTTGCTTTCCCATTTCAGACAGCAATGCAGACCCCGGTTCCAGGGGTTAATGAGCTGCTGTATTAATTCAGGGTAACTGTTGTATTGGTAGAAGTAATAGAGCTATCACTTCCTAAGTCCGTCAGTGGAAATGGAGAGTCAGACCGAAGGCCTCCAGACTGGTCCCTCAGCCTGTATTTTTATTTATTTATTTATTGAGATGGAGTCTAGCTCTGTCGCCCAGGCTGGACTGCAATGTCATGATCTCAGCTCACTGCAACCTCTGTCTCCTGGGTTCAAGCAATTCTCCTGCCTCCCGAGTAGCTGGGATTACAGGTGTGCACCACCACCCTCGGCTAATTTTTGTATTTTTAGTAGAAGAGGGTTTCAACATGTTGTCCAGGCTGGTCTCAAACTCCTAACCTCAAGTGATCCACCCACCTCGGCCTCCCAAAGTGCTGGGATTACAGGCATAAGCCACCATGCCCGGCCCTGTGTTTTTTAGAGTCTTAGAATATTAGTTATGAATTATAAGCCCCCTTCTATTTCCTATAGGTATCCAATAGTAAAAGAATCAGAGAGTTATTGAAACTCAGTTTTCCACTGTCCTAATTGTTTCTGAATTTGTATTAGAATGCTCGGAAGATCCAGATTTTTTGTAGGGGTTAGAAAGTCACCACTGGAGAGACTACCTGGTGCAAAAATCACCTTTGAAAGCTTTTACCAGACTTGACCACTAGAAGGAGCTGGGCCACTGACTCTTTATCAGAGGGTCCCTTCTTTTCTGTGTGTGGGTATGTCAATGTGGAGGGGGCAGTGCCTAGGAATAAGTGCACTCTCCTTGTCACTGTAGGATACATTTTTGTCTGCTTTCTCAGCATTTTGGCCCAGGGCTTGAGGATAGGTGATAGGAATGGTGGCCCAGCCTGTGGGGTAGTCAAGCCATAAGGCACTAGCATATCCCCTTGAGCTCATCCCAGCTGCCTGGTCCCCTTTGCGTCCTCACTAACAGAAGGCTGGAGGGAGGGGCAGTGTCTGCAGCTGCTCTGGGCTGACTGTTGTTTGTGGGGACAGCTGAAAGAGGAGCCAGCAGGGGTGGGGCTGTGGCTGTCTTGAGCTGTGTGGGTTTTTCCAGGAAATTCTCTACTATTCTCCTGTGACATAGACAGACCATGATAAAAATGTCCAAACCTAAAAATATGCAGTATGCCAAAGTAAGCTCTGATCTAGGGTACATGGCCCTAAGCTCCTTGAGGACACCACAGACAAACTCTTTGATGGAAAGGGCCTAGTAGGTGTTTATATATCAATGCTCATTTCTAAGAAGTGCCTGAGAATAACTATGTTCTCTCTGTAAGTGTCTTCCCAAGTATCGCTGCATCTTAATCTGAAGAATGGCTAAGTACTTTGGTTTAACTTCTTTTCATTTCTTACATTATTCCAGAAAGCAGCCTACTCTCAAGTCTCTGTAGCCAAAAGGACAAGGTTAGAGCATTCAGTGTGAATTATTAACATCAGCAGATAATCCCCAAACTTCTGTTCAGTCATTAATTTCATCCTCTGTCATCCCTGTATCTGGCCTTTCACCAAAGCTCCTAGGAGTACTAAGTGGTAAAACTGCCGATTTTCATCATTAGGGATAAATGGAGGAAGCCATGACATGAGTAATTCTAAACAGAAACATTCTCAAAAGAGTGAGTAGCCTGCTTTACAGGAAGCCAGTCACATCAGGAAGATGTCAGCCTCACATATATTAATATAAAATTGCTGTATATATTCCTAGGCTAATGGAGCTTTAGTCATATTAGCCTTATTTTCTCCAACTTCCTAGCAGCATCTATAAGTATCAGTGATCAGGAAGTGATCAAAGATTTGGCAGTTAGGAGCAGTGGAAAAGGAGGAGAGATAATTAAGGAAAGGTGACTACTATACTGAGTAATTGAGAATTATCTGTATAAGACATGAATTCAATCATTCAGTTGCAGTGGCTGTTGACCTGGATGGATTTTATATTCCACTAAGCTGATGGATTGGTGTGTCAACATTTTCCAGTAACATGACTAGATGCCTAGCTCCTTTTTCTTTTTTTTTTTTTCCTGAGATGGAGTTTCACTTTTGTTGCCCAGGCTGGAGTGCAATGGCACGATCTTGGCTCACTGCAACCTCTGCCTCCCGGGTTCAAGCGATTCTCCTGCCTCAGCCTCCTGAGTAGCTGGGATTACAGGCATGCACCACCACGCCCAGCTAGTTTTGTATTTTTTAGTAGAGGCGGGGTTTCTCCGTTGGTCAGGCTGGCCTCGAACTCCCGACCTCAGGTGATCTCCCCGCCTCAGCCTCCCAAAGTGTTGGGATTACAGGTGTGAGCACTGTGCCCGGCCTTAGTTCTTTTATAATAGCATGTAGAGCTTTCCGTAGTCACCTCACAGACATCTGTCATGGAATGGTAGTGCCTAACATCTTATTTTCTCAAATCTCTAACCCACCCATTCCTCCCACCCAGCAGAATGGGAAACTGCATTATGTGAGCTTTGATCTGGGCCAAATCTCAGAGTACAACTTGATCTTGTAGCAGTAAATTCAGGAGCCCCTCCTTCCACTCTGGATTTGATGGTGCCCATCATCATGTAAGTACCAAGATTCTGCTCTGCCCTGGAGATCTGTTGGCTAAGCCGAAGCAGGAACCAGAAACCCTGAAACCTGTGCAGCCTAAATAAAAATGCTAAACAAGGGTCAAGGAAGATGAATGGGGGATTCTGGGGTGTCTGTAAAGGGAAGCAGGGAGACCCGGGGTATGCAGAAAGGGGAACACAAATGAAGAGAGTGAATTTTTGCGTGAGAGATGATTGATCACTAAGAGGAGTCCCTCATTTCTTTAGTGCATGTCAACAGCTATCCACAAACAACCCTCTTCTCAAGGAGAAGTTATGTTCTCCAGTCTCCCTCCAGTATCAAACCATGTCTGCAAAGTATATTTGGTATGTGGGGACAGCTATGGAATTCCATGATTTTCCTCCTCTATAAAGTTCCTCCCTTCTCCTCCACTCAAACCTCCCGCAAGGCCACTTCTCCCAGGGAGACTGGACCTCTGTGACCAGCTCTTACCCAAAGGACTGAAATAAAACATTAGTCCTAACCTTTGACCTCTGAGGAGAAGTGAGCTAGGTGCCGGGTAATGAAGAGTCTCAACTGTTGGTTCAAGTCAAAGGATGACAGGTCAATGTTCCAGGAGAGAATCCCTGTGGGAGAAAAACAAAGAAGGTTCTGGATAAGGTTGCAGGTTGTAGGGTGGTGAGACTGCAGGAACACTTTCAAGTTCACAGAACAGGTAAGGAGAGGGAGGGTATATGGATAGTTGCCATGATCAGCCTCAGTGATGTCTCAAAGAAAGGTGGCTAGTAATGGTGTCTTTCTCCCAGTTTACAGCTTTTCTAGGCTTTGCCTGAGCCAGAGGGAGAAGGACAGAGTTTAGACTAAACTCGGTCATTAATGAGTCTATAGGTAGGAATTTTCTTGTAAGGTTCCCCAGTTGTGGTGGAAGTGACACCTAAGGGCCTATTCCCAGATACTGAGGGCTACCTTCCCCACATTTACAGCTAAGTAGGATTCTAGGTTCGCCTTCTGTGTTCCCTTCCTTGTCCCCAGCCCTCCACAGCTTGCTTCCACCCGCAGGTGGCTCCGCAGCACTGCACCACAGCCACAGGCACAGCACTGGGGAAGGAGGTGAGGACTTAGGAGCTGGTAGCCACGAAGGTCACTTAGTGGTTGGCTACTGGCATTCAGAGATTTGAGATTTGTACGGGGCGTTCAGAAAGCTCCCCGTGCTGGTTCAGGGACCATAAAGAAGATACAGCAAGATAGGGACGTGGATTCTCCAGGGATGGTGAGGACTTTCAGGACACCTGGTCCAAAACACTGCGGTGGAGGGTGTGACCAGAGGGGCCCCAGGGGCTGCATAGAGCTCCGCTGCCTCAGGGAGACTGCGGAACGCCATGGAGTGTGCAGTAAGGATGGGCAAGCGAGATGTTAGTAGAGCGAGAGGATACGGACACATGGCATGGAAGATGCAGGTGACAAGGGCGCAGATCTCAGGAAGTGCACACTAGGGATGGAGATGCAGACGTATGCATTGGTAGTTGAATGCAGAAGGCGGAGAAGCACAGGGTAGAGATGCCTGAAGCACAGCCAGAACAGTGGCTCACCTTGTTCAAGGTGGGCCCGCACGGCCCTCAGCTGACTCTCTGTACCGATATCGCCGATCACAATTAGCAAAGAGTGCTTCTGCAGGTCCCAGCGTGCAGCCGCCACCGCGGCTCCGGCCTCGCACAGCAGCTCCGCGGGGTTCTGAGCCAGCGGTGCGCCGGGACTTCGGAGCCCCAGCCCCGGAGTTGTCTCCATGGCAACGCCGTGAGGCCGCGCAGGCTCGGCCTCGGTCTCCATGGAAACACCCGCGGAGTGTTAGTCCGGCAGCTTCCGCTGCAGGCAGAGTGCGCGCGGCTCTTAAAGGCCGGCGGCAGGTGCAGTTCATTGGCTGCTGCCTGTCAGGGGGCGTGGCACAGGCGCCGCAGGGGCGGGCCGGAGCTGGAAGCTCGTGCTCTGCGGTCTCGCCAGGCTAGAGGGTGGTGGCCGCCCCCTTCCTCCCACCACGCCCTCCCCAGTACCAGCGGGAGCTTCCACTTAGACTTGAGCGGGGGTGGGGTCTCTGGGGGACCCATTGGTGGGGCGAGGCGGTTGCCTCGGCGCCGGAAGAAGCTTCTAGTTAAGATGTATCCCTGATAAGTACTGTCTGGCAATTCCGCAGCCTCGCCCGAACTGAGGGGAGCCATCTTGTCCCTCTCTGCCTCCGAGTTTGTATCGTTGCCTCCATCTGTGTCTGTGTGTCTGTATTATCGTTGTTTGGCGTGTTTTTTTTTTTTTTTGTTTTTTGTCACTGCCTGCCTGGGTCCTGCCCGAGGTCTCCATCCTCGGTTTCCCTGTCCTTGCCCCGGGCCCTGGGAGTGCTCTGGAAGGCTGCGCAGTATTGGAGGGGACAGAATGACCTTCCGGCCTTGAGTCCCTGGTGAGTTGTTATTCTGAAGATAGCAGTTGGCTGGCTAGTTTCCATCTCTGCTGAGTGCAGGACTCGAGTGCAATGAGCTCAGACTGCAGCAAGGGGGATTTGAGTAAAACCTAGGAAAGACCTTCCCATCTTCAAGTGATGTGACAGTGAGATGGGTCTCCCTCAGGAGACTGTTGTATTACTTCCCCCCCTCCCACCCCCCGGGAGTTCTTAAAACAGAAGGAGCAGTGTTTGCACCAAAGAAGGGGTTGACAGTTCTAAGATCAAAACCAGAGGTTGGGAAAGGACTGAGGAGGCCTTGCACTGTTTTATGACTGACTGGAACATCTTTGTAAAAAAGTGCTGTTAGTCTAGCCTCCCCCATTCCTCAGTGTGTCTCCACCTACTCCACACTCCAGAGTAGTCTTTTACCCAGGATACCGAATCATTCTGTACATGTATGTATGGGAGCGCCTATCTTTCACCCTAGGGCTCCAGCAGCACTTGTTTTTTTGTTTTTTTGTTTTGTTTTGTTTTTTGGGTTTTTGGGTTTTTTTTTGTCCCGTTTGCCTTTGCTTTGGAGATAGTACAGGAAAGAAAGGAACACAGTATCAGATTCAGCAAGGCTGCCTGTGAGCCACGTTCTGATTGGGCAGTGTCTGCATGTTAAATACTTCACAGCGGCCGGGCACAGTGGCCCACGCCTGTAATCCCAGCAGTTTGGGAGGCCAAAGTGGGTGGTTCACTTGAGGTCAGGAGTTCAAGACCAGCCTGGCCAACATGGAGAAACCCTGCCTCTATTAAAAATACAAAAATTAGCTGGGCGTGGTGTTGGGCGCCTATAATCCCAGCTACTCGGGAGGCTGAGGCAGGAGAACCACTTGAACCCGGGAGGCGAAGGTTGCAGTAAGCCAGGATTGCACCACTGCACTCCAGCCTGAGTGACAGAGTGAGACTCTGTTTCAAAACAAAACAAAAAACTTTACAGCAATCCTGGTCCCTACCATGGAGCATGTGTTACAGGAAAACAGCCAGTCCACTCTGCAACCAATTTGGACATGGCCCTGAAAATCCTTTTTGCACAGAAAGGGGAAAATAAGAGTACTGGCAGAATGTCAGATGCTGGGGATGCCTCACCCTCTAGTCTCATGACTATGACACATGAGACGGTGTTCCGCTGTACCTCTGCCCCCCCCCCCCCCGTTTGTGGATCTGAATCTGGAAAAGAGCTTGGAGAGATTTACAGGCCTCCTCTTCTGCAATCAGTAAGAGTACCATGTGGAGGCAGAGAGCCAGAATAGGTTGTGGGGAGAAAGGGACAGTTTCCATAGCAACTGCAGAGATGAGGCCGCTAACTAGCACAGGGTCTCAGTATAAAGGTCAGCAGTAGTTAACCAAAGATTCTGCTTTCATCAAGTCTCACAAAGAGACTAGACAATAGATCTGAATGGTATAGGGAAGGATCACACACTGATTAGATGGTAGGGGCAGAAACTCAGCCTTGTGATCTCAGGCCCTGCTAAAATTGGGTTTTATTAATTACAGTGCAAATGTAGATTATGATAGTACTAAAATTGCTTATGTGTGCTGGATGAGTATTTTGCAGGCTCACTGCCAAAGTCTGACAATGTCACAGAAAGATTGGCTATAGGTGTCTGTTAATTATCCTCCTCTTTCCTTGGTTAACAGTATTCCAGCCATTCCACTGGGTGATGATTCCAGTATGATTATATTGTCAAAATATACGTATATATATTTAGAGACAGAGTCTTGCTGTGTCAGCAAGGCTGGTATATAGTGGCATGATTGTAGCTCACTGTAACCTCAAACTCTGGGCTCAAGTGATCCTTGCACCTCAGCCTCTGGAGTAGCTAGGATTATTTGAGACAGGGTCTCACAGAGACAGGGTCTTTGTGTGTTGCACAGGTTGGTCCCAAACTCCTGGCCTCAAGCAGTCCTCTTGCCTTGGCCTCCCAAAGGACTGGGATTACAAGCGTGAGCCACTGTTCCCAGCCCAGAAATTTTTTTTTTGAGACGGAGTCTTGCTCTCTTGCCCAGGTTGGAGTGCAGTGGCGTGATCTTGGTTCACTGCAACCTCTGCCTCCCGGGTTCAAGCGATTCTTCTGCCTTAGCCTCCTGAGTAGCTGGGACTACAGGCGTGCGCCACCATGCCCAGCTAATTTTTGTAGTTTTAGTAGAGACGGGGTTTCACCATGTTGGCCATACTGGTCTCAAACTCCTGACCTCATGATCCACCTACCTCGGCCTCCCAAAGTGCTGAAATTACAGGCATGGGCCACCGTGCCCGGCCCAGAAAATATGTTTAAGTGTTAAATTGCACATAGCACTTGTCCAAAGTGCTCTATAAAGAAAACTGGACAGGAGTGGTGGCTCACATCTGTAATCCCAGCTGTTTGGGAGACTGAGGCGGGTGGATTGCTTGAGCCCAGAAGTTCAAGACCAGCCTGGGGTACATAATGGAACCCCATCTTTACAAAAAATACAAAAATTAGCCGGGTGTGGTGGTGTGTGCCTGTAGTCCCAGCTACTCAGGAGGCTGAGATGGGAGGATCAATTGAGCCCAGGAGGCAGTGAGCCGAGATCTCGCCACTGCGCTCTAGCTTGGGCAACAGAGCAAGCCTCTTATCTCAAACAGAAAAAAAAAAAAGAAAAAAGAAAACTGTGGAGCATTAGCATCTGTGTCCCAGAATTTTATAAGCAAAGACAGAAAATGCTCTGATACATATGTATAAGACTTAGAAAGCTAAATAAAAAATTAAATACATATATGAATTATAAAGTATTTAAAAATCTATATTGAATTTAGGAAGTGTGCTATGGCAGAAGCCTGGTAGTAAAACGATGCAATTCAAAGGCCCTTCCAAGGGTGTTACCAGTGGAGGGTCTTGACTACGAGTTGTCCAGGTTCTTGGCATATTGAACAAAGAATTGGACTAGCTGGGCGCAGTGGCTCACGCCTGTAATCCCAACACTTTGGGAGGCTGAGGTGGGTGGATCACCTGAGGTCAGGAGTTCGAGACCAGCCTGGCCAACATGGTGAAACCCCATCTCTACTAAAAATGCAAAAATTAGCTGGGCGTGTTGGTGGGTGCCTGTAATCCCAGCTACTCGGGAGGCTGAGGCAGGAGAATTGCTTGAACCCAGGAAGTGGAGGTTGCAGTGAGTGGAGATTGTGCCACTGTACTCCAGGCTGGGTGACAGAGTGAGACTCCATCTCAAAAAAAAAAAAGAGAATTGGACAAAATGCACAAACAAACCAATGGAAGATGAAAGCATAGATTTATTGAAGTGAAAGTACATTCCACAGAGTGGGAGTGGGCTCGAGTAAGTGGCTCAAGGGCCCCAGTTGCACAAATCTTCTTGGGTTTAAGTACCCTTTAGAGGTTTCCTATTAATTACATCCTATGTAAATGAAGACTTGGCCTGCGACCTATTGGAGGCTGAAGTGGTGGCTTGGCCTGTGACCAATTAGAGGCTGAAGTGAAGTTACACCCTTTGCAAATGAAGACTTGGCTCCCACCAATCAGAGGCTGAAGTGAAGGCTCCCTGTCTCCAGACACTATTCTCCTGCCTCAAGGGGATTATTAGGGACCTGTGATATGCATGATTGTCAGACACAGGTAGTAGTGTTTGATGGCTATGGAGCCTCCTGTTTTGTTTCATTTAACTATTGACCCCCTGGAATGACCAAGTATGATCTTTTGGGAGCTCTCCAATTCTGTAGCTTCTTCCACAGTCTTGTCAAGCAAAATTGGCAGATATAGTGGCACACCAATGCTTTTGAACTGTGATGAAGGACCCTTGAATTGTCGAAGGTGTCTAAGGATCCACCACTGAAAGAGGAGGTTAGAAGAGGTGCAAGAGGAAGGCACTATTATAGGCTGTTTCCTTGGTTATGCACTGGAGTCAGCACAAGGCAAAAGATAGTATAAATCTCAAATGGTTTGAAAAGTATCGGCTAAGTTTAAACCAGTTAGGGAATTCTCAACCCCCAGGCCTTCATAATGTATAGTGATAAATTATCCAATAGGTAAATTAAGCACACTCTTAACAAAGTGGGAAGGGCATCTCTAAGTTTTTCTGGAAATAATTTCATATTTGGCATTTAAAGTATTAAAGTTGTCCCCATGAAAAATCAGAGCTTTACTTGCAATTAGTTGCACTCATCTTGAATTAGGTGTTCATAGGAGAGAAGAACATCATAATTCTTTCAATGCTTAAAGTCTCCATAAGATTTAAGGCAGCTCTGGCAATTCATAAAGAAAAGATGCTGGGCCTTCTCTTCTAGCCTGATGAATGTCATTAGTTTTTCTGGGGGTCTGAGCTCATTTGGCAGAACTCCAGCCCTGCTCTGCTGGATTGCATGGTTTTATCCACCAAAATATCCAAGGGAGCTGCATACAGCTCAGATTCCTTCCCTGCACTCAGTTCTGCCTGTAAAGCATTCTTACCCAGAGAGAGGCGTGTTGGATTACAGAAGTGCTGTGTCAGAGGCTTATCCTTGGCTTTTGGGGGAAATACTATGATCATAATGCATACCAGCAGCCATAGGGTCACCTCAGCCTGAACAGCTGGTTTGTCTGCAAAGGCATGGAGTAAAATAACCTTTAAAAAGGCACTGAGTAAAATAATATCTAAAAAGGTTGAGATGGGGAAGAAGTCTGCATTTATTACTATGTCTGGGCCACAGAGGAGGCCCACAATAAATATTTTTCTAATTATTATTTGTTCACATTAAGTAAATGGGCAGAGCAATGGGACTGGGTTTACCTTCCCCCTGCAGAGCATTGCAAAGGACAATGAAGAAATTTCCCCTTTTTCTTCCCTCACTTCCCACATTCTTTTATTTAAGAAAGTGATTCCCAAAAGCGAAAAAAATAATTTATCAATACCATCTTCCCTTATCCATTTCATTAGCCTGTGAAATGGAAGGTAGTGTTTGGCTGTGACCTCTGATACCATCTTTTCTTTTAATCTGAGCAAAGCTACCTCTTACTGCAGGGATCTCTTAAGGATTTTCTTTGTGGTGGTAGAGATGATGGTGGTAAAGAGGATTCAAACCTAACTATATAACTTAGTTTTCAGGCCATACCTGTGTGTGAATTATATTTTGCATCTTTTTTTTCCCCAAAGTATTCATAGAATGGAGTTATTTCCTTTCAAGGAATGCTTGGGTTGAAGAAATATTATTCCCTTTACAATATCACAAAATCACAAATACTTTGTCTTTCTTCTCATCAGTTCCTTCTCAAAGATCCTTCATAATATGCCCTAACTTCCCTTTCCAACATTACCTCCTGCAAATATCCTGTTTTTATTTTATTTTTAAAATTTTATTTATTTATTTTTTGAAACGGAGTCTCGCTCTGTCACCCAGACTGGAGTGCAGTGGCACGATCTCGGCTCACTGCAACCTCCGCCTGCCAGGTTCAAGCAATTCTCTTGCCTCACCTTCCCGAGTAGCTGGGATTGCAGGTGTGCACCAACACACCTGGCTAATTTTTTATATTTTTGGTAGAGACAGGGTTTCACCATTTGGCCAGGCTGGTCTTGAACTCCTGACCTCAGGTGATCTCTCCGCCTCGGCCTCCCAAAGTACTGGGATTACAGGAGTGAGACACCGTGCCTGGCCGCAAATATCCTGTATCAACCTTTTTATTCAGTCAGTCTGAACCACTTGCCTTTTTCTCATTCTTGTATTTTTTGTTTAGGCTGTTCATTTTTCCTTGAATACTCTGTTTTCCTTAACTCATCTAAGGATTTATTTATTTACCTTTACCTTATTTGTGGAATAAAGATTCATCTCATTCCACAAAGGATTTAAGGGATATGACCGAACTCAAACCCAACTACTTCTGCAGAACTGACTTTCTTACTTACCAACTATGTGAACTTTGGCAACTTGCTTATCTTCTCTGTGCTTCAGTTTCCTTGTCTGTAAAATTAAAATAATAGCACCCCACCTTATAGGGATTATTTTGAGAATTAAGTGGAACAACCTTTTAAATATGCTTAGCACAATGCCTGGAATTCATTCATTCATTCAATAGTATTTATGGCCAGGCACGGTGGGTCACATTTATAATCCCAGCACTTTGGGAGGCTAAAGCAGGAGGATCACTTGAGGCAAAAGTATCACTTGAGGTTGCAGTGAGCTGTGATCGTGCCAGTGCGCTCCAGCTTGGGCAACAGAGCAAGACTCTGTCTCAAAAAATTTTTGTTTTAATTTATTGATTGATTTGTAGAGATGAGGAGGGGGGTCTTGCTATTTTGCACAGGCTGGTCTCGAACTCCTAGCCTCAAGCAATCCTCCCATCTTGGTCTCCCAAAGCTATGGGATTACAGGCTTTAGCCACCATTCCTGGCCCTCCCGTATGCATTAAATTGTCTCTTGATTACCTGTAATAACTAATACAGTGTAAATGCTATGTATATAGGTGTATTGTTTGGCAAATAATTACAAGAAAAAAAAGTCTGTGAATGTTCAGTACGGAACCAACCACCCTTTTTTTCTGAATATTTTCAATTCATGGTTGGTTGAATCCACAGATGCAGAATCCACATATAGGGAAGGCTGACTATATTTTAAAACACTGCAAAGAAGAATCAGGAGAAGGCAGGGTGAGACTTCAGACTAAGATGTAAGCCTGACATCTGTGGAAGGAGAGAGGGAAGGAAGGAGGATTGGAAAGGAAGAATCTTTTTTTTTTTGAGATGGAGTCTTGCTCTGTTGCCCAGGCTGGAGTGTAGTGGCGTCATCTCTGCTTACTGCAACCTCCGCCTCCCGGGTTCAAACAATTCTCCTGCCTCAGCCTCCCGAGTAGCTGGAATTACAGGCGCTGGCCACCATGCCCGGCTAATTTTTTGTATTTTTAGTAGAAACAGAGTTTTGCCACGTTGGCCAGGCTGGTCTTGAAATCCTGACATCAGGTAATCCACCTGCCTCAGGCTCCTGAAGTGTTGGGATTACAGGTGTGAGCCACTCTGCCCAGCCCAGTGGTACATTTTCATGGTTGTCACAGTACATACTGCATGAATAAGTTTATCTGAAATTCTAGAATGGGCAAAACTAATCTACAGTGACAGAAAGCAACTAAATGATTGCCCAGGGCTGGGAATTGATTGCAAAGGGCACAGGGAACTTTTTGGGTGATTGATATGTTCTATATTTGATTGGAGTCATAGCTACACACACCCGCGCATGCGCGCACACACACACGCACCCATTTATTGAACTCATCAAACTCTACACTTAAAATGGGCCCAATTTTAATTGTACATAAATGATATATAAAGTTGACTAAAAAACACAAGATAGGCCGGGCAAGGTGGCTCACGCATGTAATCCCAGCAGTTTTGGAGGCCAAGGCGGGTTGATCGCTTGAGTCCAGGAGTTGAAGACCAGCCTGGCCAACACGGCAAAACCCCGTCTCTACTAAAAATACAAAAATTAGCTGGGGGTGGTGGTGTGCGCCTGTAATCCCAGCTACTTGGGAGGTTGTACAAGAATCGCTTGAACCCGGGAGACAGAGGTTGCAGTGAGCTGAGATCATGCCATCACACTCCAGCTGGAGTGACAAAGTGAGACTCTGCCTCAAGAAAAAAACAAATGGCAGGGCACGGTGGCTCACGCGTGTAATCCCAACACTTTAGGAGGCCAAGGTGGGCAGATCATGAGGACAGGAGATTGAGACCATTTTGGCTAACATAGTGAAACCCCGTCTCTACTAAAAAATACAAAAAAAAAAAAAATAGGTCGTGGTGGCGGGCGCCTGTAGTCCCAGCTGCTCAGGAGGCTGAGGCAGGAGAATGGTGTGAACCCGGGAGGCGGAGCTTGCAGTGAGCCAAGATCGCGCTACTGCACTCCAGCCTGGGTGACAGAGTGAGACTCAAAAAAAAATGAGAAAAAAAACAAACATGAGATATCACTTCACACTGACAAACCAAATGTTAGTGAGAATGTGGAGCACCTGAAACTAATATGTTGTTAGTGGAAGTATAAAATTATACAATCATTTTATTTATTTATTTTTAATTTGTTTTTAAGAGACATAGTCTTGCTGTGTTGCCCAGGCTGGAGTGCAAGTGGTGCGATCATAGCTCACTGCAACCTTGAACTCCTGGGCTCAATTGATCTTCCCACCTCAGCCTCCCTAGTAGCTGGTACTACAGGCTGGTGCCACCATGCTTGACTAATTTTTAAAACATTTTTTTGTAGAGATAAGGCCTCCCTGTATTGCCCAGGCTGGTCTTGAACTTCTGGCTCAAGCGAACCTCTCAACTCAGCCTCCCAAAATGTTGGGATTACAGGCACGAGCCACTGCAGGTGGCCTACAGTCATTTTCAAAAACTGTTTTTGGCAGTTTCTTATAAAGTGAAAGGAGCACACATCCTATGACCCAGCAGTTCCACTTCTAGTTATCTACCCAAGATAAATGAAAACAAATGTTCACAAAACGAATTGTTTATAAATGTTCATAGCAACTTTATTTATAATAGTCTAAACCCAAATATGCAGTAATAGGAGAATTAATAAAACAAGTTGTGTTGCATACAATTGAATGTTGCTGAGCAATGAAAAAGAATGAAGTACTGATGCATGCAGCAACATGCAAAATGTTGAGCAAAAGAAGCTGGACACAAAAGACCACGTACTGTGTGATTCCATTTATATAAAATAGTATTACAGGTAAAATTAATCTATGGTCATAGAAGTTACAATATGACTGCCTTGTGGAATGGGGATTGACTGGAAGGGACCATGAATAACTCTCTGGAGTGATGACAATGTTCTATATATTGATTGATATGTAGGTTTCATGGCTGTATATGTTTGTCAAAGCTCATCAAATTACTGGCCAAGCACGGTGGCCCATGCCTGTGTTCCCAGCATTTTGGGAGGTCGAGGTGGGAGAATTGCTTGAGCCCAGGAGTTCAAGACCCACCTGAGCAACATAGTGTAACCCCATCTCTACAAAAGAAAGAAAAATTAGCCAGGTGTGGTGGTGCATACCTGTAGTCCCAGCCCCGAGGAGACTGAGCTGGGAGGATTGCTTGAGCCCAGGAGCTGAGCCCAGGAGTTCAAGGCTGTGGTGAGCTATGATCAAGCCATTGCACTCTAGCCTCGGCCACAGAGCAAGACCCTGTCTCTTAAAAAAAAAAAAAATTACACAATTAAGAGCTATAGATTTCACTGTATGTAAATTTTACCTCAATAAAAATATCAGTCACTAAAAATAAAAAACAAAATGAAAGAAACAAGCCTAACTATTGAATTGGTAGTATTGTTTTAAGTGATTTTAAAATACAGTAATTTAACTTTATATATATGTGTTTTTTAGACAGACTGTCACTGTCACCCAGGCTGGTGTGCAGTGGCATGATCACTGCTCACTGCAGACTTGACCTCCTGAGCTCAAGTGATCCTCCTGCATTGGCCTCCCAAAGTTCTGGGATGTAAGCCACCATGCCTGGCCTGTTCATTTTCTTTGGGTGTGTTGACGGTGTTCTTATGTTTAAAATATTCTCTTTATTTTATTTTATTTCTTTGAGACAGAGTCTCACTCTGTCGCCCAGGCTGGAGTGCAGCAGCGTGATTTCGGCTCAGTGCAACCTCCGCCTCCCAGGTTCAAGTGATTCTCCTGCCTCAGCCTCCCAAGTAGTTGGGACTACAGGTGCTCGCCACCATGCCCAGCTAATTTTTGTATTTTTTAATAGGGATGGGGTTTCACCATGTTGGCCAGGCTGGTCTTAAACTTCTGACCTCAGGTGGTCCACCCACCTCAGCCTCCCAAAGTGCTGGGATTTTAAGTGTGAGCCACCAAGCCTGGCCTAAAATATTCTCTATATTTTAGACACAGAAGTATTTTGGTTAAAATTATATGATGTCTGGGATTTGTTTAGAAATCAGTTTGGGGGAAGTGGGTGGATATAGATGAAATAAGATTGAGCATTTGTTTGAAAAAAAAAAATTTCAACAAAAGAAGATTGAGCATTTGTTGCTAATTGTTGAAGGTGTATTATATAAGTACATAGCTTTTAAAATTTTTTCTGTTAATAAAAAGACAGTATCTTCAAGCTTTTTGTTATAAGCAACCAGAAGGGTGAAGTTGCCATCAACTGAGATGGGGAAGGCTGCAGGTGGAGTAGACTTGGTAGAAGAGATGAGTTCAATTTTAAGCATGTTGAATTTGAGATGTCAATTGGACATCAAAATGAAGATATTGAATAGGCAGTTAGATACATAAATTGGTAATTTGGGAGAGAGGTGTGGGTCAAAGACGTAGTTAGGAGTCATTGGCATATAGATTGTATTTATAGCAATGTGACTGGATGAAATCAAGAAAGGAGTGAGAGTAAATAGAACTTAGAACATAGTAAGTGCTCAAGAAGTATTCATTATAACCACATGACTAAAATTATTTCGATTTGTCTCACAATTCCTACAGAACTTTTATTGTATCTTGTACTATCATTATTTCTATGTCTTATCTCCTTCCTAGATTGTAAATTCTTTGAAGCTAGAAACTAGATATTACTCATCCTTATACACTGCTCTCTCTCCACCACCACCATGGAGCCAAAATGGTACCTTGCATTTAAGTGAATTGAAATTAATAAATGAACCTGAGTTTGTGAAGAAATTTTTGGTCAGTTTTATGGGTTTTCTGACTTGCTCTGACTTTCAGTTCTTGAGACTCTGTGTGATGTGCTTATATGTGAGTAGAGCCAAGATGCATTACTGCTATTCTTGCCACTTGTTAGTTAGCACACTAGCTCTGTACAAGTCCAGATCAGCCTTTGAGACCTAGCTGTACTGAAGACACTGCAGAAGGGATATGCTCAGAGTAGAATGGGAAAGTGTAATAATGACACAGGAAGTAGGATCCAAGAGTAGGCACTGTGTTCATGCTATGTTACTTTTACTTTATTATTTATTATTATTTTTTAAATTTTATTTGAGGTTCAGGGGTACATGTGCAGGTTTGTTAAATAGGTAAGTTGCATTATCACGGGGTTTGGTGTACAGATTATTTTGCCACACAGGTAACAAGCATAGTAACTGATAGTTTTTGATTCTCATCCTCCTCCCCCTCTCCACCCTTAAGTAGGCCCCAGAGTCTGTTGTTCCCTTCTTTGTACGTAGACGTTACTTTATGTACACACACTACCTCAGAATATGAGTAACTATTTCACAGCTCAGCCACTAGGACACAGTGGTGTCCTTGTCCACTGAAGTCTTCTCTTATATTCTTTTTAGATTTCTCAGCCCCAGGACATAAAAACTCCCTTCTTTCCATTGAAACATAAGAGTTTAGGAGTAACTGGTTTGTTTTGTTTTTTTTTTTTTGTTGTTGTTGTTTTTAATTTGCAAAATGAACTTTTCTCACCTTCTACCATCCTGGGTCTGATTTCTGGCAGTTTCCATAGTCTCTAAGTATATTCCTTCTCTTGTCCTCATGCTGTTCCTATGTCAGGTGCAGGTTAACTTTTCTTTAGTTTTGCTTAGTACCAAACTGCCCAGCTCCAATCTTGGATAATTTGGTACCATTCTCTTTCTTTATTTTTTATTTAATAACCAGAGTATAATTATCAAGATCAGGAAAATAACATTGATTCGTTACTAATCTACAGACCTTATTCAGATATCAACAGTGCTCCCATTAGAATTATTTATAGAAGAAGGGAAACCAAGTTCTTGTCCAGGATTCAGTTCTGGATCATCTGTTACATTTAATGGTTTTGTCTTTGTAGTCTTCTCAAATCTAGAACATTTCTTGAGACTTTGATTGTCATTCTTGACCTTGGCAGCACTTCTTTCTCTCTCTCTCTCTTTCTCTTTGGAGAATATGGGCTGTTTATCTGTAAAGCACCCATTAATGTGGATTTATCTGATTTTTTCTCATGATCAGATTCAGGTTATAGATTTTTGGCAAGAATACAATTAAAGTGTGATATATCCTCAGTGCATTATATCAAGTGACACAGATGGCTTTTTGTTCCCTTACTGGTATATTAACTGAGATCACTTGGTTGAGTTGGTGAATACCAGGTTTCTTCACTGCAAATTTACCACTTTTCTCTTTGTAATAATTCAGTACATTTTAGGGAGATACTTTGAGATCATGTATATACCCTCTTTCACCATATTATGAGTTTTAGCATTAATGATATTTATTTTGAATCATCTTTATTGTGAAACATAGCACACATAAAGTGAATAAAATAAAATATAAATGTACAAATTTATGAATTATAAATAGTATACCTGTGTAATGCCTCTGGTAATAAAAAATAGAACATTTCCAAGCACCTCACATGCCTCTTAATGAATTACAACCCCACTGTTACCTATACAATTAACCATACATTCTTTTATTGCAATCCTGTTATTAAAATTTTTTATGATCTAAGTACACATCTTTAAATATTAAAGTTTAGTCTCATTGAAAAACTTTTGTTACTGTAGTAAAATACACATAACATAAATGTACCATTATAACCATTTTTAAGTGTATGGTTCAGTGGCATTAAGTACATTTACATTGTTGTGCAACCATCACCACCATCCATCTCCAGAACTTTTTCATCTTCCCAAACTGAAGCTATGTAAATCATTAAACAATAAATTCCCTTTCCTCCCTCCTCCTAGCTCCTGGCAGCCACCATTCTACTTTCTCTCTTTCTGAATTTGCCTACTCTAGGTACCTCGTATAAGTGGAATCACACAATATTTGTTCTTTTGTGTCTGGCTTATTTCACTTAGCATAATGTTTTCAAGGTTCATCTGTGTTGAGCATGTTCATATCACTCTCGATTTTTATTCTATAGTACTGGCTTCCAGGAAGTTAGGAATTGGAAAGAAAGCTGAGATGGTAGAGAAGAGCCAGGATTTATCGAGTCACAGGATGAGAATTTTGAGGAGGGAATGGCAACAGCATCAGACACTACAGACGTCAAAGATAATGAGGTAATTTGTTGTTGTTTTTTGAGGCAGAGTCTCACTCTGTAGCCCAGGCTGGGGTGCAGTGGTGCGATCTCGGCTCACTGCAACCTCTGCCTCCCAGGTTCAAGTGATTCTTCCACCTCAGCCTCCTGAGTAGCTGGGAATACAGGTGCACACCACCATTGTATTTTTAATAGAGACGGGGTTTCACCATGCTGGCCAGGCTAGTCTTGAACTCCTGAGCTCAAGCAATCAGCCTGCCTTGGCCTCCCAAAGTACTGGGATTACTTGAGCTACCGCACCTGGCTGATAATGAGGTAATTTGACAAGAAAATTTTAGAATCAGTCATTAACATGTTTAGAGTAACTACTTTGTGTCTGGCATTGTGCTAGGCATTAGATTTATGGAGGTTGAAGCCAGACTGCAAACGTAGAGAAGTAGAGTGGACAGGAGATGATACTTGGATGTGAAGATTTGATTACTTCTATACAAAGAGGGGAGAGGCTGGGCACTATGGCTCATGCCTGTAATCCCAGCACTTTGGGAGGCTGAGGTGGGCGGATCACCTGAGGCCGGAGTTCGAGACCTGCTTGACCAACATGGAGAAACTCTGTCTCTACTAAAAATACAAAATTAGCCAGGTGTGTTGCACATGCCTGTAATCCTAGCTACTCAGGAGGCTGAGGCAGGAGAATCAGTTGAACCCAGGAGGCAGGGGTTGCCGTAAGCGGAGATCACACCATTGCACTCCAGCCTGGGCAAAAAGAGTGAAACTCCATCTCAAAAAAAAAAAAAAAAAAGGAATATATGATTGTTTTCCTATCATTAAATTTGGCACTTGTCAATTCTCCTCAGTAGAGTACTCTGCCACTGAGCTCCAAAACTATGAGTTTTCATAAGATCGTGAAGCAACTTTAAAGGTTGGTGGAATACCTGTGAGGGAAGAATAAGCTGGGCTAGGGTTCTTTTGCTTAAGAAGTCTTTGAGGAGGCTTCAGAAAAATACTCACAAACTAAGTCATATAGTATTTAGATTTGTTGTTTGATGGTTTGAAATTTATTATATAATTATAGGACCAAATGAGATGATCCCAACTTAATGACATCTATCTAGGTTTTAAAGATAGCAGTTAAAGACAATATGAGAGGAAATGGCTTTAAATTCTATAATAAAGGATTTAGGTTAGAAGATTAGAAGATTAATATTAGAAGAAAAATTTCTGACAATGAGGTTTGTTAAACTTTAAAGCAAGTTAACCTAAGATCTGATGAGCCTTCTCTGGGAGGGCTTTAGAGGTAAGTTAGATTTCTCTGTCTAAGGTGGTTTAGGAAAAGATGTTACCTGTAGACAGGTAGATGTGCTGTTGGTCCTTTGCAGTCTAGGAGTCAATAAAGGCCTTTGGCTCATCTAGCTGCAACCATTCTGCCTGTAGTTTATTTTTCTGGATAATTTAATGATTAATTTAATTGCCACACTGCCTAACAAGGAATTAATAGTTTTTCTTAACAGTTTTTTTTAAGATTCTTGTTTAGTAATGCAAATGGCTCACTCATTTATTTATCTATTTTTAGTCAGGCTGAGGTTTTTAGGCTTTTTTTTTTTTTTTGAGACGGGGTCTCACTCTGTCACCCAGGCTGGAGTGCAGTGGCGCGATCTCTGCTGACTGCAAGCTCCGCCTCCCGGGTTCACGCCATTCTCCTGCCTCAGCCTCCCAAGTAGCTGGGACTACAGGCGCCTGCCCGCGCACCCGGCTAATTTTTTGTATTTTTAGTAGAGACCGTGTTTCACCGTGTTAGCCAGGATGGTCTCGATCTCCTGACCTCGTGATCTGCCCGACTTGGCCTCCCAGAGTGCTGGGATTACAGGCGTGAGCTACCGCACCTGGCTTTTGTGTGTGTGTGTGTGTGTGTGTGTGTGTGTGTGTGTGACGGAGTCTCACTCTGCTGCCCACGCTGGAGTGCAGTGGCACGATCTCGGCTCACTGTAACCTACGCCTCCAGGGTTCAAGCAATTCTCCTGCCTCAGCCTCCTGAGTAGCTGGGACTACAGGCGCCCACCACCATGCCCAGCTGATTTTTTGTATTTTTAGTAGAGGCGGGGTTTCACTATCTTAGCCAGGATGGTCTCGATCTCCTGACCTCATGATCCGCCCGCCTCGTCCTCCCAAAGTGCTGGGATTACAGGTGTGAGCCACTGCGCCTGGCGGTTTTTAGGTTTTTATTGTTGTTGTTTCAGACAGGGTCTCACTCTCTTGCCCAGGCTGGAGCACAGTGTTGCAATCTTGGCTCATTGCAACCTGTGCCTCCTAGTTCAGGAGATGCTCTCACCTCAGCCTCCTGAGTAGCTGGGACTACAGGCACATGCCACCACACCCAGCTAATTTTTTTCGTATATTTTTTAGAGATGGGCTTTTGCCATGTTGCCCAGGCTGGTCTCAAATTCCTGGGCTCAAGTAATCCACCTGCCTCTGCCTCCCAAAGTGCTGGGATTACAGGTGTAAGCCACTGCGCCCAGCCATTTTATGTTTCGACAAACACACTTGTCAAGTAATCAAACAGATCTGTTTATTTGTGCCTCACTTGGGGAGGAAGCAGAAGCAGGCTGGAGAAGAAAAGCAAAAAAATGGTAACTTTTGGGGGATTTTTATGGGACTCAAGGTCATGATTTACTCATAACAGGACCTGGTTGGTTGTGCCCTCTCAAATAGAGCAGATGAACTCACTTTGTCCAGCTAGTGTAGTTAGTATTGCTCTAACCTGGTCTTTAAGTATTAGATTTGTTTAGTCACTGGTGTTCTGCAGCTTTAGGAGTGGAGTATGAAAAGAGTCAATTATAAATGATTTTAAGATTAAGAAGTGAGATGCATCTCTGTGTGGTCCATTTCATTTTAGCTCCACTAATAAAACATACTGGCGACCATAATTATATTCCAGTTATAGCAGTAATAGATTCTAGATTTTTCAGGACAGTTTCAAGGAGTCAGTCCTTTTGTTCCCATAAGTAACGTGTATTCAGACAACATGCTTTGAATTTGGTTTGGAAAATAGGATCACTGTAATTTATAGCAGCAGTGAGAAGACTGGTAGGAAGCTCCACTTCAGCTTTGCCTATATCACGTGCTGAATTGGGCATTTACAGAAATGGAGAATCATGGTTGGGCTGTGCCGAAATAAATCTGAGCCTGGGGTAGAAAGAGAAAACTGCCTCATATTGAATGCCTACTATGTATATGTTTGGCACTGTGCTAGGTGCTTTCCCTATTGACAGCTGCTCTGGCTAGAATTCTATCCTGGATCCAACTGCCACTTAAATAATATACCCCCACCCCTCAACAACAACAACAACAAAACAAACACATATGCCACATGGGGCTTAGTTCATTAAGACTCGTCACAGCTGCCACACCCTCTTTAAGACCCTGGCACCATAATTAGGATAATAGAATCTCTGGGTTTGGAAGTATCTTTGAGGTCATCTAGTTAGAAGGGGTGGCAGCTGTTCTCTTTACCATGGAGTT
Organism: Homo sapiens; assembly: GCF_000001405.40. NCBI lineage: Eukaryota > Metazoa > Chordata > Mammalia > Primates > Hominidae > Homo > Homo sapiens. The sequence continues at coordinate 43,493,905 of NC_000015.10, read as the reverse complement.
TGAGAATGACAGTGCTCAATTCTCTCAATGGGAGGTGCAAAATATGTCTGGGGCTGTAGTCTCTGCAGGCAATCCCATAAAAGATAAGGCAACGATAAACAAGTGTGAAGCTTGAAATACGTCCTAGGCGGAAAAGGGCAATGGGAAGAAATATGGCTTACTGGAGCCCTTATACAATGTAAAAACAAACAAATACTAAAAACGCCCTGGCAGAGATGTAATGTCAGGCCCTTGGATTCAGGGTAGAGGCCCACAAAAGGGATCCTGATTGACACAGGTTAACCCTGTGTCAAAGAAGAAAGAGTCTCTTCTGTTGGGTTCACCAGCTCTGAAGTACCTAGCCATCCTCAAGCCGCTTCTTCTTTGCCCTGTTATGAGAAAGCTGGGAAACTCTCTCCTTTTCCAGGAAAGAGGGTGAGGGACGGGGATTAAGGGGCGTGAACGAGAAAAAGCAGGTAGAGGTACTGAAATGTCTGAGTAGTGGTAAATGCAATCGTCCTGGAAGCAGGGGAAGGTATTTCACGCCCTCTCAAGGTCCCTTCGGTTCAAGGATACCGTCATTCTCCGGCTCTACTAAAGGGGAGGGCCTGCAACGTCCATGCTGCCATGGAAACGCGCCGCCGTGTTCCTTTTTCTTACGTGGGGCAGGGCACTCTGCCGCAGCTACCTATCATCCACGGGATTTCTTGAGTGGCGGGCGGCGGCAGCGAATGGACGATCCGATATTGTGTGACGTGACGGGAAAGGGGGAGTTCGCGGCCGGTGGCGGCGGTGGCGACAGCGGCGACCTAGGGATCGATCTGGAGGGACTTGGGGAGCGTGCAGAGACCTCTAGCTCGAGCGCGAGGGACCTCCCGCCGGGATGCCTGGTACTGTTTGGAGAGAAATGGGAGTGCAGTGGGCTCTGAAGGCCTGGATTTCGGGTCTGAAGGGATGGCTGACCGGAGGGGGCGGGGTGGCAAGCATGGCGGCGGTGACGGGGAAGGGGTTGGAGGGCCCTAAGGAGGGGGTGGGGAAACGTTAGCTAAGAAGGCTTGGTGGTCGTGAGGAAAGCTGAAAGGCTGTGGGGCCTCTGGCGAACAGATTTTAGAAAACATTCTTTTGGGGGGAGGTAGAGGCGCCAGAAGGACGTGGCGGGGGGGATGGAAAAAGGGGCGGGGAGAGAAGAGGTTAGGAAGGAGGGGAAAGGGTGTCTACGAGAAGGTGATGAAAAATAGGGAGGGATAGTCAGGCTTATTGTAAATAACGAGGAATGGTGACTTGGTAGGCATGATAGGAAAGTGCTTGCAGCAATTATAAATATAATATTCTAATTGGAGGAGTCCTGAAGTGGTCCCGTTTCCCAGCTCTTGTACTTCCGCCCCATTATTTAGGTTTAGACTGCGTGAGCAAGGCTAGTAGGTTACACGGAACTGATCTTTTGTTATTCCATTCCAGGGGAGCAGATGGACCCTACTGGAAGTCAGTTGGATTCAGATTTCTCTCAGCAAGATACTCCTTGCCTGATAATTGAAGATTCTCAGCCTGAAAGCCAGGTTCTAGAGGATGATTCTGGTTCTCACTTCAGTATGCTATCTCGACACCTTCCTAATCTCCAGACGCACAAAGAAAATCCTGTGTTGGTGAGTGATACCTTGTTTGAAGAAGATTGAGCAGATTTTTTTTTTTAAACCGAAAACCAGCAAACATAAGTATTTAGAAGATCATTACCTTCTCAATAAAGTTGATTGGAAAAATTGTTCACAAATAGTAGGTTTCATTTTGAACTATTTCATATATAATGGGGATATTTTGTATGTGTATTTTCTAGGATGTTGTGTCCAATCCTGAACAAACAGCTGGAGAAGAACGAGGAGACGGTAATAGTGGGTTCAATGAACATTTGAAAGAAAACAAGGTTGCAGGTGAGGTGTTTAAAGCTATCTGTCCCCTTTGCATTTTTTGGGTGCTCTTGTTGGTGCTGGGTGGATTTAAACTTTATGTGGTTGTGTCGAATGTATGTAAGGAAGCCTACTGTGGTATCTGCGTAGTAGTCACTCAAAAGTTGATGTGCTAGTGTCACTGATTAGATTGGTATTGTCTGTATTCCTGATTTTGTATTAAGGTTTGTTGGTAAATGTCTTTCATGCTAATATCCAGTTATTTTTTTCAGACCCTGTGGATTCTTCTAACTTGGACACATGTGGTTCCATCAGTCAGGTCATTGAGCAGTTACCTCAGCCAAACAGGACAAGCAGGTATACAGTGTTTGAAGGGGTTTATTTAAATGTATTATCAGATTTGTTCTTTTATCTGTACCTGTTGCCTCATCCCAAGGATAAAAGGATTAATCTCTTTCTTGTGGATTAGGAAATGGGACTTGAGGGTTGTATTAGATAGTATTGTAATAGTACTGATAGCTGGAAACTGTTTTGTGAAGGTAATAATTTTTATACCTACATTATTCAAATCATGATCTGTCTTGTGCATGTGAAACAAAATAAGCATTCCTCCTAGTAGAAAAAAATTATTAAAAAGTATTTAGGGGCCAGGCATGGTGGCTCATGCCTGTAATCCCAGCGCTTTGAGAGGCTGAGGCGGATGGATCACTTGAGGTCAGGAGTTTGAGACCAGCCTGGCCAACATGGTGAAACCCCATCTCTACTAAAAACAGAAAAATTAGCTGGGCCTGGTGGTGCGTGCCTGTAATCCCAGCTATTCAGGAGGCTGAGGCAGGAGAGTTGCTTGAACCTGGGAGGCGGAGGTTGCAGTGAGCTGAGATTGTACCAGTGTACTTTATCTAGCCTGAGTGACAGAGTGAGACTCCGTCTCAGCAAAAAAAAAAAAAAAATTTAGGAGTATTATCAGAACTATTAGGCATGTTTTCCATCTATCAACTGAAGTACCCCACCAGTTTTAGATCTAGAATGTTTAATTCTTACCCTAAACAAGATTCAATTGTTACCATGTCTTTTGCATATCTTTATAATACCCATTTTTTGAGTTCATGCTCTGTGTTAGGTCCTGTATTGGACGTTTGGCATATAGTATAATGTTATTTAATCCTATTCTTAAAGCAGCTGTACGATGAAGACATTACATTACTTCCATTGTATAGACGGGAAAATTGATGGACAAAGAAATTAGATAACTTGCTTTAGAGTACATTGCTAGTAAGTGGCAGAGCTGGCTTTGAACCTGGTCCTAATGACTCTAATGCCTCCTCTTTCATTCTAACTAATCAGTGCTTCTCAGTCTTCCGCCCCAATATTTCTAAGGTCCAAGGAGAATGTAGAGAACTTCAGGAGTTTTGGGGTGGTAGAAAGGGGAGGTGGTTAGAGAGGAGAATGTTAGCTTGAGATGGTTAAAGACTATTGTTTTTTCTTAAAAAGAAATGGTTTTTGGCTGGGCGCAGTGGCTCACACCTGTAATCCCAGCACTTTAGGAGGCTCAGACAAGAGGATCACTTGAGCCCAGGAGTTTGAGATCAGCCTGGGCAACCTAGTGAGACCCTGTCTCTACAAAAGAAAAAAAAAAAGGACTGGGTGTGGTAGCTCACACCTGTAATCCCAGCACTTCGGGAGGCTGAGGTGGGCGGATCACCTGAGGTCAGGAGTTTGATACCAGTCTGGACAACGTGGTGAAACCCGGTCTCTTAAAAATACAAAAATTAACGAGGTGTGGTAGCGGGTACCTGTAATACCAGCCACTCAGGAGGCTGCATCAGGAGAATCACTTGAACCTGGGAAGCAGAGGTTGCAGTGAGCCGAAATTGTGCCACTGCACTCTAGCCTGGGTGACAGAGCGAGACTCTGTCTCAAAATAAAATAAAATAATAAAAAAAAAAATAGCAGGGCATGGTGGTCCGTGCCTGTAGCCCCAGCTATTCAGGAGACTGAGATAGAAGGATCACTTGAGCCTGGAAGATTGAGGCTGCAGTCAGCCGTGATTGTGCCGCTGCACTCCAGCCTGGTTGATAGAGTGAGACCCTGTCTCAAAAAGAAAAGCTTTTTTGGAGGTGTGTTTTATTTTACACTCTGTGTCTGTACGTAATTTTTTTTTTCTCACAAATCATCAAGTAAAATAAATGCTTTAGAACAACCTGCAAACCGATGGGCTCATTGTGGCCTGCAGAAGTGTTTTATTTGGCCTACATAGGTGGTAAAATGTTAATATATTTGAATTAATTGACAGAATTTTAGAATGGGGAAATTTCTCATAAAACTTAGACTTCCAGCTTCTGGCATTTCTTGTTTCTGTTGGCAACAGTTGGCTGGAGTTATGAGTAGCAGTCAGCCTCTGCTTAGATGGAGCATTAGTGCTATGATTTGCCATAGTCACTACAATTCATTATTGTACTTGGACACTGAGGCCAGGTGTTCTTTTGTCATTTATCATAGTGCTTGTGCTTTTGTTCTTACACCCAGCTGCTTCACTCATCTATGTTATCTTGCTTTGATTTCTGTGGGCATTTAAGTTTATGGTACCTCTTTAAGAACATGTGCCAGGCTTATCTATGTTTTTGTGGCTCAGCATCCTGGTTTGAGCCAGTGGGGACAGGAAGTATGCACGTCCCTCATTGTGAATGAAGCAATGCTATTTGAGAAGTTTCATGCTACTTCTTTTCATGTTAAATAAATGTGCAGGCACTGTGGCATGTGCTTTAAAGGGGCTTTTGCCATTGTGGAGCTTATAATTTAATAGGAGAGACAGATGTTAAATGAGTCATTACATCAGTAGCTATTCCATTACAACTGTGATCATTGCAAAGAGGAGAAAAAATATATATAACGTAATCAGAAGGATAAGGGGACACCTCTTTGTGGAATACAATCTAAACAATAAATATGAATTTGTTAGGCATAGTTGAAGGGCTTGGAGGGCATAGTTGAAGAGCTGCACATTTCTATGTGCAGTATGAAAGGAGGAGCTGTCCAAACAGAATGAACTGTGTGTGCATAGGCCATGAAGCTGGAAAGAATTTGGAGTTGATTCCAAAAGAATGAAATCTCTTCAAAACACTTTTTTTTTTGAGACGGAGTCCCACTCTTGTTCCCCAGGCTGGAGTGCAATGGTGTGATCTTGGCTCACTGCAACCTCTGCCTCCCAGGTTCAAGCGATTCTCTTGCCTCAGCCTCCTGAGTAGCTGGGATTACAGGTGTCCACCACCACTGCTGGCTAATGTTTGTATTTTTAGTAGAGATGGGGTTTCCCCATGTTGGCCAGGCTGGTCTTAAACTCTTGACCTCAAGTGATCCACTTGCCTCAGTCTCCCAAAGTGCTGGGATTACAGGTGTGAACCACCTTGCCTGGCCAAATCCACCAAATTTATTCACATTTCCTGTTTTACTTCTTTTTATGTGTGTGTGTATGCGTGTGTGTATTAAGTTTTACATAGTTTTATCACCTGCGTAGGTTTGTGTCTTCACCACAACAGTCAAGATACAGTTCTAACACTGCAAGGATGTTTATTGTTGCCCTTTTATAGCCACACCTACCTCCGTCTTTTGCACCCAAACCCCTGGCAGCCATTAATCCATTCTTCATGTGTAAAATGTCATTTCAAAATACTATATAAAATGGGATCATACAGTCTGTAACCTTTAGTGATTGGCTTTTTTTTTTTTTTGAGACAGGGCCTCACTCTGTTGCTCAGGCTGGAGTGCAGTGGCAAGGTCATGGTTAGTGCAGCCTCCACCTCCTGGGCTCAAGCAATCCTCCCATCTCAGCCTCGCAAGTAGCTGAGACGACAGGCACATGCCACCACACCCAACTAATTTTTTAACTTTTTGTAGAGATGGGGTTTTGCTGTATTGGCCAGGGTGGTCTCCAATGCCTGGGCTCAAGCAATCCTCCTGTCTCATCCTCCTAGAATGCAGGGTTACAGGCATGAGCCACCATGCCCATCCTTGGGATTGGCTTTTTCAATCAGCATAACTTCTGGGGCTCCATCCATGTTTTTGCATGTATCAATAGTTCATTTTTATTGCTGAGTAGTCTTCCATGCCGTGGATGTACCACAGTTTGTTTAACCATTCATCTGTTGAAGGACATCTGCATTTTTTTTTCTTGTTTTTGACTACTATTGAGAAGCTGTTATAAGCATTTATGAACAGGTTTTTCTTTTCTTTTTTTTTTTTTTTGAGATGGAGTCTTGCTCTGTCGCCCAGGCTGGAATGCAATCTCAGCTCACTGCAACCTCCACTCCAGGGTTTAAGTGATTCTTCAGCCTCAGCATCCTGAGTAGCTGGGACTACAGCCGTGCACCATCACGCCTGGCTAATTTTTGTATTTTTAGTAGAGGCGGGATTTCACCATGTTGATCAGACTGGTTTTGAACTCCTGACCTCAGGTGATCTGCCTGCCTCAGCCTCCCAAAGTGCTGAGATTATAGGTGTGAGTCACTGTGCCCGGCCATATGTACAGGTTTTTCTGTGAGCATAAGTCTTCATTTCTCTAGGATAAATGCCCAGATTTGCAATTGCTGGGTCATGGTAGTTGCATGTTTGTTTTTTTAAGAAACTGCCAAACTTTTCTAGAGTGGCCGTACTGTTTTATAGTCCCACCAGCAATGTATGAGTGATCTAATTTTTTTTCATCCTTACTGGCATTTGGTGTTTTCAGTATTTTTTATTTTAGCCATTACAAGTCTGTAGTGATACCTCATTGTTGTTTCAGTTTGCATTTCCCTAATGGCTAATGATGGTGAGGATTTTTTCATGTGCTTACTTGCTGCCTGTCATTTTCTTCAGGGAAATGTCTTTTCATATCTTTTGTCCATTTTCTAATTGGATTGTCTTTTTACTATTGTGTTTTGAGAGTTCTTTATATATTCTAGATACTAGTCTTTTGTAGAATATGTATTTTGCAAATATTTTCTCCCACTCTATCCTTTCTTTCTCTTCATAGGGTTTTTCACGGAGCAATTTTTAATTTTGGTGAGAGCTGTTAAATATTTTTAACAGAATAATATAAGTCATTTACTTTAAAAAGGGCTTATAGGCCGGGTGCAGTGGCTCAGGCCTATAATTTCAGCACTTTGGGAGGCCAAGGCGGGTGGATCACTTGAGCTCAGGAGTTTGAGACCAGCCTGGGCAGTATGGTGAAATCCCGTCTTTACCAAAAATACAAAAAAATTAGCTGGGCATGGTGGCACACATCTGTGGTTCCAGCTACTCAGGAGGCTGAGGTGGGAGGATCGCTTAAGCCTGGGAAGCAGAGGTTGCAGCGAGCCGTGATTGCACCGCTGCACTCTAGCCTGGGTGGCAGAGTGAGACCCTGCCTCAAAAACAAATAAATAAATAATAGTAAAAAGGGCTTATAATGAAAAGCAGAGAGTCCTTCCTCACCCTTGCTCCCTTTTCACAAAGGCAACTCTCTTTAACTGTTTATGGTTTTACTTCTTTGGGAGGTTATCTTCCTACCTCTAATACTATTGTAAAACTATAAATGTGTTTTATATGTAAAGTAATACAATTGAGTTCTGATAATGAAAGATGGGGTAACTCAGCAACACCCTCCCAATTTTTGTTTATTTGTTTGTTTTATTTTGAGACCGAGTTTCGCTCTTGTTGCCCAGGCAGAGTGCAATGGCATGATCTTGGCTCACGGCAACCTCCGCCTCCTGGGTTCAAGCGATTCTCCTGCCTCAGCCTCCCAAGTAGCTGGGATTACAGGCATGTGCCACCATGCCCGGCTAATTTTGTATTTTTAGTGGAGATAGGGTTTCTCCATGTTCGTCAGGCTGGTCTTGAACTCCCGACCTCAGGTGATCCACCCCCCTCAGCCTCCCAAACTGCTGGGATTACGGGCGTGAGGCACCTCCGCGGCCCTCCCAATTTTTTTTTTGTTTGTTTTCACCCTCTCAATTTTTGATGGTAATTATTTTAATTCTTCTGGCTCCGTTTACACTTCTAAATAATATATTTAAACCTTTGTTTTCTCTTTCCATCAACTTTAGACAGTGGAGAAAAGTTTAACTAAAGTACTGTTTTTTGTCTGTAATCTGAATTATTTCATGCTTTTTCTGATTTGTCTAATCATTCTACAAATTTTTTTGAGTATTTTCTTTTTTCTTTTTTGAAACGGAGTCTTGCTTTGTTGCCCAGGCTGGAGCGCAGTGGCACCACCATCTTGGCTCACTGCAACTTCCACCTCCTGAGTTCAAGCGATCCTTGTCCCTCAGCCTCCTGAGTAGCTGGGATTACAGGCAAGTGCCACCATGCCTGGCTAATTTTTGTATTTTTAGTAGAGACAGGGTTTCACCTTGTTGGCCAGGCTGGTCTTGAACTCCTGACCTCAAGTGATCTGCCCATCTCGGCCTCCCAAAGTACTTTCTTTTTTTTTTTTTGAGACGGCGTCTCGCTCTGTTGCCCAGGCTGGAGTGCAGTGGCACGATCTCGGCTCACTGCAAGCTCCGCCTCCTGGGTTCACGTCATTCTCCTGCCTCAGCCTCCCAAGTAGCTGGGACTACAGGCACCTGCTACCACGCCTGGCTAATTTTTTGTATTTTTAGTGGAGATGGGGTTTCACCATGTTAGCCAGGATGGTCTTGATCTCCTGACCTCGTGATCCGCCCGCCTCAGCCTCCCAAAGTGCTGGGATTACAGGCATGCGCCACCGTGCCCGGCCAAAGTACCTTCTATTGAGTATTTTCTGTGTGCCAGGTGTTCTTGGATTTTGGGGATACAAAGTGATCAGAAGAAATAAAAATCCTAGACCTTAATGTAGCTTACATTCTTGTGTAGGGTATAGCAATATATGATAAATAAGTAAAATATGTAGTATGTTAGATGCTGATAAGGGCTGAAGAGATAAATATAGCAGGGAAGGGGAGAGGAAGCAACAAAGTGGTTGCAAGTTTACATAGGGTGTCTAGGGAGTGCTTCATTGATAGGACATTTGATTAAAAATCTAAGTGAGGCCGAGGCAGGAGGATCTCTTGAGCCCAGGAGTTTGAGAGCAGCCTGGACAACATAGTGAGACCCTGTCTCTACAAAAAATACACAGTAAGCCAGGCATGGTAGTGTGCGCCTGTGATCCCAGCTACATGGGAGGCTGAGGTGGGAGGATCGCTTGAGCCTGGGAGGTTGAGACTGCAGTGAGCCATGATTGCTTCACTGCACTCTAGCTTGTGTAACAGAGTGAGACCATATCTTAAAAAAAAAAAACAAAAAACAAGTAAGTGTGTATTTGCTGTTATCTGGGATAAGTGTAATCCATGCATGGAGAATGGCAAGTTCAAAGACCCTGAGGCATGAGCGTCCCTGGAATATTTGAGAAATAGCAGGGAGGTTAGTGTGGCTGTAGTGGAGTGACTAAGAGAAGTGAGAGAAGAGGTCAGAGAAGTCAGAAGGGAACCAGATTATGTAAGGCATTGTGAGGAATTTGGCTCTTATTTTTAGTGAGATAGGAAGACATTTAAGGGTTTTGAGCAGGGGAAGGACATGATCTGATTTAGATTTTTAACAGAGTCACTCTGGCTGCTTGATTAAGAATAGACTGAAAGCAGGACAAGGCTAGAGGCAGGAAGACCAACAAGGAAACTATTGACATAATTTAGCAAAAGGTGATAGTGGCTGGACCAGGATTGAAGCAGATGAAGAATGGTGAGATTCTGAGTATTTGAAAAGGGGATTCAAAGACAGATCAGATGTGGAGTGTGAGAGACAAGAAGGAAGTAATAATTATTCCAGGTTTGTTTTGCTTCAAGTAGCTGGGACTACAGATGTATGCCACCGTGCCTGGCAGATTCCAAGTTTTTGATTTGAGCAACTAGAGTAATGGAATGACAGTTAAGATAGAGAAGACTGCAGGAGGGGAAGTTCAGTTTTAAACATATGAAACATTGTGCTATCTTTTCAACAACCAGCTGGATGTGTTGAGGAGGTAATTGGACAAGGAGGCCTGGAGCTCAGAGGGAAAAGTCTAGGCCAGAGATTTAAATTGCAGACTCATAAGCAGATAGGTAGTATTCTAAACCATGAGTCTGGATGAGGTCATTAAGTGGGTGAATGTAGCTAGAAAAGAGGTCCAAGGACTCACGGAGCCTACCAGCATTTAGAGATCAGGGACATGAGGTAAAAACACCAAAAGAAACTAAGAAGAGCTCAAAGTGTGTTGTTTTGTGCTGTCGTCCTTCATTGCTTCTTTTCTACCATTTGCAATATTTGCTCTTGAACTTTCTTTCCCTCTGTTTCCCAAAGTCATTTATCTGGTCCTTCCAGTTATATAGATAATGTTCTATTTTGCTTTTGTAAAAATCTTTACTTAGTCTTCTTTCACTTGCTTGGGTCACGGTTCCCAACTTTGCAAATTTATATTTTCACCTCTTTTGTGTTTATTACAGTTACGCTTAATGCTCTTTTTATGAAATATTAGTTGTGTAGAAAGTTGCAAGGAAGCAAAGATGTCATCTGTAATCCTGCCACCCAGAGGCTAATTGCTGTAAACATTTTGGCATCTTTTCTCTCTTTTTTTGTTCATTTGATTTATATGGTTGACATCATGTGGAAAGTAAAAGTGTATGTTTGCTGATGTTTTGCTTAAAAACATGAAAATTTTTCTCATGACAATTAAAACTTAACATATTCCCCAAGTTTTTTATTTTAAAAGTTTAAGCCCACAGAAGAAATGAAAGAGTATACATTTGTTCTGTGTGTGTGTGTGTGTGTGTGTGTGTGTGTGTGTGTGTTCTGTACTTTTTTGGGGAGGATTAATTGTTTAAGTTGCAGACATCAGATTTTTCCTTAATATAATGTCCCCTTAAATACTTCAGCATTCATCCCCTAAGAATAAGTACATTATTCTATATAATCATAGTACCGTTATCACACTTAAAGTAATAATTCCATAATATTTAAGTATACAGTTCAGATTTTCCCAGTTGTCTCAAAGATGTCTTTTGTCTTGTTTTATTGATTGGTTGGTTGATAGCATCTAAGATCCAATTCAGGTTCACATTTTGTATTTGATTGTTTCACACTTTTCTTTTTTTGGAGACAGACTCTTTTTCTGTTGCCCAGGCTGGAGTGCAGTGGGGCAGTCTCGGCTTACTGCAACCTCCACCTCCTGGGTTCAAGCGATTCTCCTGCTTCAGCCTCCCAAGTAGCTGGGACTACAGGCACATGACACCACACTGGTTAAATTTTTTTTTTTTTGAGACGGAGTCTCGCCATGTCTCCCAGGCTGGAGTGCAGTAGCGTGATCTTGGCTCACTGCAACCTCCGATTCCCAGGTTCAAGCAATTCTCCTGCCTCAGCCTCCCCAGTAGCTGGGACTACAGGTGCGTGCCACCACGCCCGGCTAATTTTTTGTATTTTTAGTAGAGACAGGGTTTCACCTTGTTCGCCGGGATGGTCTCGATCTCCTGACCTTGTGATCCGCCTGTTTCGGCCTCCCAAAGTGCTGGGATTACAGGCATGAGCCACCGCGCCCAGCCTAATTTTTGTATTTTTAGTAGAGACGGGGTTGCACCATGTTGGCCGTGCTGGTTTTGAACTAACCTTAAATGATCCGCCCACTTCGGCCTCCCGAAGTGCTGGGATTACAGGGATAAGCCCCTGCGCCTGGCCTTGTTTCAAACATTTTTAACGGTGATATATGTTATTAATAGATTGTGAAATTATGTAATCATTTCCTTAATGCTGAATTTATAGGTTGTTTCTTGTTGTTGTTGTTGTTGTTGTTGTTGTTTTTTGAGGTGGAGTCTCGCTCTGTCGCCCAGGCTGGAGTGCAGTGGCGCGATCTCGGCTCACTGCAAGCTCTGCCTCCCGGGTTCACGCCATTCTACTGCCTCAGCCTCCTGAGTAGCTGGGACTACAGGCACCTGCCACCACGCCCAGCTAATTTTTTTGTATTTTTTAGTAGAGATGGGGTTTCACCATGTTAGCCAGGATGGTCTCGATCTCCTGATCTCGTGATGCGCCCTCCTTGGCCTCCCAAAGTGCTGGGATTACAGGCGTGAGCCACCGTGCCTGGTCGGTGTTAACTTATTTTAAAAATATATGGAGTTTGCTTGTGCCCAGTAGTTCAAGGCTGCAGTAAGCTGTGATCGTGCTACTGCACTTTAGCCTGGGAGACAGACTCTGTCTCTCTCTTTTTTTTTTTTTTTTGAGACAGAGTCTCGCTCTGTCACCAGGCTGCAGTGCAGTGGCGCGATCTCGGCTCACTGCAACCTCCGCCTCCTGGGTTCGAGCAATTTTCCTGCCTCAGCCTCCTGAGTAGATGGGACTACAGGCGCATGCCACCACACCCAGCTAATTTTTATATTTTTAGTAGAGACGGGGTTTCACCATGTTAGCCAGGATGGTCTCGATCTCTTGACCTCGTGACCTGCCTGCCTCTGCCTCCCAAAGTGCTGGGATTACAGGTGTGAGCCACTGTGCCCGGCCCAGACTCTGTCTCTTAAAAAAAAAATAAGTAAAAAATAAAAAGTGTGTGTGTGTGTGTGTGTGTGTGTGTGTGTATTTATATACATATATAAGCTCCTTACCTGAATTTTGTTTGGACTCTGTGGTTCTATATATGTATTTTAAGATTTTTTACTAAAATACTTCTGTGAACTTTTAAAAAGTTTTTTGAGCCCTTTCTGTGCTCATCCAATGCATATCTTCTCTTGTCACTTGTCAGTAATTCTCCTGAATGCAAGATTTTTCTGCCTCTTCTCAAAAATATAAAATTCGAGTATGTTGGTGCCTTATTTTTTCTTTACTTAATTCTGTGTAGGATGTTGAATTGTTAATCTTTTAGGTGCTTTTTGTAGAAAGAAGCACTATAAAGGTGAGGTATTTTACTTTTTCAAGTTTGGCTAAGAGATGGTTGGTATGTGTTGGGGGTCAGAGTGCTCTGATTAAAGTGTCCCAAACTATCTGGGAACACATGATTATATCCTTCTGCTGTGTAGTGTTCTGGGAATGTCAGTGGAATCTGCTCCTGCTGTGGAGGAAGAGAAGGGAGAAGAGTTGGAACAGAAGGAGAAAGAGAAGGAAGAAGATACTTCAGGCAATACTACACATTCCCTTGGTGCTGAAGGTAGCCTTGTGCTTTTTTCAGAATAATAGACTGTTCTAACTTCCCTTTAACATGATTGTGCAGATGTCTAAATTTCTCCTCTTTATTAGGTTGCAGATTTCTCATAATTAAATTGAGAGTCATTAAGAAATTTGCTAGTAATTTAAAATGTTCCACCTGATTTGGTATTCAGGAATTTGTAGTTCATTGGTTAGCCCCTTTCTGCATATTGAGTTTTCTTCCTCTTGTATTCATTTGTTTTTCAAATATTTTTGTAATGTGTACTTTGTGGGGTGTAAGTACAGTCTGAATTGCTGTGACTGTGGGTGTAGTTTATGATGTACCTTTAGAAAGCAGACGTAGTCTCCTTATAAGATTTTATAGTATGAAGTATTTTTACTTTATTACACATTTTCCCCCTTCATCTTTAATGCACTTATTTTTTTTAAATTTATTTTTTATTTTTTTGCGACGGAGTCTTGCTCTGTTGCCCAGGTTAGAGTGCAGTGGCGCAATCTTGGCTCACTGCAAGCTCCGCCTCCTGGGTTCAAGCCATTCTTGTGCTTCAGCCTCCCGAGTAGCCAGGATTACATGTGTGCGCCACCACACCTGGCTAATTTTTGTATTTTTAGTAGAGATGGGGTTTCACCATGTTGGCCAGGCTGGTCTTGACCGCCTGACCTCAAGTGATTCACCTACCTTGGCCTCCCAAATGCCGGGATTATAGGTGTGAGCCACCGTGCTCGGCCACATTTATTTTTTATTTTTGAAAAATTTGGGGGGTGCACAGGGCTTTGATGTGAAGGACTTAACGGGACCCTCCTTTGCTGAGGACAGCAGCTTGTACATTGCATAATGTTGTGGGATGATACCTAATTTCTTGGCATTTTGTTCCTAGATACTGCCTCATCACAGTTGGGTTTTGGGGTTCTGGAACTCTCCCAGAGCCAGGATGTTGAGGAAAATACTGTGCCATATGAAGTGGACAAAGAGCAGCTACAATCAGTAACCACCAACTCTGGTTATACCAGGCTGTCTGATGTGGATGCTAATACTGGTATGAAACATGTTTTCTGGCATTTGGAGTTGTTGTGTTTTCTCCCATATTAGAGGTAGTTATTTTTTCTTTGATAAGTTTTGCAGCTATCCAAATTAATATAATCTAAGTAATTTAGTAAGGTTGAAGAGTTTTCTGGTAAATACTTGTCAATTGTTGGTTTGTGGGCTGAGGTTTTAAGTTATTGGTTACTTTCCTTTATAGACTGATGCCTGTATATATTTTAAATTGGACTTCTGTTAAAATCTTTGCTTTTTAAAAAACATCTGGGACTGTATCTAGTATTTTGAAAACTTAATTATCTCCTTCCTGTCATTTTATAAAACTCTCAGCAATTAAGCATGAAGAACAGTCCAACGAAGATATCCCCATAGCAGAACAGTCCAGCAAGGACATCCCTGTGACAGCACAGCCCAGTAAGGATGTACATGTTGTAAAAGAGCAAAATCCACCACCTGCAAGGTAAGCCGAACTTTCTAAAAAGGATTTACGAGTTTTGCTGTAGGGTTATACTAATGTCATTTTACCAGATGAAAACATTTTTAGAAATTGTTGATTTTTAAATTATTTTCCCCTTGTACTGGGCATACTTGTGGTCCATTGGAAACGTTGATTATTTATGAAGTCTCAAGAATTGTTTTTTGTCTGTCTGTCTGTCTGTCTGTTTGAAACAAAGTCTCACTATGTTGCCCTGGGCTCATGTGATTCTCTGCCCCAGCCTCCCAAGTACTGGGGCCACACTTGACTACTAATCTTATCTTTAGGCATTCTACAAAGACCTTTTTTTGTTGATTAAAAAAATTTTTTTGTTGTAGAAATGGAGTCTCGCTATGTTGCTCAAGCTGGTCTCGAACTCCTGGGCTCAAGTAATCCTCCTGCCTCAGCTTCCCAAAGTGCTGGGATTATAGGCGTGAGCCACTCTGCCTAGCCTGCAATGATGTTTTAAGGCTGCTCTAACTATAAGCATGACTCCGTAATCTTTGGTTGCCACTCCTCCTTTGTGATCTTTGTCTACAGAGACACTGCTTGTCTGTGGGAGGTCTTCTTAGCCTCTCTGGTGTTATGAAGAGTAACATGACTATTTTATTTGAAAGCCTACTGTTTCTATACTTGAGGAGCACCCAGATTGCTTTGGGTTCTTAGGTATCCTGCATCTGGTATTTTATGGTATCGATAGATGTAGGGATTTTCTCAGGTTCTTTAGGCTCTTAACTTGGTAGGAATTGGGGAATGTGCCTCTGCTTCATCTCTCGTGATTTTTATAACCAAAGCTTCATTACCTCTGGCCAGTAAGTGAAGTTTGAATATGGCAGAAGAAAACTGGGATGCTTCCAGTTTGGGATAGGGGATAAATAAACAGTATTGTTTTGTTATTTCCTTCAATGGAAAGAGTGGGGAGAGAGTGTCCTAAGCAAAGTTGAATATCAAGAGAAATTGTCTTTCTAATGTAAAACACTCAGCATAACAGTGACTTTTTAGGCTTTTCTTTTAGATGCTGCCTTCCATCTAGTTATGCTATTCTGTTTACCCTGGGGAGTGGTAGAACAGGTGAACCTCATAAGTCTCTGGAAAGGGGCCAGGGATGAATGTCTTATACATGTTAGTATTGATCTGAAGGAGAATTGGTTTGGGGTTTGGGTACATCAAATGGAAAAGGTCAGCAGAAGATGTGTGTGGCACTAGTAAGGAGGATAATTGACATCAAATGCTTTCCATGGAATGTCATGGTTTGGACTGTTCTCCTTACTGGCATCATTGGGGTCTGGATCAGAATTCTTTATACAGGTCTAGATAACATTATATGTAACAAAAATTCCCCAAGTTACTCATCAGAAATCTTAGAAAGCATGAAGCACAGTATTGAGCAGAGTTGAAGACAGGTATTGGCTGTGAGAGAGAGTGAGACAGGTTTTAAAATGGGCTGAGGACTTTTATCACTATAAAGAGTAGTTTATTTCCTTTTTAATATATAATTATGTAAATTAGAGCCACTGGAATTTTTGAAATTATTAAAGAAAAACACACAAAACAGGAAAAGCTTTTTATTTAAAAACATTTGAACTTAGGAACTTTTTCTCCTGGTGATATGAATTTCCTAGGTCAGAGGACATGCCTTTTAGCCCCAAAGCATCTGTTGCTGCTATGGAAGCAAAAGAACAGTTGTCTGCACAAGAACTTATGGAAAGTGGACTGCAGATTCAGAAGTCACCAGAGCCTGAGGTTTTGTCAACTCAGGAAGACTTGTTTGACCAGAGCAATAAAACAGGTACCAAGAGTGATTTGTCGTTACAGCTCTTCTCCAAAGATCTAAACTTTTACTTTAGTTCTGAGGCTACTGGTTAAGTTACAAAGCATTTTATAGGTTTGCAGACTTGTTTGTGATATGGAAGGAAAACGTGTTTCTAGTAATTAGTGAGAAGGGCTTTTTGGGAATAATTTCCATTTAATATTTTGACATAATTTTCTCTCTTTTGGAAATGAGATGGTGAAGAATAGCTAATACAGTAAATTTAGTATTATGGATACTAGCCATTTTCTTTTTTTCTTTTTTTTTTTTTTGAGATGGAGTCTCACTCTGTCACCCAGGCTGGAGTGCAGTGGCGCAATCTCGGCTCACTGCAAGCTCCGCCTCCCGGGATCATGCCATTCTCCTGCCTCAGCCTCCCTAGTAGCTGGGACTACAGGCACCCGCCACCATGCTTGGCTAATTTTTTGTATTTTTAGTAGAGATGGGGTTTCACTGTGTTAGCCATGATGGTCTTGATCTCCTGACCTTGTGATCCGCCTGCCTTGGCCTCCCACAGTGCTGGGCTTACAGGCATGAGTCACCACACCTGGCTGCCATTTTCTGTTACATGGCTACTATGTCTTCAAATCTTCAATATGATATTAAGCCTAGGTTTTTCATATTCATCTGGGTAACAGTTTACTAACTTAATCTGTTTATTAGTTAATCTGACACAGATAGGAATTTAAAATCTAGCGGAAAGGACATAAAACTTAAAAGGATATAATTTGTTTCACACCTCTTTAACCTCCACCAATCTTTCATTCCACAGCCTCAGAGAGCTAGAAAGCTTGAGTTAATTACCAGCAAAACATATTATGTTGGTTGTAAGGCGGGAAGGGAAGAAGGCTATCTTCCTTTGCTATGCTGTGATACAGGTTGCTGTGCAAGACATTCAGAGGGTCACCGAGGAACCTTTGTTGGTCTCTTACTAAAGTTGTAAGGTTTTATTTAAGAAATTCTTTTACACTGGGATTAATATAGTTGATACTCCATCTATTGCTAAGGGGAAGGGACCAACAAGAGACTCTTCATAGTATAAAACAGTAATGGCTGCTCATAAATCCTTTTACTCCTTTGAGCAGGCCCAAATCTTGAAAACTGCTGCATTTATAACATCAAGTGTCATGTGCATTTTTTTGACTTCTCCCATCTGTATCATGGCATGAGCTTGACTTCACCTAAGGTAGACGTTGGAATAAAAGGCTCATTTGCTGTTTTTTAATAGAAGCATCACAAGAAAGAAGAGCAGCTAAGCAGAAGTATAAGGATTCTGGCTTTTATTTTATTTATTTATTTATTTTTTTGAGACGGAGTCTCCCTCTGTTGCCCAGGCTGGAGTGCAGTGGTGCAATCTCAGCTCACTGCAACCTCTGCCTAGCAGGTTCAAGTGATGCTCCTGCCTTAGCCTTCCAAGTAGCTGGGATTACAGGCGCATACCACCACGCCCAGCTAATTTTTGTATTTTTAGTAGAGATGAGGTTTCACCATGTTGGTCTGGCTAGTCTTGAACTCCTGACCTCAGATGATCCACCCGCCTCAGCCTCCCAAAGTGCTAGGATTACAGGTGTGAGCCACTGCGCCCATCCAGGATTCTGGCTTTTAATCTCCAAGCTTAGATCATGACAGAAAGGACTAAGGAACTCTTCATCAGTTCTTTATTCAAGAAGCCCATTGCGGGGGTGGTTAATGTTCACTCAAGATTTGTGCTATTGTAGTAGTCCATTCGTTGTACTATAATTAGAAAACAATTTCTGCCCTTTTGGAAATATGGAAATATGTTGGAAATATGGATATTACTCTTTGCAGTACTGAATGGTTTTTGGCAGCTCAGTAGTGTCAATCTGAGAAGTGCAACTGGAATTTCTTTTTTTCAGTATCTTCTGATGGTTGCTCTACTCCTTCAAGGGAGGAAGGTGGGTGTTCTTTGGCTTCCACTCCTGCCACCACTCTGCATCTCCTGCAGCTCTCTGGTCAGAGGTCCCTTGTTCAGGACAGTCTTTCCACGTAAGTAAGCCTAAAATAGCTTATGCCAAGGCAGTATGTGCCTGAGAGTCTTAGGCTAAGGCTGAAAGAGGCTAAACTTATCTGCTAGTCTAGAATTCTTTTTGAAACCAAATGGTAGAACCTATGCATTAGAGCTTTGGGGATGAAGAACTGTTGAAGGCAGATAAATCTGTTGTCCCATTTGAAAATTTTATAATAGTAGCCCAAACGTTTCACTAAGAAAGAAAAGGCGCAGTTATTTAGAAAATGTTACACATCCAAAACAAGCATTCTGCTCCTCTGTTTTACTTGCAATTCTTCTCATTTAATAGCAGAGGGTGGAGAATAGGTTGTTAAGTTGACAGTAGTTGGATTTCTTTATGTTAGGGCAAAGAGGTTCGCTTGTTGGTTTTTTTTGTTTAGTTTTAGTTTTCTGATGAAAATGTTCATGGTCTGACTATTATTAGGCAAAAAAATGGAATAATTTTTTTTATGTCTCAAATCTGCAAATGAATTTATTTCCTAGCACTGCTCATTTTGCTTTTAAATCATGATGTCCTTGTGTCTGATCATTCACTTTGCCCTTACTCTCTTTTTGAAAAAGTTCTTATTTTACAACAGAAATGTCTGGTGTGGGAAATAGTTATTGAAGTATTTTTGGTTCTTCCACCAGCCTCAGGTTGCTGTTGGGGAAAAGTGCTGATAAGTATTTATCTGAATGCCTTAGATATTTTTTCCTGTTAAAAAGTAAAAGCAAATACAGAAATGCAAAACTGTGGCTATGGTAAAATAACCTGTGATTCTCTCTTTATATAAAGGAATTCTTCAGATCTTGTTGCTCCTTCTCCTGATGCTTTCCGATCTACTCCTTTTATCGTTCCTAGCAGTCCCACAGAGCAAGAAGGGAGACAAGGTGAGCTCTCTTGATCTGTCTGTTGATCTCAGATTAGAAGAGGAGCAACACTTTTTCTGCCTTGCAAAATGTACTACTTCTTTGTACTTTAGAATGCTTGTGACCTACACAATTCGGTAGGACTCATGTTTGTCTAACCTTTAGGGATGTGACCTACTGTAAAGTGCTGTCCTCAGTTCTTTGCTTTTCCTTCCTTCCTTTTTTTTTTTTTTTTTTTGTCTAACCCCATTGAGAGGTGACAGCGTGCTGGCAGTCCTCACAGCCCTCGCTCGCTCTCGGCGCCTCCTCTGCCTGGGCTCCCACTTTGGCGGCACTTGAGGAGCCCTTCAGCCCACCGCTGCACTGTGGGATCCCCTTTCTGGGCTGGCCAAGGCTGGAGCCCGCTCCCTCAGCTTGCAGGGAGGCGTGCAGGGAGAGGTGCGAGCAGCAACCGGGGCTGTGCGCGGCGCTTGCGGGCCAGCTGGAGTTCCTGGTGGGTGTGGGCTTGGCGGGTCCTGCACTCGGAGCAGCCGGCCGGCCCTGCCGGCCCCCCGGGCAATGAGGGGCTTAGCACCCGGGCCAGCGGCTATGGAGGGTGTACTGGGTCCCCCAGCAGTGCTAGCCCACCGGCGCTGCGCTTGATTTCTCGCCGGGCCTTACTTAGCTGCCTTCCAGTGGGGCAGGACTCGGGACCTGCAGCCCGCCATGCCTGAGCCTTCCACCCCCTCCGTGGGCTCCTGTGTGGCTGAGCCTCCCTGATGAGCACTGCCCCCTGCTCCACGGCACCTAGTCCCATCGACCACCCAAAGGGCTGAGGAGTGCAGGAGCACGGCACAGGACTGGTAGGCAGCTCCACCTGCAGCCCCCGTGCGAGATCCACTGGGTGAAGCCAGCTGGGCTGCTGAGTCTGGTGAGGACGTGGAGAACCTTTATGTCTAGCTCAGGGATTGTAAATACACCAATCGGCACTCTGTATCTAGCTCAGGGTTTGTAAACACACCAGTCAGCACCCTGTGTCTAGCTCTGAGTTTGTGAATGCACCAATCCACACTCTGTATCTGGCTGCTCTGGTGGGACGTGGAGAACCTTTATGTCTAGCTCAGGGATTGTAAATACACCAATCGGCACTCTGTTTCTAGCTCAAGGTTTGTAAACACACCAATCAGCACCCTGTGTCTAGCTCAGGGTTTGTGAATGTACCAATGGACACTCTGTATCTAGCTACTCTGGTGGGGCCTTGGAGAACCTTTGTGTGGACACTCTGTATCTAGCTAATCTGGTGGGGACGTGGAGAACCTTTGTGTCTAGCTCAGGGATTGTAAATGCACCAATCAGCCCCCTGTCAGCACAGACCACTGGCTCTACCAATCAGCAGGATGTGGGTGGGGCTAGATAAGAGAATAAAAGCAGGCTGCCCGAGCCAGCAGTGGCAACCCGCTCGGGTCCCCTTCCACAGTGTGGAAGCTTTGTTCTTTCACTCTTTGCAATAAATCTTGCTACTGCTCACTCTTTGGGTCCACGCTGCTTTTATGAGCTGTAACACTCACTGCGAGGTCTGTAGCTTCACTCCTAAAGCCAGCGAGACCACGAGCCCACTGGGAGGAACGAACAACTCTAGACGCGCTGCCTTAAGAGCTGTAATACTCACCGCGAAGGTCTGCAGCTTCACTCCTGAACCAGCGAGACCACGAACCCACCAGAAGGAAGAAACTCCGAACACATCTGAACATCAGAAGGGACAGACTCGAGACGCGCCACCTTAAGAGCTGTAACTCTCACCGTGAGGGTCCGCGGCTTCATTCTTGACGTCAGTGAGACCAAGAACCCACCAATTCTGGACACACCATCCCCCATTCTTTGCTTTTCTAGCACTAATTCTATTGAGATTTCTGTATTGGCTCAATTTTTAAAAAGGCTCTGAAGGAAAAATTTTTGTTTTTAAAGTTGAACTGAAATGAATTAGTATGGGGAAGAACTGGACTTATTAATAATGGCCTACTTGTTTCTAGCAACACGTGAACACATTTCTGGTGAGAAGGAACCAGCAATTGTTTCTTGTGGTCCTTATAGGTTATTTTTGCTATTAAAATAGTTTTAGCATAAGAATGGTTAAGAGTAGGTGGTAAAAATTTTAACTTCATTCATTTACTCCTTTGACGACTTAGAGATTTTATATTACTTTATTCACAAGAAAGCTTTCCTTTTCACTTACCTAATTTATCTCATTATTTAAGCTTCTTTTGCTCTGACCTAGTCTCCTATCCAGTCATTCAAGATGTTTCTAAGTTCTTACGATTTCTACAAAGCTTTTTCTAATAAATTCTATGATTTTCATCTTTTCACTCTTTCATATACAAGTAATGGTATAATAGTTTTATTTATTGAGCACTTAGTATAGGCAAGGCATTGTTCTAAGGGCATTTCTGTGGTTTTTCTCATTGAATCCTCACAAACATCCTAAGAAGGAGGTGTTATTTTTATCCCCATTTTACAGATGAGGAAATGGAGGCATAGAGAGATTTTTCAACTAATGAGATGTAGAAGCAGAATTTGAACTCAGGCAGCTGCCTCCAGAGCCTGTGCCTTCATCTGTCATGTATATGCCTCCTATTATATCCTTTCTCTGCTCTTGAGTAACATAAAACATAGACATTTAACAGTTTTTCAAATGTAATTTATCAGTGATAGAATTTGATCTTAGGCTTTCTTCTGCTACAAAGTTTGTCTCTGGCTGTTTCTCTTAAAATCAGTTGTAGGTATCCAAATTGACTAATATCAATCTAAGCATAACATGATTAGTGACTGATATCAATCTAAGTATAACATGATTAGGTGAATTAATTCTACAAAAACCCAGGTAATACAAGTGAAGTTTGGTTAATTCTTAAAACAGTTTCTTTTATCTTTTATCTGTAGTGTGAACATTGAAAAAATATAAAAATAATTATATTAAATATACTTTCTCAGGCTGGGCACGGTGTCTCACACCTGTAATCCCAATACTTTGGGAGGCCAAGGTGGGCAGATCACCTGAGGTCAGGAGTTTGAGACCAGCCTGGCCACCATGGTGAAACCCCATCTCTACTAAAAATATAAAAAATTAACTGGGTGTGGTGGCGGGTGCCTGTAATCCCAGCTACTCAGGAGGCTGAGGCAGGAGAATCACTTGAACCTGGGAGGCGGAGGTTGCAGTGAGCCAAGGTGGCACCACTGCGTCGCAGCCTGGACAACAGAGCGAGACCCTGTCTCAAAAAAAAAAAAGCTTTCTCCCTGATTGTAAACAGTCAATATTTATTGTAGAAAGTTTGTTAAGTATATAGGAAATTAATGAAAATAAAAATCACCTGTGATACTACACTCCAGATATAGCTACAACTAGTATATTTGGATATATTTCAGTTTTCAATGCATAAAGTAGTTTTACATAATTGGCATGTTGTGTATATGACTCAGTTTTTTTTTTTTATGTAACAGTGTATTTTCCCTTGTCAGTTATATTTTAGATTTAATGCATTTGCTTAATATGTATGTACATCAGTGTTTGTGAAACTATATGTGCTTTTTGTATTTATTTGTTTTTTTGCTTTTCTCTTAACCTAAAGCCTTTTTTGTATGTAGTGCCTATAACAGCAGGTTTTTAATGTGCTTTGTCATGGCAAGAAAGTTCAAAAGGTGCAACAAAAATACTTAGCACAGCTATGGTAGTATATTAAAGGCCTGTAGCACTGGATCCCAAATTAGGTGTAGACTGGTAAGGTTGAGACTAAGCTAAGCAGCAAAGCTGGGTATTGAGGTTGCAGTTTGGGTAGCTGGTAGCATGAATGTGAATTATGGGGAAAAGGTAAATGTTGTTAGTAGTTTGTGAGTGGTCTAGAGGAAGCCTGGTTGGGGTCAAGTTGTAAGATAGGGGATACAAATGATGAATCAAATACTTAGCTAGCTGGGCTGACTCCAAGCAAGTTCCTGATAGCCTACAGGTGGGTAGTATACTATGGGAAAGCAGTGTTTTGTGTTTTGTGTGTGTGTGTTCCCTCCTAATGTGTGTCAGGATTAGTGTCTTCTCTTTCTTAGTTCTTTGATAAATCAGTGCTGATTGGCATTGATAGATTTTTTTTCTTCATCTGTATTTGTACAGGCATCCATCTCTCTGCAGTTAGCAATTGTTAATGCAAATATAATCAGTTCGTAAATATGAATTATAGATACTGTATTTACCTAAAGTGGTGACAAATTCACTGTCTTTCAAGGCCTGTGGTAGAATATATGATGGTTAAATTAGGTACCAGTAGTTTGGGCTTTTCTACAGGAAATGTGAAAAACTGAGCTATAAAATCAGGAAAGGAGCCAAGTTAATTTAACATTTTTTATGAATGGGTGGGTAGCCCCAGATGCATCCAGTTTTGATCTATACCTAAAAATAGGAGCTTGGACTGCTCCGCCAACCAAAGGAAGTATTGGTAGATTGCTAGGACCCAGTCTACTATTATTCTGTCAGCTTTTCTGAAAAATTACGTCACTATTTTTTTAGAGTGAAAATGTCTGTAGTGTAATTGTTCTTAGTGGTTTTGGAACATGAGTAATATTGATGAGTGATATTTCTCAATTTGTTTCTCCTGTTTTAAACCAGATAAGCCAATGGACACGTCAGTGTTATCTGAAGAAGGAGGAGAGCCTTTTCAGAAGAAACTTCAAAGTGGTGAACCAGTGGAGTTAGAAAACCCCCCTCTCCTGCCTGAGTCCACTGTATCACCACAAGCCTCAACACCAATATCTCAGAGCACACCAGTCTTCCCTCCTGGGTCACTTCCTATCCCATCCCAGCCTCAGTTTTCTCATGTGAGTATTGTAAAAAGAGTTGTTTCTCCTAACATATTTTTTTAAAGCAGCATTATTGGGGTATAATTTACATACCATAAAATTCACACGTTTTAAATGTATAATTTTGTGATATTTTAGTAAATTTACAGAGTTGTGAAGCTGTCGTCACAAAGCAGTTTTAGAACAGTTCCAAAGTCACCTAACATCTTGATTTTTTTTTATGTTTAAACTTTTTACAATGTCTTTAAACTTTTTGAAAATGTTACTGCAAAATTGCGAAGTGACATAAATCATTATTCTACTTTAACACAACTGTTACTGTAATTTTTGTCTTTCTACATGCTTATGGTTTTTTTTAATAAATTTTTTTGCCTATGACACAGCCTCAGGAGGTCCTGACGATATGTGCCCCCACATGCTTATGTTTTTTAAAAAAGGTGTTTATATAGCACAACTTTAATTTTCTTTTTCCAGTTAATGTTGTGTCGTAATAATTCTCAGTGTTATATTGTCTTCACTTATCCTTTCAAAAGTCATGTATTATTTCTCTAAGTAGATGTGATCTCAGTACAGGATCATCCTATACTTAGGGTATCAAGATGGTTTTTAGTTTTCCAATGTGTATTTTCTTCTAAAAGCGAGGGAAAACTATTAATTTGTATAATTTTAAATTTAAATATTTAAAGAAATGAAATTCAGGTTTCATACTGAGTTGAAAATCCTTAAATCTAAATGACTATTATATATTCAATCTAAATACCTATTCTTATAAGACCTTAAGTGGGGGAATTATTGTAGTTTTATTGGGACAACTTATTTTACCCCTTTCAGTTTGCAGGTGTTATAACAAGAGTTTGTATTTAAAAGTAAAATTTGAAAATGAATAGTAATGAACTGTAAATTTAGTGAGGAGGGGACAGTAGGAAGAAATTGATTTGTTTTCTGGAGTTTTAAAACTTGTTTTGTTAAAGGATTTCATTTTATGCAGTTCATTAGAATTTGGTAGCGTTATTAAAAATGAGGACTCTAGAGTCAGAACTTCCTGGACTCGCTCCTGGCTCTGTCATTACTACCTTTGTGACCAATTGAAATTGAATCTTAGTTTGCTCATCAGTCAAATGATGGGGATATTGATACTGTCTACCTCGTAGGATGTTTATGAAAGGTTGAGTTAATATATATAAAATGCTTAGACTAGTGCCTTGCACTTGGTACTGCATATAAGGGTAGCTGTTGTTGGCAGTGAAAGGGTTAAAAACAAGGTTACCTAGAGGTGAAATGGATGTTCGAACCATACATCATTTTCTTTAGCTTTTTTTTTTTTTTTTTGAGACAGGATCTTGGTCTGTTGCCCAGGCTGGAGTGCAGTGGTGCGACCATGGCTCACTGCAGCCTTGACTTCCCAGTCTCAAGTGATCCTCCCACCTCAGCATCCCAAGTAGCTGGAACTACAGGCACATGGCACCATGCCCAACTAATTTCTTAATTTTTCTTATAGAGACGGGGTATCACTATGTTGCCAGGGCTGTTCTTAAACTCTTGGGCTCAAGCAATCCTCCTCTCTCAGCCTCCCAGTGTGTTGAGATTACAGGTGTGGGCCACCGTACCTGGCCTTCTTTAGCTTTTATTTTTCTAAGTTATATGTGAACATAGCTGGGCATGGTGGGGCATGCCTGTAATCTCAGCTGCTCAGGAGATTGAGGTGGGAGGAGCATTTGAACCTAGGAGTTTGAGAACAGCTTGGGCAAAATAGCAAGACCCTGTCTCAAAAAAAAAAAAAGTTATAAATCTGACCAGGTGTGGTGGCTCATGCCTGTAATCCCAGCACTTTGGGAGGCCGAGGCAGGCGGATCACTTGAGACCAGGAGTTCAAGACCAGCATGGCCAGCACAGTGAAACCCAGTCTCTACCAAAAAATACAAAAATTAGCCAGGCATGCTGGCACGCACCTGTAGTCCCAGCTATTTGGAAGGCTGAGGCAGGAGAATCGCTTGAACCTAGGAGGCAGAGGTTACAGTGAGCTGAGATCGCGCCACTGCACTGCAGCCTGGGCAACAGTGAGGCCCTGTCTTAAAAAAAAAAAAAAAGAGTTTAAGAATGAGCTATAAACACTGACACAGAGCACTGAGAAGATTCTTCCAACACTGATTTAAAGAAAATGGTTACAGATGTTTATCAGTGACCAAACGAGACTTTTATGGTCTTTGGAAAGGTATTCCTGCTGGTTGGGGGGGTGGAGATGATGCCTGGCCACAAAGGGAGAATGGACGTTTTGAAAAACAAGGCACTGTTGAAGGAATTGCTCTATTTTCAACATTTACCAAAGACCTTCAGAATTAGCTAAAAAATCAGCAATGAAAATTTGAGACAAATGAGTGATTCTGAACATAGTTCAGAGATTCTTGGAACCTAAGATGACTCTAATCAGGTTTCTTTGAACTCATATTTTATAAGATGCCTTAGCCAGTGCAGTCCATGCCTCCTGAAAAGTCTCTCAAGAATACCTTTAGTAGGCCGGGCGCAGTAGCCCACACCTATAATTGCAGCACTTTGGGAGGCCGAGGTGGGAGGATCACGTGAGCCCAGGAGTTTGAGAACAGCCTGGGCAACATAGCGAGACCCCATTTCTACAAATGGTCAAAAATAGCCAGGAGTGGTGGTGTGTGCCTGTAGTCCCAGCTGCTCAGGAGGCTGAGGCAGGAGAATTGCCTGGAGAATTGCTTGAATCTGGGAAGTTGAGGCTGCAGTGAGCCATGATCATGCCACAGCACTCAGCTTGAGCAACAGAGTGAGACCTTGTCTCAAAAAAAAAAAAGAATACCTTTACAACATAGCTTTTAAGTTAAAGATTTGATTTTACTTAATAAGCATGTGTAAAACCCCAAAAATAAGTCAGATAGTTAAAACAAGGCCTCTTCCTCTTCCTACCCAAAGATAACCACTTTTCGTTCTTTATGCTTTTTCTTTTGGTATTTACCTCCATAATTCTACATAGCATGATTATATTTTCTTTTTCTTAGGCACAGGGTCTTGACCTGTTGCTCAGGCTGGAATGCAGTGGAGCAATCATAGCTCACTGTAACCTCGAACTTCTGTACTCAGGCCATCCTCCCACCTCGGCCTCCTGAGTAGCTAGGACTAGTGGCACACACTATCACACCTGGCTAATTAAAAATTTTTTTGTAGAGATGGGACCTCACTATGTTGCCCAGGCTGGTCTTGAACTACTGGGCTCAAGCAGACCTCCTGCCTTGGCCTCCCAAAATGCTGGGATTACATACAGATGTGAGCTACCGTGCCCAGCCTATTTTCATAAAAAAATTTTAGCCATTTTCCAAGTATAGTTACATCGTAATTTTGTTTAGATTATTACTGAGTTTACATTATAACTATGTAAACAATTCACAGCAGAGCCTATGACATATTATTAATAGTTTTTCATGTTTCTTTTCTCTGAAATTGTAATTGTCTTTTTTTATTTGTTTAGTTTTCTTTGACTCTCATTAAATCAACCCTAGATTCTCCACCAATTGTCAGAAACTCCTTTCAGGATGTTGAGGAGCCTTAGACTTTCTGTTTCATCTTTTTGGAGAAACCTCTTTTGGACCCTCCTGATTTCTAATCTGTACTGTTGCCCTCTATGCCTGGTGCATAACTGTTAACCTCCGTTCACTGTCATCCGTGGAGATTCTCCTTACCTGTCTGTGTTGGATACCTCTTGGGTTTCATATCTTCTTGCTTGGTTTACTCCCTCATTTTGGTGGGGGACATTGTTTAGTAGCCTTTATTCTGCTATCACACTTGATTTGTAGTTTGCAGGAGTATAGAATTCTAGATTGGAAATAATTTTCCTTTAAAGATTTTGAAGGCATTGCTCTTTTGTCTTCCAACTTCCAGTGCTGCTGTTAAGTGTGAGGGTCAGGTCAGCCATGGTGGCTCATGCCTGTAATCTTAGCACTTTGGGAGGCTAAGGTGGGAGGATCACTTGAAGCCAGGAGTTTGAGACCAGCCTGGGCAACATGGCCAGACCCTGTCTGTACCAAAACAAAACAAAACAACAACAACAACAACAACAAAAAACAAAACAGTGTGAAGGCAGTCTGATCTTGACTTTTAATAGGTGATCTGGTTTTTCTTTACTGGAATCCTGTAGGATTTTCTCTTCGTTCCCAGTGTTCTGAAATTTCCAGACCTTTGGGATACGTCTATTTTCATTCATTGTATTGGGTACTTGGCAGGCCCTCTCAATTTAGAAACTCAGGTCCTTCAGTTCAAAGAAATTTATTTCTTTAATTTCTTCCCCTTTGTTTTCTCTGTTCTTCTTCTTTTTTTAATGGACTATCTGTTGTTTGGATGTTGAAACTCCTAGAATAGTCTTCTAATTTTATTTTGCCTCCTACTTTTGATCATCTCTGTCTCTTTTAGTTCAACTTGCTGGGTGATTTCTTCAATCATTAAAAAAACAGTGGCTATATTGAGATGTAATTCACATACCATTCAGTTTACCCATTTAAAGTGCACAATCCAGTGGTTTTTAGTATATTCATAGAGTTGTGCAACCATCACCATGATCTAATTTCAGAATAGTTTCATCACCTCCTCAAAACCCATGCCCTTTAGCACTCACTCAACATTTCTTCTACCCTCGGCCCTTCGAGGGTAGTCTACTTTCTGTCTCTATAGATTTGTAGACACCAGTCTACAAATGGAAAGTAGACACCAGTCTACTTTCTGTCTCTATAGATTTGCCTATTCTGGACATTTCATATAAATGGAATTATAAAATATATAGCCTTTGTGAATGGCTTCTTTCATTTAGCATAATGTTTTCAGGATTCACCTGTGTTGTAGCATGTATCAGATTTTCATTCCTTTTTTTGTATTGATCTATCCTTGTCTATAAAAAATATAAAGGAAAAAAGAATTTCATTCCTTTTTTATTTATTTATTTATTTATTTTTCTTTTTGAGATGGAGTTTCGTACTTGTTGCCCATGCTGGAGTGCAATGGCATGATCTTGGCTCACTGCAACCTTCGCCTCCCAGGTTCAAGCGATTCTCCTGCCTTAGCCTCCTGAGTAGCTGGGATTACAGGCATGCACCACCATGCCTGGCAAATTTTGTATTTTTTTTTTAGTAGAGACGGGGTTTCTCCATGTTGGTCAGGCTGGTCTTGAACTCCCGACCTCAGGTGATCCGCCTGTCTCGGCCTCCCAAAGTGCTGGGATTACAGGCATGAGCCACCACGCCTGGCCTTCATTCCTTTTTATTGCTGAATAATACAATTGTGTGGATATACCACAGTTACTCATGGATTCGTCAGTTGATGGACGTTTGGGTTGTTTCCCCTTTTGGCTATTGTGAATAATGCTGCTATGTACATTTATGGACAAGTTTGTGTGTGAACATGGTTTTATTTCTCTTATGTATACCTACAGGTGCCATTGCCCAGTTCAACCATCTTTTAATTCTTCTCTTAGTTATTAATTTCTACTCTTGGGTTTTTAATTTCTAAATTCTTTTTTCAGAATATATTTTTAAATACCATTTCTCTTGTTTTATTGATATACTATCTTATCTCTGTAACAGTATTAATAACAGTTTTCTTCTGTCTGGAATAGTCCTATTTCTTCCAGGTGGACTTTAGTTTTGTTTGTTTTGATCTCTTTCAAATTAGAGGCTTTCCTCAGATGTCTGGTAATCTTTGATTATTTGCTGATGTTCAAGAGTGAAATATCAGACAGATGATTAGTAGTTCTGAGTGGGTGGTTGGGTCTTATTGTTTTTGGGATTTGCTGTAATGTGATCCGCTGAGACATTTTATTGGGAGTCCCATAATGTCAGTATCTTGATTCATCTTGGCCTGGTCAGATCCCTTAGGAAAATGTCTGATCTCCTATTTGCAGGGTATTGGCCTGGCTGTACTAGAGGTCTATTAATGGAAGCGGGCTTTGGGTGGGAAGGGGGGTTGGGAGGCAGGTGCAGGTTTCATTCAATATGTAGATTTTCATTTAATCTCCGTATTTTCAGTATTGTACTTCCTGATAACTGTGCCTCTTGTCTGCCAGTCCTGGGACACTCTGTTTTACTCTCTCCAGGGCAGAGGAGGGGCAGGGTGAGATTATGGGTGTTGGAACTGTGGTGTAACTCTGGTGGTTTGTTGGCTTTCTCCACTGCTGGCTTAGGAATTCAGCTTTCACTCTTCTGCTAAATAGATTACCTTTTCCAGATTTTTTTTGCAGTTCTCTTTTCTTCTGTTCTCTTTTTCTTGAAGTTTTGTGCTTAAGAAAAATCCCTTTACCATTACTTAATGGGATTTCAGAAAACTCTGAATATGTGTATATTTAGTTCTCCATTTCTATTAAGTTCCCTACTTTTTTCATTATATGTCAAACTTATTCTTGTTATTCTTAATGGGTAACCCTTGTTCATCTGTTATTTCTTTTGTACCTTGGTTACTGGAGTCCAAGTCAACCTAATTTTGATGTTGTAAGATTTAAATATGTGTAAAGAGATTAGTACTATTCAAGAGAAAATTGGGATAAAGGTAATTTTGTCTATTTTTTTCTTTCTTTCCTAATAAACTTGTCAATTGCATAGCCTCTTTGACCCTTTACCAAGATATGAGGGATGGGGAGAGGATTAGTAGAACACAGTTTGATAGTTAACATTTTCTCATTCTTGATATATGTATTAATTTTGGTGAGGACAAATTAGACAATTAAATGTTTTCAAACTAGAATAGTGGTGGTGGTGGCATAACATTGTAAATGCACCAAATGCCATTGAATTATTTTATTTTTGTTTTTGTGTTTTTTTTGAGATGGAGTCTCACTCTGTCGCCCAGGCTGGAGTGCAGTGGCATGATCTCAGCTCACTGCAACCTCCTCCTCCTGAGTTCAAGTGATTCTCCTGCCTCAGCACCCCAAGTAACTGGGACAAAAAGTGCACACCACCATGCCCAGCTAATGTTTGTATTTTTAGTAGAGATGGGGTTTCACCATGTTGGCCAGGCTGTTCTCAAACTTCTGACCTTAAGTGATCTGCCTGCCTTGGCCTCCCAAAGTGCTGGAATTACAGGCATGAGCCACCACGCCTGGCCTGAATTGTTTAGTTTAAAATGGGTTAATTTTATATTGTGAGTTTCATTTAAAAAAAGGTATTTATAGCTTTACGTTAGTGATGTTTTATCTATGAGACTTTGTAAAATGACTTATTTTTTGCAACAAGGGAAAAAATACATATGTCTTGCAGAAGATGTGGTCATGCTTGGTGGCTTACACCTGTAATACCAGTGCTTTGGGAGGCCAAGGTGGGAGGATAGCTTGAGCTAGGAGTGTGACAGCAGCCTGGGCAACATAGTGAGGCCCCCGTCTCTACCCACCAAAAGAAAAAAAAAATTAGCCGGATGTGGTGACGTGTGCCTGTAGTCCCAGCTCCTGGTGCTGGGGAGCAGTATGAGCGGGGAAGATTGCTTGAGTTCAGGTGTTTGAAGCTGCAGTGAACTATGATTGTGCCACTGCCCTCTGGCCTGGGTGACAAAGCAAGACCCCATCTTGAAGAAAAGAAAAAAGAGAAGATAAGATCATTAGTTATTCTACCTCAGAAATAACAACTCTTAGCTTTTTTTTTTTTTTTTTTTTTTTTTTTTTTTTTTTTTGAGATGAAGTCTCGCTCTCCACGTGTCTGGCAAATTTTTGTGTTTTTAGTAGAGATGGGGTTTCACCTTGTTGGTCAGGCTGGTCTCGAACTCCTGACCTCAGGTGATCCACCTGCCTCAGCCTCCCAATGTGCTGGGATTACAGGTGTAAGCCATCACACCTGGCCCTCTTAGCTTTTTTTGATATATGTTTATTAACTAAAATTACATGAAGATTATATATTATAAAATGTGTAAAAAGAGTAGAATGGCCAGGTTCTGTGGCTCACGCTTGTAATCCCAGCTTTGGGAGGCCGAGGCAGACCAATCACTTGAGGTCAGGAGTTTGAGACCGGCCTGGCCAACACGGTGAAACCCCATCTCTACTAAAAAGTACAAAAATTAGCCGGGTGTGGTGGCGGGCACCTGTAATCCCAGTTACTCTGGAGGCTGAGGCAGGAAAATCACTTGAACCTGGGAGGTGGAGGTTGCAGTGAGCGGAGATGGTGCCACTGCACTTCAGCCTGGGTGACAGAACAAGACTGTGTCTCAAAAAAAAAAAAATATAATGTATATCCACATAATTTTTTACTAAAATAGAAACTTCTTTCTATAGCCCAAATGTTTTTTGATCTTTTAGTATTCTTCTACTGTATACTTTTATGTAGACCACAAAACATTCTATCATGTGATAGATCACAATTTAAAAATTATTATCTTGGCCGGACGAGGTAGCTCATGCCCGTAATCCCAGCACTCTGGGAGTTCGAGGTGGGCAGATTGCTTGAACCTAGGAGTTCAGGATCAGCCTGGGCAACATGGCAAAATCTCGTCTCTACAAAAAATACTAAAAAATTAGGTGTGGTGGTGTGTGCCTGTATTCCCAGCTACTCGGGAGGCTGAGGTAAGAGAATCACTTGAGCCTAGGAGGTCAAGACTGCAGTGAGCCATGATCGCATTACTGCACTCCAGCCTGGGCAACAGAGCAAGACCTGTCTCAAAAAAAAAATAAAATAAAATTCCTATTTGTAACCATTTAAGGTATTTCATATTGTTTCCTATTCTAAATAATAATATAGCAGTGAACCATTTTGTAGCTAAGTATTAGTGTGCTTTCATTGATTAATTTCCCAGAAATGGAATTATTGGATTATGGGGTATAGAATTTCAGGGCTGTTGTGTTTTGCTAAATTGCCATTTAGAAATGTTGAACCTTTTTTTTTTTTTTCCTTTTGAGGCAGGGTCTTACTCTGTTGTACAGGCTGGAGTGCAGTGGCACAATCACACTGCTCACTGCAGCCTTAACCATCCAGGCTCCCAAGTAGCTGTGACCACAGACGTGTGCCACCACACTCAGCTAATGTTTTTTTTTTTTTTGGTAGAGACAGGGTCTCACTTTGTTGCGCAGGCTTATCTCAAACTCCTGGGCTCAAGTAATCCTTCTGCCTCGGCCTTCCAAAGTGTTGGGATTATAAGTTAGAGCCACTGCATCTGGCTTGAACCAGTTTATACTCAGTCATGTCTGAGAGTATATGAACAGATTCAAACTTAGGATCATTGTTACAATCTGATAGGATAAACAATAATACCAGACATTGAAATATCAGAAGTTATGGAATATACAGAATGCTTTACTACCCATTTGATTCCTCATTCCCTTAAAAATCATAGGAAAAAAAGCCTGAGCGTGGTGGCTCATGCCTGTAATCCTAGCAGTTTGGGAGGCTAAGCTGGGCAGATTGCTCAAGCCCAGGATTTTGAAACAAGCCTGGGCAACAAAATGAGACCCTCTCTACAAAAAATACAAAAATTACCTGGCTCTGGTGGTGCGCACCTGTAGTTCCAGCTACTCGGGAGACTGAGGTGGGAGGATCAGTTGAGTCCAAGACATTAAGGCTGCAATGAGCCGTGATTAAGCCACTGCACTCCAGCCTGGCTGGCAGAGCGAGACCTTGTCTCAAAACAAAACAAAACAAAACAAAACATAGGAAATGAATGCCTAACCATCTATGTTGGGAGTTTTACATCATTTACATTAGGCAAAATAACACACTAAATGTAAAATCTCTTATAAAAACAGCTAAGTTTTGTATTAATTTCTCTTTTTAAAAATATTGAAGTATTGGTTACATAAAATAAAATTATTTTACGTGTATGTTTTGATGAATTTTGGCAAATGTATACAGCTGTGTAACCATCACCACCATCAAAGTAGAGAGCAGTTCCCTCACCCTAAAAAGTTTCCTTATAACCTTTTGTGGTTGATCTCCCTGCTGCCCAGTATACTCCCTTCTCCCGCCCTAGGCAATCACACATCAGCTTTCTGTCAGTATAGTTTTGGTATTTCAGTAGTTTCAAGTCTGGGCAATATAGCAGGATCCCATTTCTAAAAGACATTTTAAAAATTACCTGGGTGTTGTGGCGCCCACCTGTATTCCCAGCTACTTGGGAGGCTGAGGTGAGAGATTGCTTGAGCCCAGGAAATTGAGGCTGCAGTGAGCTGTGATCTCACCACTGCACTCCAGAGCCTAGGCAACAGAGTGAAGCCTTGTCTTTAAAAAAAAAAAAGAAAAAAAAGAATTTCATGCAATTGGAATCAGGAAGTGTGTGTGGTCTTTTATTTTTGAGCTCTTTTACTTAGCATATTTTTGAGATTTGCTTGTATTATACATATTCATATTTTATTCCATTTATATTGTTGGATAGTGTTCCATAATATGTGTATCCACAATTTGTTTATTCATTCACCAATTGATAGGACATTTGGTTCTAGTTTTTGGTTATTTTGAATAATCTATTCAATTATAATTAATATATGACCATTATATGAGTGAATATATGAATAATTTCCCATGAATTTATGAATAATAATCCTATGATCATTTGCACATCTTTTTTTTGGAGACAGACTCTCGCTCTGTCGCTGAGGCTGGAGTGCAGTGGCGTGATTTTGCCTCACTGCAACCTCTGCCTCCTGGGTTCAAGCAATTCTCGTGCCTCAGCCTCTGGGTAGCTGGGATCACAGGTGTGCACCACCATGCCCAGCTAATTTTTGTATTTTTAGTAGGGGCGGGATTTCACCATGTTGGCCAGGCTGACCTCGAACTCCTGGCCTCAAGAGATCTGCCTGTCTTGGCCTCCCAAAGTGCTGAGAATACAAATGTGAGCCACTGTGCCTGGCCAGCATGCACATCTTACGAATAATAATTCTGTGATCATTTGGATGCACATCTTTCTGTGGGCACATATTTTTATTTTTCTTGGGTAAATGCCTACAAGCAGAATGCCTAGGTTATATAGTAATGAATGTTCAACTTTATAAGATACTGCCATACTGTTTTTCCAAAGTGGGTGTAACATTTTGCATTCCCAGCAGCAATGTACGAGAGTTGCAGTTGTTCAACATCGTTGCTAATCCTGGGTTTTGTGAACCTTTTTTTTTTTGTCTTTTTTTGGGACAGAGTCTTTCTCTGTCACCCAGGCTAGTGTACAGTGAGTGGTACA
The DNA here is from genome assembly GCF_000001405.40 of Homo sapiens. Classification (NCBI taxonomy): domain Eukaryota; kingdom Metazoa; phylum Chordata; class Mammalia; order Primates; family Hominidae; genus Homo; species Homo sapiens. Next base: position 43,458,733 of record NC_000015.10, on the reverse strand, counting down.
ATAATAGCTCACTGCAGCCTTGAACTCCTGTGGCTCAAGGATCCTGCTGCCTCAGCCTCCCGAGTAGCTGGGACTGTAGGGACACAATACCATGCCTGGCTAATTTTTAAAGTTTCTGTAGACATGGGGTGTAGCCATGTTGTCCAGGCTGGTCTTGAACTCCTGGGCTTAAGCAGTTTTCCCACCTCAGCCTCCCCAAAGTGCTGGGATTACAGGTGTGAGCCACCATCCCTGGCTGAGCCACGATGCCTGACTGTTTTGTGAACTATTTTAACATTAGTTTGCTTTTTTTTTTTGAGATATAGTCTCACTTGTTGCCCAGGCTGGAGTACAATGTCACGATCTCAGCTCACTGCAACCTCTGCCTTCTGCCTCCTGGGTTCAAGTGATTCTCCTGCCTCAGCCTTGTGAGTAGCTGGGACTACAGGTGCACGCCACCATGCCCGGCTAATTTTTGTATTTTTAGTAGAGATGGGGTTTCACCATGTTGGCCAGGTTGGTCTCGAACTTCTGACGTCAGGTGATCCGCCTGCCTTGGCCTACTAAAGTGCTGGGATTACAGGTGTGAGCCACCGTGCCTGGCCTATGTTAGTTGCTTTTGTTGCGTGTAGTGGTATTTCATTGTGATTTTAATTTGTATTTCTCTGTTGACTATTGATATTTTGTAAGCTTTGGATTTTATTTATTATTATTAGTATTATTATTACTATTTTTTGAGATGGAGTCTTGCTCTGTAATCCAGACTGGAGTGCAATGACACGATCTTGGCTCACTGCAACCTCTGCCTCCGCGGTTCAAGCCATTCTTCTGCCTCAGTTTCTTGAGTAGCTGGGATTACAGCCATGCACCACCCCACCCGGCTAATTCTTGTATTTTTGGTAGAGACAGGGTTTCGCCATGTTGGCCAGGCTGGTCTTGAACTCCTGACCTCAGGTGATATACCTGCCTCAGCCTCCCAAAATGCTGGGATAATAGGCATGAGCTACCACACCTGGCCACTGGATTTTAATACCTGCTTTATGAATGCTAGCTTTTTTTTTTTTTTTTTTTTTTTTTTTTTTTGAGATGGAGTCTCACTCCGTCACCCAGGCTGGAGTGCAGTGGTGCAATCTCGGCTTACTGCAACCTCCGCCTCCAAGGTTCAAGTGATTCTCCTGCCTCAGCCTCCCAAGTAGCTGGGATTACAGGTGCCCACCACCACGCCTGGCTGATTTTTTTGTATTTTTAGTAGAGACAGGGTTTCACCGTGTTGAATGCTAGCACATTTTGAAATCGTGAAGTAAAATGAGTACGTATCCCCACTTTGTGAGAACTGAAATGGGCTGGAGCATGTGCCACTGCTCCTGGCTATACTAGAGTTCTTTAATTCTTAAATTTGATTTAGAAATTTTATATGAATTTAAAAATTTGATTTAGAAATTTGATTTTAGAAATTTTATATGAATCCAAGGATTCGATATAAAAGATATATGATCATGTACAAATTACAATTTGTCTCTTTCTGTTCTTCCTTAGGACATTTTTATTCCTTCCCCAAGTCTGGAAGAACAATCAAATGATGGGAAGAAAGATGGAGATATGCATAGTTCATCTTTGACAGTTGAGTGTTCTAAAACTTCAGAGATTGAACCAAAGAATTCCCCTGAGGATCTTGGGCTATCTTTGACAGGGGATTCTTGCAAGTTGATGCTTTCTACAAGTGAATATAGTCAGTCCCCAAAGATGGAGAGCTTGAGTTCTCACAGAATTGATGAAGATGGAGAAAACACACAGATTGAGGATACGGAACCCATGTCTCCAGTTCTCAATTCTAAATTTGTTCCTGCTGAAAATGATAGTATCCTGATGAATCCAGCACAGGATGGTGAAGTACAACTGAGTCAGAATGATGACAAAACAAAGGGAGATGATACAGACACCAGGGATGACATTAGTATTTTAGCCACTGGTTGCAAGGGCAGAGAAGAAACGGTAGCAGAAGATGTTTGTATTGATCTCACTTGTGATTCGGGGAGTCAGGCAGTTCCGTCACCAGCTACTCGATCTGAGGCACTTTCTAGTGTGTTAGATCAGGAGGAAGCTATGGAAATTAAAGAACACCATCCAGAGGAGGGGTCTTCAGGGTCTGAGGTGGAAGAAATCCCTGAGACACCTTGTGAAAGTCAAGGAGAGGAACTCAAAGAAGAAAATATGGAGAGTGTTCCGTTGCACCTTTCTCTGACTGAAACTCAGTCCCAAGGGTTGTGTCTTCAAAAGGAAATGCCAAAAAAAGAATGCTCAGAAGCTATGGAAGTTGAAACCAGTGTGATTAGTATTGATTCCCCTCAAAAGTTGGCAATACTTGACCAAGAATTGGAACATAAGGAACAGGAAGCTTGGGAAGAAGCTACTTCAGAGGACTCCAGTGTTGTCATTGTAGATGTGAAAGAGCCATCTCCCAGAGTTGATGTTTCTTGTGAACCTTTGGAGGGAGTGGAGAAGTGCTCAGATTCCCAGTCATGGGAGGATATTGCTCCAGAAATAGAACCATGTGCTGAGAATAGATTAGACACCAAGGAAGAAAAGAGTGTAGAATATGAAGGAGATCTGAAATCAGGGACTGCAGAAACAGAACCTGTAGAGCAAGATTCTTCACAGCCTTCCTTACCTTTAGTGAGAGCAGATGATCCTTTAAGACTTGACCAGGAGTTGCAGCAGCCCCAAACTCAGGAGAAAACAAGTAATTCATTAACAGAAGACTCAAAAATGGCTAATGCAAAGCAGCTAAGCTCAGATGCAGAGGCCCAGAAGCTGGGGAAGCCCTCTGCCCATGCCTCACAAAGCTTCTGTGAAAGTTCTAGTGGTGAGTGTGATTGTAGATTATTCTTGTCTCCACCTAAATTATAATCTGGAATGGAAAGTTGGCGAGAACTGCATGCTTATGTCAGGAGTGAACACTATCTTTGGTTTATGTTTATGAACAACCAATAATAATTGGGAAATTAAATTTTTTGGATTGCCTTTTTTTTTTTTTGAGACAGAGTCCCGCTCTGTTGCCCAGGCTGGAGTACAGTGGTGCAGTCTCAGCTCCCTGCAACCTCCACCTCCCGGGTTCAAGTGATTTCTCGTGCCTCAGCCTCCCAAGTAGCTGGGACTATAGGCTCATGCCACTATCTGGCTAATTTTTGTGTATTTTTAGTAGAGATGGGGTTTCACCATGTTAGCCAGGCTAGTCTCGAACTCCTGACTCAAGTGATCTACCTGCCTTGGCCTTCCAAAGTGCTGGGATTACAGGGATGAGTCACCACGCCCAACCTGGATTGTATTTTTTTAATAGCTATAATTATTTGTGCAATTAAAGATATTTGAGGTTTATCAGCTTTGTAACTCGGGACTAGTTGGTAAAAAATATTTAGAAATTGTACCAATCTGTTTTTTTTTTACTTAGATTGTATCCTTGCTCTCTGTGTATAGATTTTGACAGTTGCCTTGAAGTAGAAGGATCTTTTTTGATTAACTCTGTGTGGTAAAATCACATTCAGAACTGTTGATGAGTATCCTATTAATTAGTTATTTCCTTTTTATGGGCATTAGGTAAAGTTTCTAAACTTAGTTCAAAAAATACATATCTCTTAAACCTGAAACTGGAAAATGTATTAGTTCTTGTTCTTTATTTTATGAAATTCAGCATGAAAACGTAGATTACTTTCTAAAGTATTTGTACAGGCTGGGTGCAGTGGCTCACGCCTGTAATCCTAACACTTTGGGAGGCCAAGGTGGGCGGATTGCCTGAGCTCAGGAGTTTGAGACCAGCCTGGCTAACATGGTGAAACCCATCTCCACTAAAATACAAAAAATTAGCCAGGTGTGTCGTGTGTACCAGTAGTTCCAGCTACTCGGGAGGCTGAGGCATGAGAATCGCTTGAACCTGAGAGGCAGAGGTTGCAGTGAGCCAAGATCACGCCACTGCATTGCAGCCTGGGCAACAGAGTGAGACTCTGTTTCCCAAAAATAAAATAAAATAATTTGTAGAGTATGACATTAGCTGAAAATAATTCAATCTTTCTGAATCCTTAGAGTTAGTATAATGTAGGTCAGGCGTGGTGGCTCACGCCTGTAATCCCAGCACTTTGGGAGGCTGAGGCCAGCAGATCGCCTGAGGTCGGAAGTTTGAGACTAGCCTGACCAACATGGAGAAACCCTGTCTTTACCAAAAACACAAAATTAGCCAGGAGTGCTGGCAGGCGCCTATAATCCCAGCTACTCGGGAGGCTGAGACAGGAGAATCACTTGAACCCGGGAGATGGAGGTTGCGATGAGCTGAGATTGCGCCATTGCACTACAGCCTGGGCAACAAGAGTGAAACTCTGTCTCAAAAAAAAAAAGAGTTATTATAATGTAAAATCAAGCTCCAAAAACAAAATAACAAGACACAAACTTAAGAAAACAAGTTTTTAGGATGAAATGAAAAAACAGTATTTGGCAGGTTTACATATGATAGTATGAGTGACCATATTTTTTGGTTTGCGTAGAACAGTCCCTTTTTTTTGAGATGTGGAGTCTTGCTCTGTTGCTGGGCTGGAGTGCAGTGGCGCAATCTCAGCTCACTGCAACCTCTGCCTCCCGGGTTCAAGCAATTCTCCTGCCTCAGCCTCTCGAGTAGCTGGGACTACAGGTGCATGCCACCATGCCCAGCTAATTTTTGTATTTTTAGTAGAGACGGGGTTTCACCATGCTGGCCAGGATGGTTTCAATCTCCTGACCTCGTCATCTGCCTTCCTCGGCCTCCAAAGTGCTGGGATTACAGGCGTGAGCCGCTGCACCCAGCCTAGAACAGTCCCATTTTATACCCATTGTCTAAGTGTGATTATTAATAGTACTTTTTTTTTAGTTTTTAAATTGTCCCTATTGGCCGGGTGCGGTGGCTCACGCCTGTAATCCCAGCACTTTGAGAAGCCAAGGCGGGCGGGTCACCTGAGATCAGGAGTTCGAGACCAGCCTTGCCAACATGATGAAACCTCATCTCTACTAAAAATACAAAAATTAGCCTGGAATGATGACGGGTGCCTGTAGTCCCAGCTACTCTGGAGGCTGAGGCACGAGAAGCCGAGATTGTATCACTGCACTCCAGCTTAGGTGACAGAATGAGACTCCGCCTCAAAAAAAAAAAAAGTCCCTATTTATTAGCTTTTATATTTAGCACTTTTTTTTTATCTTAAGAATAAGAAATGTTAGAGCTAAAAAGGAAGTGAGGGGTTATTGGATTTAGTCTCTTCTTAACGTCTTTTGGCTAGTTAATGATAGAGGTGAGACTAGAACCTAGGTCTCCTGATCCCAGCTGTGCTTTTTCTTCCTGTAAAACTGCTTAATACAGATTATTTGATTCTGAAGAGCTGTAGTGAAGAACAATGTGAATAACCTAAAATTCTGTAGTAGAGTATTTTTCTAATTGTATTATGTTTAAATACTGCTAATGACCTGTGCCAACAAAATATCAGGTCTCTTTGATTGTTTTAATATAGTTATTTTGGAGTACTTTTTTTTTTTTTTTTTTTTTTTTTGAGACGGAGTCTCACTTTTTCGCCCAAGCTGGACTGCAGTGGCGCTATCCCGGCTCACTGCAAGCTCCGCCTCTTGGGTTCATGCCATTCTCCTGCGTCAGCCTCCCGAGTAGCTGGGATTACAGGCGCCCACCACCACGTCCGGCTAATTTTTTGTATTTTTAGTAGAGACGGGGTTTCACCGTGTTAGCCAGGATGGTCTCGATCTCCTGACCTCGTGATCCGCCCGCCTCGGCCTCCCAAAGTGCTGGGATTACAGGCGTGAGCCACCGCGCCCGGCCTGGAGTACTTTTAAATTAAATGCAAAAGAAGCTTCTAAAACAGTGAGATATTCTATTATTTTAATAGTATTCTTCATGAATTCTTGTTTACATTGTTAATTGGCAGAGTCAGCTTTTTTTGCCGTAGTAAAACTTATTATTTTATTAACATTAATATCCAGATTATTGAAAATGCTAGTGATTTCGTGTTTATTTCATGATTTTAGTTCTTGGGCAAACAACAAAAAGTAATGAAGACAGTGGTTGGAAAATAGTATTTATGAGGAGAAGTTAAATAAAAATAATTTTAACTACAAATTAGAACATGAAGGGAGAATAATAGCTTTTTGTCTTTTTTTTTGTTTGTTTTTGAGCCAGGGTCTCACTCTGTCGCCCAGGCTGGAGTGCAGTGGCACCATCAATGTTCACTGCAGCCTTGACCTCCCGGGCTCAGGTGATCCTCCCACTTCAGCCCCCCGCCCCGAGAAGCCGGGACTACAGGCGTGTACCAGCATGCTTGGCTGATTTTTTGTAGAGACAGGGTTTTGCCATGTTGCCCAGGCTGATCTCGAACTCTTGGATTCAGGCAATCCACCCACCTTGGCCTCCCAGAGTGCCAGGATTACAGGTATGAGCCACCGTGCTCAGCCGAGAACAATAGTTTTTAACTTAGAAAATTGTATAAAATAAATCATTCAGAAGAGCGTTGCAAAAAGAACAGAAAAATATTATTTTGTACTTAAAAATATAGTTGTTTAGTTGCTAAATGTTGAGAGACTAATTTTATTTTTATTTTTTTGGAACAGAGTCTTGCTCTGTCGCCCAGGCTGGAGTGCAGTGACATGATCTCGGCTCACTGCAACCTCCGCCTCCCAGGTTCAAGTGATTCTTGTGCCTCAGCCTCCTGAGTAGCTGGAATTATAGGCACATGTCACCATGCCTGGCTAATTTTTGTATTTTTAGTAGAGACAGGGTTTTGCCATGTTGGCCAGGCTGGTCTCGAAGTCCTGGCCTCAAGTAATCCACCTGCCTTGGCCTCTCAAAGTGCCGGGATTACAGGTATGAGCCACTGGGCCTGGCCAAATTTAAATGATAGTAATCTAAAAAGTAATGGTTCTTCACTTTTACACTGTTGGTGGGACTGTAAACTAGTTCAACCATTGTGGAAGTCACTGTGGCGATTCCTCAGGGATCTAGAACTAGAAATACCATTTGACCCAGCCATCCCATTACTGGGTATATACCCAAAGGACTATAAATCATGCTGCTATAAAAACACATGCAGACGTATGTTTATTGCGGCACTATTCACAATAGCAAAGACTTGGAACCATCCCAAATGTCCAACAATGATAGACTGGATTAAGAAAATGTGGCACATATACACCATGGAATACTATGCAGCCATAAAAAATGATGAGTTCGTGTCCTTTGTAGGGACATGGATGAAATTGGAAATCATCATTCTCAGTAAACTATCGCAAGGACAAAAAACCAAACACCGCATGTTCTCACTCATAGATGGGAATAGAACAATGAGAACACATGGACACAGGAAGGGGAACATCACACTCTGGGGACTGTTGTGGGGTGGGGGGACGGGGGAGGGATAACATTGAGAGATATACCTAATGCTAAATGACGAGTTGATGGGTGCAGCACACCAGCATGGCACATGTATACGTGTGTGACTAACCTGCACATTGTGCACATGTACCCTAAAACTTAAAGTATAATAATTAAAAAAAAAAAGAAAAAAAGTAATGGTTCTTCAGTCTGAAAAGACAGAATGAAAGGTGTGAATTGGGTGAGTTTTGCATTTGTTCATCTACTATTAGAAGAGCACTTTTTTGTTGTTAATAGATTTATTGATTTTAAAAAAAGATACATGCTTGGCCAGGCATGGTGGCGTGCACGCGTAATTCCAGTTACTTAGGAGGCTGAGGCTTGAGAATCACTTGAACTCGGGAGGCGGAGGTTGTAGTAAGCTGAGATTGCACCACTGCACTTTAGCCTGCGCAACAGGGCGAGACCCTGTCTCAAATAAATAAGTAAATAAATAATGCATGCTTAATTTTGAAAAACATTCAAACAATACAAAGTAGAGATTCTGAGTGGGGAGGGTGTGGGGAGAGAGGGAGTTGGAAGGAAAAGAGAGAGTGAGTACAGAGAGGGAGAGAGAGAATTACTTTAAATGTCTCCATTTATAGATAACTTGTCACTGTTAACAGTTTGGAGACCTCTTCAAGTATCTGTCTATGGAGAGCTCCTGTTAAACCTGTAAAAAAGCAAGATGGTACTTGGAAGCCCAATCTTGTTCAACACAGAACAAATATTTGGTGGGTTGATGATGTGAAAAACTGTAAGGAGTTCAGTAAGTCTTTAAATCCATAAGTAATAGTCTGTAATAGTTAATAATGATCAGGGGATCTAGATGTGTTTTAGGCTCTAGCTATAACCTTTATTTGCTTACTTGATAGAATGCCATCTTAATTGGCTATTAATATCAGAGGCAGACTTTTGGGGTAGACTTCATGCATGATATCGCCGGATATATAAATTCTTACATTTTTAACTAGATGGCTTTTAATAAATTCTTAGGGGTAACCAGTTCTTTTAAGAACAAAGAAGAAAAATGGGTTTAAAACTATAACAGAAAGTTAGGAGAGACCTTCTTAACATTTAGAGTTTTAAATATTGCTTTGGAGTTATTCTCTAAAGTCCTTAAAGGACACATACTCCCACTCAGGTGGTTTCAAAATTAGTATTGAGTTTCCTTTTGTTTCCTCATTCATATCCTTCATTATTGTTTGGTATGCTGACCTACAACATGATAGCCCATGATTATCTGGAAAAACAAGAAGGGATTTGATAATTTAAAGAATGTAGGATTGCTAAATGTTAGAGAAATAATGGAATATGTGGAAAATTCCGTAAGTTTAAAAGGATAAAATATACCAGCAAATGTATTTTTAAGGATTTGGCAATAGTTTGAGTAGATGTGTGGTGTTTTCCAGATGAGGGAACAAAAGCATAGAAATGGGAAACCTTTGGAGGACATTGAATAGAAGCTTTATGAACGTGAATAATTAAAGAAAAACTGGAGATATAGGCTGCTACTAGTTAGTTGAATGCTGACTATAGAGTTGGGAATTTGTCTTCTAGTGAAAACCTTGAAGTTTTTTGACCAGGAGCTAACAAAGCCATGTTTTCTAGGAAGGCTGCAGAAAGTGTGCAGAAAGAATGGGGGTTAGGGAGAGTGGGAGACTTTAGGCAGAGGAAGTGATTGATAGGCTATGGTAATAATCCAGGAATGAGGCATTGGAGACCTGAGGAGAGTAGTGGCAGTGCTGTCCCTAGGGCCTGTAAAAGTCTGAATTTTCCATTAGGTTATAGTAATGCAGTTAGATAAATGGTGCTAAAATTACTTTCCATAAGTTTTATGTAATACTGTGCAAAGGAAACCTTGTTACAGGGATATATTTTCAGCGATTAATGCTTGCATATTGCATTTGCGTAATATAGTATGTCACATAGAAAGGTCTGCTTAAAGATTTCATGCACATTTTCAGAAGTCTGGAATATATGAGGCTTTGCAAGGTGTTTTTTAAGTTTCTGTATCTCTTCTAAGTTCTTTATTAGAACAACTTGCTTTATAAGGGGCTACCACAGAATGAATGCTTATCTACCTGACCCATTTCTCTTTTCTGTAACTATGGTGGATGTCTGTCAGTTAGATGTAATGTTGAGATTCTTCATCCATACTGTTTACAGGTTTGTTTTTGTTTTGTTTTGTTTTGTTTTTTTGAGGCACGGTCTCGCTCTGTCATCCAGGCTGTAGTGCGGTGGCACCATCTTGGCTTACTGCAACCTCTGCCTCCCAGGTTCAAGCAGTTCTCCTGCCTCAGCCTCCTGAGTAGCTGGGATTACAGGCACCTGCCACTACACCCAGCTAATTTTTGTATTTTTAGTGGAGACAGGGTTTCATTATTTTGGCCAGGCTGGTCTCGAACTTCTGACCTCAAGTGATCCATCCGCCTTCGTCTCCCAAAGTGTTGGGATTACAGGCATGAGCCATGGTACCTGGCCCCTCTTTACAGTTTCTTTAGCTGAGCATATGTACTTTAATCCTTTATTTCTAAAGACCATTTCTTTTTCTCTCTTTATCTCCTCAGATTACTAATTCATTTTCTCTTGAAACCCCATCTCTACTAAAAATACAAAAAATTAGCTGGGCGTGATGGAGGGCGCCTGTAGTCCCAGCTACTTGGGAGGCTGAGGCAGGAGAATGGCATGAACCCGGGAGGCGGAGCTGGCAGTGAGCCGAGATCGAGCTACTGCACTCCAGCCTGGGCGACAGAGCCAGACTCCGTCTCAAAAAAAAAAAAAAATTTTTTTGTTTTGTTTTGTTTTAAAGGAAAAAATTATCACGGTGCTTGCTATTAAAGATAGGAGTGGAAAAAGATGAAAGAAGCAAACTACTTTCATAAGTAGTAGTGTCCAAGTATGCCAGATTATAGTTATTTTGAGCCATCCCAGGAAAGTAAGAAGAAATTTTCATATATTAGTTTTAAGAGGGCAGTCTGGCGCAATTCTTATTTTCTCCCAAATGTATCATTTTATAAAAAGAGATAAATTAGGAAATTAGAAAATGTGATTTTTTGACGGTTTTCTAGTTCTGATTAGCAAAAATTTGGAACTGAGACCTAGGTAGAAAGTAGCTTTATGTCTTGACAAATATTTTCTATTTATAATAATTTAATAACTAAAATGTGTACACTGGTGATGCTTATATATGAGGGATTTACTGTTGTGCAGAGATTTAGGTATGAACATTACACTTAGGCCTAGAGTGAATGCTGGTCCGTACTGCTGAACCATGAAACCCTTGGATTTCTATGCTAGAACCAGTCAGTATCTTGAAGTCCTTTAACCCGTGAGATCCTCTGTCATCTCTTTGATTAGATTGTACATTATAAGTATTAACTTCAAACTTTGCTTTGGAGAATCCTACAGACTATTAAGGCTTATAAACAAACTCCTTAGGTTAGCATTGCACAAAATTATGTTGTTCTGATTTGAAACTGTCCAAATTTGTATTGCTAAATATCCCCTGATGTACTGTCTTGGAGATCAAATGTTTGTGTTCCATTTGACTCCAGGTTCCTCAGGTCTTGCAGACTTCGGGCTTTCTCAATTTGCCTGTCCTCTGGTTGTCTACTTTGTGTCAGTACTATAGTTGTTGGCTGTGAAGAGAGCAGAGACGATAGAAGGGAGTTAGTCAGGAGGCCTGGTGAGGGTGGTGGCAATGAGACAGAATTTGGGAGCAAAGGAAAAGAGTGATTGAAATATTTCTTGCAGTTCTTATTATTTTTGCTTATTTTATACTTCTGTTTTTTTTAAATCATTTTTTCTTTCTTTCTTTTTTCTTTTTTTTTTTTTTTTCAGAAACCCCATTTCATTTCACTTTGCCTAAAGAAGGTGATATCATCCCACCATTGACTGGTGCAACCCCACCTCTTATTGGGCACCTAAAATTGGAGCCCAAGAGACACAGTACTCCTATTGGTGAGTGAATAAAAAGTAATGATATTTAAGGCAGAATTTCTGAGATATCATTCTCTACACAAGTGATATTTTAGATCTGAGGAGTTGGGTCTGGCTGGTAAGGTTGATTTTTGTTTTAGGGAAAATAGGGTTATGAAGTCTGGTTCTGTGATTTTACTACTAGGAGATGAGGGGTAAAGAGAGGAAGGAAAGAAAGGGTGGAGGGAAGTAAGAAAGAAAGAGAATACTTAAAAGAATTTTATCTTATTACTTGCAAGGCAGTAGAATCTGAGTGCTAAGTAGTGATGTAGAGATGTTTTATAAGGATGGAACAGGAAGTAAGGTAGAAGTACTATTTATTCAGTACCTTGGCTAATTAGTCAGTCTGCTGCTTGACAGGGCAAGAAAACTTAGATCCTCCTTCCCTGAAGCAGCCAGTAGTCTTCTACATTAACCTATTTGTTTTCTCTAGTCAGTGCTGGGAGGTAACAATCATGCCGTCTGGAGTCTCCTGCTACCTATGCCTGATGCTGGCAGATGTGGGTTGGCTGAGGGCTCATGCAGCATCCTTTGTCCAGATGCAGAAGTGGAACTGAATCCTGTTGCTCCTCTTAAGACCAGGTGTCAATACTAGTTCGTAGTTGTTGATACTTATGACAGGGATCTATCCTAGGAACCTCCTTCAATCCTGCAGAGCTGTGGAGCCAAACAGGCAAATTGATGACCTTGAATTGCTGTTTTTTGTGTTTGTATTTTAGTGTTCTTTTTTTCTTCCTCCCTGCCTCACTTCTTTCAGGTATTAGCAACTATCCAGAAAGCACCATAGCAACCAGTGATGTCATGTCTGAAAGCATGGTGGAGACCCATGATCCCATACTTGGGAGTGGAAAAGGGGATTCTGGGGCTGCCCCAGACGTGGATGATAAATTATGTCTAAGAATGAAACTGGTTAGTCCTGAGACTGAGGCGAGTGAAGAGTCTTTGCAGTTCAACCTGGAAAGTAAGTTTTATGTTAATCTTGGGTAATTAGTAGCTGCAGATTATCTGGGGAGTATTGATTATAATCTAGTTATAATAATTGATACTTCTATATTTATAAATGTATTTGTAAAGTCTTACACTCATAGATTTAATTCTTTGCTTTTGGCCAGCCTGTCATGTTACTAAAGATACTCTGTTTTATAATCTCCATATTATAGCTTGTTTCTGTTAAGTCTGTTCCTATGTAATTGGTTTCCCTATTCAGAAAGACTTCAGAATAGGGTAGAAAACTTTAGGACTGTGGATTCACATTGCAGATTAATGTTGATTCTTTCCCACATGAATTAGAAGTTGTTTGGTAGGGCTAGAATAAAGAGAAGATACAAGGGAGGGATGCAAAGTAGGGACCAGATGCTGAAAGGCTTTTTACATCATGCTGAGAAGCCGAAGAATTTTAGGCAAGGGAGTAATATGATCAGATTTGCCTTTAAAAAAAAGCATCAGCTGAGTCTTTCAAAACCTTGTGCTTTTGTGCATGATGATTCCTTTCCTTGCATTTCCCATATTCTGTTCTCCTGCCTGGTAAATTCTACCCAGTCTTTAACCAGAAAGTGAGGTCATTGGTAGTGGGGCTGGAGATGAGGGATGAATTTGAGGAGCGAGTAGGCAGAACGATGGTGCCAGGTGAATATGGAAGTAAGGGGGAGGAAAAAAAGAGAGAATGACTCTTCACATATACTGTATGATCTCATTTCCATAATAGTACTCCCAAGTAGGTATCTGCATTTTCATTTTATTGATGAGAAAACAGAGTAAGAGAGGTTTTTAAGTTACATGTCTAAGGTCACAATAATTGGTGCTAGGTGGAGTTGGAATTTGAGTCAGACCTAACTCTGAAGCTTATAATTTTTTCATTTCAGGTAATTTGTAAAAGCTGTTTAAGGGGGATTAGAAGAGGAAGAAATCTCATAAAGGAGATTATAAAGGAACGTTCAGAGAGAAGGAGAACTAGGAGGGTATATGAAGCCATGGAAGCCTATGGGGAGGGGAGTTACAAGAAGATCATGTCAGGCACAGGAGCAAGTTTAGTAAGATGTGTCTGGAAATATACTTTGACTTCGGCGAGGCAATTAGGATCCATTTGGTGACTCTAGCAAGAGCCATTTCAGTGCAGCAGTTGGGGTGGGAGCTATACTGAAAGTAATTGAGGAAGGATGAGGAAGAGGAGATGAGGCTGCAAATGTACTCTCTACTTTTGAGAAGTTTATGTGAGAGAAGAAGAGAAAATATGGTGAGTTAGAGGGAAATGCAGGGTTGAGAGAGGATTTGTTATTTTAGGCTGGGAGAGGCCTGAGCAAGTTTACAGATTTTAACCCATTTATGCCTAGTGTTCCACTATTGGAACACTAAGCTTGCGGGAGTTATTTATATCCTGCTGCTCAAGGTCATCACCAAGGTCTGATTTTTCACAAAAAAAAATTTGCAACCTCCAGCATAAATGGGTTAAGGAAGGATCCAAAAGAGGGAGGCATAGATTAAAGACGAGGGAATTGGGGGAAACAGTTGATGAATTAAGGCCCTGAAGAAGTTGGGAGGGGAAGCTATTGAAGACTACACAGAATAGGTTGGATAAGCAGGACTTCTTCTTCCCTGAGACCAGAGAAAAGTAATTTTAGCTAATACATTTTTAGCTCTTACTGTATACCAGGTACTTCACATGTATAGCTCATTAAATCTCATAAGAAGCCGATGAACTAGATCCTATTATTATCCTCCTTTTACAGATGAGGAAACTGAGGCACAGGAAGGTTGAGCGCCTTCCCTAAACATAGCTAGTAAATGGAGTAGCCGGGATACAAATCCAGGAAGTCTGGTTCCAAATCTTTGATGCTGTGGTACTTACTGATTTGAATCTTAGCAACTCAGTAGACTGAGTTAAAGTATTACATGGTTCCATCCTTACTATCATCTTTTCCGGAATAAATAAGGGCTTATTGCCAGGCATGGTGGTTGGTGCGCTTCTATAATCCCAGCAATGCCAGAGGCTGAGGTGGGAGGTGTGCTTAAACCCAGAAGTACAAGACCAGCCTGGGCAACATAGTGACATCTCATCTCAAAAATAAAAATTTTAAAAAGGGTTTGTCAAGAGAGAGAGTATGTGATAGCCTTAAATCTTACTTTACCTTTGGATCTGAAATTACAACTAGCGAAGTGTTAAGGATGGTTATATCAGTAAATTTTACTACCTTTCCTAATACCAGGAGCATAGTATCAAGGACTGTATTCAGTGTTACTTACATCATTTCATCCTTACAACAAACTTTTTAGGTTTGTTGTGTTTTTATCTTATAGAGGAGGACACTGAGACTCAAAATGACAAAGTAGTTTACTCCTAGGTTGGACTATTAAGTGCAATAGCCAGGGTGTGAGCCAGGTTTCTATTTCAGAGCCAGGGCTCCAACTGAATTTCAGCTGCCTCCCTGATGGACTGTTTAGATTATGTTGGGTCATGAATATTTTAGAAATAATTAAAAACCATTTAAGGGTTGTTTTCTCTAAGGCTGGTATAAATTGTAAATGAACAAATTTTAATCCCTTGAAATTAGTGACATTGTTGTGAGAATATGGGATTTTTTTCAGTACGACCTTTAATCTGTTGCTGCATGTTCTTGAAAATGTCCTTTTTGTTTCTTTTTGTTGTTATTGTTGTTGAGACAGGGCTTCTCCCTGTCACCCAGGCTGGAGTGCAATGGGGTGATCTCAGCTCACTGCAGCCTCCATCTCCCAGGCTCAAGCGATCCTCCCATCTTAGCCCCCTGAGTAGGTGGGACTACAGGCACGCCCACCACCCATGCCTGGTTAATTTTTGTATTTATTATAGAGATGGGGCTTCGCCATGTTAGCCAGGCTGGTGTTGAACTCCTGGGCTCAAGCGATCCTCCTGCCTTGGCCTCTCAAAGTATTGGGATTACATGAGTGAGCCACCGTGCCTGGCCACCCTTTGTTTTTGAAGTGTCTGTCCTAAAGCACTTTGGGAAGAACTTGGGTACCTTCTATTTGTGGGTGCTCTAAAAACTATTTAAAATTAGTTCATCAACCTAAAATATTTTCTACTTATTTTATTAAGTTCTTTTATTTTTAATTTGTTTTTAATATGATATAAATTTTAAAAAGTTTTTGGTTTTTAATTTTGTATTATTACATACTTTTTTAACTTCTTATATGGGCAGAGATGAATTTGGATTCAGAAGTTTAATTTTCATTTAAGAATGTTACTGCTGGCCGGGTGTGGTGGCTCATGCCTGTAATCCCAGCACTTTGGGAGGCTGAGGTGGGTGGATCACCTGAGGTCAGGAGTTCGAGACCAGCCTGGCCAAGATGGTGAAACCCCATCTCTACTAAAAATATAAAAATTAGCCGGACATGGTGGCAGGTACCTGTAATCCCAGCTACTCGGGAGGCTAAGGCAGCAGAATCTCTTGAACCCGAGAGGCGGAGGTTGCAGTGAGCTGAGATCATGCCACTGCACTCCAGCCTGAGCAACAGAGTGAGATTCTGTCTCCAAAAAAAAAAAAAAAAAAAAAAAAAAAGAATATTACTGCTAAGGGCTAGGTGTCGTAGCTCGTATGTGTAATCCCAGCACACTTTGGGAACCTGAGGCGGGTGAATCACCTGAGGTCGGAAGTTTGAGACCAGCCTGGTCAACATGGTGAAACCCCATCTCTACTAAAAATACAAAAATTAGCTGGGTGTGGTGGTGCACACCTGTAATCCCAGCTACTCAGGAGGGTGAGGCATGAGAATCGCTTGAACCCAGGAGACACAGGTTGCAGCAAGTCGAGATTACGCCGCTGCACTCTAGCCTGGGCAACGGAGTAAGACTCTGTCTCCAAAAAAAAAAAAAGTTACTCATTGTATTGTATTTCTTGCCAATCTTATTAGTCTTTTATAGGAAGTTTGAAAGAAAATTGATTGGTGGAAGTGAGAAAAACTTGTACCATTAAATTACAAGAAATAGCCAGCCGGGCACAGTGGCTCTTGCCTGTAATCCCAGCACTTTGGGAGACCGAGGCGGGCGGATCACGAGGTCAGGAGATTGAGACCATCCTGGCTAACACGGTGAAACCCCGTCTCGACTAAAAATACAAAAAAATTAGCCGGGCGTGGTGGCGGGCACCTGTAGTTTCAGCTGCTGGGGAGGCTGAGGCAGGAGAATGGCGTGAACCCGGGAGGCAGAGCTTGCAGTGAGCCGAGATTGCGCCACTGCACTCCAGCCTGGGCGACAGAGTGAGACTCTGTCTCAAAAAAAAAAAAAAAAAAAAATTAAAACAAATCTGGCCTGCACTGCAGCCTGGGTGACAGAGCGAGACTGTTGTCTCAAAACAAACAAACAAAAAACAAGAAATCTGGCAGATCACTTGATTTCAGGAGTTTGAGACCAGCTTGGGAAACTTGGCAAAACCCTGTCTTTCCTAAAAAATACAAAAAATTAGCTGGACGTGGTGGCGCATGCCTGTAGTCCCAGCTACTCGGGAGGTTGAGGCAGGAGATCGCTTGAACCCAGGAGGCGGAGGTTGCAGTGAGCTGAGATCACGCTACTGCCCTCCAGCTTGGGTGATAGAGTGAGACTGTCTCAAAATAAAGAAATAAATAAATAAAATTACAAGAAATGTTTGTATGTTTATACTTACTAGTTTTACTTATTTTTATTTCTTTTTGTTATTTTTTGCAAATACTAGTAGAGCAGAGTGAAGGTTTAGGTGTGATACTAACTAAATTCTGTTTCTCTTTCCTTTCTCTCCTTGGTTTTGTTTTTATTCAGAGCCTGCAACTGGTGAAAGAAAAAATGGATCTACTGCTGTTGCTGAGTCTGTTGCCAGGTAACCAAAGCTGGATGCTATTTAGAGTTTAATACACAGCTACTGGTGATGAGGGTAGATGGTTTATCAACAAAGGAAAAAAGTTAAAATGAGAAAGTTAAAATGAGACTCTTTCATAAAGGATTTAGCAATGTTTTGAATGGATCATAGACTTTTTAGTTAATACTTTTTTAAGTTCAGTGAAGCTTTTTTCTACACCTAGAACTAAGATAATTGAAATGTCTTTACTTTTGTTCATGTGAGAGTTCCTTTCCCCCCTTTTTTCTGTTGCTGATACAAGAGTCTCCACAATCTCAGGATTGTTGATCCAATTGATGAGAAAAAGAAGGATTAACAAGAGATAGCTACAGACCTTGTTCCTTCTGCAATCGCATACTCAGCTGCAGCCTCAGGTCATTTTCTCTTCTGCCTGCCAAATTAACTACTATGTTGAGCTGTTATTTTTGCTTTGTCATGGATGTTGTAATGCTTTGAGGACGAGTATGACCCCATACTGAGGTTTTGGTTGGTAAGCTTTGCCATCTGGTGGCTGTGAGAATACAATTGTTTCAGGCATGAGTCATCCAGCCTGAAAACGCTAATAGCAGTTGGTGAAACATAGGCAAGAATTCTTCTTTTATTTTCTTTTTTATTTTTTGAGACAGAATCTTGCTCTGTTGCCCAGGCTGGAGTGCGGTGGTGAGATCATGGCTCACTGTGACCTCAACATCCTGACCTCCAGCTATCCTCCTGCCTCAGCCACCTGAGTAGCTGGGGCTACAGGCATGTACCACCTCATCTGGCTAATTTTTGTATTTTTTGTAGAGATGAGGATTTTACTATGTTGCCCAGGCTGGCCTTGAACTCCTGGGCTCAAGTGATCCACCTGCCTTGACTTCCCAAAGTGCTAGGATTACAGATGTGAGCTACCATGCCCCACCAAGAATTCTTAAATTAGAGGCTAGGCGGGTACTGTTAATAACTAAAGTGGCTAGGTACAAGACAGAGTGTTTTTTTTTTGTTTTTTTTTTTGAGACGGAGTCTCACTCTGTCATCCAGGCTGGAGTGCAGTGGCACGATCTCCGCTCACTGCAAGCTCCGCCTCCCGGGTCCACACCATTCTCCTGCCTCAGCCTCCCAAGTAGCTGGGACTACAGGTGCCAGCCACCACGCCTGGCTAATTTTTTTTTTGTATTTTTAGTGGAGACGGGGTTTCACCGTGTTAGCCAGGATGGTCTCGATCTCCTGACCTCGTGATCCGCCCGCAAGACAGAGTGTTGAGGACAATGGCAAACTGAATGTATGGTCCATGTGAAAGGGTGTGCCCCACTCAACTCCAGCCAGTAGTTGTCATGTGAAACTGCAAACTTCTTGTTGCCACATCTTTGTTTTTAGAAAGAAATCTGGATTTTTAAAAATAAAATATCAAATAAAAGAGGCCTGTGGACTAAATGTGACCTCACTTGTGAGTTTCTGACCTTTTTCAAAGTCTTTTGATCTGTTCTTAGCTATGTCTTAGAGAGATTAGTTCCTCATTGGGCTATTAGTATATTTAATCTGAAACATAAGTACCGTAGAGTCCTTTTTCATTTGAAGATCCCTTAATGATATATAGTCTTAGAAGCTGAAGAAAGTGGAGTGTGTATCTGGTCCATTTGGCTTTAACAGAATTTTTGGCCAGGAATAAGTTGTTATTAGTCTGTACTTGTGCATATTCAGAGGGAACAGAGTATGTTGCTGAAGCTTCTAGAACTCTTAGGGTAGAAAGTAGAGAGGAGAAAATAAGGAAAAACTTTGAGCAGAGGGTTGGAATGGTGGATCCTAGAATGAGATGAAATTTTTGATATTGTTGTGAATAAATTTTTCTATATAAGAATCTAAATTTAAAAAAATTCGACTTGTTTGCTATTGTGTTCACTCTAACAAATCATCTAAAGTAAGCTCTGTCACAATATTGGAAGTGGTCCTTGGTTCATCTGCATTTAGGTGGAGATTTTTTGTTTGTTTGTTTGAGACAGGGTCTCACTTTGTCAACCAGGCTGCAGTGCAGTGGTGCAATCACAGTTCACTGCAGCCTTGACCTCCCAGGCTCAAGCGATCCTCCTGCCTCAACCCCACAGGGTGCTGGGACTACAGGCACCTGCCACCAGGGGCTAATTTTTGTGTTTTTAGTAGAGATGGGGTTTCGTCATGTTGCCCAGGCTAGTCTCTAACTCCTGAAGCTCAAGTGATCCACCTGGCTTGGCCTCCCAAAGTGGTAGGATTACAGGTATAAGCCACCGTGCCCAGCGTACATGAAACTTTTAAGTGTTGTTTGTAACTGTACTCTGTTCAAATTACTTGCTGTCACCTTATTTCTCAATCATTTTACTACAGAAGGTTTCAAGCATATACGAAAGTAGAGAGAGTAGTATAATGGACTGCCATGTATTCATCACCCAGTTCCAAAAATTTCTTATGGCCAGTCTTGATTCATTTATATTTCCAGCACCCCCCTCCCTACTGAATTATTTTGAAGATAATTTCAGCATTATATAATTTTATCTGAAATACTTCAGTGCTGTCTCCAAAAGATAAGGATTCTTATTTTAAACTTAACCGTATTACTATTATCATACTTTAAAAAATTGACAATGGTTCCTTAATATCATGAAATATTCAATGTTCAGATTTCTCTGATTGTCTCATAAATGGTGTTTTACAGTTTGACTCAAGATCTAAATAAGGTCTGCATATTGCATTTGATTATATCTCTTTAAGTCTTTTAAAATACAGAGTACCCCTCCAGTCTTTTTTTTTTTTTTTTTTTTTTTTTTTTGCCTCTTGCTTGCAAATTATTTGTTGAAGGTACAGATTGTTGTATGGTTTTCTACATTCTGGATTTTGCTGATCGCATCTTTATGGTATTTAATACAGTCCTCTGTCCACCTTATTTCCAGTGAATCTTCCTTGAGAATTTTAAATTATGCTAATTCAAAACAAGTATGGAGAATTTGCATTTTGGTGTAAGGTGGTTTGGAGTTTGATATGCAGAGAAAGCATTTTATTTCCTCTGTGCATAAAAGGATAATCTCCAAAAGTACTTTTCTTTTCAAAGTTAACAATATATTGCTTTAATATATTGTCTTAGTCCCCAGAAGACCATGTCTGTGTTGAGCTGTATCTGTGAAGCCAGGCAAGAGAATGAGGCTCGAAGTGAGGATCCCCCCACCACACCCATCAGGTAAGCATTATTTTTATAGAATCTTTTGGGCTCCATTGGTTCACAAAATGGTTAGTGCCCAAATCCTAATATGTACTGTGCTGTGGTTTGAATGTGGCATGTGTTGGAAACTTAACCCCCAGTGCAACAGTGTTGAGAGGTAATTAGTGGTATTGGTATAAAGCTACAGAAGTTGACCACACATACACAAAAAAGAGGTAATTAGGTCGTGGGGGCACTGCCCATATGTATGCATTAAGGCTGTTGCCGTGAGCATGGGTTAATTATAAAAGGCTGAAGGGGCAGTTTGGCCCCCTTTCCACCTTCTTGAATGCACCCTCACCATGTGATGTCTTTCCACCGTGTTACGATGCAGCTAGAAGGCCCTTACCAGCTGGCCGTCTAGATGCTAGTGCCATGTCCTTGGACATTTCAGCATTCAGAACCATGAGCCAAATCCTGTAAATCTTTTTCTTTATCAATTTCCCAGTCTGGTGGGAATTCTGTTATAGCAGCAGAAAACAGACTAAGATGTACTGCTACTGTTTTGTGAGCTTGAGCTTACCTTATTTTTTTATACCTTGAGGGACTATAGTGTATTCTGGATAGATTGATGAGCTGTCATGAGAAATTTTGTTAAATATTTTATAGATACACATTTTTGTCTTTATCTGCCAGTTGTATCAATTTGAAATGACTGACTTCATAAATGTATTTATTAATTTATTTTGAGATAGGGTCTCACTCTGTCACCCAGGCTGGAGTGAAGTGGCGTGAACATGGCTCACTGAAGCCTTTACCTCTTGGGCTTCAGCCTCCCAAGTAGCTAGGACCACAAGCATGCGCCACCATACCGGCTAATTTTTCTATTCTTTGTAGAGATGGCTTCTCACTGTGTTGTCCAGTCTGGTTTCAAACTCTTGGGATCAAGCAGTCCTCCCACCTTGGCGTCCAGAAGTGTTAGGAATACAAGTGTGAGCCACCGTGCCCTACGGTGAAAATAATTTATATAATTCCTCATTTCTTAGATTAGTTTTTCTTATTTTGGGAATCATGTTTACTTTTAACAGACTTTTTATTTCTCCTTAGTTTCCCACAGAGCAAAATATGAGATGTTTAACATCCCAAATTTAAAGTTTTTCAGACTTAATGGAATTAATTTTTCCATAATTTCTTTTTCTTTTTAGAGACAGGGTCTCACTCTGTCACCCAGGCTGAGGTGCAGTGGTGCAGTAATAGCTCACGGCAGCCCCAAATTCCTAGGCTCAAGCAATCCTCCTGCCTGAACCCCCTGAGTGGCTAGGACTACAGGCATGTGCTGCCGTGTCTGGCTAATTTTTTTTTTTTTCAACTTTTTTTTCAACTGTGTTGCCCAGGCTGGTCTCAGACGCCTGGGCTCAAGTGATCCTCCTGCCTCATCTTCCCAACGTGCTAGAATTACAGATATGAGCAACTGTGCTTAGCCCCATAATTTCTTTACTCCATAATCTCTTAGAACAGTCGTGAGGCAGGAAAAAAGTTTTGAGTTACAGGCCTTTATCTCTATTTAAATAATTAAGGAAGCGGCTGGCCACGGTGGCTCACGCCTGTAATCCCAGCACTTGGAGGCCAAAGCATGAGGATTACTTGAGGCCAGGAGTTTGAGATGAGCCTGGGTGACATAGTGAGACCCTATTTCTACCAAGAAAAAAAAGAAAAAAAAAAAAGCCGGATGTGGTGGCATGCGCTTGTGGTCCCAGCTACTTGGAAGACTGAAGTGGGATGATTGGTTGAACCTGGGTGGTCGAGGCTGCAGGGAGCTGTGGTCTCGCCACTGCACTTTAGCCTGGGGAACAGAGTGAGACCATGTCTTAAAAAATAATAATAAATAAATAAATAAATAGTATCTTATATGGAATATATGATACTTATATTTAGTGTAGAGAAATAAGTAATGGCAGTGGAAAAGGACCTGTATTTTCATTATGAAGTGAGTATCTTTCACCTCTAAAATTCAGTGATTTCGTAATTAGACAATGTGATAATGTTTTGTCAGTAGGTATATCAGTAACAGTGATATAAGTAGCATGATTTAGCCAGGCGCGGTGGCACTTTGGTAGACCGAGGTGGGTGGATGGCCTGAGCTCTGGAGTTGGAGACCAGCCTGGGCATCATGGTGAAACTTCGTCTCTACAAAAAGTACAAAATTAGCCAGGTGTGGTGGTGCATCCCTGTAGTCCCAGCTACTTGGGATGCTGAGGTGGGAGAATGGCTCGAGCCCAGGAGGTGGAGGTTATAGTGAGCCGAGATTGTGCCACTGTACTCCAGCCTGGGCGACAAAGCCAGACTCTGTCTAAAGAAAAAAAAAAAGACTGGATGGGGTGGCTCACACCTGTAATCCCAGCACTTTGAGAGGCTGAGGAGGGGTGACCACTTGAGGCCAGGAGTTAGTGACCAGCCTGGCCAACATGGTAAAACGCTGTCTCTACTAAAAATACAAAAATTAGCCAGGCAGGGTCGTCCACGCTTGTAGTCTCAGCTACTCTGGAGGCTAAGGCATGAGAATCACTTGAACCCTGGAGGAGGAGGTTGCAGTGAGCCAAGATGGTGCCACTGCACTACAGCCTGGCGAGAGAGTGAGAGTTATGTCTTATCCATTAAAAAAAAAAAAATTAATAGGTAGCATAATTTCTAAATTTCTATGCTCATTATTGAAAGAAATATTTAAAATAAATATGTCAGTGCATTAAATGGGCATTCTGAATAAGTGTGAGCTTGTTGATATTCTTGGGAATCAGATGATCCTGAAATCATGTGATTTTAACAGTGGTGTAGTAATGACCCAGCTATTACTAAATTTATTGATGTCATTGTATTGCCTTGCTTTTTTATTAAAGCGTTTTAAAATAGAGGTGCCAAGATGTTGGTTATATTGTTTAACCTTGGTGGAGCAAAGATCTGGGAATCTAGCTGGATTTGATTCTAGATGCCTCATAAACAGAGCTACACTCAGAATAGAATAGTTAGACATTTGTTAAATATGGAGATGTATTCTTCCCTATTTCAATTTGGATTTTTTTTTTTTTTTTTTTTTTTTTGAGATGGGGTCTTGGTCTGTGTGTCACCCAGGCTGGAAGTGCAGTAGGGCGATCTTGGCTCACTGCAACCTCCACCTCCCAGGTTCGAGGGATTCTCCTGCCTCAGCCTCCCAAGTAGCTGGGACTACAGGTGTATGCCACCACACATGGCTATTTTTTTTGTATTTTTAGTAGAGACGGGGTTTTGCCGTGTTGGCCAGGCAGGTCTCGAACTCCTCACCTCAGGTGATCCACCCGTCTTGGCTTCCCAAAGTGCTGGGATTACTGGTGTGAGCCACTGTGCCCAGCCTAAAATTTACTTTCTTAGCATCAGTTTCTAAGTCTGGCATATAGTGACCAGAGTAGAATTGCATAGCTGGAACTAATGGAGAGGGAGAGAGGTATGGCACTTCTTACAATTTATTGGATTGCTGTAGAAGTAAAATTCAATTCAGGTATTCTAACCTGAATAAACAGCTTCTGAGGTGTCTTAGTCTCTTTGGGCTGCTGCAACAAACTGCCATAGGCTAGATAGCTTATAAACAAAAGAATTTATTTCTCTCATTTCTGGAGGCTGAGAAGTTCTAGATCAAAGCACTGGCAGATTTGGTGTCTGGTGAGGGCCTGCTTCCTGGTTTGTAGACAGCTGTTCTCACATGGCAGTTGGGGGCAAGAGAGCTCTCTGAGGTCTCTTTTATAAGGGCACTAACCCTATTCATGAGGGCTCTGCCTCTTAATACCATCACCTTGGTGGTTAGGATTTAATGTAAGTCTTGGGGTGGAGGGGACATAGACATTTAGTCTGTAGCATGAGATAAAATTTATAAGCTTGTTTAGGATAGGAAACAACAATAATTGAATTCCTAAAATCGAGTCCTGGCTCTTCTGGCTTTTGAATCCTTTCCTTCTTGCTCAGCCATTGGTATGTTAGATGTCTTAAAGATTTAAATATGAATATTTAGTTGATATTGAAGGTGAACTGAGTCTGTTTAATTGCATTGTCTTATGCATCTAATATTGATTGAGCATCTGCTATGCTCAATATTTTACATATATGAACATTTATAAACCTCATAAGAGGTAAGTGCTACTCATGGTAGGTGTCTCCTGGTGGTCTTGTTCTTACTTCTTCTTCATTGGACCATATATTCTCATTCAGTTGAGGTTCCTGAGAGATAGGACACACACTATAACAACCAAATTTATACTAAGCTCTTCTTGGCTAGAACTCTATTTGAAATCCCTCTTTGAGCTCCTGTTCTGGTAGGCTGAGCTAAACAATATAGAAACCTCAGAAACTTCTTTTTTCCTTTTCCTTCAAGATCTAGAGCAGAGCAATCCCTGAAGAGCACTTCCTGCTTCCTTTACCCTGTCTACGTAGGAAAGCTGAGATCCTAAGGATAAGAGCTTCTGTCAAATAGGAGACAGCCCTAACTCTTTTTCTGGCCACATACTTAAATCAACATATGACATAGTTTCTAGGCCCCTTATCGTCCTTCATGTTACCTTCTGAGTTTATCTACAGTTTATGCCTTGTAAACTGTCATGCCGAGAACTGAAACAGATATTCCAGATGTGGTCTTAGCATGGTCAGTTCAGAATGGATTCCTTTTATTTTTATTCTGGCTATTGTGCGTGTAATGGAGCCTAAAACTGCATTATGTTGATTTAATCTGAGTAGATTTTGCAATTAATTGATTCAGAGAACATTCAGTCTTCTGTTCAAAGTACATGTATTAAGCATCTATTTTATATTAAGCTGTGAGTTAGGTGTTTTAAATATAAAGATAGATAAGACATGAATGTCAAATTTCTGTTGACTTGGAGTTAGCCTGGACGTTTTTATTCTGGAGAATTGTTAGGGATATTTAAGAAAGCTCCTAGTCACTTCGGAAATCGTGGTATGTGGTTTGTAGGAGACATTCAGCAAATGCTTGTGGAATAAAGGAACGAATCACTGATACCCAAATGGGATGACTTATGAAAAAAAATGGGCTGTATCTTAAGAACTGTCTTTGAGAAACCAATTCATTCTGAAATGTTTAGTTGTAGATATATCAGTATAGCTGACAAAACTAGAATCTACCTACAGCTTTATCCTTTGTAAGTCAGATTTTCTTTCCTAAAAATATTGCTCAGGTGGGGATAAACAGTATCTAGAATGCTAGGAATCAGTTAAGGAATGTTAGAACCATCATAAGGCCAGATAAGACATCTTGACTTAATTGATCTTTTTTCAAAATAGATCCCTAAGTTGCCCTTCATTGTCTATGACTTCAGTAATGGGTTTACATCTTTTTGTTTACTTCATTTTCCTGCATCAAGTTTCAGAGTTCATAGCTAGTGATGGGAAGAAATTTTATGACTCTTTTATCATCATGGTGGAATTGTTCTATCTACCATTATTTTTTTTACAGGAGTGAAATTATAATGAGAGGCCTCCCAAGGTGATAATGCTTGACTACCTGACTTTCTCCCTTCCTTACATTTCTCAAATTGTCAAAATATGGCTCCCCCCTTGCCACTACACACACACATGCACACGCACACACACACGTTCACACATACACTTGCTTAATTGACATGGCTTCTTTATATGTTGCATTTTCAGGGGGAACTTGCTCCACTTTCCAAGTTCTCAAGGAGAAGAGGAGAAAGAAAAATTGGAGGGTGACCATACAATCAGGCAGAGTCAACAGCCTATGAAGCCCATTAGTCCTGTCAAGGACCCTGTTTCTCCTGCTTCCCAGAAGATGGTCATACAAGGGCCATCCAGTCCTCAAGGAGAGGCAATGGTGACAGATGTGCTAGAAGACCAGAAAGAAGGACGGAGTACTAATAAGGAAAATCCTAGTAAGGCCTTGATTGAAAGGCCCAGCCAAAATAACATAGGAATCCAAACCATGGAGTGTTCCTTGAGGGTCCCAGAAACTGTTTCAGCAGCAACCCAGACTATAAAGAATGTGTGTGAGCAGGGGACCAGTACAGTGGACCAGAACTTTGGAAAGCAAGATGCCACAGTTCAGACTGAGAGGGGGAGTGGTGAGAAACCAGTCAGTGCTCCTGGGGATGATACAGAGTCGCTCCATAGCCAGGTGAGAGAACATACTAGGGTGCATCAGAGGCCTTGTTTTTAACTTTCAGGATTCTCAGAGAATTTAAGTTGTGGCATGTCTGCCTAATGACAATTCTTGACAGTTTTGTACAGAACAGTGGTTAAAAGACAAAAACAACTTTTCTAAGATACAGATATGGTAGTGAAATTGTGGGTAGCTATAGCCATTAGATAGTCTTTTAGGGAAAATGTAGTATTGCTACAGTTTTTTAGGTAGGTCTTTACTGGAGAAGAAAGCCAGAGATTCTGCCTGGGTCCTGTAATACTCTTCTACATTCACTCTTTTCCTTCTCCATACTTTTTATCTTGCCTTCTAACCATCAGATCTAATTTTCTCTCCCTTAAGTCTATTTCATCATGGTTCTCAGGAATTCAGAGAGTAGAAGGTAAGGGGGAAAGAAGCAGCACGAAGAATAGTGTATTTCAGTATATGAAACAGAAAGAATGGTAACAGGAATAGAGAGAGAGATGGGGAAAAGTCCCCAGGTGACCAAGAACTGCAGAAGAGAGGCTAGACTAGAAGCTAATGTGAAGAAAAGGATTGGGGCTGATGAAAACGAGGCTGGAGGAGTATCAGGTTCCAGGGAATAGAGTAGGGAAGTGTCGGTACTAGTAAAAATTAAGTAGGTGGCTGTGCCTGGTGGCACATGCCTGAAATCCCAGCGCTTTTGGAGGCTCAGGTGGGAGGATTACTTGAGCCCAGGAGTTTGAGACTAGACTGGGCAACATAGTGAGACCTTGTCTCTTAAAAAAAAAATTGAGTAGATGAAAAGAAGTCGTAGAAATGTATGTGTTAACAAATACGTAGAAGTTCACAACATTTCATTGAGTGGCAGAGTGGGATCTATGGCAGAGAAAATTTGGAAGTTACTAGTAAACAGTAGTCTCTGCTTATCAGTGGTTTCTTTTTCTTGGTGGTTTTAGTTGCCCATGGTCAGCTGCAGTCCAGAAATACTAAATGGAAAATTCTAGAAATACTAAGGTTTAAATACTGTGCTGTTCTGAGTAATGTGATAAAGTGCTGTCCCTCTTAGTCCTGGCTAGGATATGAATCCTCCCTTTTTCTAGCATATCCATATGCTATATATGCTCCCTGCCTGTTAATGACTTAGTAGCTGTCTTGGTTATCAGATCAACTCTCATGGTATTGCATTGCTTGCATTCAAGTAACCCTTGTTTTACTCTCACCCCAAAGTTTGAGAGTAGTGATGCCGGCAATCTGAATATGCCAGAGAAGTAAGTCATAAAGTGCTTCCTCTAAGTGAAAAGGTAAAAGGTCTTAATAAGGAAAGAAAAAAAATCATATGCTGAAGTTACTAAAATCTGTGGTAAGAACAAATCTATCCATGAAATTGTGAACAGTATATTGTTATAGTTTATCTTATTATTAGTTATTAATCTTTCTGTGCCTGATTTATAAACATTATAGGTCTGTATGTATAGGAAGAAACATAGTGTATAGGGTTTGATATTATCTGCAGTTTCAGGCATCCACTGGGGGTCTTGGCACATATCTCCCTCAGATAAAGGAGATATTGTAGTGGTCAAATTGCTTTTTCAGTTGCTGTGGTAGATTATCTTCATTTGGGATCTACTTAGGAAATCTTCATTATTGATATACCTCTCATTTTGATTGTCCAAGTTGTTTGTTTTGTAAAAATAAAATACAGTTCTTATTTATTGAACACCTGTGGCACATATGGGATATGAGCATTGTGTTCAAGACAATGATATATTTTATGTTATGCAGATTTTACCATAGTAAAAATATATAGATGGTGTATAGAATAACAGAAATTGAAATTGGTGTGCCATCTTTTGAAGAGAGGTTAGCAAATGAGAAAGGCTGTATGCAAGTTTTCCAGGTGTCGGTGCTTTTTAAAAATCCCCTTCAGTGTAGATAGGACATAGGCTAGTGCTAGTGGAAAAGCATAGGCAGCCTACTTTGACACTCCTGAAATTTTCATTTATATGTCAAAAAGGACGTGGAACCAGGTGGAAGGGAAAGTGTGGTTTTATTTTCATTTTGTTTCCTTCCCTTAATGGTGGTAAGATCATCAATTTATTTATTTTACAGACACCTCTTTTCAGAAGAGTATTTGAAGTGAGTAAACATAGTTTTCTGTCTGCCCTCTTTACCTTTTCTCCTTATTCTCTCAGACACGCTTAAGTGTCTGTCTTGAAGTGATCATTCATATGGCTGTTGTAACTGGAAGAATACAGGGAAGCTTCTTGGCTGCATTTCAGGAATATGTAAAGCACTGAAACCTTTTAGACTGACTTTCTCTTTAGTGCGGAATAGTCTGATTGTGTGTGCAGGCAGGAAGTACAGGCTGTCATAGTTCTCATGCATGGGTACCCTGATGATTGAGGTAGGACAGACCTGTGCTTTAACCATTCATTAGACAGAGTTGTGTCTGTGTAGAAGTATGTAGAAGTATTTTAAATAATTGGATGAGTAGCGTTTCATGCCTTTGATATTATTTATAACTAGTCACATAATTTACATATCTCCATTTTAGTAAATATTTCACCTCTGCCAGTTTCCAAGTTGGAATTGGAGTGGGGATTATTCGGAGAAATTACTGAAAGCTTTTGGTAAATTACTACCACATGTCAGGAAAAAAATGCAGAATTACCATTATTGCATTTGTATATGTAATTCTTTTTAAAGACTTGGCTACTTTGATACTGAATGCTGAAAGTAAAATCAGCCTACCATAGGGGAGATAAGGTGAGAGACAAAAGTGTGCATTTTCTCTTCAGAATTACGGAGTTAGTGGGGTGTAGGAGGGAGGATAAAGATGTGAAAAAATGTGATATAGTTGTTATTAGAAAACATGTATTTTTTCAGAAATGCAGGACTGAAATTCTAGCACTTTTTTTTAGCCACAGGCAGGTCCTAGGTAATAAAGGCCGAAAGTCTCAAACTAACTAATGATTCGAGGTGGTAAATAGGGCTTTAAGACCTAATTTGCTAAGAAGTTATCTTTTAAAAATTATTCAGATCTGACTAAAATATGAACTCGGGCTGTCTGTAAATAGAAAATTATGAACAAGAAATAATGAAGCTGGATGCTATGTTAGTTAACTCAGTTATTCTTTTGAATAGCAGTAGTTGTTATTAGTTTGTTGTATTTTTGTAAATAAGAAATAGTGCATTTGAATTTTTTCAGTGTTGAATGAGTTTTACCTGTCCTGAATTTTCCAGCAGTTATTTGTCTAGTATAGTACCTGGCACCCTTAAGTTATTCGATAAATATTTGCTTAATGTTTTTTGAATGAAAGAAGCTCAATCCTCCTAAGTAATATTATTTAATAGTTATCATAAAAAGTAGGGTCTTATTTAGCCCTACATTATTCTTGTAGTAGAACTAGATATAAAATCTTAATTTGCTAATTTTTCCATTTCTGGACACTAGCTCAACTCTTTAGTCATAATCTGTTCTTTGGAATAGATGAAATATTTTATATTTAATTCTAGGAGAGATCAGTGTATATTGTTTTAGGTAATAAACTGTGGTTTTCACTTTAATACAGGAAAAACAGATAAACTGAGATTAACAGATACATCATTCTGGTTTTATATAAAGGACTAAAGAGTGCCTTCCTTTTATCTAAAGAGCTATTGCAAATGTAAACTCGTTTACTAATTTGCAAGATAGCATCAGAATTAGAAGAAATACGGTTTAAAAATAATGAACTTTTAGGGGTCAAAGGTTCACCTAAATGTCCGTAAATACAAGTACTAGATGTAATGATTTTGATTTAGACAAGAATAGGTCATTTTATTAGGTCATGCTCATATAAACTTCTCTTAGCCTCTGGCTATATAACTCATCCATCCCTGGTCTTACCTATAGGTGGATAAAACAAAACAGTAGGAAGATTCTGTCACACTAGATTCATGGAGCCTCTAAACAGTTCTCATCATGAAGCATAAGATTTGTGATTTTGACAGCTTGCAGTGAGACCTGTGCTTATGTTCTGTATTTTCTGTCACAGGGAGAAGAAGAGTTTGATATGCCTCAGCCTCCACATGGCCATGTCTTACATCGTCACATGAGAACAATCCGGGAAGTACGCACACTTGTCACTCGTGTCATTACAGATGTGTATTATGTGGATGGAACAGAAGTAGAAAGAAAAGTAACTGAGGTAATACATACTCTGAGTCTGTGTGGCAAATTTCTTTCTTTCTTTTTTTTTTTTTTTTGGAGACAGGGTCTTACTTTGTTACCTAGGCTGGAATGCAGTTGCGTGATTTTGTTTCACTGCAGCCTCTGCCTCCCAGGCTCAAGTGATCCTTCTGCCTCAGCCTCCCTTGCAGTTGGTTCTACAGGCATGAACCACCAAGCCTGGCTAATTTTGTTTATTTTTTGGATGGACAAGGTCCCACTGTGTTGCCCAGGCTGATCTTGAACTCCTAGGCTTAAGTGATCCTTCTGCTTTGGCCTCCCAAAGTGCTGGGATTACAGGCATGAGCTATTGTCCCTGACCCCACATTTCTTTCTATAGAAAAATTCTCTTGACTTTCTACCCCATCCCGCTTTCCTGTGCAACACTTTGTTTTTCTTCATCTTTTTATTACCAGAGATAGAAGAACAGGGTTAGAAGTTAGACTTCCTGCTTTCTAAAGCTTTCCCCAGCCATAGGTTTGCTGTTTGACCATTGGTTAGTTATTTAATGCATCCCATCATGCTTTCCTTTTCTGTAAAGAACAGACTGATAAATCTCTCTCATGTATAAAGATTGTATGTATTATTTTAAATCCTTAGAAACTCAAATGGAGTTTAGAACACTCCGTTTCAAACTACCTGTGTTTTCTCACATATTTTCATGTCTACTCATTCTGTTCTTTATTTGTCACTATCTGTGTGTGGTCATAGACCTGTTGGTAAGAAATGCACCTTTATTTTTTAGTGGGATTCATTATAGACTCATTACAAATGTCAGCTCAGTATTGGCATTTAGTGACTGTTTGTTATCTTGAATGGCATACTATGCTGACTTTGTTTACATCTAATAATGAGAGAGATTAGACAGATTTTCTAGAATTAAAGATCTGGGACCTTTGTTGGTATATGTTAAGATCTGGGAACCATTTTATTGGTTGGTAAGAGGCACAGCTATTTTCTTTTTTTTTTTTTTTTTTTGAGGCAGAGTCTTGCTCTGTTGCCCAGGCTAGAGTGCAGTGGTGCAATCTCAGCTCACTGCAACCTCCGCCTTCCTGGTTCAAGTGATTTTCCTGGCTCGGCCTCCCAAGTCGCTGGGATTGCAGGCACCCGCCACCGTGCCTGGCTAATTTTTTTTTTTTTTTGTATTTCTAGTAGAGACGGGGTTTCACCATCTTGGCCAGGCTGGTCTTGAACTCCTGACCTTGTGCTCAGGCCTCGGCCTCCCAAAGTGCTGGGATTGGAGGTGTGAGCCACCGCGCCCGGCAAGGCACAACTGTTTTCTTCCTTTACCCAGATACTTTCCTTTAATTCTATCTGCTGGCCGTGTAGGAGGTTGTACTCAGGGAGAGTTAAACTCTAGTGTATAGTTTTATTAAATAGAACATATTATTACTATTTTTCAGTGGGCTATTGTGGCCCTCATGTCAGATAACATTTGATGTTAGTTTGAGGAATTGTTGTTTGTTTTACTATCCACAGATTATTCAGATTTCATTGGTTTTACAGACACTCATTGAGTAATTGTTTTTTATTCCTTTTTTTTTTTTTTTTTTTTTGACACAGAGTCTCACTCTGTTGCCCAGGTTGGAGTGCAGTGGCCTGATCTTGGCCTTCTGGAGCCTCTGTCTCCTGGGTTCAAGCGATTCTCCTGCCTCAGCCTCCTGAGTAGCTGGGATTATAGGTGTGTGCCACCATGCCCAGCTAATTTTTGTGTTTGTAGTAGAGATGGGATTTCACCATGTTGGCCAGGCTGGTCTCAAACTCCTGATCTCAAGTGATCTGCCTTGGCCTCCCAAAGTGCTGGGATTACAGGCGTGAGCCACTGCGCCCGGCCTGTTTTTTATTCTTTGTGTATACCAAATACCAGAAATAATTCTTTTAAAATACTGCTTTATCTTCATTTTAAAAATATTTTTTGTTTTTTTTTTTTTGAGACGGAGTCTCGCTCTTTGGCCCAGGCTGGGGTGCAGTGGCGCTACCTCGGCTCACTGCAAGCTCCGCCTCCTGGGTTCACGCCATTCTCCTGCCTCAGCCTCCCAAGTAGCTGGGACTACAGGTGCCCGCCACCGCGCCCGGCTAATTTTTTGTATTTTTAGTAGAGACAGGGTTTCACCGTGTTAGCCAGGATGGTCTCGATCTCCTGACCTCGTGATCCGCCTGCCTCAGCCTCCCGATTAAAAATGTTTTAAAAAGATTTTTGTTCGTGGAACTTTTTTCATGTTATTACTATTTTGGAGAAATTATGAAAAGCAGTTTGCCTTCATGAAAATTTTTGTAACTGTTGTAGTCCACATTAAACTCTGTGCCTAGTACACTACATTAAGTGTTAAACACATTACTTCATTTCTTAAAATATATTTTTTATTTTTATGTTTGGAGACAGGGTCTCGCTCTTTTGCCCAGGCTGGAGTGCAGTGGTATGATCACAGCTCACTGCAGCCTTGACCTCCTGGCTCAAGGGAGCCTCCCACCTCAGCCTTCTGAGTAGCTGGGACCATAGGCACACGCTACCACATCTGCTAATTTTTGTATCTTTTGTAGAGATGGGGTTTCACTGTGTTGCCCAGACTGGTCTTGAACTCTGTTCTCAAGTGATCTTCCTGCCTTGGCCTCCCAAGGCAATGGGATTACAGGCATGAGCTACTGTGCTGCTAGGCCCATTTAGTATTTTATATGGTGCTTTCTAAAGTATATTTCTGGAAACAGCAGGCCTCTTAGACAGTTTGATGGAGGGAAAAGGTTCCATGGTCCTGAGAAACATGAAACGCTCTCTTAGTCTGTTTTCTGTTGCTATATTTAAACACCTGAGACTGGATAATTTATAAATAAAAGAAATTTATTTCTTAGTCTAGGAGGCTGGGAAGTCCAAGGTCAAGGGGCTACATCTGGTGAGGGCCTTCTTGCTGGAGGGGACTCTGAAGAGTCCCGAGGCAACACAGGGTATCACATTGCCAGGGGCCTTACAAAAGAGAACCAAATTAGTTTTTATAACAGACCCACTCTGGTGATAACTAACCCACTCCTGTGATAACTCATTAATCTGTTAGCTCGTAATTCCGTTAATCCATGAATGAACTAATCCATTCATGAGGGCAGAGCCCTTATGACTCAATCACCTCTTAAAGGTCTTACTTCTTGGTACTGTTACATTGGGTATTAAATTTCAACATGTGTTTTGGAGGGGCAGACGTTCAAACCATAGCACGCCATTAATCCCTGTCCCCACTAACATGAAAATTCACATATTACCATATTAAAAGTTCTAAGAAGTCCTCTAGTAAGGATACCTATTTTATTCTGTTTAACCCAGCACTTCCCAAACTTACATGACCATTAGCATTTTTTAAAGTAATACCTGTTTTTTCCCTATGGAAGATAGTTTGGGAAGCACTACTAAACTTAAATAATGATAGTGACTAGCGTTTATTGAGCACATACTATGTGCCAGGCATTATTCTAAGCACTTTAGTGAATTATTTAATTCTTAACAACTATTCTGTGATAGATCCAGTTATTATTCTCATTTTGCAGATGTGAAAACACAAGTGTATCTAGTTAAAATAGGCCACTGAGAATGATGACAGAAGTAGGAATGGGGAAGGTAGAGAGGTTATGAAGCTAAGGTCTTCATGCATGAGAGAGGGTGATTTGGAGAATGTTAGTGGATAACAACTAGGGAAGGGGTGAAGATAGTTTTAAGAAAGTGGCAAATAGTGGTTTTGAAGGAGAGGAGGTGGGGAAATAGAAATGGTCTGTAAATGGCAGTGGGGAGCAAGGAGGTATCTCATCTCAAAATTCTTGAATGGAGGTTCGGCTGAAAGAAACCAGTCTCTGCTAGAAAGAGCTGTAGGAGATGTGAGATGCACTGGGGATATCTAGGATTTATTCATTGAAGGCAGAGAAATGGAGGGAAGATCACAGATTGTTTTGGATCTGTTGAATTTCAGGTGTTTGTGGTAAATCCAAGGGGAAGACTAGTAGAAATTTGTATAAGCTGAGTCATCATTGTATTCTTGGTAGCGAGGTAAGGATGAGTGTGGTGAGACTGACCAGGGAAAGCATGTGAGAGTGAGAAAAGGAATAAAAACAGAGTCCTGGGAAATACCGATTTTAAAGGAACACACAGAGAAAGAGGAACCCAAAGAAGCATAAATAGAAGTAGCCAAAAAGGTAGACTGAAAGAAAGAGAAAAGTACTTTTATGGATTTTAAAGGAGGAGAGATTTTCAAGAAGGGAGGGATCAGAGATAATTATTTCATCATTTTATAGTATTATCTAAATGTATATGTATGTGTGTCATTATATACAGTCTCCCCATGGGGATTTTTTTTTTTTTTTGAGGTGGAGTCTCACTCTGTTGTCCAGGCTGGAGTGCAGTGGCACAATCTTAGCTCACTGCAGCTCCATCTCCCAGGTTCACATGTGATTCTTCTGCCTCAGCTTTTCGAGTACCTGGGAGTACAGGAGTGCACCACCATGCCCGGCTATTTTTTTTGTGTTAGTAGAGACGGGGTTTCACCATGATGGCCAGACTGGTCTTGAACTCCTGACCTCAAGTGATCCACCTGCCTCTGCCTCCCAAAGTGCTGGGATTACAGGCGTGAGCCACCATGCCTGGCCTCCCAAAAGGAATTCTAAACTCTTTGAGGGAAGGATCTATCTTATACATCTCCATATCCTCTCTGGCAATTAACATAATATTGCGTGAACATTCTAGACTAGGAAGGCAGATGTGTCATACTCATGCTATAATTTCTCTATGCTGTGCCCATAGCGAACATTGCTGATTGGTCTTAGAATCTTTTCCCACTAAGTCTGGGATTTAGCCTCCAGAAGGCTTCTTAAAACTGAGCACCAGGCAGCTACTACCAATTTATCAAAGTAGGCATCCGAGATAAAGCCAGTTTGACTTTCTTGTAGTCTATAGATACTTATAACCTTTTTGTCCTTCATTTTTCCAAATGGTAATACTATTTTAGCCTTTTTTGTTGTTGTTGTTGTTGAGACAGGGTCTCATGCTATTACCTAGGCTGGAGTACAGTGGCATGATCCCGGCTCACTGCAGCCTTGACTTCCAAGCTCAAGTGATCCTCCCACCTCAGCCTCCCAAGTAGCTGGGACTACAGGTGTGCACTCCCACGCCTGGCTAATAGTTTTATTTTCATATGGAGACCTGTTCTCACTATGTTGCCTAAGGTGGTCTCAAGCTCCTGGACTCAAGCAGTCCTTCTGCCTTGGCCTCCCAAAGTGCTGGGATTACAGGCGTGAGCCACCACACCTGACCCCTTTTAGCCTATTTTTGCATATACTTTTCTATTGCCTTGATCAGTTATTGAAAGGTAATGTAAAATAACCAATGTCAAAACATGTAATGCTGTCCACTGTTAATGAAGTACCTAGAAGGGCTCCTGACCACTCATTTTCTCCTCTCACCTGCCTACCTCCTTCCCTGTCTTCTCTCAGATAAGAATTTACTTCTGTCGTCTAGGTTAGAATCTTTGCTGGTAGCCAGAGGTTGTGAACTTATCCAATAAAAAGATAAACTCTTTCTTACCAATATAGTACCATGTTTATTTTATATTTTATTGAGATACAGTATAGTCCCATTAGAATGAACAATTCTTCTCAGAATCACCTGGGGGAGAAAAAAAAAAGAACAGATCCTAAATGTTCAGTTCAGTGGCTTTTGAAAATTTTATCTAACCACTACTCAAAACAGATACAGAACATTCCCATTATTCCAGAAAGTCTCCTGATTCTCACCTTTTTGAATTATAATTTTGTGCCATCTGTAGGATTTTCCAACCATCATATTAGCATTGTGTTATTATGGCATCTTTTATCTTCTGTATCTATTTTTTCCTTGCAGGAGACTGAAGAGCCAATTGTAGAGTGTCAGGAGTGTGAAACTGAAGTTTCCCCTTCACAGACTGGGGGCTCCTCAGGTGACCTGGGGGATATCAGCTCCTTCTCCTCCAAGGCATCCAGCTTACACCGCACATCAAGTGGGACAAGTCTCTCAGCTATGCACAGCAGTGGAAGCTCAGGGAAAGGAGCCGGACCACTCAGAGGGAAAACCAGCGGGACAGAACCCGCAGATTTTGCCTTACCCAGCTCCCGAGGAGGCCCAGGAAAACTGAGGTGCAGACAGGGTCTCCAGAGAGAGAGAGCCACAGCAGGGGCAGGGTTGCTGACATTTTAATATCACAGGAAAAGGGGAGTAATGGGAAATCCCCCATCCTCCATTAAAGATAAATCAACTACCCCTCTTCACTATTTGCTCTCTTCCTGTTTTGGGTTTGTGTGGGAAGTAGGGTGGAGCCCTGTGGCAGGTAGACTTCATTGGCAAAGCAGCCCCTGAGAAAATGTAGGTAACAGGGGAGGGGACTTTCGGGAATTTATCATCTGGTGGGCACTGCTTCTACCACAGCCTTTATATGATTTAGTTGGGAGTACAGGAAGTTTGGGATAGTAGCCCAAACTTAATGCATCTCCTAGCTTTTTGTTATTCTTTGCAGGTGTCCAGAGCCTAAAGTAGAGGAGAAGGCATAGCAGAAATTGGGTGTGCTGTTTTTGCAGCAGCAGTAGGAAGCTTTGTCAGAGGGAATAGACTTACATGAAGGAGAATGTCCTTTACTTGTTATCCCACGCTCCCCACTCCCTGCATGAGATTTTGGTGGTGGGTGTGTGAACCAGCTTCCTGCTGCCCCAAAGGCTCAGCACATGTAGGCCTGTCATGTAGTCTGAGGGCCAAGGGGAGACTTTGTGAAGAAAAGATTCAGTAGCAGGTGCTATCAGACTAACTTGTCTTCATTCTCTAGTCCTAGAAAAGGGGTCAGTCAGACAGGGACGCCAGTGTGTGAGGAGGATGGTGATGCAGGCCTTGGCATCAGACAGGGAGGGAAGGCTCCAGTCACGCCTCGTGGGCGTGGGCGAAGGGGCCGCCCACCTTCTCGGACCACTGGAACCAGGTACCTGGGTAGTGTAAGATATACTTAGTCTGTTGTTCAGAAAACAAGGGAATGGAGGAGAGGGGAGTAGAGAGTTTGTGGGGTGTCAGGAGGGAGAAGAGGGGCCATACTGACTGGGGAGTGGGCAGGGATCAGAGTGAGGCCACAGAGAGACCAGGCTCATGCCTGTGATGGGGTTTTTAAAGAATGGGCTGAGGAGACCCATGGACAAAGGAGTGGAAAAATTGGTAGATATATACTTCTGTGTTCTTGTTCTCACCGGCTTCTCCTATCCCCTATCTCTCTTTAGAGAAACAGCTGTGCCTGGCCCCTTGGGCATAGAGGACATTTCACCTAACTTGTCACCAGATGATAAATCCTTCAGCCGTGTCGTGCCCCGAGTGCCAGACTCCACCAGACGAACAGATGTGGGTGCTGGTGCTTTGCGTCGTAGTGACTCTCCAGAAATTCCTTTCCAGGCTGCTGCTGGCCCTTCTGATGGCTTAGATGCCTCCTCTCCAGGAAATAGCTTTGTAGGGCTCCGTGTTGTAGCCAAGTGGTCATCCAATGGCTACTTTTACTCTGGGAAAATCACACGAGATGTCGGAGCTGGGAAGTATAAATTGCTCTTTGATGATGGGTACGAATGTGATGTGTTGGGCAAAGACATTCTGTTATGTGACCCCATCCCGCTGGACACTGAAGTGACGGCCCTCTCGGAGGATGAGTATTTCAGTGCAGGTAATGAAAGAAGCAGAGTTTGTAGAGATTTTTTTGTGCCTTGGGGCAATAATACTCTGTTATGTTAGTAGTTACCAAGACATTACTTGGTACTTTTCCAGTGTCTCTAAAGTCAGAAATTTCATTCCTACAAAATTGGTTACTCTTGCCACTGACTTTTCTGTTTGTTCATTTGTTTTTGAATAAACTTATTTTGGAATATTTTAGATGATTTACAGAAAATTTGCGAAGTACAAAGTACTGCTAGTACAGAGAGTTCCTGTATACCCCTCATCCAGCTTTCCCTATTGTTGACATCTGGTGTTAGTATGGGACGTTTGTCAAAACTAAAAATCCAACCTTGGTGTATTACTATTCACAAAACTTTAGACTTTATTTGGATTTCACTAGCTTTTCCATCATGTCCTTTTTCTCTTCCAGCATCCAACATTGCATTTAGTCATCACATACCCTTTGGTCTGCTCTGATTTGTGGCAATTTCTCAGTCTTTTGTTTTTCATGACCTTGACAGTTTTGGGGAGTCCTGGTCAGGTATTTTGTGGAATGTCCCTCCATTTGGATTTGTCTAATATTTTCTCATTAGACTGGAGTTATGGGATATTTTAAAAATAATGCCACATAGATGGGTGGGTGTGGTAGCTCATGCCTGTAATTCCAGCACTTTGGGAGGCCAAAGCAGGGGGATCACTTGAGGTCAGGAGTTTGAGACCAGGCTGAAACATAGTGAGACCCTGTCTCTCAAAAAAAAAAAAAAAAAAAAAAAAAAAAGGAACATAAATTAGCTGGGCATGGGGGCACATGCTTGTTGTCGTAGCTACTCAGGAGGATGAGGCAGGCGGATTGCTTAAGCTCAGGAGTTTGAGTCCACAGTGAGCTATGATCATGACACTGCACTCCAGCCTGGGAAACAGTGAGACCCTGTCTCTTAAAAAAAAATATGCCACAGAGGTGAAATGCCCTTCTCATGTTATCATATAAGGACCTGGGAAGGTTTGTGATGTATCCACATGACATCACTGATGCAGGATGTTAATCTTCATCACTGGTTAAGGTTGTATTTGCCAGATTTCTTCACTTTTTTTTGAAACAGTCTCACTCACTCTGTTTCCCAGGCTAGAGTGCAGTGGCGCAATCTAGGCTCACTGCAACCTCTAGCTTCCGGGTACAAGTGAGTCTCCTGCCTCAGTCTCCTGAGTAGCTAGGATTACAGGTGTGCCCCACCAGACCCGGCTAATTTTTGTATTTTTAGTGGGGATGGCATTTCGCCATATTGGCCAGGCTGGTCTCAAACTCCTGAGCTCAGGTGATCTACCTGCCTTGGCCTCCCAAAATGCTGGGTTTGCAGGCGTGAGCCACTGCAAGAGAGGGACAGGTGGCCTTCTCTAAAGTTAGTGTTTTTCCCTTTCCATACTCTCTTCTTTTTTAAAGCTTAGCTACCTGCTTTGATTGGAACCCAGTAGGTGATATTGAGATATTTTTGCTTAGGGAGAAGTTTTTAGTGCTGTGTCTGTATGACTGCACATCTACCACTTATTCTCTGGTTTGAAGAACAGTGCCTTTTTATTTTTGAAGTAGGTAATATTGGTGATAGTGAGAGGTTTATGCTTGTGGTTATGCTTGTTGTTATTGTTTCATGTGCTAGTTCTTTGAATATATTGTCTCCTTTCTATGGAAATAATTTGAAGATACCTATTTGTGTTGAGTTTGTCATTTAAAAACATCTTTCTGAGGACTTTTTGAACATGGATTGGCATATAATGGGGGAAAATGGCTTTCTTTCTATCTTTTTTTTTTTTTTTGAGACACAGTTTCACTCTGCCTCCTAGACTGGAGTGCAGTGAGTGGCGTGATCTTGGCTCACTGCAACCTCTGCCTCCTGGGTTCAAGTGTTTCTCGTGCCTCAGCCTCCCGAGTAGCTGGGTTTACAGGCACGCACCACCACACCTGGCTAATTTTTTTTTGTGTTTTTCGTAGAGATGGGGTTTCGCCACATTGGCCAGGCTGGTCTCGAACTCCCAACCTCAACTTATCTGCCTGCCTCAGCCTCCCAAAGTGCTGGGATTACAGACGTGAGCCACCATGCCCAGCCAAAAAATGGATTTTTTTTTTTTTTTTTTTTTTTTTAAAAACAGAGCCTTGCTCTGTCGCCCAGGCTGGAGTGCAATGGCACGATCTTGGCTCACTGCAACCTCCGCCTCTGGTGTTCAAGTGATTCTCTTGCCTCAGCCTCCCAAGTAGCTGGGATTACAGGTGCATGCCACAACACCTGGTTAATCTTTGTATTTTTAGTAGAGACAGGGCTTTGCCATCTTGGTCAGGCTGGTCTTGAATTCCTGACCTCAAGCCATCCACCCGCCCCAGCCTCCCAAAGTGCTGGGATTACAGTAGTGAGCCACTGCTCCCGGCTGGAAAAATGGCTTTCTGTTGGAGTCCATCCAGGCTTCTCTTGTATTTGGAATCCTCTGAGTAATTGTTGTTTGCCCTTTGTTCATTATTAAATGGGCCACTTCACCTTCTAGTTCTGGATAACATTGTTAGCTATATATGGGATCAGTTGGGAGTAGCACATGGATTGGGGTCTTTTATTGTGACTCATAGTTTGTATGTATCAAATGCATTCGTTCTTCTTTCAGGTGTAAAGCTACTCTTAGGGGTTCATATTTGGCCTTTTAAAGACGGAGTTCTGTAACAAGAGTGAACTGTGGCATCAAGGTGTGGGGATTCTGTGTCCCATTTCTTGAGGCTGTTTGCTCATGTCAACACTAGACTACTTCTAGTTCTAGTAGCTCTTCATTAGTGTGAAGTATATTGTTGGCCTTGGGCTTCTTTGTGTTTTTGAGGGAGTCTTTGTGACTTAGTTTGGGGATAGAGATTTAAGCTAGGAGATGAACAAGTAAGGGAAAAGGGAGTGATTCCACAGGATAGATAGAGAACCAAGGCTTGCTTTCTCTGTGTTATTTTCCTTGGGTGGGGTAGGCTCTGGGTTTCTTTTAGCTCTTCATTCAAGCATAGGCTAATGGGTGAGAAGAAATTGGACCCTTCTGTTTATAGGAATGAAAAAATATTCATAGTAATGCCTTGTTTTTGTATTGTATATGTGTGTGGGGGTGGGGGGGTGTGTATCTATAGCTATAGTATGTGTGTGTGTTGTAAATTGTTTATTCATTGATAGGAAGAAGTGTTCTTTTTCACAGGCTTAGTAATGGGTCCTGCCCAAGATCACACAGCTTGGTGGCAGCAGAATTAGGCCTAGGCTCAGTTCTCCTGAATTATAGCTTAGTTTCCTTTTACATCCCACATTTTGTTCCTTTTAACATAAAGGCCTTATCAGGTTTTGAATCAGAGCAGGAAAGTAGATAATAGAGAGGAAGATTAGGTAGGAGAGGCAGGATCTGTTTTTTCCTTTCTTTGCTCTCTAATTTTGCTACACACACAGAGAGAAAACACACACATGCTGTCTCTCTTAGAATGATGTCATTTTTCACCTACAGCTTAACTCAAGACTTACTACTCAGCCTCCCAGGGAACCAAGAAGGAAATGTTTAGAAGTTATAATGGAATTGTTAGGAAACCACATGCCATTTCACTTCACGGAAATCATTTGAACCACCAGCAATCCACAATGGCTGTCTTTGGGAAGCTTTATTTTATAACTAAAGGCTACCTTCTGTCAAGAAACTTTCCTTGTCCTAATCCCAGTGTAGTAGCTACATATATCCTAAGTGTTACTGTTTGGGATTGACAACTGGAATTTTGTTAAGTCCTAACTTCAGTCCACTGTTGGATCTCTAAATTCCCTAACTCAGGCCTGCTTTACAGAGCCCTTGTGAGAGGGTGCTAAGGAGCCTAAGACAACAGCAAGCTTCTTTTATGCTTTCCACCCCCCAGGAGTGGTGAAAGGACATAGGAAGGAGTCTGGGGAACTGTACTACAGCATTGAAAAAGAAGGCCAAAGAAAGTGGTATAAGCGAATGGCTGTCATCCTGTCCTTGGAGCAAGGAAACAGACTGAGAGAGCAGTATGGGCTTGGCCCCTATGAAGCAGTAACACCTCTTACAAAGGCAGCAGATATCAGCTTAGGTAAGACTTTTGCTTCCTGAACAGCTGCTTTTGGGCTCCTGTTCTGCTTACAGTGGGAGGAGATTCTGGACCTGTCAGTAATGTTTCCCTAACTTTTATTATTCCTATGTGTGGCTTCTCAGATGGTGGATGAGCTGTCATTTTCTAGAGCTGCTGCCTTACCTGTTTCCTTCTTAGTACCAAACAGAAAGTCCTTAGGGTTTTTCTGGCCTCCTCAGTTCTATAGGGGACTAAACACATTTCAGTCATGGCAAAGACTAGATAAAAAATATGGCCTTAAAAAGAAGCTTCTTGGCCTCATGGGAAGTGGGGGAAGGAACACTGTGGTGTCTGAATCAGGGTCTGCCCAGTTTCTTGGAGTTCAGGGCCTCATACCATAGAGTTTGACCAACCTGTTTGGCTTATCCTGCCATAGACAATTTGGTGGAAGGGAAGCGGAAACGGCGCAGTAACGTCAGCTCCCCAGCCACCCCTACTGCCTCCAGTAG
Source organism: Homo sapiens (assembly GCF_000001405.40). Taxonomy (NCBI): domain Eukaryota; kingdom Metazoa; phylum Chordata; class Mammalia; order Primates; family Hominidae; genus Homo; species Homo sapiens. Next base: position 43,415,736 of record NC_000015.10, on the reverse strand, counting down.
CAGCAGCACAACCCCTACCCGAAAGATCACAGAAAGTCCTCGTGCCTCCATGGGAGTTCTCTCAGGCAAAAGAAAACTTATCACTTCTGAAGAGGAACGGTCCCCTGCCAAGCGAGGTCGCAAGTCTGCCACAGTAAAACCTGGTAAGTGCTCCTTTTTGCCTCATTCTTCCTTCAGACCATGGCAGAATGCAGGGTCAGCTGCTGGAAAAATGGAGCTTAATATGTGGCAGTGGCCCTTCTGTCCTGCTATAAAGTCGGGGTCCTGCCCAAGCCCACAGGTGATATTCAGGGACAGCTCACTGTATCCCTCCTCCCCCATCCCCTACAGACTCTAGTGCGGGTAGATAGCAAGGCCAGAATTAGCTGAGTGTGGTGGCGGGCGCCTGTAATACCAGCTACTGGGGAGGCTGAGGTGGGAGAATCGCTTGAACCCAGGAAGGCGGAGGTTGCAGTGAGCCGAAATTGCACCATTGCACTCCAGCCTGGGCAACAAGAGTGAAACTTGGTCTCCAGAAAAAAAAAAAAAAAAAAAGAAGGCCAGGACTTGATCACACCATTCTTTGACTACTGTGTGGGTTCTAGGAGGGAAAGGAGAAGTATTGAAATGTAAGCAGATTCAAAATAGGTGTAATTTCTCTTTGCCTGCACCATCTTCTTCCTGGAAATTCTGCTCCCCTCTCTCTTGTGCTTAGGCCCTCTAGCTTTCTCAGACTTCCTATTGAAACATGGCTGGGCATGGTGGCTCACACCTGTAGTCCCAGCACTTTGGGAGGCCGAGGTTGGGGGATCACTTGAGGTCAGGAGTTCAAGACCAGCCTGGCCAACCTGGCAAAACCCCATCTCTACTAAAAATACAAAAAAAGTAGCTATGAGTGGTGGCACATGCCTGTAGTCCCAGCTTCTCCGGAGGCTGAGGCAGTAGAATCATTTGAACCTGGGAGGCAGAGGTTGCAGTGAGCCGAGATCACGCCACGGCACTCCATCCTGGGTGACAGAGTGAGACTCCATCAAAAAAAAAAAAAGTCATATTTCAGTATGCTCTTCCCTCTCCCCATTATCCCCGAAACAACCCCTTTCCAGTCCCTAGCATTCAATAATTAAGAAAGGAGTTCATTCCATCTGTTGTTCATTGAGTCCCTACTGTGACCCAGGCCCAGCTGCTATGGGTTCAGGAGATTACAGAGGTAAAATCAGTCTATTCCCTTTTGGAACTTTCTCAGGCTAGCAAACTGATGAAACTCCATTGATTGTTACATTGTCCTGGCACCAGAGCTTCTTTTGTTTCCTATGTATTTGAATTGTGTCATCTCCTTATCTACCCAACTGCTGCTGTGTTTCAGGGTATTTAAAAACAATAGTTCATTGAATATTTACTGTATGAGGCATAGCACTCAGTACTTCACACATAATACCTCACATACAATCCTTATGAAGTATAGGTGCTAGAAGGAGTTTTCCAGTTGAAGACTTTGAGGCACAGAAAAGTTGGCTAACTTTCCCAAGATGACAAAGTAAGCCAGGATTCAAACTTTGGTGGTCTTCACTTCTAATTCCAGCCTCGTTCATATAACGTCATATTGCCTCTGAGACTGTTTTCTTGCTCCTGGTTTTATTTTAGGGAGGCATGCATGACCTGTCTGTCATCTTAGCCTCCTAATGAACCTACGATTCAGCTTCTCCAGGTCAGGTATCTGTTTTTTTTCTCAAGGACTTATTGGGGGCACTCTTGGCATGGGTGTTCTGGCTGGCTGGTTCACTTACTTACCCAGGTGTTGAAAACTAATTCAGTTGAGGCAGGCTATTTTGATGTGGCACCATCTATGTGTAAAAACACTTTATTACCAAGTATTCTCTGCACCATTCTGGTGACGGTCAGTGATGGGGTGGGAGGATCTATCTACAAGGGGCATTTCTTGATAATAAAAAAGTGTTGGGTTTTTTTTTTTTTCCAAAGGCTGCTTCAAAATATCTCATACCCTGGGGGAAATCAGAGCACGGGACAGAGAAAGTGGGCTGAAGATTTCCAAACATTTTTCACTCTCACCTACTATTTCTTTGTATTAGAACCACCTCTTTCTTCAGATGACCTCAGAAGTATTTGGTGTGGCTATATGAAAACAATACTTGGTTAATTTTCATTTATGAAAACACTGTATACATTATCATGACTGTGTAAAATTTAAATATGTAAATTTCTCTTTGTTGTAAATTTTATCCTAGGCTGTCGGCCATTTAGAATGGTTGGCCATTGGAATGGTCTTTGGTTTCTGGCTCAGATAAGTTCATCAGGACAGTGCCTGCCCATCAGGTCATGCTTGGTGCTGGGGCCTTTTGGTGTTAAGGCTTTTGCTGAGGCAATGGTGTGTATCCCTCTAGTAACTGTGCCCCTGTCCTTCCCAGGTGCAGTAGGGGCAGGAGAGTTTGTGAGCCCCTGTGAGAGTGGAGACAACACCGGTGAACCCTCTGCCCTGGAAGAGCAGAGAGGGCCTTTGCCTCTCAACAAGACCTTGTTTCTGGGCTACGCATTTCTCCTTACCATGGCCACAACCAGTGACAAGTTGGCCAGCCGCTCCAAACTGCCAGATGGTCCTACAGGAAGCAGTGAAGAAGAGGAGGGTAAGGCCTTAGGAAGCCCTGGGAGCTCTGACACATAGGCACTTCTTTCTTTTCCAGTCACTTATGAGCTGGTGGTCCCCCTGTTGTATGTAGAGGAGGCAAGGCAAGTAGCAACTGGGATCTTGGTCACAGAAATTACTCTGTATCCTGCTTTTTAACAGTTTCTAGACTGTTTTCACAAAATTCCTCTCAGTGAGTGGTTCCTGAAAACAATCCTGTGAGGCAGATGGGAGATAGATCTTATCTATTTTATGGATGAGGAAACAAGTTTGGAGAGGTTAAAGGTTAAATAATTGTGTTTTTTTTGTCCACAATAATGACAAACCTGTGACTAGAGCTCTGTCATTTTAGCCTACTGCAACCATCCAAGTCAATCAGGTCTGAATGCCCTGCCATCTTCCCCATTTGCGTTCTATGGGCATCTGCTAGAGCAAACCCATGTGGAGGGTAAGGTTCATTCTCCTGAGGTCTAAGACTGGGACTGTGGGGTGCCTGGTTCCTCAGGGTGATTGCAAAGAAACAGCTTCTAGGCCTTTTCAACTCTTATACCTCTCTTTAACCTTAAATTAAATCTGTACATTGCATTTATTTCTGTGTTGTCTGTTAGTTTTTGAAGGAAGGCTGCAGTGGGTAGAGGTCTGAAAAATGAGTGATCTAGGAGAGGGAATGAGCAGATATAAATGTATACACTGTAAATGTGACTGACAGCAGTATCTGAATGTGTCTGTAAAGGCTAAAGGTCCAGATGGAATGATGTTGTACAAGTTAGAGTTCTGACTAATGTTGTCTTGCAAGAGGGAATTGAATTAGGCAACATGGTTGTCATAATTTGCACCACTGGACATCTGTGAGGGTTGGCATTTCAGGTGTGTGGATGACTCTTTCCTAATTAACCAAAACTATATCTCACCGACTGCAGCCATGTGTAGATATGTACAAGGACATGGAAGGGATGATCAGGGGCAGGCTTTGGTTTGGGAGAGTTGGGCTGTGGGAGTGAGTAGATGTGGTGTGGTGGGATTTCAAGGTCCAGTGTTTGCAACACCTAGCTTGTCAAACAATCAGATAGGCACAGTGGGAATAAGGTATTTGAAGAGTTTCCTGGACAGGAAAATTGGGAGTCTTTTGAGGATTCTGCATAGAGGTGTGTCATGGCATTAAAACAGTGGTCATGGTCATGGGTTTTTTTTTCCCCCTTTTACAATATTGCTGGACTTGAAACCAGGACTTCACAAGGCAGCTGTATAGATGTTTTGTTTGTTGCTTGGTTCAGCATAGTCAAGAAAGCTGACTGGTATGAGATGCAGGCTGTCCAGTTTCATTAAAATCCGTGTGCCTGCGTGAGATGTAATAAAACTGTACTCATAAAAATAAAATGAGGCATTTGGACAGTGTTTTTGAAGGGATCTTCAGGTTTCTGATAGACAGTGTGGTTATGGTGAATGTGTCTTTATGTTGGTGCCTTCATCCTTGGGCGCAGCCCAACAGTACCAGAATCCTTGATATTTTCAGTGTATGAGAATGCTTGGGGGTTTCTCAATCTCAAGAAGGCGGAAGACATCTAATACTAAAACAATCCTCTACAGAATTATAGTTTTTAAGAAACTGTTTGGTAGATGTTACAGATAAATAGGAATTCTTAGACACCAGCTTACAACAGGAGCTCAGTAAAATATTTAAATTCATCTTATGAGATATATTTATTAATAAGTTTGGTACCTAATCTTGTTGGGTGGCACACCATCAGAGATCCTTCAGACACAGGGATTGACCCTGGAGTTGGGTTTATTTAGTACCTTCATACTTGATTTAGATGGCACGATTAACAACCTATTCATTTTAGCATCTGGCTGGGCAGGGCACTTATACCTCAAAAATGAAGAAATTGGAACCCAGACTATTTGAGAAAAATTAGAGAAACACACTGCCTAGACAGGGTAATACTTCATTAGACAAATTAAGGAAATATAATTAGGGATTAAAATCTAAGTAGACCAGTCCTGGATTAAGCAGACATAAAGTAGAAGTCTTGAGAAAAATACAGGACTGTAAGGGGTGTTGGCAGTGACTCAGCAGTAGAATCTTGGTGCTGAAGATTGTGACATGCTATATTGAGATAGCAAAAGGGTGCTATGACAAAGCTGAGAAATAGCCCTGCTGTATTCTGAGTTTCTTATAACCATTTAGAGTTTCTGTTTTGGGATTTCAATTTGAGAAGAATGTGGAGAATGCTGAATCAAGAAAAGAGCAGTAAAAGTGAATAGGTTGGCTAGTCAGAACTAAGTGGAGATGGAGACCCCTGACCTGGGGCCTCGGCGGTGCCTGAGCTCCTCCAGCAGACAACGAGGGCACTGAAGGGGGAGCCGTCATAAGGGATCTGCTCTAAGTTTTACTACTGGGTGTGAAGGGGAAGGGGAGTGGTACCGGCATTGAACCTTATGCACTGGATTGGGTTGGGTTTTAAAATTTGTGATAAAAATTTCAGTTAATTAGAACTTAATTTCCCAAAACTCCTAATTAACTAAAATCTCTAATGTCTTGCTTTTCTTTTCTTTTTTTTTTTAATGTGTTATTTATATATGAGAGGAGCAGATGACAAGAAAACAAGCTCAAATTAGATATTTGGTCAAAAGAAGCAATTTCTAATTGCCTAGGGTCATTACAGCTTCAGCCTCATCTCTCATATCTTCTACTTCACTCTCAAGACTATAGAGCAGTCATTGGTGTTCAGTGTCCTGAGGTACTTCAAGATCATCAAAGGTAGATAGTTTTCAATAAAAAGGTTGAAACAGGATTTTCTAACCTTCACTTAATCAGTTAAAATTTTAAAACCATATTTCATTGAGCATTCTGGTTTATTAAAGTTTTAGTTGTACAAGGGGGTAAAAAGGCTGATGCAGTGGTTTATAATAAACCCTTCATATATAACTTATAAAGTGTTCATCAGCTATTCATCTCCACAGAAGGCAGAACTAGAGGAAATGGGGTTTAGTTTTCAACAGGAAAGATTTAGGATAGACACAAAGGGAACTTCCTGATGGTAAGGGTTATTCAAGTTGGAATATGTCACTGTGGGAAATGATTGTGTTCCCATCCCTATCAACGGTCCGGTGCAGGAACCTTTGATGTTTTTAGGTCTAGGACCTACCTCCAGTCCTCATCTTCCCATTCCCTCCTACTCTTGTCCCTTCTTTTGGCAGCATTTTAAAGGCCTCAAGATCTCTTTCTGACCCATGGGGAAGCCCTTGGCCTGTCTTTGGGGACACACTGTTGTGGATAGCTGGGGAGTGGAAAAGGGGGCAGTAAGAAGGAGGCATAAGGTAGCAAATAAGAAAACCACTCAGTAATTATTATCTTGGTTTTTTTTTTTAATATAGAATTTTTGGAAATTCCTCCTTTCAACAAGCAGTATACAGAATCCCAGCTTCGAGCAGGAGCTGGCTATATCCTTGAAGATTTCAATGAAGCCCAGGTGAGGAGTTTCTTTGTGTAACCTAATATAGTGGCAATGATAAGAGCCAACTTGCTGTGTTGAGAAGAGGCCTGGGAGGGGTTGGGGAACCTGGATAAAGTAGCCAGAGATTTCAGGAACTGAGAAACTGCCAAAATGTTTTTGCATGAAATAGAATTTTTGTTGTGTATAGGGAAGAGAAGGTAGGACCTTGGGTTAGTTAATGGCTATGGTTCTGTTGCTGGGACAAAAGAAGATTGATGTTTATGTTTAGTAGTAGAAACCCCTATTAGGGTTGCTGATTTTTAGCCTGAAAGGCTGAGTTCATAGGTTTTGGTTGTCCGTTGAGGATTTAGGTCCTCAGTATGCTGCAGGTGAGGCAGAGAGAACATCTATGGAAATTACTTGGGCCTTCCAGTGAGAAGAGTGGCCTTGGGCAGGATAGACTAAATCACATTTTGGGTAGTAGTTGGGAGTCTTCAGATCTGCTCTTCATGGCTCATTATGGCTGCTGCTTAGGAGCTTTCCACAGAAGTCACCAAACCCATTGGCTCTGCTTCTTTTCTTGCAGTGTAACACAGCTTACCAGTGTCTTCTAATTGCGGATCAGCATTGTCGAACCCGGAAGTACTTCCTGTGCCTTGCCAGTGGGATTCCTTGTGTGTCTCATGTCTGGGTCCATGATAGTTGCCATGCCAACCAGCTCCAGAACTACCGTAATTATCTGTTGCCAGCTGGGTACAGCCTTGAGGAGCAAAGAATTCTGGACTGGTAAGTATTTGAAGCCCATCCAGAATTGTATAGGCAGGAGGACAGCAAGCTTTGGAGGGAAGAGAATCTAGGTGAGAGAGTAAAGCTTTCTAGAAATTGGAATGTCTGTGGGATAAATTTGAGTGGGTTTGAAATGACTTCAGGAGTTTATCTAGTTTATTTCCCTAGGTTACATTGGCTAGGAACCTTTTGCAAATGTGTGAAGATTTGTATATAGGTTCAATATTCTCAACCTGTAAAGTCAGAGAACTAAGTTTTAAGCAAGCATTAAAAATATATAGGCTCAGGAGCATGATTTGGATTATTCTCAGCCCCAGAACAAACATGGAAATTAGAAAGCCAGGAATGCAAGGAATACAGATCATTCATAGAAAGAAGGAAGAGAAGGGGGACCCTAATATAGGGCTTAGTTTTTTAAGATGAAGTCTTGCTCTGTCACCTAGGCTGGAGTACAGTGGCGCAGTGACGACTTACTGCAGCCTCAACCTCCCAGGCTGAAGTGATCCCCCTACCTCAGCCTCCCAAGCTGCTGGGACTACAGGCACTCGCCACCACACCCAGCTAATTTTTTTGTTGTCTTTTGTAGAGATGGGGTCTCACCACATTGCCCAGGCTGGTCTCGAACTCCCAGGCCCAAGAGATCCAACCACGACAGCCTCCCAAAGTGCTGGGATTACAGGCTTGAGACACTATGTCTGATGGGGCATTTATTTTTGAAAGCATTCAGATGTACATGAGTCCCTTTGCAGAAAGGCAGTTTGTTGGATATTACTTGTCATGCTAAGGTCCTTTCCTGTCTCCTTCATAGGCAACCCCGTGAAAATCCTTTCCAGAATCTGAAGGTACTCTTGGTATCAGACCAACAGCAGAACTTCCTGGAGCTCTGGTCTGAGATCCTCATGACTGGTGGTGCAGCCTCTGTGAAGCAGCACCATTCAAGTGCCCATAACAAAGGTACCTGAAAGAGTGTGTGTAGTGTCTTTGTTCCAGGGATCTCCTTAGACCTGTAGGTGTTAGGCCTTGTGGTCCAAGGCTCAGGCCTAATAGGTTGACCGTATCCATGTTTCTTAGAGAAGAAAAGTACCACCTTCAAGAGGTGAGTCAACATAAGTGAAGCACTGGACGTATATTTGTTAAATATTTCTACAAGGTCAGCACATAGTGATTATAACTCTGCCTTTGGTCATGATCAGTAGCAGTGTGTTTGACATAATAGGGCTTTGGTTTGTGCAGAGTGGGATGTATTGGTTAGAATCAAATCTCTCTTTCTAATGGAGGGCTAAGTTGAGTGTCCTTTCCTTCTTCACTTTCCCTTGCTCCTTGCAGATATTGCTTTAGGGGTATTTGATGTGGTGGTGACGGACCCCTCATGCCCAGCCTCGGTGCTGAAGTGTGCTGAAGCATTGCAGCTGCCTGTGGTGTCACAAGAGTGGGTGATCCAGTGCCTCATTGTTGGGGAGAGAATTGGATTCAAGCAGCATCCAAAATATAAACACGATTATGTTTCTCACTAAAGATACTTGGTCTTACTGGTTTTATTCCCTGCTATCGTGGAGATTGTGTTTTAACCAGGTTTTAAATGTGTCTTGTGTGTAACTGGATTCCTTGCATGGATCTTGTATATAGTTTTATTTGCTGAACTTTTATGATAAAATAAATGTTGAATCTCTTTGGTTGTAGTAACTGGGATTTCTTCATCTGTTTTTTTGAGCTTAATCTCAGAACAAATGACAAGACATAGTACTTTCTCTGAGTCTTTCAACAGGCTTATTCACTTACGGAGGACAGCTGGCCAAGGAAATTGAAAAGTTAAGAGTGAACTTTATTCTGTGGCATCATTCCCAAAAGGTTATTCCAGGGTGTCTAAAATGCTATGCTTGCAGAAACTCAGTTTAAGGTAGGTGAAGGCCCAGATTAACAGTTGTGCCAAAAGTTGAGTGGAATTGGGCACAGCTCTGTTTCCTGACAGTTAAAAAAGACCTCATGCTCTCTCTCTGAGCTGAGATCACAGCTCACCTGTGGGTACTCCCCAACTCTTAGAGCTAAAGGGAGAACGAAAGGACCAACTGCCATGAAGGGACAGTGACCATAAGCTTGATGGAATGACCTTCCGTAAGATAAACATGGGAAGCACAAGTGAGAACACCTGGAAATGTTACACGTTCTAGTCAAAGACCCAATATTATTATTATTATTATTGTCACAATAGCTGGAAGCAGTTCCTTCCCTTCCTCTGGCATCACTGATCCCTGCATGGCTTCTCATTCTCTAAAGCAGGGGTCAACAAGGTTTTTTTCTGTAAAGGGTCAAAGAGTAAATATTTCAGGCTTTGTGGGCCATTTGATCCATCACAACTACTCGCCTTTGCTGTGAGGGCATGAAAGCAACCATAGACAATGAGTAAACAAATGGGCATGGCTGTGTTTCAGTAAAACTGTACAAAAACAGACAGCAGGCCATAGTTTGCCAGCTCCTGCTCCAGAGACAGCAGTAGAAAGGGTGATCTTTAGTTGATAATAGCAGGGAATAAGTTGTCAGAGCTTCCCAGTGTGTGTAGAATATGTAGTGATGAAAACCAGATGCAGTGACTATAACCTGATGCCAGAACACTGCATTCTTTTTCAGTTTGGAGGGCGTTGTTCAGTGAATATTTCTTTTTACTTACACTGATATGAATATTGATTACCAGTGATGGCTGGGCCATATTAAGATAACTTCAACCCCTATGGTTTGTGTAAGATGGGTAATTGGGCCTGCAATCTTCAGTATTTAAAAATCTAACAACTTGATCTCAATTTTTTCTTAAGGACCTTTTTCTTGGAGAATAATACTTTTTTTTTTTTTTTTTTTTTTTTTGAGACGGAATTTCGCTCTTGTTGCCCGGGCTGGAATGCAATGGCACAATCTCAGCTCACTGCAGCGTCTGCTTCCCAGGTTCAAGCAATTCTCCTGTCTCAGCCTCCTGAGTAGCTGGGATTACAGGCACATGCCACCACACCTGGCTAATTTTTGTATTTTTAGTAGAATCGAGGTTTCATCATGTTGGTCAGGCTGGTCTCAAACTCCTGACTTCAGGTGATCCGCCCGCCTCGGCCTCCCAAAGTGCTGGGATTACAGGTGTGAGCCACCATGCCCGGCCTAAGAAATACTTTTAAGTATATTTTCATTAGCTAGAATTGCCCAATCTGTGTAGGTATAAATTACTTGGTATAGGGAGAGAGAAAGCCTATCTTACCTGTTGCTTTCTTACTTGGTGGTAACATCCAGCAGTTAGTCTATTTATAAACATAATTACTTTTTCACATATGAACCATAAAATATTTAACTTTCTGCTCTATATTGTTTGTTTACCGCTGTATCTCCCACAGCTTGAACAGTACCAAGGTACGTAGTAGGTGCTCAATAAATGACTATTGAATAAATGAACATATCCAACAAATGTTCTCAATGTAAAGGATCAGAGATGCCACATGTTCTCCTTGATGGGAGAGACCCTTCCACATGGGAATGATGGGAAGGAGTTGTACTCCTGGATGTTCAGTAACTGCTTCTAGGAGAAAAGGTAGAGTCCTATCACTAAGCCGCAGATATTTATTTGTGTGTGGCTAGAATGGGATGTTTTGAATCTTCTGTTACAACCTTGGGAACGTGGCTGTTATTTCAATTTATGAGCCAGAAATTTTCACATCCCGAAACTACAAAAGAGAAAAAGAGCCTTATTAAGTGTCATGCTTTCCCAAGACTACCTTCAAAGAAATATGAATCAGGATAACCTGTGATCTAAATAATGTCATCTTAAAACTGAAGAGTTTCTTTTGACTCTTCTGCTACAATAGCTTAGAAAAAAATCTGCTTGCAGACATTTTAGAGAGAAAGGACAATGAAGTGATTTTCTGAATGGGAATGACAGACCTCTGGGAAGCCAGCTACCACTGAATCTCGGTATCAGTTTTTTTTAAAGTTTAGAGTTAGAAGGGGTGGTCGCCTCCTTTCACAGATGCGGAAGCTAGGGACCAGCAAGGCGGGGTGCCCACGGCTGCACAGCTAGTTCATATCAGAATTGGGAGTGGAAGGCCCACTGCCTCCCAGCATAGCAATACATAACCTAGCAAAGGACTTAACACCTATCTCACTGTCAGGTTTTTTAGTATTTTATGATGATGATGACTTCTACTAGAAAATAACCTCCATTAAAATTATTAAAGATGGTCACACCTCTATCTCTAAGCCTTACTTATAAAATGAGGGTATTTGGACTAAAGTCTTCTTCCAGTTCTAGAATTCTACAACTCATTAAAAAGCCACCTTAAAAAGTCTACTGAGTTACCCAAGGGTTGCTCCTACCTGCCCAGAGTTCCACCAGCCTGGGTATAGTATTTGTTATAATCTAGTCGTAACAGTAGTTGAGCCAAATCTGAGTTGATCTGATGATTCCGAACACTGGAGAGAATCTTGAACAGGAGTGAAGACTGGCGGCTAAAGCCCTGCAGAGAGAAGGACTCAGCTGTCATTCCACTTCAGCTCACCAACTCTCCATATGGAGGATGGGGGCGGAGGGAGGAGTTTCTTGGAAAAGCCTTGTTCAAAATTCTACAGAACCACCTGGCCTTCCCACATTCCTATTTCTATTAGTTCCTAAAATGACTTGTACCAAATCCATACATGCATGACTTCCTATGAAAGTACTCTTTCATCAGTAGGAATTTAGTAGCTGGTTTCCAGTTAATGTATTTTGTCAAGTACTGGGGTTGGGGAGAACCCGTTTTGATTACAAGCAGATAATTATCTCAGTGAGATGGGGGTTAGTTCAAGGAAGTAAGGAGGGGGGAGGATGTGAGGAAGTTAGAACAACCCAATGCTTATTTGATGGGCTGAATAAACTATTCAGGACTGAACTATTTTTGAGCACTGTGAGGTGGCACAGTATTACCTGCTTCAAAATCAACTGATACCAACATTTTTATCTTTGTATCTTATCTCTGTACGTGTGTGTATTGAGGAAATGCTTTACTGACTCAGAGGAAAGATCATGAATTCTCCATTGGCAAAACCACCTCTGTCCTTTCGGCAAGGCTGCATACTTCCAGGCAGACGCACCTTCACGAGAATGCTCAGCTGGGCGGCTCCACGCTCATCCAGTGGGCCTAGGTTCTGACTGACCAGCGAACAAAAACTGTGACAGAGATCTAGGATTTCATTCAGGCAGTGAAACACCTACCCGGGAAACAGAGTTGGCATTAGGAAAGGAAGGAAGGTACATCCATGAAGTTAAAGTGTTAGGAGAACAGTCTGATTAATAGCTGATCTAATTAATAGCTGACCTCCCAAATCTGACAGGATAGACACTGCCACGTGCAAGGCCTGCCAGCCCCTCAGACGCACAAAATGCGTAAAACAAATGCATCCTTTCCTGGCTAAGCGAGTATTACTCTCTTAGCCCTGCACCAAACCTCCAATCTAGCCACATTTAACTCTTCATTTCTTAGACCCGCAGAGTGTCTTCCTGCCTCTGAGCTGTGAGTGTTGTTCCCTTTGCCCGGGATGCTCTTGTTTTTAATACCAGTTCAAGTCCCACTCTCTCAGTGAAGCACTCCCTTCCCCACTATAGCCTTTAGTGAACCCTCGTTTCTTGCTTCTTTATTATCTGTACTGTTGTCCACTTGGCAATTGTTCAGGCCTCTGTGTTGTTACTGATTTTTGTATGTATATATATATATATGTCTTGTTTTTCCAACTAGATTGTGAGCTCCTTAAGGGCAGAGCCATGAATTATACCTCTTTGTATCCCCAGTGCCTTGCATACAGTAAGCACTCAATAAATATTTAATGATGATGACCTGCTCTGTTATTCTGCTTTTCCCTATGGATACATCTATGCCACATAAGGACAGCATCTACCCATCACAGTAGTTCTTGGTTGTTTTCAGCCAGCCCTCTGGAGTGGCATCTATTAATATATATCTTACTCTTCCTGGTACAGCAGAAATAGCCCTAAACACCAGAACATTTTTAAAAAGTCTGTAACAGCTGTGCTGTAGCACACTGAGGAATAACAACCAGCTCATGTCAGAGGAGGCATAACCGTTCCATTAGAAACTACCAGAGATCATTTCAGTCTTCCTGTTCTTTATCCTGGAATTGGAACTAGCTTGTGAGCTTTAAAAAAAATTAGTACCTGGGTCCCACTATTACAGGGATTCTAATTTAAGTGCTCTGTCACCTAGATTTTTTTAAAGAGTCCCGATGATTCCAATGTGCAGCCAAAGTTGAAAATAACTGCCACGAAGGAGACATATATGTACTTACAGAAACACATACATAGATCGAGAGAGAAACACTACTCTAGTTGTCTATGAAAAGAACTTTCAAATGACTGATCCATCCTGGTCCAAAAGATTTCTAAGAAGGTGAACTCTATATGCTTTTCATTGGTTTTTCTGTATTGTCAGCAAGAATTTTGAGTTTCTTTAACTCCTGAGGGTTTAAGCACATAATTCTTTCATCTGTAGCTGCTCACCACACCCTGTATTTCAGAAATTCAAAGACATCTTAGGTCCCGTTTAACATGCCTTTTTAGTTTTGCTTTACACATTCTTTTTTTTTTTATCTGCTCCCCCAAGACAGAATCTTGCTCTGTTGCCCAGGCTGGAGTGCAGTGGAATGATCTTGGCTCACTGCAACCTCTGCCTCCTGGGTCCAAGCAATTCTCCTGCCTCAGGCCTCCCAAGTAGCTGGGATTACAGGCGCGAGCCACCACACCTATTATTTTTTTTTTCTTCTGTATTTTTAGTAGAGACGGGTTTTCACCATGTTGGCCAGGCTGGTCTTGAACTCCTGACCTTGTGATCCGCCCACCTCGGCCTCCCAAAGTGCTGGGATTACAGGCATGAGCCACCATGCCCCGCCGCTTTACACATTCTTAAAAAATGTTTTAAAATGGACTTGAATAATTGCTTAATGATGGTTTCGTATCCTGTCAACTCAAACTGCCTAAGGGAATGGTCAGTGGTAGAAGCAGTCTGAGGAAACCAATGAGCCTTACTTACAGGTTTCAATAGGATAAAGGATTGAGCCAGCAAATTGCTCAGGAAGTGGTCATGAGCCAATCGGATGCTTTCAAAGTCTCGGGTAGAATTGATCTGATGAAGCAGCTGGGAGAACTGAGACTCCAACACATCTACCTGATAGACATTACAAAAAATTTTAGCACTTTGCATATTCTAAGCACTCGAAGACATTAAGATGCCTGACAGATTGAAATGAAAATGCTTTGCCTCCACTCATCTTCCTTCTAACCAAGTCACATTAAGGCTGACCAAAGACACCCTTATATTGCCCAGCCTTGTAGGAAGTTATTTGCATAATTCTGAACCCCCTCCCTCCAACGTCCTGGCTGACCACTCTCCCCTGCCCCATCCTTTTCTCTTTTTCCTTTTTTTTTTTTTGAGACGGAGTCTTGCTCTGCCACCCAGGCTGGAGTGCAGTGGTGCGATCCTGGCTCACTGCAACTTCCACATACCAGGGTTCAAGCAATTCTCCTGCCTCAGCCTCCTGAGTAGCTAAGATTACAGGTGCCCGCTACCACGCATGGCTAATTTTTGTATTTTTAGTAGAGAAGGGGTTTCACTATGTTGGCCAGGTTGGTCTCGAACTCCTGACCTCAGGTGATCTGTTTGGCTCAGCCTCCCAAAGTGCTGGGATTACAGGTGTGAGCCACTGCGCCCAGCCTCCCCTGCCCCATCCTAATCCACTCATGGCCACATTCCGTCTACTGACTGACTTGGTCACCTACAGGATTCCAGAAGTTATAGCAAACAATAAAAATAAGGGGCAAGTCAACAATAAATAATAGATTGTTGATGAGGATTCTTTAAAATGCCTTTAAGAGGCTGGTGTGGCGGTGGTTCATGCCTATAATCCCAGCACTTTGGGAGGCAAAGGCAGGAGGATCATTTGAAGCCTGGAGTTTTTTTTTTTTGGAGACGGAGTCTCACTCTGTTGCCCAGGCTGGAGTGCAATGGCATGATCTTGGCTCACTGCAACCTCCACCTCCCAGGTTCAAGCGATTCTCCTGCCTCAGCCTCCCAGGTAGCTGGGACTACAAACAGGCGCCACCACGCTTGGCTAATTTTTTTGTATTTTTAGTAGAGATGGTGTTTCACCATGCTGGCCAGGCTGGTCTCAAACTCCTGACCTCAAGTGATCCGCCCATCTCAGCCTCCCAAAGTGCTGAGATTACAGACGTGACCCATGACACCTCGCTGAAGCCAGGAGTTTGAGACCAGCCTGGGCAACAAAGTGAGAATCCATCTCTACAAAAAATAAAAACAAACCAGCTGGGTGTGGTGGCATGTATCTGTAGTCATAGCTACTTGAGAGGCTGAGGCAGGGGGATCACTTGAGTCCAGGAGCTTGAGGCTTCAGTGAGCTATGACTGTACCACTGCATTCCAGCCTGGGAAACAGAGAAAGACCCTGTCTCTAAAAAATAATAAAATAAAATAAAATAAAATGCTTTTTTTATTTTAAGAAACATGCTTGGTGATATAACTCCTGAATTTTCCCAAACCCCACCATTTTATCAAATAGAAACTTGTAGTCCCTATTCAATACTCCCTGCCAACCTCCTAGACGTTTTTCCGTACCCCTTCCTTCTACTCATCTCTTAGCACAGACCTGGAGATAGTACTGAAGATTATCCACCAAAAATGCCATGTGATTTCTTAGGCGCCACTTGATTGCATCAGTCTGGTTCGACTTGAGGTGCTTGCGCTGCATTTGTAGGGCCCAGCAGTGCTGCAGCTCAGCTTGCACCCGGCGCACACTCAGTAAGTACTTAAAAACAACATTGTACCTAGGACAGAAATAACAGGATATTCAAGACAAAAATTTCATCCCCTGCACTTCCCCCACACGACAGACTCTAGGACTTTGTGCCACCCACTCCTCTCACAAACAGGCAGTAAGGAAAGAGTGACTAGAGATGTAGACAAATAAATTATAATTTATTTATACAATGGAATATTATATAGCAGTCGAATGAACTCCAGCTATACAACAAGATGAGACCCCATCTCTGCATTTTTTAGATAACTTGGGAAATTTCAGTGTGGACTGGATATTAGATTATACCCTTATAATCTTTTTGAATGGTTGACTCGTGTTGCTTCTCATATTCAAAAACATGATTTTTGAATGAAAAAGGTAAATCACAAAAGATTACATATAGCCTTTTCTATAATTCTTAAAGCAGGCCAGGTGTGTTGGCTCATGCCTATAATCCCGGCACTTTGGGAGGCCAAGGCAGGAGAATTACTTAAGCTCAGGGGTTCAAGACCAGCCTGAGCAACATAGTGAGATGCCATCTCTACTAAAAATTAAAAAAATTAGCCAGGTGTGGTGGTGCCCACCTATAGTCCCAGCTGCTTGGGAGGTTGAGGCAGGAAGATTGCTTGAACCCAGGGTTCAAGGCTGCAGTGTGCTGCCTGGGCAACAGAGCAAGACCCTGTCTCAAAAAAAATAGTGTGTTATGAATCAAGGATTATGATGAATCTGATTCTCTGTCGCTGAGAGCCGAAAGAAAGTAAAATAGCTTCCCTCTGAGACAGACTCCCGCTCCTGCCTCCCTGCAAGTTCAGGTGCTAACTGCTTAATGCTGAGACTCCATACTTAAAAGACACACGGGAAGAACAGCTGATTCCTGGTAGAATAGGATTTATTTACCTGTTTGTAGGTAGGCTTGCAGAAGACAGTCCCATTCTGTTTGGTTTTTAAAATTGTCTATTTCTAAAGGAACAAACATAATGAAATGATAGACCTTGTTTGGAAACTGATTTGAACAAACCCAAACATAAAGATAATTTTTAGATAACTGGAGAAATTTCAATGTAGACTGGATATTATAAGGGATTATAAGGGACTACTGTTAATTTTACTGGATGTGATAATGGCATTGTAGTTCTGTTGAAATATGCCTTTTTCAATTGTTTATTGGCAGAATGAAATGACTGTGATTTGCTTTATACAGCTCTAGCAAAAAAGTGGGGGAGGGACAGATAAAAGTAGTATAATGTTGCTGGTTACTGAAGGTGAATAATGAGGACACAGGATTTTGTCTTCTCCCCAGTGGCTAACATCCATAGCAGACATGTAGGCTGGAGGACTTTCCCAAGTAAATCAACAAAAAATATTACAAAAGTGAGGGAGAGACCTTGTCAGGTGTGATGGAATCATCAAGGGCCATTATCTCGACATGGTGCCTAAGACCTTATTTTCCAGAGCTCACAAACTGGCAGCCAACAAACTGCTTATTATTTGGCAATTTAAAAAAATGATGGTTTGAAGTAGATATGCCCTCCCACTGATTCCAACTCCGTGTCTCATATCTGTGGCTTCACTTATTAATGTGATCAGTCTAGCCCCTGAAGGCATAAGGGTTTACAATTTTTGATTTACAGATTGTTAAAAACTAGTTGGGTGGCTCTCTTGCTCCCATTAATTTTTTTTTTTTTTTTTATGAGATGGGGGTCTTACTATGTTGCCCAGGATGGATTTGAAATCCTGGGCTTAAGGGATCCTCCTGCTCAGGCTCTGGACTAGCTGGGATTACAGGTGTGTGCCACCACACCTTGCTTTCCCACTAATTCTGTTCCTGCTAGTTTCTTCCCTTACAAGTAAGGTGGGTCATATTTACCTGTGAGAAACTCAGAAATACTCACTTTTCCAGGACAGCTGGGGTGAAGAGAATATGTAGTGGCCACTGTACTTTGTAGGAAAGACCTAGGGCTGCCCAGCCAGATGCAGGGGCTTCCCGGGGAGAAGTTTCCCGAGAAGGCCCTTCTCTTGCCTGAGTAGCATCTGCTGTGATAAAAGAAAAGAAAAAAAGAAAAGATAACAACTTGGTTAATCTAGAACCAGAGACTCAACAAGTGAATAACATTAATGAAACTAGAGCTCACAGGAGTTCAAGACCAGTCTGGGCAATACAGTGAAACCCCATCTCTACTAAAAATACATAAATTAGCTGGGCATGGTGGCACGCACTTGTAGTCCCAGCTACTCAGGGGGGCTGAGGCATGAGAATTGTTTGAACCTGGAAGGCAGAGGTTGTAGTGAGCCAAGATTGTGCCACTGCACTCCAGCCTGGTCAACAGAGTGAGACTCTGTCTCCAAAAGAAAAGCAACAGAGCTCAATGGAGTCTGCGATGTCAGAAGCTTACAGGGGACACTAAGAAGGGGGCAAGGAAACTTCTATGTGAGGTTCTCTTGGGAGGTCTTCTAGAGATTCTTTCCTCAGCCTTAAAATCTGGGGGCTGGAAATAAACAGGCACCATTCCAGCAGCATGACAAAAAAAAACACCAAAAAAACCAACTCCCCCAAAACATGGCCTGGGCATCTCACTTAGCCTCTCTGGACTTCTGGACTTTCCTTTTCTTCTCTATAGAATTATAGTACTGTACTAGCTGATTTCTAAGATCCAAAATCATATGGTTTCTGTGGCGGGGGATGGAAGCAGAGATGGGAAAATGGATGATGACCAGCAGGAACTCTAAGGTGGCAGGGAGGAATGGCAAACCTTTGTGCTCCTTTCCGTGATACTCGATTGTCAAGTGCAACAGAGGGAGAAGGTTGTCATCATCTAGCAATACCTTGTGTGCTGACTGTTGAAAGGCCACATTCACATCTGCAAGAAAGAACACGCAGGCTGACAGGGACGCTTGGCTACATAACAAACCCAGACTCCTCCAGCTTTCCACTTCTCCCCCAACATGCTCAATGCTAACAGCAGGACACAGTGGACATCTGTTTCATTTGTCTAACACCCATCCATCCTTCTCTTCTTGCTGACAAACTGCCTCTTGATTTTCCTTGGAGAATCATCCCTATTCAGTACAGTTCACATATTTCCAGTGGGTTAGTGCTAGACAACACCTGATTCTAGGGGTAGCTGGGTGATGTAGGCATGATCAAATGGAATGTAATACTCTACTTTGTTATGCTATATTGTTTAGGGATATTAACATGACCAAGCCAGGCCAATCCAGAGGCTCTATTCAGACTCTAAAAGAGTCCAGCTCTTTTTTCAAGATAAACAGGGGCTTAGTAGGATGTAAACTTGGCTAGAGACTATCTTGCTACCATACAGAGCAGGCCTGTCTGAGAAGAAAGAGGTAGAAGATGGAAAGAGACCAAGTCCTAAAGGTGCCACACCTGTCACTGGATCAAACTTAGCCGAAAACCATCATACGTCTGAGCTTTTCAGTTATGAGAATCAATACATTATTTCTTTCCTTTTGCTTTGCTTAAGTGAGTTTGAATTGGATTTTCTGATATTTGCAACCACAAGTACTTATATTTGTACTATATAAGTACAGTGGACATCTATGGTTTTACTGAGTTAGAAAAATGATCAGCCTGTGTGTATGTATTTTCTTTCTCACAGTTTCTTTTTTTGGATCCTTACCCAACTCTACTCATGCAGTATGAATGGGAATGGACATCAGTGGGTCAAGGGGTAGACTCTTCACTGAACTAGGCATAGCCTAGTGTCTGACCTCTTTGACTGATACAGGGATAGGGATGTGATGTGGGCTGGGCCAATCAAAACCTAGATAATTCCCTAGAATTCTCTAACTTGCAACAAGAGGGACTGGGTTCAGTTCCTTCCGTAGAGGACACTGTGAGGCATATTCCTGGGAGATGCTGTGATCATGTTTCCAGAAGGTCATCAAAGTGTTCACAAGAGACACAAACAAGATGTGGTGAATGAGTGAATGAGAGAGAGAGAGAATGAATCGAAGTTTTCCCACTGGGGTTTTAGATACAATAGCAAATCCATTTCCCTTTCCTAACTAGGCTAGTTCGGGTGAGTTTCCATCATTCACACCTAAAGAATTCTACTGCAAAACTACAAGCAGCACTAAGTCCCAATATGGCCCATAAAGTATATATGGCTATAATCCAATGAGAAAAAATACCTGGTTTGAAGGCCTGAACCAACTCTTCCAGGAAGGGTCACAGGCCAAGACACTGTTCCCAATGACCCCAGCATGAAGCCTACCTGCAAGAGCCTTCCATCTCTGGAAGCCACTGCTCTGTAACTCATCAGGCTGCTCTTATGTGGAGCAGGCCTTAAAAGGGTCAGCAGCAGCCAAGAAATACCCTGCAATGTCAATCAGTTGATCATTCTCAGGGCCACTGACAATTACCATGCTCAGTTACTGCAGTGGGTGGTGTTTTCAACATGTGTTGAGCTGTGTCAATGAAGGCCTGAAACAGTTCTCCACGTCCCAGAAGGTAAAAGTCTTTAATGATCTGAGGAAAGAATTTCAATTTACAATTCAGTAAAGCAAGGCAGGAGCTCCTCACTGTCCTGAGGAATTACATGTATACAGTAATTTCTAATTTCATCAATTTGAGCCCAAGCTACAAAAGATACAGGCATTTGGCATTTCAAAGAGGCATACTTAGTTCCGCATAGCAGGATGACTGGTGTGTATTTGGCATTATTTATTCAATAGCAACATAATTATATATATATGCCAGAAAAAAGTACACTCCCAAATCTTTGTATTATCGTAGATTTGTGGCATTAGGTATAGTTTGCTCACTTGGATAAGAACAAATGAGTTGACTCTGGAAGTCTGGGTATAGGCAACCAGTGCTCTCAGGAAACATCAGAGAATGCAAGTCACTGCCTACCAGCATCACCGTAAGAATTACAACAGCTAAGCCATTACCTTCAGCTGACCCAGTAAATCGGATTCTTCTACCATCAACTTCCAGAGATGCTATGAAAACAACCAACAAAACAGGGACAAATTTCATTACAGTGAGAACTCCTGCAAAGAATGGTTCCATACAAATCCAGCAATGTATTAAAAGAAGACTATACCTTGCCCCACATAGAAAAATTTACTCAAAACAATCAATGTATTATTCCATTCTCACACTGCTGTAAAGAATACCTTAGACTGGGTAATTAATGAAGAAAAGAGGTTGAGTTGCTCACAGTTCTGCAGGCTGCACAGGAAGCACGGTGGCTTCAGCTTGGCTTCTAGGGAGGCCTCAGGAAACTTACAATCATGGCAGAAGGCAAAGGCGTCTCACATGGCAGGAATAGGAGCAAGAGAGAGCAAGGGGGAGGTGCTGCACACATTTAAACAGCCAGATCTCATGAGAACTTACTATCGTGAGGACAGTACCAAGGGGAATGGCGCTAAACCATTCATGAGAAACTGCTCCACGAACCAATCATCTCCCACCACGCCCCTACAACTCAAGAAATTTTGGCGGGGACACAGGTCCAAGCATATCAATCATAGACCTGGGTATAAAACTGAAAACTATAAAATTTCTGGAAGAAAAGAGAAGAGAAAATCTTAGTATCCTTGAGTTAGGCAGAGTTCTTAGACATAACACCAAAAACATGATCCATAAAAGAAAAACAAAAGGTAAACTGGATTTCATCAAAATTAACAACTTCTGGGACAAGTCATAAATTGTGAGAAAATAGCCCAGGCGTGGTGGCTCATGCCTGTAAATCCCAGGACTTAAGGAGGCTGAGGTGGGCGGATCACAAGGTTAGGAGTTCGAGACCATCCTGGCTAACACGCTGAAACCCCATTTCTACTAAAAGTACAAAAATTAGCCAGGCATGGTGGCAGGCGCCTGTAGTCCCAGCTACTTGGGAGGCAGACACAGAAGAATCACTTGAACCCAGGAGGCAGAGCTTGCAGTGAGCCGAGATTGCACCACTGCACTCCAGCCTGGGCAACAGGGCAAGACTCTGTCTCAAAAAAAAAAAAAAAAAATAGTGAGAAAATATTTGTAAGTCACATATCTGTTAAAGAACTTAAATTCAGAATACATAAAGGACTCTCAAAATTCGACAACAAGAAAACAAAAACCCAGTATAAAATAGGCAAAGAGGCACATGAAAAAATGTTCAACCTCATTAGTCATTACAGGCATGCAAATGAAAAAGACAGTGGGGAATCCCAGCATTTTGGGAGGCCAAGGTGGGCAGAGCACAAGGTCAAGAGATCGAAACCACATTTTGTTAATCGTAAATGTGGCACATATACACCATGGAATACTATGCAGCCATAAAAAATGGTGAGTTCATGTCCTTTGTAGGGACATGGATGAAACTGGAAACCATCATTCTCAGCAAACTCTCACAAGGACAAAAAACCAAACACCGCATGTTCTCACTCATAGGTGGGAATTGAACAATGAGAACACACGGACACAGGAAGGGGAACATCACACACCGGGGACTGTTGTAGGGTGGGGGGACCGGGGAGGGATAGCATTAGGAGATATACCTAATGCTAAATAACGAGTTAATGGGTGCAGCACACCAACATGGCACATGTATACATATGTAACAAACCTGCACATTGTGCACATGTACCCTAAAACTTAAAGTATAATAATAATAAAATTAAAAAAAAAAGAGATCGAAACCATCCTGGCCAACATGGTGAAACCCCATCTCTACTAAAAATACAAAAAACTGGCTGGGCGTGGTGGCGGGTGCCTGTAATCCCAGCTGCTCGGGAGGCTGAGGCAGGGGAATCGCTTGAACCCGGGAGACGGAGGTTGCAGTAAGCAGAGACCGCGCCACTGCACTCCAACCTGGAGACAGAGCAAGACTCCGTCTTAAAAAAAAAAAAAAAAGACATTGGGAAGCCACCCAAATATTTATCAAGGATGAATGGATAAACACACTGGTATAAACAATAGAATACTAGTAAGTAATATAAAGGAATAAACCATTGATAAATGCAACATGGGTTCATCTCAAAATAATTATGCTGAGTAAAAGAAGCCTGGTCTCCTCCTCCAAAAGAGTGCATACTGTATGATTTCATTTTTATCAACTCTAGAAAGTGCAGACTAACCTAGAGTGACAGGGAGTAGATCAGATCAGTGGCTGCTTGGGGACTGTCAGGGTAGGAAGAGTGGGATGAAAGCACACAGAAAGGTTGCAGATAAAGGATGGAAGAGTGTATCAGGTAAATATGATTTGAAAGGAAGCTGGATAGTGATCTTAGTAACTAACAAAATAGAATCTAAGTAAAGAATATATTAGGCCAGGTGTAGTGGCTCATGCCTGTAATCCCAGCACTTTGGAAGGCCGAAGCGGGCAGATCACTTGAGCTCAGCAGTTCGGGATCAGCCAGCACAACATGGCGAAACCCCATCTCAACTAAAAATACAAAAATTAGCCGGGCGTAGTGGCACATGCCTGTAACCCCAGCTACTCAGGAGGCTGAGGCAGGAGAATCGCTTGAACCCGGGAGGCAGAGGTTGCAGTGAGCCGAGATCACGCCACTGCACTCCAGCCTGGGTGACAGAGCAAAACTCCGTCTCAAAACAAAACAAAACAAAACAAACAAACAAACAAAAACCAGACCTGTATTAGTCCATAAAGAAACCTGCAATAGATTCCAAAGAAACAATATAATTCAGACTATGTTCTCCAACTATAATGCAATAAAATTAAAACAAATTCCTTGGTTAAAAAATCATAAACAAAATTAATTAGAATTATATAGAATATAATGAAAACACTACATGCCAAAAACTTGTGAGACACAGTCAAAACAATATGTAAAGTTTTATATATATTTCTCAGAAAACACAGGTTAAAAATAAAGGAGTCAAGCTTTCAACCTGGGAAAGAGTAAAAAAAAAAACACGAAGGAAGAAACTAATAAAGAAAAAGGCAGATATCAATGAAACACAGAATTCAAACAAAAAAAAATATGTGTGTGTGTGTGTGTGTGTGTGTGTGTGTGTGTGTGTGTGTGTATCTCTATTTTATTTTATTTTGAGACGGAGTCTTACTCTATTGTCCAGGCTGGAATGCAGTGGCACCATCTCAGCTTGCTGCAACCTCTGCCTCCGAGGTTCAAGCAATTCCCCTGCTTCAGCCTCCCGAGTAGCTGGGACTATAGGCACGCACCACTGCACCTGGCTAATTTTTGTAGTTTATTTTAGTAGAGACAGGGTTTCGCCATGTTGGCCAGGCTGGTCTCAAACTCCTGACATCAAGTGATCTGCCTGCCTTGGCCTCCCAAAGTGCTGGAATTACAGGCATTAGCCACTGTGCCTGACCCCAAAATATATATTTAAAAAATAAAATTAAAAAAAGAAAAAGCCTGGTGGGCGCAGTGGTGCATGCCTACAGGCCCAGTTACTTGGGAGGCTGGGGCAGAAGTTTCACTTGAGTCTAGGAATTCTGGGCTGTAGTGTGCTACACCAATCAGGTGTCCACAATAAATTCGGCATCAATACGGTGACCACCTGGGAGTGGGGGACCACCAGGTTGCCTAAGAATGGGTGAATTGGCCCAGGTCAGAAATGAAGCAGGTCAAAACTGCAGTGCTGAGGTGTTGTGGCTCACATCTGTAATCCCAGCACTTTGGGAGGCTGAAATGGGATGACTGCTTGAAGCCAAGAGTTCTAGACCAGCCTGGGCAACATACTGAGACTCCGTCTCTACAAAAGAGTTTAAAATATAGCAGGGCATGGTGATTTGCACCTGTAATACTAGCTACTCAGGAGGCTGAGGGAGGAGGATTGCTTTACCCTAAGAGTTCAAGATTATGGTGAGCTATGATGACATCACTGCACTCCAGCCTGGGAGATAGAACAAGACCCTGTCTCTGGGGGAAAAAAAGAAAATGAAAGGCCAGGTGCTGAGGCTCATGCCTATAATCCCTGTACTTTGGAAGGCTGAGGCAGAAGGGAAGATTGCTTGAGCCCAGGAATTGGAGGCTGCAGTGAACTAGGATTATACCACTGCACTCTAGCCCGGGCGACACAGTAAGAAGAGTAAGAAGAATAAGACTGTGTCTCAAAAAAAAAAAGAAGAAAAGAAAAGAAAAAAAAAAGAAAAGAATTAGCTGGGCATGGTGGCATGCACCTCTAGTCCCAGCTACTTGGGAGGCTGAGATGGGAAAATTGATTGAGCCTGGAGATCGCGCTGCAGTGACTCATCATTGCACCACTGCTCTCCAGCTTGGGTGACAGAGCGAGAAGCTGTCTCTACAAATTTTTTTTAAATTAAAGAAAAAGCCAGGCCCAGTGGCTCACGCCTATAATCCCAGCACTTTGAGAAGCCGAGGCAGGTGGATCACTTGAGGTCAGGAGTTCGAGACCAGCCTGGCCAACATGGTGAAACCCCATCTGTACTAAAAATACAAAAATTAGCTGGGCGTTGTGGTGCACGCCTGTAATCCCAGCTACTCAGGAGCTGAGGTGGGAGAATCCCTTGAACCTGGGAGGTGGAGGCTGCAGTGAGCTAAGATTGCATCAATACACTCCAGCCTGGGCCACAGTGAGACTCTGTCTCAAAAAAAAAAAAAAGAAAAAAGAAAAAAGATTAAAAACAAAAGCTTGTTCTTTGAAAAGACTAATAAGACTAAACAATAAAAAGAAATTCTAAATAAATAAAACATAAATGACTAGATTTTTTTAAATTAAATCTAGATGAAATAGGTAAATTCCTAGAAAATACCAAAATTAATACAAGAAATACCTGTTTTATGTCAATAGGTTTTAAATACACTGAACTAGGTAAGTTTTCCCTCCTAAAAATATCTAGCTTAGATTATTTTTCAGGTAAATTCAAACTTTCAGTAAGAATTCCTGTCTTATATAAACTGTTCTAAAAAATAGAAAAAGAACAAAACCTAACTAGCCCATTTTATGAGGACTGTAGAATCTTTATTCCAAAACCACATAAGCAAAATACAGGAAAAGAAGGGTACAGTCTTATTTCATAGTGACATGATTTGGCTGTGTCCCCACCCAAACCTCATCTTGAATTGTAGCTTCCATAACTCCCACGTGTTGTGGGAGGAACCCGGTGGGAGGTGATTGAATCATGGGGGTGGTCTTTCTCATGCTGTTCTTCTGAGAGGGAATAAATCACTCTTATAAAGGGGTGATTTACTTTATAATAAATTATATATTTTATATATTTTTATAGTATTTTATAAAGGGGAGTGCCCCTACAGAAGCTCTCTTGCCTGCTGCCACGTAAAACCTGACTATGCTCCTCATTCGCCTTCAGCCATGACTGTGAGGCCTCCCCAGCCATGTGGAACTGTGAGTTCATTAAACCACTTTCCTTTATAAATTACCCAGTCTTGGGTATGTCTTTATTAGCAGCATGAGAACAGACTAATACAACTAGTGAATACAGATGTAAAACATCCAATCAAGTAGTGTTTATCTCAGGAAGAATCAGTATCTCAAAATCTAACCAGAAATTTATCATATAAATAGACTAAAGGAGAAAAATAACCCAGAGCAAGAAACTGAACCTTAATTGACACAGAAAGAGCAGTTGATAAAATTCAACATCTACTTATGATAAAAAGCTCTGGACTGGGTATGGTGGCTCACAGAAGGACCACCTGAGCCGAGGAGTTCAAGACCAGCCTGGGCAACACAGCAAGACTCCATCTCAAAAAATAAAAATAAAAATAGAAGGAAAGTTCTCTCATTTGCAGATAGTATGATCATCTACTTAGAACAACTGATAGAATCAGACTATTACAACTAAAAAGAGTTCAACACGTTGCAAGTTATAAGATTAACCACAAAAAGTAATACCACCATTTCTCTATGTAAGCAGTAAAAACTAAAGACATAATTAAAATGAAAACTATTAAGTACCTCAGAATTTTTAAAACCTTTTGTTGAAGTACCAAAATACATACAGAAAAGTACAAGTCGTAAGTTCACAGCTTGAAGATTTTTACAAATTGAACACCTGTATTACCAGCACCCAGATCAAGAAATGGAACGAACTGAGTGTTGCCAGCACCCTAGAAGCCCCACTCATGCCCCTCCCATTGACTCAAAGGCAAATATAGTCCTGACCTCTAGCGCCAGATTCACTTTGCCTGTTTTTGAACTTTACAGAAATAGATTCACATAGTATACACACTTTAAAGAAAAAAATTTTTAAAGGAGAGAAAGAATCCCAAAAGGGATAAATATAACACATATTTACAAAACACTCCCCCCTTTTCCTTCAGGGCACAGCTTTTCATTGCTGTAGGCTGTTATTGTTGCAATAATGCTTCCAAAGTCTATTAACTACAATTCTAAGAAACTTCAAAGAGTCTGTGCTTTAGTTTGCTTATCATTTTTACAAATTGGAAATATAATTTCTAGCAAACTTTCACAAGAAAAAACAATTTTTCTATTGTTTATAATTCAGTCAGTACAATTTTACTTTCTTCCATTAATTATACTTTCCAAAGATTTATAATAAAAATGATAAAGCAACAGAACTAGATTCAATTTTCAAAAATGAAAGGAACTGATACCAACCCCTCTAGACTAGAAACTGCCTTGGCCTATAGACGGGGTTGAAGCAATGTCTTAAAATTTTGAAAGGACAGGAACATGGGTCATTTAGATATTTACTTGCCCAGAAAGATTCAAATCAAATGATACTTCACAGCCATTTTAAGATCGAACATTCTGTGTCTATATCACAGCTCTACCTCTGATGACCAGGAGTTTTTGAGACAGTGACTAGAAAGGGAAACCATATTTATAATAGATTACTGTGCTTCTAACCCATGGAGATTTGATGCTCTTAGCAGTTCCAGACACTGAACGAAGTGCACTGCTTTTTAGTCCTGTCTGTTTCAAAAACCCCTGTAGAGGTTTGTCTTTGGTGGGTGGACTGGCTTGCTTAAATAGAAGTACCTGCCGGGCGTGGTGGCTCACACCTGTAATCTTAGCACTTTGGGAGGCCAAGGCAGGAGGATCACTTGAGCCCAAACGTTCAAGACCAGCCTGGCCAACATGGTGAAACCCCCATCTCTATTAAAATACAAAAAAGTTTGCCAGGCATGCTGGTGCAGGCCTGCAGTCCCAGCTACTCAGGAGGCTGAGGCACGTGAATTGCTTCAACCCGGGAGGCGGAGTTTGTAGTGAGCCGCGACTGCTCCACTGCACTTCAGCCTGGGTGACAAAGCAAGACCCTGTCTCAAAAATAAAATAAAATAAAGGTACCTACCCTCTCCTGACCTATGAATCAGAAGCTCTGGAAGTAAGGACTTGGTGCAAGTGCAGGTTTTAAAATTTCCTCATGCGGGCCAGGCGCAGTGGCTCACATCTATAATCCCAGGACTTTGGGAGGCTGAGGTGGGAGGATCACTTGAGCTCACGAGTTTGAGACCAGCCTGGCCAACATGGTGAAACCCCATCTCTACTAAAAATACAAAAATTAGCTGGGCATGGTGATGTGTGCCTGTAATCCCAGCTACTTGGGAGGCTGAGGCGGGAGAATCGCTTGAACCCAGGAGGCAGAGGTTGCAGTGAGCCGAGATCACACCATTGCACTCCAACCTGGGTGACACAGCAAGACTCCATAAAAAGATAAAAAATAAAAAATAAAATTTTCTCATGCGATTCTATGCTTAGCCAATGTTGAAAGCCAGGAATATAGTTAACAACACAGCTGACTAAATGTCTCATTTCGTGTTATCACATATCCATGAGACAAATGTTAATATAAGCCACAGAACATATATGCTCCTTTGAAAAATTACTGGTCACAATTTAAGTCGGTGGCACCAGCACAATTCAAAATGAAGAAGACTGTGCACCAGGAGTCGGAGGCCTGGCACTGACCTCACTATGGCTACTCACTGTGCCACACCAGGCAAGCCAGACAAGTCAGCTTGCTGAGTGTTTGCTTCATTTATAAGAATGAGAAAATAATATTTGTTCTGCTTTCCTCATAAGATGATTGTGTATAGAAATGAAAGTATAAGTTATGAGCCATACTAAACTACAAGACACAAAATTTAGTCAGAATTAGTTGATTCCTAGGAGTTATTGCAAACGATAGAGACAGATCCAAAATGCTGATTTTCAGAATTTAAACCAAGATCCCCCCTTTATTCAACTAACTAACCAACTAAAAACCACCTGTCTTTTAGTTAGATAGGAAAATGGGAAGGCAGTTCTGCCTCTGTTAATGAAAACAGAGGCTTTTCTTTTCTACTTTCTGCCTTCAACTCTCTGCAACATTTCTTTCCAAGCTCGGTTCTTAACTCATCAAGACATCAAGATAAAAACAAAAGTCAAGTAACTCAGTGTCTTTTTTTTTTTTTTTTTTTTTTTTGGAGACAGAGTCTTGCTCTGTTGCCCAGGTTGGAGTGCAATGGTGTGATCTCGGCTGACTGCAACCTCCGCCTCCCGGGTTCAAGCGATTCTCCTGCCTCAGCCTCGTAAGTAGCTGGGACTACAGGTGCATGCCACCACACCCGACTAATTTTTGTATTTTCAGTAGAGACGGGGTTTCACCATGTTGGCCGGGCTGGTCTTGAACTCCTGACCTCAGATGATCCACTTGCCTTGGCCTCCCAAAGTGTTGAGACTGCATGCGTGAGCCACTGCGCCCGACCAAGTAACTCAATTTCTAGGAAACTAGTCCAATTTTGCCTAAGAAAAAAAAAAAAAAAAAAAAAAATATATATATATATATATATATATATATATATACGATGAAACACAAACCTCAGCCACAGTGCTGCGAATGCGATCCACCACCTGTTCAAAGTCCACCAAGCTGAAGAGTGGCTGCTGCTTGAGACGGTGCAGCTCTGCAGCAAAAGTGTCTTCCTGGTTTTTCAAAATGGATCCTGCAAAATAGGAAGACACCGTCAAAGGAGGACGGAGAATACCCAGGACAGTTAGGGTTTTCTGGGGAGGGCTAATCTCAGTGGGGCAGCAACTTCACCTGCTTCTCAGACAAACGTCATGATTCTGCTACAATCTCAGGATAGGAATATTATCGACCACTCGCTCTGACCAGGCATGCTGTGGGGCCACATAGTATTAAGGAAGAAGAGATTTTGAGGGTGTGGTACATTGGACAAGGAGATTTCTACCTTTTCTAGTCAGGTTCACATTTTGATTCTCAAACATCTGGACAGATTCTCCAACAAATAGGATTTTTTCAGCAACCCTCACTGGAATGTAGGATGGCAAAATCTCCACTCGTAGGGAAAACTGCTTCAGAGATGGTGCCAGCATGTTCTCTTCCTCAATCAGGCGCTAGTCAAGGAAAGAGTACACATCGAGATGCAGTGTGAAGCAAGAAAAGGAAAACAAGAAAATACCTAGTAACTCTCCCAACCCATGATTTAAAATAAAGACGCAGGGACTTCAAATCTGGTGTTGCACAGTTCTCAAACCACCCATTTTGGAGAGATGTATTTCATCTTCAGGCAGCAGAGTGGCATGGTGGAAATAAGAGTGGCTTAAATACTGGGATTTGGGCCCTCACTCTGCCTTTACTACTGAGTAAAAACTTGCACAGTCGACCAGCTTCCTTACTTGTACGATGAAAGAGGTGGTCTTTTTTGTTTTCCAGGTCTTCTCTCTATGTCTTCTCTGCTGGTGCTCCTCAGGGCACTGTCCCAGACTGTCTTTTCCTCTCAGCCTACACTTCCTATACAATCACATCGTCTTCTGTGACTGATCAGTGTAACAGATAGTTTTAATTTTTAGGTCACAGACCTCTCTGCAATCATAAAAGCTATGGATCTTCCAGACAAATGTACAGACATATAACATTTCATGAACCTCCTGAAGCCACCCAAGGGCCCCAGATTAAAAACCTCCAAGCCCCATGCTGATGATTCCATATGTAGATTTAAAGTAAGCTGGAGTGCTCTCATGAGCCCCAGGCTCAGCCCACTGAACATTTCCCACAAGTTCCTCAAACTCAACATGCCCCCCATTAGACCCATCTTCTTCCCCGCATACCAGCAGTATACACCCCTATCGTCACTACTTGCCCAGCTGCTGAAGGCAGAAACCTGGGTATCATCAATGATTCTTCCCTCTTGACTCATTTCCAAGCACTCACTAAGCCTACTGATTCCACCCTCTAAACATCTCTCACACCTCTTTGCTCTTTTTTCATATTCAATGTTAGTATCTTTGGTTTAGGGGACTATTATTTTCACCTAAGTCTCCCCAACACTCTCTTAACTGATCGACCTGCCTCTAATCTTGATTTTTAAAAAATGATTCCCCACACAGCATCCAGAGTGATTTATCATGAAGTCTGACTGTGGTACCCACTTGCTTAAAATTCAATAGCCCCCAACTCTTTTCAGGTTCAAGTACAAACTCATTTCCACTGTTTACATGCACCTTTGTGATCTTGCCTCTGCTTAACTCAAGTTTCATCAAGTACCAACTTACACAGTTTCAAGTACCACCTCTCCCTCACACCATCTCTTGTAACATTTTACTTCAGCCTTTATTTGATCATTTCAATTGAATTACTACTGTTTCCCCAAATGAACCATGTCCTTAATGGCCCCTGTACCTTTACACATATCATTCCTTCTGCCTGGATGTCTCTTGATGGCTCCTCCCAAACTCTTTGCAATTTAGACATACCTTCCACTGAAAAGCCTTCCCTAGTCACTCCAAGACCCTATCCCATGACCATGTTCCAAGAATACCCATATTTAGTCTTTTCAGAGCCCTTAGCACACTGTAATGTAACTGTTTACTTTTCTATATCTCTTCCCCTAAACTATGAGCTCCTTAGGGACAGACACTACTACTTTTTATTTGTAGCACCTAGAACAATGCCTAGCACATAACAGGCATTCAATGAAATATTGCCACAGGATAAATGAATGAATGGATGGATGGATGAATGGATGAATATGGACAATGTAGAACTTTGAGGAGTCTAATCAAAACACCAAACTGGCCAGGCACGGTGGCTCATGCCTGTAATCCCAACACTTACAGGCCGAGGCGGGTGGATCACCTGAGGTCAGGCGTTCGAGACCAGCCTGGCCAACATGACAAAACCCTGTCTCTACTAAAAATATGAAAATAAAAAATATGAAAATTAGCTAGGCATGGTGGCACATGCCTGGTTCCAGGTACTTGGGAGGCTAAGGCAGGAGAATTGCTTGAACCTGGGAGGCAGTGGCTGCAGTGAGCCAAGATTGCGCCATCGCACTCCAGCCTGGGCGATGGGTGAGAATCTGTCTTTAAAAAAAAAAACAAAACTCCAAACTGTATTTAAAATCTAAAATGTAGCTAGCTGCTCCATTAGAGTAGCTACATAAGTAAGACTTATAATCTCTCAAATGCATATATTGGGAAAGAGGAAACAAAAAGAATATCACAAACATATTTTCTATTTTATAGTCTCACACTAGTTAAGATAAAGCCGAATGTTTACATCGAAAGGATTGATGGAAGGTGCTCAGCTATGAGCTAAGAAGGGATCACCAGAAGATCATTTGTGTGCATGCTTTTCTGACTCCTGGCAGGAGAGTGCTAGGCTACTTTTTGGGCTCTCACCAAGTCCTGCAGTTCTCTCAGTTGTTTTCCTGTCAGTCCCCCAATGCCCAGATCCTCCTCGTCCTCTTCTGGCTGGGCACTGACATTACCAGAAGATGGCCCCTGTTTGATAAAGAATTCTTCATGCTGGTCCAAGAGGAGTCCATGGAGCATCCAGGCTGAGAGCTGTTTATACATGACCCCATGACAAACGGCCAGGATTCTGGGCAGAGTAGAAAGTAAGAGGCTCAGAAGTCATGCTTTAAACTGTTACAGGATAAACAGAGGCCTGAGAATTTGATGAGTCATAACAGAAATAACCAATTAAGTTAAAAATAATTGTGCTATTTTAATTTAAATGTGGGTGAACTAACTCACTGAATTTCCATATTTGCAGCCTACACAATGAAATCTAAAATGTTCAGTATATGTGCTGATATTATTTTAGGGAAGACATTTTCTTCCCTTCTTTTATGTAATTTTCAAAACTGATGGGTCCTAAATATGTACAACTGTTTTATAGCAATAAAAAATAAAAATAATAAAAAATTTTAAAAATCGACTTAATGGAGTCTCTTTTTGGCTAACACAGTATTAAATTTGTTTTATTTTTGTTGGAATCACTTAGGGAGAGAATATTCAATACGTGAGTGCCAGGTATACATGAAAAACCATTATCTAGCAAAATTCAGAAACTAAAACAAAATGCAGAATGGTTGTTGGGGAATAGGATATTCAGATGGTCTCAAAGGATCACCCACCAGATAGCATATTAATTAAAAAGGGGAAAATGTACCTCTATAATGGAGCAGGACGTGATGAAAACACCTAAGCCAAGTGATCCAACTTCATAACATCCGTGATGGGATAAAGTTACTTTCTGTACCTTCTAATATGATGTAATGGGAAATAATATCACCTACATAGTATTCTTGCCAAAAAATGTTTAATCTGAATCTAATCATAGGGAAACAATAAATCCAGATTGTGAAACATTATACAGGACAGCTGGTCAGGACTCTTAAAATGTCAGCGTCATCCAAAACACCAAGAACAACAAAAGGCAAGGGGGACGGTTCTAAATTAAAGGAGACTAAAAAGACATGAGAACAAAATGTAGTATGTGAACACTGATCGGATCCTGGATTGCAAAAAAAGAACAGCTATGAAGGAATTCTGAGGGACAACTAGAAAAATTTGGATATAGTATTACTGAATTAATGTTAACTTTCTTGGGTGTAATATGGAATTGATGTTCTATAAGAGAATCCCTTTTTCTTTTATTTTTCTTTTTTTCTTTTTTCTTTTTTTTTTGAGACAGGGTCTCACTCTGTTGCCCAGGCTGGAGTGCTGTAGCACGATCATGGCTCACTGCAGTTTCGACCTCCTGGACTCAAGCCACCCTCCCACCTCAGCCTCCTAAGTAGCTGGGCCCACAGGCGCACACAGCATGCCTACTTTTTTTGTATTTGTAGAGACGGGGTCTCACTATGTTGCCTGGGCTGGTCTCCTAGGCTCAAGCTATCCACCCACCTTGGCCTCTCAAAGTGCTAGGAATACAGGTGTGTGCCACCATGCCCAGCCAAGAATGCCTTTTTTCTAAAGTGATACAAGCTGAAGTATTTAAGTGTTAGGGTATCTGTGACTACTTTCAAATGACTCTGCAAAAAAATTTGTGCATTTCACATATACGTATAGAAGGAGAAAAAGAGAAATCAAACGTGGCAAATGTTAACAAATGGTGAAACTAAAGGATACACTAGCGTTTGGTTGGTTTTTTTTGTTTTTTGTTTTGAGACAGGGTCTCATTCTGTCATCCAGGCTGGATTACAGTGGCGAGATCTCAGCTCACTGCAGCATCAACCTCCTGGGCTAAAGCAATCCTTCTGCCTCAGCTTCCCGTAGCTGGGACTACAGGCAGGCACCACACCTGGCTAATTTTTTTATTTTTGGTACAGACAGGGTCTCGCTATGTTGCCCAGGCTGGTCTCGAACTCCTGGGCTCAAGCGATCCCTCTGCCTCAGCCTTCCAAAGTGCTGGGATTACAAGCGTGAGCCACCGAGCCCAGCCTACAAGTGTTTTATTATACGTTTCTTTCAACTTTTTTGTAGGTTTAAAATTTTTCAAAATAAAAGGTTGGGAGAAAAAGAAATTACAAGAACTTGACTGTGTTATTTAACTGAATGGAATCTCTCTTTAAAAAGATCAAATGTGAAGCTATTTACATTTATGCATTTCTGAGTATGTGGTCTGTAAAGTTTGGTCCCTGCAAACACAGAACAAACATGTATATATAGTATCATCTACATTAGATTTTATATTCTATACACAAAAGTATAATAGAGAATTAAGTCCCTAAGGAATGTTCTGGAGGATTTACTCATGCAGTGGTTAGAGTGGAGATTAAGAGTTGTGAGTGGCCGGGTGCGGTGGCTCACACCTGTAATCTCAACACTTTGGGAGGCCAAGATGTGAATATCGGTTGAGCCTAGGAGTTCGAGACCAGCCTGGGCAACATAGCAAAGCCTTCTCTCTACAAAAAATTAAAATAAAATAAGAAAAAAAGAACAAAACAGAGTTGTGAGTGGCCTCAGGGATCATCTATTATAATTTTTCAATGAATGTCACAGTTTTTTTAAAATAAGGAAAATGGATAAATGGAAAGCTCAAACAGGCAGTCTTTGATTATACTCTACATGTTTTCATATTGTTGTAATCACAAGATAAATACAATTTTGTATCATTTGTCAGTACATATTTATATAAAATAGTTTACATGTTATAGTACCTACACTTTTAGTGGCTTTATAGTCTATCAAGTGAATATATCATCATTTAAATTTTTTTCTACTGTTGGTAATTTTCTAATTTCCTGATATAGTAGACAACATTGCAATGAACACGTTTGTGCATATAGTTATTTTCTTCTATTAAATAGTTTTGTTAGGATAAAATTCCCAAGAGTGGCATTATGGGATTATAAAGCATAAACATTTTTAAGGACCTTCAATTTGAAAATACCAGCTACTCAAATACACATGTTTAGACACAGCAAGCAACATCTGGCACATGTAATGGAATTCCTGCAAGGATAACAGGATCTAAACATTTAAAAAGATTGCCTCAAGGTCATCCAGGCACCTAAATCCTGGCTTTGTCACTCAACACTCTATAGCCCTTTTTGCAAGGCCTGAGCCATAATAAAGGTTACATGGGCTCCTCTGCTCATGGAGCTTTTTCTATCCTGGTTATAACCTTCCCAAGAGGGAAACCTGAAATGACCTGAAAATAAAACATGTGAGAAGTCAAATAATTTGACCACCCACCTCCACCACCAATTCCCAGTTAAGCCATGACTTACTTTTCCAGTGCACTTCGAACAGGAGGCAACCCCCCACAGCTGTGTTTGTAGACTGTTTCCAGGATTTGACAACCATGAATCTGTGGAAAATACGGCCTTGTCAAACTGGATTCCATTCTAAGAGTCCATGCAAGACACATTCTTATTCCATATTCAACCAAGAGGGCACAATCTAGGAGAGACTGGGGATAAACTTTCTCCTAAGATTTACACATAGTGGTTCTCAAAGAGGGACCTCTCTCCCATCAGCAGCATGACCTGGAGACTCATCAGACATGCAAACTCTTGGTTAGAACCCAGCACTCAGTGTTTCCACAAGCCCTCCAGGTGATTCTAATGCACAGTAAAGTGTGAGAACCACTGCACTTAAAGCAACCAGAATCATTTAGAGTTGGAACACCAAAGCCAAGGAAAGCTTTTTATTTCAAGTTAAGGCCCAATTCAGTCTACTTCTAAGGTATATACTTTTTCAAAAATCCTCTGCCTCTATGTTCTTCAGACTTTTTTTTTTTTTTTTTTTTTTGAGACGGAGTCTTGCTCTGTCGCCCACGCTGGAGTGCAGTGGTGCAATCTTGGCTCACTACAAGCTCTGCCTCCTGGGTTCACACCATTCTCCTGCCTCAGCCTCCCGAGTAGTGCGACACAGGCACCCGCCACCACGCCTGGCTAATTTTTTTTGTATTTTTAGTAGAGACAGGGTTTCACTGTGTTAGCCAGGATGGACTCAATCTCCTGACCTCGTGGTCCGCCCGCCTCGGCCTCCCGAAGTGCTGGGATTACAGGCGTGAGCCACCATGCCCGGTCCCCAGACTTTTATTTTTACCACTTTGAGGTATAATTTACAATGAAATTCACCCATTTTAAGCATACTAATAAACAATTTTTAGTAAATTTCAAACACTGGGCAACCATTACCACAATCCAGTTTTATAACATTTCCACTACTCCAAAAAGCGCCTTTGTGCCTGTCTGCAATCAATCTCCATTCTCAACCCAAACCTAGAATTTTGACCACCTGATTTTAAAAACTCTGAAGAGCCTTGGTACACTAGTTTCTCTACCACTATTCTGGCAGGGAGGAAGATTCAGCCATCTGCAATCCCCCTATTTTCCACTCTCCTTCCTATAGCCAGCGGAAGTTGAAGGCCAACTGAGACGTGCAGCTAGGCCTGGCTCCCTTATGCTGTCCTCATTAACTCTATTTGCCTAGAATGTCTCCTTTTATTTTGGGAGATAGTTTAATCTAGTGGTTAAGAGCACACTCTTTGGAGCCAG
Source organism: Homo sapiens (assembly GCF_000001405.40). Taxonomy (NCBI): domain Eukaryota; kingdom Metazoa; phylum Chordata; class Mammalia; order Primates; family Hominidae; genus Homo; species Homo sapiens. Next base: position 43,378,888 of record NC_000015.10, on the reverse strand, counting down.
ATAGAGCTGGGATATAAACCCATTTACTACTATCTGTGTGACACTGGGCACACCCCTTAACCAACTTAGCCCTTTAGTGGATTGTGTGTGATAATGTATTTAAAGCACTTAGCACAGTGCCTAGTACACAGCCAGTGACAGTAAAAGCTGGATGTTGTTATTTGATGAGGACAATCAGCTTTGAAGGGCCAATGAGCACCCACCACTGGCTTTGCTGGCACAGCATGAACATAGCAGAGCACTGTTTCTACACTTACACAGTTAAAAATGATGCAGCAATGTGGCAGATTAACTGGTTTACTAGTTACATTAATGAAAATGAACACCCCTAATAAGCTAAGGCACAAATAAAGAGCTTAAAAAAAATGACGACTTGAGCTAAAGATGTTTAATCCATTTGTCCACTTGGTCCAATTGTGGACCAATTCAATAGGACAGCAGATTCTTCTAATATGAAATCTCAAAGCATTTATTCCTCAGACTTATTAACTCTGCCCAGAAAGACATTCTCCTAACTTCTCAATACACCTGATAAAAACTTGTGATAAGAATAGGCATATTTATTAAACATCTGGCTTTCACTCACTGATCTCAAAATTCTCAGAAAACTGCCAGCACACTAACCATAAACCTATTACCTTCTTCCTAAGAATTAACTTTCTGCTTCACACCCAACAGTTCTAAAACCTTACTGCAGGTTCCTCTCACCTGCAAACATCCACAGCACTTTTTTTCTTACCCCAACAACATTCTTGGGAACATCTATGAACATTTCCTCTACCTTCTGGACCAGGAGGTGTTTAAAGGCAGAGTCATACTTTTGCATTCCTGACACTTAACATGATAACCAAGCAGATATTGTTAAATGAATGAATAAATAAAAACTACTAAAAACTAGGGTCTTCGAAAAATAATGTAAAGCAAAATTAATTAGTAATATTCCCTCAGTGCTTAGCAAAGCAAAAGGAATAAGGAAAGTTCTCACCTTTTGACTTTTAATTTGTTCTACTACAACCATCACAGAGGGAAAAAGAAGCTGGAACTGCAAAGTAGAGAATAATTAGAAGGGTATGTAATCAAATGTAAGGGAAAAAAAATCAACTTGGGAAATGCTTTTGTTTCTAAATAGTTCAACTTAAGATAAAATGGCAATACCACAGAACAGTCAAGATCCAGCATCCTAAGGCAATTTGATGTGGAGGTTCGCTGCAGATAGGAAGAGGATGGCAGAGAGAGGCAGTTTCTTTTTTTTCTTTTTTCTTTTTTTTTTTTTTTTTGAGACAGGGTCTCACTCTGTCACCCAGGCTGGAGTATAGTGGTAGGATCCCAGCTCACTGCAACCTCCACCCCTGGATTCAGAACGTTAGCCTCCCAAGTAGCTGGGACTACAGGTGCACGCCACCACAACCGACTAATTTTTGTATGTTTAGTAGAGACAGGGTTTCACCATTTTGGCCAGGCTGGTCTCCAACACCTGACCTCAAGTGATCCAACCACCTCGGCCTCCCAAAGTGCTGGGATTAGAGGTGTGTACCACCATGCCCAGTCGGGAAGCAGTTTCTATTTCTGAGGCTGGCATACTTGTTAATACTGATGTCCATATAGAGCAGTAACATTAGCGTTAATATCAGACATTAAGTTTTAACTATATTTGGAAATCTTTAAACAGTTTTGATCTAGTAAAACATACAAAATGCACAAAATATAAAATGTTAGGCTCTGAATCCAGAAGAAAAAAAGTTCTCAAAAACAGTACCATAAATTAGATTATTCTAACACTATCAACAGATTGCAAGGCATTTGGTTATTTGGGCAGCATACCTGGTCTAGGAAGTAGTTGACATGTGATATGGAGAGATGGGGATCACCCAGGAACTGCAATAAAAAACTTTGTGATTAGAGCTCCACACAAAATATCTCAAATCTATTTGATCTATGAAAATGAGAAGAGAATCTCATGATGGGCTTAAGTGTTAATTTTAGGCTATCGAGAACTGATAATTTAATCAGGTTATTAATCCTGATTTTCGGGCCATAAAGAAACCAAGCCAGGGCTCTTATAAACTCACTAAAGAGTCTTTGCCATGATCTGTAAGCCACTCTGATCACAGGTTGGGCAATCACTGAGAGAACACTGTACCTTCCAGCCATGCAGGCAACTGCTCACTCTTAACTACCTGATCTTATCAAAGGGCATTTCAGATTCAAGAACATGCCCTAATCTACTGTCCCAGAGGTGTTTCCTATATCTCCTCCTTCTTACCTCTTGTTCCAAATCAAGCAGTGCTTGGCGATAAGGCTGCAAAACAGAATCCAGCCCTGTGCAGAAGGCCCGCAGGTAGATTCCATGTAACCCACCTTGGCCCTGTTGAGATGGATGGTGATCCTGAAATCAAACAAACAGAAGCCAACTTCTCAGCTCAGGCCCTGAAACCTGAGAAAGACATTATCAGGCTTGTTTCTTTTAAAAGTTATACAAACAAACCAATTAGAGGCCTTGCCTTCACTTGAATATTTCTAGTGATGAGAAATCCATAACTTATTTCACATGAATTACCGATAAATTCACTGAAAGCTTGACATAGCTCCTGCCCTCTAGAGGTGAAAGCTTGACATAGCTCCTGCCCTCTAGAGGTGTACACCCACAGAGAACAGGACCCACCTGCTGTTGCACATGGCCCGTGTACTGTTCAATGAACTCAGTGAAGCGAATATAGTCTGTGCCGAGCCGGCAGAGTCGATTCAGGACACTGGTCTCACTGGGGTGGAGGAAAGGGAAGTCCTGCGATACCTGCAGGAAGAGGAACACTGCCGAAAACACCGCCAGTCGCTGCCCCAACTTTCAGGTGCTTCAAACGCTTCATACTACACATTTATCGTTTTCTTTCTCAAGATGTCCACTTAAAGGTGTTAAGTTCTGGATAACAATGTATTTCCAAAGCACTTCAAAGGGGTTCCCTATCCCTGACCCAATTATTTGCTTCTTAAAATAGGTAACACATGCTAAATAATTTAAACAATATAAAATGGTGTACATTAAAAATAAGTCAACCACCCCAGAAGCAGCCGCTATTACCTGCTTCTTAAGCAATCTTCTAGGGATGGTCTCTAAGGATATGGGGGTTTTGACCTGGTTGCAACAAAGTCTCTTTAGCAATATTGCTCAAATGGGGGTCTGCAGACTCCATGGGTTTCTCAGACATATTCTTAGGATTTACAAATTCCCTATAGAAGTTTTCATTGTTTTCATTCCAGTAAAAATCTAAAATTAAGCATACCTATTATCTGTAAATGCACCTTATAACTGGCCATATATATTTAGTGTCCATATTTACATTTGTATTTTTAATTTAAATGAAAGCCAAATGATAGCCTAATATGCTATATACAAAGGTTTCACAGCAGTTCAGGTAGAAAAAAGTAGTGGGAAAATATATTCCTTCAACCAACTTTTTAAAAATACTGTGGTAAAATACGTATAATAAAATCTACCATTTTAGCTATTTTAAGTATATAGTTCAGTGGTATGAAGAACATTCACACTGTTGTGCAACCAGCACCACCATCCATCTCCAGAACTTTTTTGTTTGCCCCAAATGAAACTCCGTATCCAGCCCCTGCCAAACACCACTCTACTGCCTCTGACTTTGACTACTCTAGCTACCTCATATAAGTGGAATCACTCAGGTCGGGTACAATTGCTCACGCCTGTAATCCCAGCATTTCGGGAGGCCGAGGCAGGTGGATCACCTGAGGTCAGGAGTTCAAGACCAGCCTGGCCAACATGATGAAACCCTGTCTCTACTAAAAATACGAAAATTAGCCAGGCGTGGTGGTGGGCGCCTGTAATGCCAGCTACTTGGGAGGCTGAGGCATGAGAACTGCTTAAACCCGGGAGGCGGCGGTTGCAGCGAGCTGAGATTGCACCACTGCCCTCCAGCCTGGGCAACAGAGCGAGACTCTGTCTCAAAAAAAGTGGAATCATTATTTGTCCTTTTGTGACTGGCTTATTTCAGCTCATCCATGTTGTAGCACATGCCAGAATTTCCTTCCTTTTTAAGGCTGAACAATATTCCCTTGTGTGTATATACCACATCTCAATTACCTATTCGTCCCTGCACTGACACTTGCTTCCACCTCTCAGCGATTGTGAATAATGCTTGGTGAACACGGGTGTACAAATATCTGTTGGGTTCCTGCTTTCACTTCTTTTGGGATATACCCTGAAGTAGAACTGCTAGATTGTATGGGAATTTTATATTTAATTTTTTTTTTTAGAGACAAGGTTTCACTCTGTCACCCAGACTGGAATACAGTGGTGGGTTCATAGCTCACTGTAACCTTGAACCCCTAGGTTCAACCAATTCTCCCACCTCAGCCACCAGAGTAGCTAGGACTACAGGCATGTGTCACCATGCCCAGCTAATTAAAAATTTTTTTTTTGTAGAGATGGAGTCTTGCTCTGTTGCGCAGGCTAGCCTCAAACTCCTGGCATTAACTGATCCTCCAGCCTCACCCTCCCAAAGTGCTGAGATCACAAGTGTCAGCCGCTGTGCCTGGCCTTTATTTAATTTTTTGAAGAACTGCCATACCATTTTCCACAATGGCTGTACCATTTTACATTTCCATTACTATATCCCAGGTACTGTGCTAATACTTTGAGATAAAAGAGTGAACAAAATCAGATACAATTACTGCTCCAAAGGAACTTAGCATATTATATGGATGGATATATAATATGGATTATATGTGGATGCCATTTTATATGACAGTAAATGTGGTAACAAATAGGCGAAGAAGAATTTTTCTGTTACCAAGTCCATAGAAAATTGATTAGGAATCCAATTAATGTAGATTTTAATGACACAATGCTAATCACATCTTCAAGTTAGTAACTTAAGAGGTTGCACAACACGGTGCTTAAGAACCTGGTCTCTTGCCGGGCGCAGTGGCTCACGCCTGTAATCCCAGCACTTTGGGAGGCCGAGGTGGGCGGATCACGAGGTCAGGAGATCGAGACCATCCTGGCTAACACGGTGAAACCCCATCTTTACTAAAAAAACTACAAAAAAATTAGCCGGGTGTGGCGGCAGGCGCCTGTAGTCCCAGCTGCTCGGGAGGCTGAGGCAGGAGAATGGCGTGAACCCAGGAGGTGGAGCTTGCAGTGAGCCGAGATTGCACCACTGCACTCCAGCCTGGGCGACAGAGCGAGACTCCATCTCGGAAAAAAAAAAAAAAAAAAAGAACCTGGTCTCTGGAGCCCAACTGCCTGGGTTTGAATCCCTGAGTTGCCTCTTACTTGCTTGAAAGCTTAGGCAAGTTACTATACCTGTCTGTGCCTGTTTTCATACCTATAAACTGAAGAAAATAATTGTGAGGATTAAATAAGTTAATACATGTGTAAAGCACATATCCCAACCACATAGCTAGTGCTCAATACACATAAGCAATTTTATATTATTAACAAGACAGCTCTACCAGTTATCAAGTGATACTACTATTAAAATTGGCATTTGAGCGTTTCTTGTTGGCAGAGTTTTCGAAAAGTTCAATATCTAATTATTCTGAAACAGCAAATAATAACTCGAAGTTACTGATACCATTCTATATAACACAGTTATAGGAACAGGCTGAGAAATCCTGCATTAGAATAATGGTCATTTGAACTTATTGATTTGGTAGTTTTGTTTACTTTTAATTTATAAAAATATTTGATTTTATAGTTGTTTAAGAGTATTATGCTTGAGTTTATACCTAGCTTATGTATATACATATTCAATATAATAAAATAATTTTCATTAACACTTGGCACTCATGACAACTTTTCCCTTTACTCAAATGTAAAAGACACTGCTCTGCAGAAATTATGTAATATTTGCCATCTTTGTCTTCTTTTCTTCCATCAATACCTAAACACCTGCTATGTGGCAGAAACTGTGCTAGGTGCTCTGGGTAGATGAATGAAGAAGACCACTGGTCTTCGCTCCCAGGGGCAATCTATGCGGGAGAAAGGCTAAAAACAGGTAACAACAATACATTATGAATTGTGACAAATCCTACAAGGGAAATAAACAAGTTGATGGAGAATAATGGCATCAGGGGAGGATGCTTAAAGATGTGCTCAGAGAAAGTTTTTCTGACAAAGTGACTTTAAAGCTGAGACCTTGAGGATGAAATGGTAGAAAATACATGATTGAGAATTTTTCATAAGAAAGAAAGGAAGGGAAAAGATGAATTACTTGTGGTTGTCTCCCCCACCCCCTCCCTAGCTATCTTTCCTGTACTGTGTTATCTCTTCTTATTTTGGACCATCAGGCACCCACATACTTCCTAAATACTGTCCTCCTATATGCCTGGCATTGTACTAAGATCTATGGAGAAAAGTGAAACATCGAATTAGTCTTCAAAGACCTACAGGTGAAAGATAACAATTCAAACTCCACCACACAAATCTTCACCTGTTTTTTTCAAAAATTCACCTAAACTCCCAAACTCCAAATACATGTTCATAAATAATAACGAAAGGAAACTGTTTGATTTATAGGTTTTATAGACTAAGAATGTACTTTTTCTGCTCTTCCACAGTCTCCTAAGAATCGGCATGTCTTGGTGATCAGACGGACCTAGATTTCAGTCTTGCCACTACTAGGACTGGCCAGCATAAAGTTTTCTGAGCTTCAGTTTGCTCATTTGTTAACTGGTAGAAACAATACCTAAGTGGACTAAATTATTGAGAGCATTAGATAACATTACTGGAAGCAGAAGCAGGTAAAAGTAGTTCAAATACTGAAGCCAGACAGACCTGGCTTCAAAACTAAGCTCTGTTAATTACTAGCTATGACCCCGATAGTTATTTAACTATTCTAAACCTAGCTTAATCTGTAAAATGGATAAGGTGGTTGTGAGGATTAAATAAGATAATGCATACGGAACATCATACATTCCTGGTTACACAAAGGCCCCCTACCAAGTGCTTTACCTAGTGCAGAAATTTTCTGGTAAAGGAGTAATGAGGGAAACACCACACGCTCTCGATTTCATTTATTTCCTTCAACAAACTTTACTGAGCGCTTACCATGTGTTTGGGAGCTGTGTATTTGGCCCAGTACTTCAAAACTCAAACAATGCACGTGTGAAAATAAATAGGAGAAAGTGCCTCCCACACTTCTATATCATTCCCCAGCAACTGTCAGACACCTGGACCTCAGGCCCTTTCCTCGCCCCGCCACAGGTGGGGCTCTTCGAGGTCTGCCCTCCGTTTTCTAGCCTAGGCCCGGCCTCTCTAGGTGTCGCATCAGCCTTGACCCTAAGGGGCTGCCCTCCAGTCACCTGTCCAGGGATACGCCCCCAGCCCTGGAAGCCCCGCTCGCTAGGTCCCTCAGCCTACTCCCCCAGGCGCTGGCTCAGGTCCCCCCTCCTGCGCTCCCTGGTTCCCGCGCTCTGCGCCGGACAGTACCTGCAGGCCACTCCGCTTGTTCCAGGTGAAAATGGACCCAGGGTACCCGCTCAGAGCCAAGAGCAGTTCGTGGATCATTCCCACGGCGGACCTCGAGTCCCTGGTTATGTCACCCCCTCCTCCAGCGCACCTCCAGGCGACCACGAGGGGAGTGCTTCCCCTTCCACACGCGCACCGGCCCCTGGGTCGGGCGGTTTGTGCCGAATCAACCCACCGAGACAATCGCTGCGGCGGAGCGGACGGGAAGCTGGGAAGGGGTCGCGGGGGAGTCCCGGAAGTTCGGCAGCTCAACGGGGTCCACCAGCTACTCCCGCCCGGGCTCTGCGGAGACTGAGTCGCGGTCGCTGCCCTCGCGCATGCGCCCTCGGTGCCCCGAGCCGCCCGCTCGGACTTCCGGTTTGGGAGCTGTACTTGGGAGGCTGGAGAGCCGGGGCCGGGGCCGGGGCCGGGGCCGGGGTCAGGGTCGGACCCCGAGTGGGTGAGGCTGGCCCGGAGGCAAGGATGCGAGGGGGTTGAGGGGCAGCTCGAGAGGGAGACGCTCCCAGGGGTGGGCTGGAGGGCGCCCTCAGGGCGCCTTAGCCGGGTCAGAGGCCTCTGGAGGGACCGCACGACGGCTCCGGGTTACCCGGCCGGAGGGAGCGGAGACAAAAGAGGCCAGAATCCCGCAGCCGCTGCTCCTTGGGCTGAGAGCTCTGCGTCCGCGAACCGGCAGCACCTGGAGCCTCTGGCCGACACCCGAGCCCGTCCTCAGGAAGCCCGTTACTACTGCTCCTCGGATTCCGTCTCTCCTGCCCAATGTGACTCTCCCCAAGCCCCCATGGTCCTCGCTTTGGAGCCAAAACCAGCTTCTCTCCTTGCGCGAGGTTTTCCGACAGGTAGCTCCCTAATCCTTGCTGAGCGGCTACTACTACGCGGGGAAAACAAAGACCCGAGATTCTGGACGTGATTTTTGCCTGGGGTGGGCTTTGGGAGTTGTGCAGCCCGAGGGGGCGGGGCGGACGCAGAAGGCCTCGGGAAGGACTGCGGAGATACTGGGGGAGATCAGCTGCGACCAGCTGGACAGAGGCTTTTTGTTGCCTTCAAGCAGGATGGTGACTTGTCTTTAGATCCTCTCGAACTCCAGCTCTCCTATATGGTTCGGACTCACTGTGCAACATTGGCCAGGGAAGTTAAATGGGATCGGATTTGGAGGAGGTGGGAGAGGGGCAGACAGTACTTTTATTCTCTGCTGCTTCCTGGGGCTGCCCTGGAAGTCAACCAGAAAAGCAGTTTTTGCAAAGTCTATTTACTGAAGATTGTGCTACCTTAGAAGGCCACTCGGAGCACATGGAAAGGCAGGCCAGCTCTGGCAAGACTTTAGACATATGAATGTATTCCTTCTGATAGTGCCATCTTTCTCTGCCCTAGGAAGAAACACCTCTTACAGTCATCTGCAGGGGATTCTCCAAGGACATGGGAAGATAGATGTAAGCCCTGGAACCCAGACTCCTAAGCGAAGGGAAGCTGCATTCTGCTATTAATGATGGCCAAATCAGCTCTAAGAGAGAATGGCACTAACTCTGAGACCTTCCGACAGCGTTTCAGGAGATTCCATTACCAGGAGGTGGCTGGGCCGCGGGAGGCTTTCAGCCAACTCTGGGAACTTTGCTGTCGGTGGCTAAGGCCGGAGGTGCGCACCAAGGAGCAGATTGTAGAACTGTTGGTGCTAGAGCAGTTCCTGACCGTCTTACCTGGGGAGATCCAGAATTGGGTACAGGAACAATGTCCAGAAAATGGAGAGGAGGCAGTGACTCTCGTGGAAGATTTAGAAAGAGAGCCTGGAAGACCTAGATCTTCGGTGAGAAGGGAGGGGGAATTCAAATTCAAAAGTGTGATACTGGGTGGAGGGCTAAATTAAGATATAGACAGGCTTAAAGAGGGACACAGTCTCCCTTGGTGAGGCTTATACTTCTGGTCTGGTATAGGTAACTTTTTCAGATAGTGCTTGTCTGGAGATGCTTCCTGGGTGTACCTTCACCTACCCTGTCATAATGAGTTTTTCCTATAGTTTCTTAATAGGGAAGAAAGGGGATTTTTTTTTTTCAGCCTGAAGGTGGGTTTACTATTTTGATCGTTTCCTTCTGGAGTTTCAACTGCTTTAAGCTAATGGCAATGGAATAAGACCCTTGTTCGCGTTAACCTCCCTCACCCCTACAACCCTGGCCATGGCTCTGAAAGATGATCTCTTTTGGGGTATTAAATACTCTCCTCTGGGAATGCCCCTCATTATGATCTTGCAGTGACAATTAACGGGGGTTGTTTCTAGGTCACAGTCTCTGTGAAGGGGCAGGAAGTGCGCTTGGAGAAGATGACACCCCCGAAATCATCACAAGAGTTATTAAGTGTTCGGCAGGAGTCAGTGGAACCCCAGCCCAGGGGTGTACCCAAGAAAGAGAGGGCAAGAAGCCCAGACCTGGGACCACAGGAGCAGATGAACCCAAAGGAGAAGCTCAAACCTTTTCAAAGGAGCGGTGAGGAGTAGATTCATATGGGAAGATAGACTGCCATTCCAAGTTGGGAAGTAGGGTTGGGAATAGTGAGTGGGAAAGGGATTTCAGGAGTAAGTGGAAATTGCAGAATATGTGGTTGTTGACATGTAGTTTAGCCTCTGGTATTCATATTACCTCTTGATAAGTCCACAAGAGAATGGCTCCCTAGTTTTTATCGGAACTTGGAATTATTTTATTTCCTCTTGGTAATGATGATAGTATAGGTCATTATTTTCTAGATAAAAATTCTTTTCTATACTTGAAGGCACATCTTCCTTTTGGTTGTTTTCCATCTTCAAATTAAACTATATTTGTTACCTTAAGCTTTCCCCCAGAAGATCCATTCTTTTTTTTTTTTTTTTTTTTTTTTTTTTTTTTTGAGACGGAGTCTCGCTCTGTCGCCCAGGCTGGAGTGCAGTGGCGGGATCTCGGCTCACTGCAAGCTCCGCCTCCCGGGTTCACGCCATTCTCCTGCCTCAGCCTCCCAAGTAGCTGGGACTACAGGCGCCCGCCACTACGCCCGGCTAATTTTTTTGTATTTTTAGTAGAGACGGGGTTTCACCGTTTTAGCCGGGATGGTCTCGATCTCTTGACCTCGTGATCCGCCCGCCTCGGCCTCCCAAAGTGCTGGGATTACAGGCGTGAGCCACCGCGCCCGGCCAAGATCCATTCTTTAAACCTAAGTTTCTGTTGCTCTCTATTGGAACCTTTAAGTTCTCCAAATATCATGTTAATTGTGGGGAACTAAATTATGTTTATTATTTTCCTGAAAGTCTGTTAGAAGCTAAGTAAGAATTTTACTTCAGAATCTTGCAATGTCTTGTATCAGTATAGCCCAACCTGTTATATTTTTTTGTTCACCTGGTAACTTCCAGGACTCTGATAGCTTTCCCCAATGCCTTTATACCTAGTTGATTATTCTTGTACTTGATTTTTGTAGAACTTGTTTTTCTTCTTTGTAGTCTATTGATCTCCATGTTGTATGCTTTTTTCTGTTACCATTTCACTTAAAATTTGTTGAGGTTGTTTTGAATTCTGATCTTATCATCCAAGACAATAGCCTTCTCAGCCAGTTTGGTAATGGTCTGTTTAGTCACCCAGATGAAATCCCTGAATCTCACACACAGACTTGCAGAGTTCATCAGTTTTTGAACACCTGTCAAGGTGCTCAACATCTTGCAGGGTACTCTGCAATAAGAAAATGTGCCTATCCTCAAAGAACTTAAAAACATGATTGAGAACACTATAGCTAACTCTTAAGTATGTGCCGAACTGAACTGAACTGAAACAGTGCCAGACAATGACTTGCCCAATTGTGTGAGTACCGTATGGGTTTGTCAGAGTGGGAGATGAGGGAGGGCTGACGGTAAGGCTTCTTGAGGGCACTGGCAAATACAGCCTCTTGAAGGATGGGCTAAAATTGGATAGGAGGGAATTAAAAGTAAAGGCACAGAGTGGTGAACAACAGTGTGCTGTGTTCTGAAGGGAAGAGTCTGACAGGAATGGGTATGGTAGGCACTAAGGTTAAGGTTCACCAGGGTAGCATGTGCACTGGCAAGCAAGAGCCTGCGGTTAGGTAGAACAGTGACTGCTGCAATTATCTGGGTGTGAGAGGATAAGTAGTCTGGACTTGGATGGTGGCAGTAGGAATAGAGAGGAAGGACTACTAAGGTGAACACCTTTAGAACCTGGTGACTGACTGTGAAGGAAACGGATAAGGTAAAGACAATCTTCTCTCGCTTCCCCCTTGAAATCACGCCGAGTTTAATTCTGTAGCCCCAAGTGAAGAACAATTATTCCCAGCAGTACTAGGACCTGCCTACAAATAGGAGAGCTTGGAATAGAATTATCTGCTCTGAACACACAACAGAATCCTTTCCTCTCTTGTCACCCTGCTCTGGAAAATAAAACATTTCTCATCTTTTGAGGTTTCCTGTATTTTCCCCACCTTTTTCAGCCCACTGAACTTTCTGAAAACATTTCCCTAGACACTTTGTTTATAATCCTCTTGGATGAAAAAGGCAGGACTGAATTTCAAGATTTTTGTGATAATCAGTCCAAACTATGACAACTTTTGTTTGTTTCCCTGCAAGCAGGATTGCCATTTCCTAAATCCGGTGTGGTCTCCAGGTTGGAGCAAGGAGAGCCATGGATCCCAGATCTGCTGGGCTCTAAGGAGAAAGAACTTCCAAGTGGCAGCCACATAGGAGACAGACGAGTGCATGCTGATCTGTTACCATCCAAGAAAGATAGAAGAAGCTGGGTGGAACAGGATCACTGGAGCTTTGAAGATGAGAAGGTGGCAGGTGTGCACTGGGGCTATGAAGAGACCAGAACGCTCCTCGCAATTCTCAGCCAGACTGAGTTTTATGAGGCTCTCAGAAACTGCCATAGGAACAGCCAAGTGTATGGGGCTGTGGCTGAGCGGCTCAGGGAATATGGCTTCCTCCGGACCCTGGAACAGTGTCGGACCAAGTTCAAAGGTCTCCAGAAGAGCTATCGGAAAGTCAAGAGCGGCCACCCACCTGAGACCTGCCCCTTCTTTGAAGAGATGGAAGCCCTGATGAGTGCTCAGGTCATTGCCCTGCCCAGTAATGGCCTGGAAGCAGCAGCCTCTCACTCTGGCCTGGTAGGCAGCGATGCTGAGACTGAAGAGCCAGGGCAGAGGGGCTGGCAGCATGAGGAGGGAGCAGAAGAGGCTGTGGCTCAGGAGTCTGACAGTGATGACATGGATCTAGAGGCGACCCCCCAGGACCCCAACTCAGCTGCACCTGTTGTGTTCAGAAGCCCAGGTGGTAAGAAGCTTTTCTTCTTGGAGTTTTGGAATTAGACTTGGGGAACAAAGAGACTGGATGTGGAGTCAGAAGGCTTAATGTCACATGCCAGCTTTGCCACTTAGGGAACAAAGAAGTGCTTCTCCATTCTTTGTGTGTATTTCATTCTCTTTTATGGGAAAATCAGTGAGATAATTGGGAATACATTTAGATTTTTAGAAGAAATACACTCAGAAAATTCACAGTCCTGAGAAGGAGTATCATTCCTTCCATTTCTTTACTAAACTATTTTTTTCCCTGATTTTAAAATCATTGCAGCAGGCTCACTGAGAAAAATGTGGCACAATATTATCTTTAAGTAGAACCAGTGTTTATTGAGTATGTCATATGAACTTGATGTTTTACATATTTTATCTTTTACTTCCCCAAAGCTCAAAGTCAGTTTATTATATTCGTTTTTACTTAGAATAGTACAGTGAAGAATTGTCCAAAGTTGGGGAAACATTTTTTTCTTTAAAAATTTTAAAATATATTTAAACAGAGACAGGGTCTTGCTGTGTTGCCCAGGCTGGTCTCACTGGGTTCAAGCAGTCCTCCCACCTCAGCCTTCTGAGTAGTTAGGACTACAGGTGTGAGCCACCACACTGAGCTGGGAAACATCTAAGTTTCCTCTGAGATTCATAGTATACATTGGCATTTTAACAGGATTGAGAAGTCCTACAGTGAGAAAGCTTGTTTAACACTCTATTTAAATATTCTTGCCTATGGAATCCTTTTTAAAGTATCATTTACTACCATTAATGTAATCGGTACAACTATGCTGTTATGGAAAGAGCACCAAAGTATGACTCAGGAGGCTTAGATTCTAATCCTGATGACCACTAATAAACTGGGCGACCTTGAGCAGTTATCTAACCATTCTAAGCTTCCATTTCCTCAAGTGTAAAATGGGGCAAAGCAGGAGGACTACATCGCTAAAGTTGCAGTTCCTTTGTGAGCAGTGGTCTTTTCCTTCTGTTTTTTGTGACATGCATGATCTTATTTTAGTTCTGTTCTAGCTTTCTGGTCTTTGTGTCTTCTGCTTTTTCGTTTCTCTTTATTTTTCTTGTTTTCTTCATTCTCTTTTTCCTTTTTTGTTGCAGACACAAATATATGTAGGTTAATTAAATGTGGCACATGTGCTCAATGTTATTTTCATTATCATTGTTCTTTCACTTTTTTTTTTTTTTTTTTTTTTTGAGACAGAGTCGCTTTGTTGTCCAGGCTGGAGTGCAGTGGTGTGATCTCATCTCACTGCAACCTCCACCTCCCCAGTTCAAGCGATTCTCGATTCTCATGCCTCAGCCTCCCAAGTAGCTGGGACTATAGGTGCACACCACCACGCCTGGCTAATTTTTCTGTGTTTTTAGTAGAGACAGGCTTTCACCATGTTGTCCAGGCTGGTCTCAAACTCCTGGCCCCAAGCGATCCACAGGGATTACAGGCATAAGCCACTGTGCCTGGCCAGCTTCTTTTTTATATGGCTAAACAGAATTTGTAAATAAAGGTCTCTGTGAAATTGCTAAAGGATATAAAGAAGCAAAACATTCTATACTGAGTTTGTGGATTTTGGAAACATGAAGTATTTTTACTTTTTCATCTAGGAGCCTGAGCTTAGGTGAATTCTCATGATGCAGATGATAGGACTGAGGAATTCAGGCTCTAAAGCTCTGGATTAAGTGGTGCTGAAATTTCTCTTCTGGTGGCAGGTGTACACTGGGGCTATGAAGAGACCAAGACTTACCTTGCAATTCTTAGTGAGACCCAGTTTTATGAAGCCCTCCGGAACTGTCACCGCAACAGCCAGCTGTATGGAGCAGTGGCTGAGAGGTTATGGGAATATGGCTTTCTTAGGACCCCAGAACAGTGTCGGACCAAGTTTAAAAGCCTGCAAACCAGCTATCGGAAAGTTAAGAATGGCCAGGCACCAGAGACCTGTCCCTTCTTTGAAGAGATGGATGCTTTGGTGAGTGTCCGGGTTGCTGCCCCACCCAATGATGGCCAGGAAGAGACTGCTTCTTGCCCCGTCCAGGGGACCAGTGAGGCTGAAGCTCAGAAGCAAGCTGAGGAAGCAGACGAGGCCACAGAGGAAGATTCTGATGATGATGAAGAGGATACTGAGATACCCCCAGGGGCTGTCATAACCCGTGCTCCAGTGTTATTCCAAAGCCCCCGTGGTAAGATTATTTCACTATTATGGTATAAATAACAAAGGGAAGACAATGGGACTTAGGAAAAATATCATCTGATTGAGAACTGGCCTCTACACCCAGCTTTCATGGATTCTTCTTGTGACCACCCATATTTCTTGTCTATTAAAGCAGCTCACTGAGGGGATATAAATTATTTATGTGACTTGACTTCCCACACTAGAGCATCAATCTGAGATAGCTGCACATTGTAAATTTGCTGTGATTTATTCATGAACCACTAGGTTTCCAACCAGTTTACTAAGCAGGGAATCTGAAAGCTCACATTTCTCAAGTAGCATGTCACGTACCCACGGTAGGATGAAGTTGATTTTAAAAGTTCATTCTCTTTTATATGTCTTCTTCTAGTTTCAGCTCATATACCAGCTGTATGTCTGCTTTATTCACATTTATGAAAATCTGATAACTGTTGTTCACTTTTATGAATCTGAGGTTCCTGAGAGAACTGACCCTTTGAATCTTAGCTGCTAGATAAGAAAAAAATACTTCACAAGGGCTTCCATCCTTGTGAGAAGAGTTCTGATTTCAGAGTCATATATGTGTACGTATGTGAATCTGGGCTCTGTTGTTTATTAGTTAAGTGACTTAGAGAAGGTTACTTAAGGCTGGGCATGGTGGCACATGCCTGTAATCCCAGCATTTTGGGAGGCCGAGGCGGGCAGATCACCTGAGGTCGGGAGTTGGAAAGCAGCCTGACCAACACGGCGAAACCCCATCTCTATTAAAAATACAAAAAATTAGCCAGGGGTGGTAGCGCGCACCTGTAATCCCAGCTACTTGGGTGGCTGAGGCAGGAGAATCGCTTGAACCTGGGAGGCAGAGGTTGCAGTGAGCTGAGATCGTGCCATTGCACTCCTGCCTGGGCAACGAATGAAAAAAAAAAAAAAGTTACTTAACCCCCAAGTTTGCTTATATATTAAGACCTACCTCATAGGGTTGATGTAAATGAGGTACTGTGCACAGTGCCTGGCACATAGTAGCCATTTAATAATAGTTTTCATTTTCATAAGTCTTTAAGATCAGCATTTTTTAATGTTGTTCCCTGGAATATCAATTCCATGGGGTATTAATATATTCTACTAAAAAATAACTTATAGGTTTGGGAAGATGGTAAATACCCCTGTTGGAGGCTCACAATACATATTCACATATTTAAGGTTCTAAGATTTATTTAATCTAGTGAATATTTCATGAAATATCTCATAAGACTAGGCTTCTGGGTAGAAATACTGTCTCAGGAGGTACAAACATGGGCTGATACTCAACATGCTTTTACTCCTAGATTTAGTCTAGGGAATATGGGATTCAGAGTTTACCTGAAATAGCTGAATAAATGCAAATTTGCATAGCCTAGGCCCAAAAAAGCCAGGCATTTGGTTCTTAGGGCCTTTTGGTTCTTTGAAAGACACTACATATTTTTCTATCCTGTTTTTACTTGCAACGTATATTGGAATGTGAGGGGAAGGGGACTCATGAAGCTCCTCTGGATATAAAAGTTTCCAAAAATGTTTTCCTGAGCATGTCCTTCTAAACCTTTTAGTTACTGGTGAAGAACATGAATAAGAATACTATGACAGACCCGAGATGTGGCAAAAATACGTATTAGAAAGTGTCTTTCCTGTAGAAACATGGAAATTATTTTATCTAAAACCTGGTGATTTTCCATGCTGTACTGGGAGGATTTTCCAAAGATCCTAGATGACCAAGAGGAATTAAAAGTATATATTATTCAGACCCTATGTAGATGAGAAGCACATGATAGGTTAACAAGTAGAGAAGTAAAACATTGGGATTTTAATAAGATAATGGTAGTTATTTGGGATCTAGGGCTCCCTAAATTTTAATCATGTGGTGTAATGCTTGTTTTTCCCAAGTTTTACATTCCTGTGGCACATATGATTAAGAAAATAGATAACTTCTAAAATTCTGTTTTACATCAGGTTTTGAAGCTGGATTTGAGAATGAAGATAATTCAAAACGGGATATTTCTGAGGAAGTACAACTGCATAGGACATTACTTGCAAGATCTGAAAGGAAAATTCCCCGGTATCTTCATCAGGGTAAAGGCAATGAGAGTGACTGTAGATCAGGAAGACAGTGGGCAAAGACCTCAGGGGAGAAAAGAGGAAAACTGACACTCCCGGAGAAGAGCTTAAGTGAAGTCCTAAGTCAACAGAGACCTTGCTTGGGAGAGAGACCCTATAAATATCTCAAATACAGCAAAAGCTTTGGTCCAAACTCCCTTCTCATGCATCAGGTATCCCACCAGGTGGAAAATCCATATAAATGTGCTGATTGTGGGAAAAGCTTCAGTCGGAGTGCACGACTCATTAGACACCGGAGAATCCACACTGGAGAGAAACCTTATAAATGTCTTGACTGTGGAAAAAGTTTCCGTGACAGTTCAAATTTCATCACCCATAGGAGAATCCACACAGGAGAGAAACCTTATCAATGTGGTGAGTGTGGGAAATGCTTCAATCAGAGCTCAAGCCTTATCATTCACCAGAGAACCCACACAGGAGAAAAGCCCTATCAATGTGAAGAGTGTGGAAAAAGCTTCAATAACAGTTCTCATTTTAGTGCACATCGGAGGATACACACAGGAGAGAGACCCCATGTGTGTCCTGACTGTGGAAAGAGTTTCAGTAAGAGTTCTGACTTACGTGCACATCATAGAACCCACACAGGAGAGAAACCCTATGGGTGTCATGACTGTGGTAAGTGCTTCAGTAAAAGCTCTGCCCTTAATAAGCACGGAGAAATCCATGCACGGGAAAAGCTTCTGACACAGTCAGCTCCCAAGTAAGCCCCTGAGGATATATAACGGAAAGAGGCTCAATAAATGTATTGTTTAGAAAGTCTTCCAATAGTGAGATTCATCTACTATTCTGTGTCCAGTTAGCTTAGGAAATTCACTTTAGGATTTATGCCACTGTTTGTTCCTTGTTTTTCCTGATCTAGACTCAAATCCCCAAGGCAGTCTAAAGAATGAAAGGAAGATTTCAGTCCCTCTCTTTGCCTGCATCTGAATTGATGGATAACATCTTTTCCCTCTCAGTGCCTATGGTGTTCCCTTAATATAAGCACAGAGGACAAGGTAATAGATCCTATGAATTTGATAAGCATCCTTCTTTACTCATTCTGTCATTCAGCTGCATTTTGACAGGAAAAACCCATTACATTTCGAGAAGAAGTTATGAGACTTTGCCCATTAGGTGGGTCTAGCTCTTTTTTTTTTTTTTGGAGACGGAGTTTTGCTCTTGTTGCCCAGGCTGGAGTGCAATGGCACGATCTCAGCTCACTGCAACCTCTGCTTCCCGGGTTCAAGTGATTCTCCTGCCTCAGCCTCCCAAGTGGCTGGAATTACAAGCATGCGCCACCATGCCCAGCTAATTTTATATTTTTAGTAGAGATGGGGTTTCTCCATGTTGGGCAGGCTGGTCTCAAACTCCCGACCTCAGGTGATCTGCCTGCCTCGGCCTCCCAAAGTGCTGGGATTACAGGCATGAGCCACTGCGCCGGGCTTTTTTTTTTCGAGATGGAGTCTCACTCTGTCGTCCAGGCTGGAGTGCAGTGGCATGATCTCAGCTCACTGCAACCTCTGCCTTCTGGGTTCAAACAATTTTCCTGCCTCAGCCTCCTGAGTAGCTGGGATTACAGCCACCTGCCACCATACCAGGCTAAATTTTGCATTTTTAGTAGAGATGGGGTTTCACCATGTTGGCCAGGCTGGTTTTGAATTGACCTCATGATCTGCCTGCCTAGGTCTCCCAAAGTGCTGGGATTACAGGTGTGAGCCACTGCACCCGGCCCAGCTCTTCTTTATACAATAATGGAAATGCTAAAATGAATGACTCTTCCTGCTCACTTAAACCTGTGCTCAAAATGACATATTTGTCAGGCACCCTCTTCATTTACCTTAAAGAAGGAGAGTTTAATGTCCATCTTGGTTCTGCCCTATGAATCATCTTGTCAAGAACAGGTGTTCTTATGCAGAAACAATGAAAACCTTATACTGAAGTGTGAACCCTGGATTTCTTAGTTTCTTCTGAGTCCTAGAAGAAGGGTTGGAATAGAATAATACATTTACAGGATTTAGGTTGGTTTTCTTTCTGTCCAGTCTCATCTGAATTTCGTCTGTCTCTTGTGGTCCAGAAGTTCCACAGAGCAACGCAGCTGCATGTGGTGACAGGTAGAGCAGTTAAAGCTGCCAATAGGAACTCGTCCATATTCCACACACCTGGTATAGTGTTATGCCCTCCATGGGCACTTACCTGCAATAAGCAGAAGCCACTGCCACATTCCCGTGTATTGGGAAAATGGACTACTGTGTGCGAACAGGCCCTTTACCCTAATGGCAGGGAAGATGGATTATCTTTGGCCAGTGGAGCTGCCAATCTAGACATACACATTCAACTGAATACAATTAAAAGCAGTTCTTTAAATGCAAATATAATTACTCATCTTTATAATACAATAGTATTAACTGCCCATATGCTCATAGTATGATGAGCCCTGTATAGCACAAGGTCAACAGGTCCTCTCCTTGTCCTTACAATCTAAAGCAGATGACACTGACATGGACAAACAAGTGCACATGCATAGTTGCGGCAGTTTTAGAGAAATCTAGAAAGCTAGGTAGCAACACTATGCATAAATGTTGTGGTCCAATGCATTAGTTTGCTTTAACAAAAATCTGGGAGGTATTTTTTCTCTTTATTCAGGAAGGCTTCATGAAGCAGGAAGTGGTCAAAGGAGGGAAGGTTACTGGTTAAATTATGATAGGAAGAACTTTCCATAACTAGTTGCAAAATTGAGTGCTGGGTGGGTTGAGGAATGGGAAAAAGGGGGAGCAAGGTGTTTTGTGTAGATGGAACAAAGGGCAAAGGATAGACTGTAAGGAAGGCCAGATAAAGCTTGGAGTAGCATGAGAACTTGAGGAATAGTATGATATGGGCTGTGCAGCAGGCAGAGAGAATCACCTTAGCTGAAACATGGGTGTTAGGAGCAGACCATGAGGTGGTAGAACCATCATCTATAGTAAATCAGGTACTACGCTATAACTATTGATAAGGAAACAGCTGACTGCCACTGAAAGAATAAGCAGTTTTAGGGGACTAGCTCCTATGGGAGATAAAGGTCAGAAATCGTAGTATCTGATGAAGATATTTTGATGAGCAGGTGAGAAGAAAGATAAACATGGCCAGATGGCCAAGGACTGGGATAAGTAGCCGTTTCACATTCAATTAGAATTCTGTGGCTGGAATAAGATCAGGGAGAGCAGTAGGAAGATATAGTATTCTATAATTCATAGCTTGTTGTGTTAGAGATTAATTAGGATTCTGCTGTTGAATCTTAGTACAAAAAAATCTAATATTTATTAGGAATTAAGGGAAGATGGTACTTCTGTTATGTTGCCTAAGCAGACAGGAAGCTACAAGAAACACCAGTCTGAAGCAGTGCCTCAGGATCTCAGATGATTTAGGAAGTGTGCTGTAATGTCAAAAAAAAAAAAAAGTATTGTCTTTAGTATATCTATGTATAGTCTCGTGGGAAAAGCATTGGTTGTGGTATCAACAGATATTCTGGTTCCAGATGTCTTGTAAGTTAACCTGCCTCCATTTCCCTTTCTGTAAAGCAAAATAATGTTTACACCTAATCTGTCTCTCAGGGATACCATATTAATAAAAATCATGTCTATAAAGTGCCTGGTGTTTCTTGAAGTGTTTATGTGTGTGTGTGTATATATATACACAAATTACGATCAAGTTATGGAGGGCAGGAAAAGACCAATCTTTCTTTTTTTAACTCCTTGTGTGGGTTTACTAGAAGTATGCTTATCTGAATCTTTATATTCTAGAAAGAGGAATAAGTCAGATTGTGGTAAAAGGGAAATTAGAATGCAAATCCTTCCTTTGTACCTCTATCCATATCCACAATAAATTAGGACCCAAGATAACTGGGCATGCAGAGTCTTATTTTTTAAATTTTTATTTATTTTTTAGAGATAGGATCTCACTCTGTTGCCCAGGCTGGAGTGCAGTGGTGCCATCATAGGTCACTGCAGCTTCAAATTCCTGGGCTCAAGTGATCCCCAGCCTCCCCAATAGATGAGACTACAGGCATGAGCCACTATACTCAGCTAATTTTTTAAAGTTTTGTATTGATGAGGGGTCTACGTTGTCCAGGCTGGTCTTGAACTCCCAGCTTCAAGTGATCCTCCTGCCTCAGCCCCCCAAAGTGCTAGGATTACAGGCATGAGCCACAGTGACCAACTCAGCTGAGTCTTACTTTAAAAGACCCAAAACTGGCTGGGTACAGTGGCTTATGCCTGTAATCCCAGCACTTTGGGAGGCCGAGGCGGGTGGATCATGAGGTCAGGAGTTCGAGACCAGCCTGGCCAAGATGGTGAAACCTTATCTCTTCTAAAAAATACAAAAATTAGCCAGGCGCGGTGGCAGGCACCCGTAATCCCTGCTACTCGGGAGGCTGAGGCAGGAGAATCACTTGAACCCAGGAGGCGGAGTCTGCAGTGAGCCGAGATCATGCCACGGCACTCTAGCCTGGGCAACAGAGCAAGACTCCGTCTCAAAAAAAAAAAAAAAAAACAGACCCAGAACCAACCCTCCAAACTCCAGATGAAAAGAATGTGCAGTACATGCTGCCCAACCTGCCATTCCTCAGGATGGAAGCAGCAAAAAATACCTTCAAACATTCTGAGAAAGAAACCAAGCCCACTGTTGGGGGAGCAACAGCATCTCTGCACCTCTAACTTCTTAACATCTAAAGCCTTTGTGAGACAGATGGGGTGGCATGTGCAGCAAAGGAGGCAAAAAATGTGTATTAGCAGAAGCTGGATAATCCTGTTCACATCAGTTGTTTCCTTAGTGCCATTACTTTTCTTTTTCCCCATACTATCACTTTTCCTAAGTTTGTTCTCTATGGCCAATGCATAGAATGTAACATATGTTTTTGCCATTTCTCATTTATTGTAATCTGAGTGTAGACTCTGAGTCTTGTCAATGTAGTATAGCACTATTTTACACTACTTTTTTTTTTTTTTTTTTTGAGACGGAGTCTCGCTCTGTCACCCAGGCTGGAGTGCAGTGGCACGATCTCAGCTCACTGCAAGCTCCATTTCCCAGGTTCACGCCATTCTGCTGCCTCAGCCTCCCGAGTAGCTGGGACTACAGGCACCCGCCACCATGCCCGGCTACTTTTTTGTATTTTTAGTAGAGACGGGGTTTCACCGTGTTGGTGAGGATGGTCGCTATCTCCTGACCTCGTGATCCGCCTGCCTCGGCCTCCCAAAGTGCTGGGATTACAGGCGTGAGCCACCGGGTGGCGCCCAGCCTGTATAGCACTATTTTTACGGTGACCAGGTAAGAAAGGGAAGATGAGTTAAGATTGTAAAGATAGATCAGTTCTTTCCCCATTATTCAATTCAGAATCCAAAATGAAGACTTTACTCCTATACACTGAAATAGCTATGTAATGACATGCATGTCTCAAAATTTTGACATATAAAATGTTATGTAGAATTCTCTGAAACCATGGTGCTTTAAGTACCAGGTGTGTGTGTGTGTGTATTTTTTAAGAGCTTAAATTATTCCTTTCCTACCGCACCCAAGACGGTACTCTTTTAGAAACAAAACTTTGGAACAACTAGAAGTCAGGTTAAAGACTAGAAATAGAAGTCCAATGTACCTTAGAGCTCAAAAAGGCTCTGGAGAGCAGAACTTCGCTGCGGTCAAAATAAAAGAACATTAAAAAAAAAAAAAAACACATTGATTCCCAGGTGACTCAGTTCAACTTGTATAACCCAATAGATAAATCAGGGAAGTAATTTTAAAGTCTTCCATAATTAGTGAGCTCCTCAAATTATGTAAGTATAATTTAATATACAAATATTTTATTGACATCTTTCTTAAATATAGTACAGAAACCAAAGACACTCACATCATTCTACACAGTGAGGTCTATATTCCAATAACTCATGCTGTGAGTCACCGAGCACCTGAATATTTCTTAGGCCTCACATATCTCTGGATGCCCAAAGTTGGCATTTGAGAGTTGTTAACAGATAAATGCAGAAGCAACACTTACAGAGACTGGGCCAAATTCTAATGAACTTAGTGGTCTTGATGTGGAACTAGTGTAGGCAAAATGAAGCTGCATTCCAGGTCAGTCCCATAACACTTCACCTCTGGGTTCATTTGAGGTACAGATAAGACACAAGCTATATATGGTCTTAGCAACAGAGAGAGTGGAAATAGCAGCTATGTTGGTGACCAGGTAAGGTAAGCCTGGGATGGGGCTTTGAAGATGCAAATGGTACGCATGTACAGGGTTACCTGGTATTAACAGTAGGGGACAGGTGTATTTTCCAAAACGCTAGATCACTGAAGGAATCCAGGAAATAAGGTTTCAGAGGGTCTATTCCAATCTATATACACTGTATAAAGTTTTTTTAACTTTTAATCTTGATATAATTTCAAACTTACAGAAAAAGTTCCAAGAGTACAAGGAACTCCTGTATACCTGGATTCACCAACTATTTATATTTTGCCCATTTGCTTTTCATTCTCTATGTATGTGAATGTGTGTGTATATACACTTTTTTTTTTTTTTGAAACAGGGTCTCACTCTGTCGCCCAGACTGGAGTACAGTGGTCTGATCATGGCTCACTACAGCCTTGACTTCCTGGGCCCAAGCCATCCTCCTACCTCAGCTTGTTGAGTAGCTGGGAACACTGGCATGTGCCACCACACCTGGCTAGGATGTTTTTTTTTTGTAGCAATGGGGTCTCCCTATGTTCTCCAGTCTGTTTTGTTGTTTTTTTGAGACAGACTCACTCTGTTGCCCAGACTGGAGTGCAGTGGTACAATCTCAGCTCACTGCAGCCTCGAACTCCCAGGCTCAAGTGATCCTTCCACTTCAGTCTCCTGAATAGCTGGGACTACAGGCATGGGCCACCACGCTTAGTTTTTTAAAAAATATTTTTTTGCAGACGGGGTTTCCCTATGTTGCCCAGACTAGTCTGGAACTCCAGGATCCTCTTGCCTCAGCCTCCCAAAGTGCTAGGATTACAGGTGTGAGCCATGACACCTGGCCCATGTGTTTATTTTTTTTTAATTCAATATTTCACCATTAAATCTGATGTTAGCTGTAGTTTTTCATAAATGCTCTTTATCAGCCAATCCACATAAATTTTAGAACCTCAAACAAAAAAAACTTATGCCATCCCTACCCTCACTTAAGACTAGCATGACTTTTATAGTGTGAAAAGAATTTCATGATAAGGCTAATAAATTAAAATCATACACTTCAATAGCTTTTGTATAGATATTAAACAAAAAAAGGACTATAAAACTTTATAACCATATTTTCATTGAATATATTATCATGAACACTTTCAGTCATTAAAATCTGTTCTGCAACATTTTTAGTGACTGCAATAGATCCACATTTTATGAATAAACTTTGATGTTTTTACTGTGCAATTTCTGTATGAGTAGATAAGGGTAGAAAATAATATAATGCTATATATAATGCCACACAAAGCTACACACACGTATCTAAGAACTTCAAAAACCACAGAACTTCCCTCTCCCCTGTTCCTTAAAACAAAGTCTGAGCGGAAAAAACAAACTTTTTTCCTCTGCTCTCACACCACAATAAAGACAGAAAACTTCTCTGACCAAATGTGTGGAGTTTTTTCCCCACCATCAAGCAAGCAATCAATTTTGCAGCAGATACCAGCTAGGTGTCCTCCAGTTTCCCATGCTATCCCCTAGAGATGGCATTTGATCCCACAGATTGAGGGCCCAGTCCCACAAGACTGCTGCCCACTTCCAGTGCCAAGTTCAAACCCCAGGTGGTTTTACCTGTGCTTCTGACCAAACCTATAAATCAGGGTTCCCATGACCCCTCCTTGAGTTTAATTTGCTAGTAAAGCTCACAGAACTCAGGGAAACACTTAGGTTCACTGGTTTATTATAAAGGACAGTACAAAGGATAGAGATGAAGAAATGGATAGAGCAAGGCATGTGGGAAGGGACAGGGAGCTCCTATACCCTCTACCCTCTTCAGGTACAGCACCCTCTAGGGACCTCCATATGTTCAGTTACCTGGAAATGCTCCAAAATCTGTTCTTCTGGAGTTTTATGGAGGCTTCATTATGAAGGTATGATTACCACTGGTCACTGGTGATCAACTTAACCTTCAGCCCTTCTCCCAAGAGTTTGGGGGAGGACTGAAAGTCCCAACTCTAATCATGCATTTGTCTTTCCAGTGACCAGCCCCTAGGGGCTGCCAGCCAGCAGTCAACTCATTAGATACAAAAAGCCATCACTCTGGAGACTCTAAGGATTTTAGGAGCAGTATGCCAGGAAACAGGGTCAAAGACCAAATAAATACTTTACGATATCACAGAAAGACAGAAAACCTATCAGAAATCCTTAGTAATTTAAATTAGGGGTGTCATCAGCCTTAACTTCTTCTGATACCAGGGAAAAACACACATTCTAAAGAGCAAAGCAATTCAAGCATAACTTGGTATCTAATAATTTTGTTTTTGTTTTTTGTTTGTTTGTTTGTTTTTTTACCTTTCAGAACTATCTTAGTTTGTCCCTTGTCTTCAGCTGAAGTGGCCACAGTATGTGTGTTTATGTAAGCCTGCACCAGTGGTCCATTATGTAGGGGTAGGGTTACAAGAGACCCAATGAACTCTACTTAACACAATGTTGCCACTACTAGAGGTATCTTTCAGACCAAGCAGAAAGTGAGTACTAAGGTAGAAATACAGCTTCCACAAAGAAAATGTAATAAAAGCTGTTTTAAAACTGAAAGCTGCAGTGATCTGTGATCATGTCACTGCACTCCAGCCTGGGGAACAGAGTGAGAGCCTTTGTTGAAAAAAAAAAAAAAGAGAGCTGCAGCTATTTCTGTCTTTCTCACCCCTCAGCCAGTTATTCTCTCCTCTTCCAAAATTGGAGCAATGACTTCACTTTCTAGTACCGATGGGACAATCATAAAGAGGGCAAAACCAGATCTCAGCACCTAGCTTTATCTGTCACTACGGTCATCCCTAGGCATTCACATAAATCCCTGGTATACAATGTGGCCTGGTGTCAATGGTCTTGGGATCTTGGAGAATACTTTTCTTTTTCTTGAAACAGGGTTTCACTCTGTTGCCCAGGCTGGAGTGCTGTAGCATCACAGCTCACTGCAGCCTCAAACATCCCTGGGATCAGGTCTCCTCCCACCTTAGCCTCCCTGGTGGCTGGGACTACAGGTGTGTACCACCGTGCCTGACTAATTTCCGGTTTTTTGTTTTTTTGTTTTTGTAGAGACAGGGTTTCTCCATGTTGCCTAGGCTGCTACTGAACTCCTAGGATCAAGCAATCTGCCCACTTTGGCTTCCCAAAGTGCTGGGATTACAGGCATGAGCCATCACATCCGGCTGGGGAATACTTTTAAAAACTTAAAGCGAGTGAAGGGAGTCTGATTAAAGTATGCACAATAAAATATAAAGCTGTTTAGAAGGCTTAAAGGTCTCGGCAGTAACCTAATTTCCCCACTTTCCTAACTTTATACTAGTAATTCCAAAACATTTCCTGATGAGAAACTTCGATTTCCCTGAAATTTTATGATCACTAATAGGGAAGGACTGCTGAGTCACAATAATCACTGGTGGAATGGGGATTTAATTAGCAACAACAGTCAAGTCCCACCCAGTAAGCACCTGAGAGCTTGTGAGTCAGTTGAAGACACGTATTTACTGAGTACCTGCCATGTGTAAGGTGCTGGTGATAGAGCCCAAGGAACTTGGTTGCTATGCTTCAAAGGAGTGGTGGACTGTTTTACTAAGTGGGATATGGCAGGAACTTGATTGAAACACATACTCAGAAGTAGTTCACCTCATTATAGCTTAAATATGTAACACTCTGGGCTTCAGGTGATTCCATTTCTTCCTCAGTTCAGATCTGGTGCTGTCAGAAGCAAAGATGTAGTTGATGGATTCATAAGACAGATCCCACACCTGAGACTGGGTCAAATTAAATGTTTCAGCTGCCAGCTGGTACTCTTGAGAAAGGTGTGTTGCAAAAACACCCTTATCATCAGTCTGCCAACGTAAACAAGAATGTTTCAAAATGAAAAAGGAAGGATTTTTCAAAAACAACCATCTTTTTGTTTAGAGTCTATTTTCCTATTTACTATGCTTCTTTCAAGAGTCTAAACAAGGGCCTACAAATTTATCTATGCATAGCTGTAACTAAACAGATTTATTTATACTTAAGAAAAGATACCAGAGCAGTGTTTCAACTCTGGCTGGATATTAAAATTACCTAAGGAGCTTTTAAAGCCTATCTCTGCCCAGGACTCACCCCAGATCAAATAAAACAGAATCTCATGGGATGGGTGCAGAGCATCAGTTTTTTTGTTTGTTTTTAAGTCCTCTCAAGTACCTTTTGCTAGAGAGCCAAACCAGAGTCACCCTGGCCCTCTGTAGCCTCTCATGTCCCAGTCCCTTTTTTTTTTTGCTTTGTGAGATGGAGTTTCACTCTTGTTGCCCAAGATGGAGTGCAATGGCATGATCTCTGCTCACTGCAACCTCCTCCTCCTGGGTTCAAGTGATTCTCCTGCCTTAGTCTCCCGAGTAGCTGGGATTACAGGTGTGCGCCACCATACTCAGCCACACCCCGGTCCCTTCTAACTCCTCTACTTGGGCATTATCCTCAGGCATGCAAGGCAGTCAGCTAGATAGTGAACATCTGAATTAATGCAACTCAGGGAGCAAAAAGGAGCAAAATACTTCACACGGAACACCTTACACAGATCACAGAAGGATGGGCAATGCTGTACCAGAATCCGAAATGGTGCTGGTCATAAGATGGAACTGTCTGACTTTTGACGTTTGAGGTCAAACAGAGTTCTAGATGAAAAGGGGAAAAAAACCTCTTATTAAAAGCAAATAAGTGAACTCATTCAGTGTTCACCAAGTAGACACGAGAAATATTTCCAAATTTTGCTAATTTAAAGTAGTTTATTAGTTTACAAAGTCGACCTTTCCTTACGTGTGAAAATTTGTAGTTCAATTACTGTAGTTGTACAGGAAGCATGTGGTGCAACTTATGGCAACAGAGGTACCAGGCAAGGAATTAATATCCCTTTTACAGCCATGCACTTCTCCTTCTTTGACCAAAATAGAGAGGAAAGAGGAATGTCATGATGAAAAAAGCAGAGAATTATCAATGATAGGAGCAGAAGGGTTTTTTGAAAAGCTACTGCAATCCCTCCTGGTCTAATGGTGGAAGCCAAAACAAAGGTAAGAAAACTGTAGCACCAGGTGTGAGAGCATTATAAAGAGCTAAGAATGAGCAGAGACTTTGCCATGGCTTCTAAGAACCCCTAAACGCTTTTACCCAGATAATCATCCATTCACCTCCTTCTGCTTCTAGGTAAGTTAAGTCCATCTTAAGAATGACTCCTACTATTGGCCGGGCATGGTGACTCACGCCTGTAATCCCAGCAATTTGGGAGGCCAAGGTGGGTGGATGATGAGGTCAGGAGATCGAGACCATCCTGGCTAACACAGTGAAACCCCATCTCTACTAAAAAAATACAAAAAAAAAAAAAAAAATTAGCTGGGCGTGGTGGCAGGCGCCTGTTGTCCCAGCTACTCAGGAGGCTGGGGAAGGAGAATGTCGTGAACCCAGGATGTGGAGCTTGCAGTGAGCTATCGCGCCACTGCACTCCAGCCTGGGTGACAGAGCGACTCCGTCCCCCGCCCCCCAAAAAAAAGAGTGACTCCTATTATTAACAAATTCCTTCCTGGAAATATTACCAGGCTCCCCAGCCAGAGTAAAATACCTTACTGACTTGATTGATGGTATCTGCTCACTTGAGTAAGGCAGCCTCAACACAGGCTCACTCAGTTTAACGGATGACAAACCCAAGCTGCCCCCTCTGTTGGGAGCAGAGCTAGGCCACCACACCAAGTAAGATCACTATGCCAGTGGTTCCCATTCTCTCCACTTTTGTGGATATTTAAAATTTTCCTTAGCAAATCTAGCCCATTATGAATTGCTGAAAACTCTATAGTTAAAACATACTCACACAAGCATTTTTATAAATTGGTAAATATAGCAAATTGATCATTCTGTAAAATAGTTTGCAGCCAACCACTTTTTCCTTCTTTAGAAAGGCCTTTCCTAACCATCCAATCAAAAGTGGTTATACAATCACTACTATATCAGCCTGTTTAATTTTCTTCACAGAACACTGATACTTTCTTGTATATTTGTTTACTGTCTTCCCTCTGCTAGAATATGAGTTTCTTGGGAAAGAAATCTTGCCTGTTTTGTGTACTGCTCTATCGACAGCAATGACAACAAAGTAGGCACTTCATAAACACATAGACAATCAAGTGTGTAATGATCAACAGACATGTGAAAATATACTTGGGATTTTCCATGTTTAATTTTTAAATAATGTTACATATTTTCATAACACATGTCAATTTTGTTAAAGTCATTTTAAAATTCTAGATGACCCTTTATTCCTTTAAAAAATTCTTATTGAGTTCCAAGCATTGGAGAATGTAACAACGAATAAGACAAGCAGGGGCCCTGCTCTCATAGAGCTTATATTCTAATGGAAGCTAAAGCTTTCTGTTTTAAATAAGGCTCAGAAAGCACACACTCCATCTTTTAATAGCTAGATGACATTCGTACTTTTAGAACAGTACTTCTCTGTAATCCCCAGGCAACCTGGGGATTGGGGGAGAGACAGAGAGTCATCTGGAAGACCTGAAACTCCAAGCCTTACCCAGTGGTATCCGATGTTGCCTCACAAAGTCCACCAGATCCAGGGATCCTCCCTCACCGGAGTTGAGAAATGTTCCATGCCCGATTCTGTCAGGAAGCAGATCCAGGAGTATTTGTGTTTCTTTTTTTTGGTTTGGAATCTAAAGAAAGGGGAGGAAAGGGGATCAATGGCCTCTTTCAGTGGTTCTTAAGAGTATTTTTTTCTATAGCTAGGTACCCTGCCCCTCTAAGTAGTACTTAATGCAGACCTTTTGGAAAACTGAACTACTTCTGCCTTCCTAGCTCTTTGCCTTTTATCTTCTCATTCTTTCCTCAATATTCTTCTAGATTCATTTCAATGATAATAATAAACACTTATTAAGAACCTACTTTGTGCCTTTTCACACAAATGATTTAAGGCCTCACAAGAATCTTAAAAAGTATTAAGATGAAGAAATTAAAGCTGAGAAAAATTAAGTAATTTTCAAAAAATAAAACTTCACAACTCCATATGTATATGTGTGTTCCGTTATAGACATGTGTTCATATATATTATAAAAAGTTCTGAAAAACTATAAACACAAAACTGTTAATAGTATTAACTCTGGGGAGCAAAACAAATAGAAATTGGGCTTTTAATTTTTAATTATTTTCCTTCTTGACACTTGGATTTTTTTCAGGTATACATAACTCTTATAGTTAAAAATATAAGGGATTTTTTAAAAAAAGTTGTCCAAGGTCATAGAGCTAGTGAATGGTAGAGATAAGCGTGAAACCTAACTCAATCTGACTCCAGGGCCCAGTTACTTTCCTCACATAGTGTGCTCATCATGTTTGATTCTGACAAGGCTGGCTATGTACATACCACAATCACCATGAAAATGTCTGGCTGTGCTCTTTATCTCCTAGATAGCCCAAAACACAAATGCTCAGAACATTTTTAAATGAAATCTTTTATATCCAATGGACTGGATGATAAAAGCAACAGAAACTAAGGTAAAGAACAAGTTCTGATGTTGCACACAAGGCCAGAGATAACTGGTCACTGTCACACATGCTATTCCCTTATAATGACCAATGGTTTCTATCACACATCAGTTAGGTCAGCCATAGGATGTCCTGTGGATGAAAGGTCTTTTGAGTTAAGAGTGTGGAAACATAGATTCTAGATTTTAAGTCCTGCCACTAGATTACTGACCTTCTGCTTATAGACATGAAAGATACAAGTACTGGCAAGGGGTTCTGATTTTTTTCCCTAATCTTTAAATCATGATGTTACTCAACCTTTATACATTACCCCTTTAATACAATAACTGTGAGGTAAGTAGACTAAGTATTATTTTCTGCATTTAAGAAATAATTAAATAGCTAGAAGTACTGAGGTAAAAAATACATCCATTTATAAAATGGGGAAAATTGCAGCAAAGTCCCTCAAAAGGGGTTTGCCTCATAAGGATGTGCTTAAGAAAGTGACTACTTCCCAGCAATTATCTGTTACTACGTTCATGCTAACAGTGAGCTTGGGGCTGATGAGGGGCACTGGACCTCTTTGCTGGGCTTTGAAAAATGACGAGCTGCTTCCTTTACTGCCAGTGGATGTGATACAATCAGGTCCCTTCTACTATGAGGACAGGTGAGATAAATTGGTGCTTTTCTTAGAGTCAGCTTGCCAATGACAAGACTGATGTTGGAAATTCATGCATTTTCTCTAGCAAGACGTCATTAAACTGCTTTTAATGACACAGCTGGCATTTGAGTCAACAGCCACTCCCAGGAACCACAAAAGGATAAAAACAGTAACAGTAGAGACTGAAGCAAGTCATGTATTTTTAAATTTAGATGTAAAAATATTTCTACTTTCCCTTTTTAAAAAATGTTTTTCCAATCCCGGTTTATTCCTAGTCACTTACAAATGACCCTATTATTTTCTATTACAATCTGTCCCTTCTAGCCTAAGACAATATTATTTACCTCTGAAAGATGCAATGCTAACTTCAGACCTGCTTTCTTAGCTTCTAAAAGAGGTTCCAAGAAGTCTTTTGCTTGTCCTACCTTAAAGATAAAAGTTAAAATAAGGATGCATGAGAATTCTGGGAAAACTGAGGAACTGAGTACTCCATTCCAATAAACAACATAATGGCAGAAAAAAATAATGGTAGATTAATTCATTTGCACATCTTGTTTATAAAGCACCTACAATGTGCGAGCCACTTCACTGAATACAAAGCTGGCAAAGGCACAGTTCCTGCCCTCGAGAATCTTGTCTAGTATCAGTAAACTGAGGTCAATCAGCTAAGCTGGATATAGTAGTCACCAAATTTTATGCCTGGAAGGACACCTAGATATCCAGAGCTAAGGAGAACTCACTCACTTGACTCAGGAACTCTCATGATTACTCAAAACACTTCCGTTAAACAGGTGGATAAAAAGAAGGGCAGAATACTCCAGGTTTGGACAAAGCCATAAGAATCAATTTCATGGGACTCTCTTATTCAGCTGTTTTCAACCAGGAGCAATTCTGCCCCCCAGGGGACACTTGGCAATGTCTGGAGACATTTTTGGTTGTCATATCTGGGAGAGTGCTACTGGCATCTAGTGGGTAGAGGCCAAGGATGCTGCTAAACATCCTACAATGCATGGGGCAGCCCCACAACAAATTATCCAGCCCCGAATATCAAGATTTCTGCTTGAATCTGACATTCAAGAAGCTCAAGTCAACATTTCTCAACTATCTATGAGACAGTTAAGCCCTAATACCCTAAGACATCCATCCATTGTATGTAATGAATTACATTATAGTGCATATAGTCTGGGACTAGTTGTGCACCATCTTTAGAAGAATGGAGAAAATAGTCATATAGTCAGGCAACTCTTTTTTTTTCTTTTAGGGTACTTAATTGTTTCACAGAACCTTGGATGAGAGCTGCTCTAGGCATTCTGGTCATCCAGGGCAGAACAGGCCTTCATCCACAGAATGGAGTGTCTGTTGGACACTCTGGAGAATGCAATGCAAGATGCCCGAAGCTAGTCCTTATCCCACTGATTCTACCTTTTAGAATTAAAATGTACGTAGGAAAAATAACTTACAGTAGGGTCTCCACTGAGGTCAAGGCCAAGAACTGTACCCTCAGTAGAAAGGAAGAACTCCTCGGCAAGTTTTACAGTCTCCTTGGCTACTAAAGGGCCACCTCTTCTGTCAACTGCTATCAAATACCTTTAATGTAAGAAAGACAGAGTTGAAAACTAATATGACACAGATGAAAAAGACAATTCTGAGTACAGCCAGACAGAGATGGCAGACTACGTGTAATACATCTCACTAGGAAAAGTATAGCCTGACTGAATCTAGACAACATGACATTTTACTTTGTCATACGGACTGAGACATGAATTCCTAAATAGCATCAAGCATCCAGTCACTGTTCAGATTTACAGTTGTCTTTCGAGGTTTTTTTGTTCCTGTATTTGTTTCTTCAGTTTGTTTGATTCAGGATCCAAACAAGGTCCACACTTTGTGTAAGTCAATGTATCTTCTAAGCCTCTCTTAATCTACAACCACTCTTTCCTCTCCTCCCACCTCCCACCCTGCTTTTCTTGTAACTTATTTGTTGAAGAAACCAAGTTGTTTGTCCTACAAAGTTTTCCATGGTCTGGATTTTGTTGATTGTATCCTGTGTTGTTAACATGTTGTCCTATTTTTTTTTTTTTTTTTTGAGATGGAATCTCACTCTGTCGCCCAGGCTGGAGTGCAATGGTGCAATCTCGGGCTCACTACAATCTCTGCCTCCCGGGTCCAAGCGATTCTCCTGCCTCAGTCACCCGAGTAGCTGGGGTTATAGGCACGTGCCACCACGCCCGGCTAATTTTTTGTATTTTTAGTAGAGACGGAGTTTCACCGTGTTAGCCAAGATGGTCTCGATCTCCTGACCTCATGATCCGCCCGCCTCAGCCTCCCAAAGTGCTGGGATTACAGGCGTGAACCACCATGCCCAGCCTTTAACATGTTGTCCTATTTCTTACATTTCCTGTCTAGTCCAGAGGCAGATCAGGTTCCATTTTTTGGCAAGAGTAAACTGGTGGTGGTGTGTTCTTAGGAGGGTGAGATCCATTATTTCATTAGGGGGTTACAAAATTAGAAATATTCTCTTTCTAAAATGTATCAAATATCTGATAAAAGTTCATTCCTCAAATATCAGCTGGAATTCTATAAGACTTGAATACCCAGAGAATCTCTGTTAATATTTCTTTTTTTTTTTTTTTTGAGACAGAATTTCATTCTTGTCACCCAGGCTGGAGTGAAATGGCACGATCTCAGCTCACTGCAACCTCCACCTCCCGGGTTCAAGCAATTCTGCCTCAGCCTTCTGAGTAGCTGAGATTACAGGTGCCTGCCACCACACCTGGCTAATTTTTGTATTTTTAGTAGAGATGGAGTTTCATCATGTTGGCCAGGGTGGTCTCCAACTCCTGACCTCAGGTGATCTGCCCATGTTGGCCTCCCAAAGTTCTGGGATTACAGGCATGAGCCACTGTGCTTGGCCTGTTAATATTTCTTGAATACCCAGAGAACCCCTATAATTTTTTAAAGCAGTTATGAGTTTACTATTTATTGACGAAATAAATTCCTTTAGCATTTGTTCATTTATTTATTTACAAAATTTAGATCAACTACATATAAAATGCTGTATCTTTTTTTTTCACTTAGCAACTTCCCATGCCATTAAAATAATGTTAGAAAATAGTATAAATCATATGAGCATACCATAATGTAATTATCCTCTGAATGCTGGATATTTTAAGCTATTTTCTAATTTTTGTTATAAATAACATTATAATAAGGAATCTTATGCATAAATCAATCTATTTCCTGGGATGCATTTCTAGCACAGAATTACTGTGTCAGAGGGAAAAACTTTTTTATAAATCTTGACATATATTGCTCTTTAGAGAGGTTTTTCCCCCCTTACCTGTGTACCAGTGCAGGATTTAAAGAGGTTTTATTAATTACATATGCTTACCAGCAGTGTGTAACTTACAAACACTGGCTATTACTTTTTTTAGCCTACTGAAACAGTATTGTAATATATGATTAATGAATTAAGTAGTTTTCTCTGTATTTCTATATGTCTACCAGCTCTTTGTATGTCTTCTTCTCTGCATTCTATTGTCTTCTGCTTGGTTTTTTATTGGGGTTATTACTTAAGCTTAATTTTTAGAGTCTTATAGCCTGAAACTATACAGCTAGCTTTTTTTCTTTCTTCATTTAGGGCTTTACTGAGCCCATACTATGTACCTACTTTGTGGTAAGTACTAAAGATGTAGTGGTGAATCAAAAAACAAGGTCCTTGGCTTCACTACACTTACACCCTAGTGGGTGGGCATATATACAAACTAACACAAGATAATTCCTAATCTTGTTACAAATAATGCCATAAAGGAAATAGATGGGTGACTAGAGGATTAGTAGGGCACTTTAGACAGAGTGGTAAAGGAAGGCCCCTCTGAGGAAGTAACAGCCAATTGAGATCTGAATAATGAGAAGAAGCCAGCCAGCTGGGCAGGAATCTGGTAGAAATGTGTTCTGGGGAATACTAAACAAAGGTGCTGAAGGGGAACAGTCTTTTTTGCTTATTTTAGGAACAGACAGCAGGCCCACGTGTAAGGGAGGAGGAGTGGTCTAGATGAGCTGCTGAAGTAACAGAGGCAGCCAGATCATGTGGGACCTTGTAGGCCACAGTAAGAAGTTCATTTTAGCTTAATGGCAAAGGAACACCATACTTTACTCATGTAAAAATACTCAGAATTTTATTGCCTTATGAATAAACTCAGAATTGTGTTCTCACTTTAAACAACAGGGTCCTTGATTTTATTTTTCTATTGTATAAATCAATGAATGATTAATTTTAAAAAATCCATTACACCCATGATCAAAACAGTAAAAATTCACATTCTGGTTTTGTAAATGTTAACTACTAAGGTACAATCTTCTTACCTAACATCAATGTCCAAGTTTTCTTGTTTGGACTGTTTTATACCTTCAAGTATAGATTCCACATAAGTCTTTTTAGTCATTCCTAGAAAGGACACATAGAAAATACATGTAAAGAGATCATCAACTATTTCATCCCTCACCTTCAGCAATCCTATATGAACAATTACATTTTCACTTTATGCTATGACAAGGGCATAGTTAAAGATGAGTGAAAACATGGCCCTTATGGGTATATTTTAGTAAATGCAAATTATATTTTAATAAAATTAGGGGGAAATGAAGTGTTAGAGAAATGAAATGAAAAAAAATAAAGGCTTTTTTTTTTTTTGAGACAGGGTCTGGCTGTCACCCAGGCTGGAGTGCAGTGGCATGATCTTGCCTCACTGCAACCTTTGTCTCCTGAGCTCAAGCCATCCTGCCACCTCAGCCTCCTGAGTAGCTGAGACTACAGGAAGGTACCACCACGCCCAGCTAGTTTTTGGATATTTAGTAGAGACGGGGTTTTGCTATGTTGCCCAAGCTGGTCTCAAACTCCTGGGCTGAAAGTGACACGCCCGCCTTGGCCTCCCAAAGTGCTGGGATTACAGGTATGAGCCACTACACTTGTCCTTTTTTTTTTTTTTTTTTTTAAAAGGGATATTTTCTCTCCTCCTAGTCCAGAAAAAAAGTCCTAACTTGGATTCCTTTCCCCTCAATCCTGCTCGGGCTTAGTGTTTCTCATCCAGGGAACCAGGCATGTTCTTCCAAGTCTGAGTGCTCTGCTCTCTGAGGGGATCTGCAAGAGCACTCTCCAGAGCAACCTCCTGTAAAATACCTTTTTTTCTTTTTCTTTAGGCTACATTGGGTAAAATAAAATACCCTTTTACCCGGATTATAAAATGCTTATGTTTGGTGGAAAGTCTCTGGTAAAATATATAAAATTATAAATAAAAATAAAAATAGGGTGTGGTGGCTCATGCCTGTAATCCCATCAGTTTCGGAGGCCGAGGCGGGCCGATCACCTGAGGTCAGGAGTTCGAGACCACCCTGGCCAACATGGTGAAATCCTGTCTCTACTAAAAATATGAAAATGAGCCAAGTGTGGTGGCATGTGCCTATAATCCCTGCTACTCGGGAGGCTGAGGCAGGAGAATCACTTGAACCTTGGAGGCGGAGGTTGCAGTGGGCCAAGATCCCACCACTGCACTCCAGTCTGGGTGACGAGCAAGACTCCGTCTCAAAAAAAATAAATAAATAAAAATAACCCCACCACCCAGAGATAACTACTGTTTTCCAAGTACACATATACACATTTATTTTTATGTATTATTTCAAGAGACCTTTTTTAAGGTCTCTCTCTGTTGCTCAGGCTGGAGGGCAGTGGCACGATCATGGTTCACTGCAGCCCTTGGAGCCCATAGAGGTGGGGGGGGTCTTATGATGCTGCCCAGGCTGGTCTCGAACTTCTGGCGTCAAGTGATCCTCCTGCCTCAGCCTCCCAAAGCGCTGGAATTACAGGCATGAGCCACTGCACTCTGCCCATATACACATTTTTAAATAGAGAAGATACTACTAGGTATATATGTACCCAGTTCAGTCATTTAACATGAGTCCGAGTATTTCCCCATGTCATTAAAGTGTCTTCACCAGTATTTTTAATGGTTGCCTAATATTCCATTAGCCTTTATTTAACCATTCCTCTACTGTTGCATATTTAGGTTAATATCCTTCTTTTAAAACTCCATTGAAAGAGCCCTATGAGTTGGCTCTTCTCTCCTTCCCTTTCACTACTCTCACCAGTACAACGTGGAACTGATTCTATGGTTCAAAAATGCAAGATGAGAGCCTTCTCCTTATCTTATGTAAACACTTATACTTTACAATAAGTTTCAAAAATTTTACCCCCAAATGATTACTGAGCTACATATATCAGGAAACAAGATGACCTAGGTCTCTTTGGGTCATAAACAAGGTGCTAAGAGGGCCCCAATGTCTCCTGATGCTGCTCTTATAGAAGGAGGATCTCAGGAAATTCCTCCAGATCATAGCCAGATCTCATCTCTATCCAGAGAGGTTTTACCACATCACAGCTTGCTCCTGGCCTAAGAAACTATTCCCTGAGAAGCGAATGAATAACCTACATTTTAGTAACTACCATAAAACATGATTCTGCATCCACTCAATGGCATTGTCTCACAAGTGCCCATGATGCAGGAAGCAAGAATCAGCCTCTGCTTGTAACAATGCAAACATAAGGAGCAGGTATCCTTTTCTCAGAGTGAAAACAACTAAACAAGGAAGAACAAAAGAAACTGCTGCAGGCCTTTGTTTCCTTCCTTAAACAGATAATGCCTGACTGGAATTTTACTACTTTTTACTTAAGAATAACTCACTCATTAATAATGTACATCAGGATGGGCACGGTGGCTCACACCTGTAATCCCAGCACTTTTAGAGGCTGAGGTGATTGTTGGGCCCAGGAGTTTGTGGTTACAGTGAGCTATGTTTGCACCACTGCACTCCAGCCTGGGCAAGACAGCAAGACCCTGTCTCTAAAACAAACAAAATGAACATCATTAATGTACATCAGAGAGAGGACTTGGACTGTTGACTAAAGGTTCAATGAAATACAGAACAACACAATAGTATAAAAGTTAGTGCTTCATATTCCCACTCACAAACATGTGAGTGATCAAAGCACATAGGAAAAGGACAGTACATTTGCTGAGAAGTATAAATTCTACCAGTAGCATTTTCTCTTCTGGGTGTGCTCCTTAGTTCCAGGTACTTGACGCCGTCATCTGCAAATTCTTTTATGACATCTTTTGTGACCTGATAATAAAGATAACGTACACAATATTGATAATGTTTGGGTAAGGGTCCCAATGAATGTGCCAAGTGCTACAGCTTTATTTTATTCATTAAATCTGATTTGCAAGTAATGTTGGAAGTTTCTCACGTGGTAGAGATTATCCACTTTGTCACATCCCTGATGGAGACTATGCAGGGCTGCAATATTTCCAATCACTCCCATCACCCCTCATTCCCACATTCAATCCCAATCTGCACATCAGCTACACCCTTTGCTTCTTTTCCCCCTTTTAAACATTTATTTCCTAGTATTTATAATAGCAGATTGATAAAATAGAGAAATGGTGCAAAACTAAAACCAGCTGGAACCATCTGTATGTGTAGACTGCTAGGA
Organism: Homo sapiens; assembly: GCF_000001405.40. Classification (NCBI taxonomy): domain Eukaryota; kingdom Metazoa; phylum Chordata; class Mammalia; order Primates; family Hominidae; genus Homo; species Homo sapiens. The sequence goes on along the minus strand of NC_000015.10, from coordinate 43,339,891 downwards.
AATGCACATACAGAAATAAACAGCTAAAATGATTAGGTATTACTGATGTGCTATTTGAAGTCATGGCTTAAGGTTTTTATTCAAGTTATTTAGGAATAAGTTACATTTTTCAATAAATTCTGGCAGGGTTAAATTTTCTCGAGAAGTACTTAGGGCAAAGAAAGTAGGTGATAAATATGAGTAAAACTGTATCCAATTTAGTGCAAATCTCAATAATCCAAAAGTTCCTGAAGGATTTCCTGAAGGATGTTTTTCCTTTCTGCCTTCAATCCTAAAAAATCTAGAAGAAAAAAAGGCTAGGTTGGCGAAGCTGTGACAAACTGCCGTAATTAGTCCTTACAGTTGGTATCCTAATCTTAATCTGCTTTGACTACACACACACAAGCATGTGAGTGCAGTGTCCTGGCAAAGCAAGAGGGGCTGGCTGTTCATACATACAGTGCCTAACAGTATGGCACTACCTTGGTGAATTCATAGCAATCCAAGTTGTAGGCCTCTTCTTTTTTCTTTTTCCACTAAAGACAAAAATGAACTTATTATAATGTAAGTGGAATGGGTAGCTCAGTTTCATCAAGAGGTCTAAAGACCCAGATTCTGAGAATACACAGCCAAAGATAATACATCTGCATTCTAAATCACATGAAACTCCAGGACCAAGCAAGATACCACTGCTGCCTCCTCCAAGGAGCATGATACTGCAGCCTCCATGCCATCATGAATGGCATTGGCCCCACGGCACTGCTACTCCAGGAACTCCCTCTTGCTGTCACTGACACCATGAAATTGTGGCCTCACCTTTGTATTAATAGGTTGAGGAATCTGGATCTTGTCACTGCCCCAGAACAGAACAGACCCACACTCAGCTACCCCAGCTCACATGAGACTAATGCAGAAAGCTGTTTGACAACGAGGAATACGGTTGAAGTGAGGGTTTGAAATAGTAGTCCTTTTCAGTGACTACTATCCAAGGCTCCCTCTTTCTGAGTGGCTAGGTACCTGTAAAACCAAATGAACAATGAAAAACTAACAAGTATGGAGCAAGAACAAAGGGAGGAAGATTTATCTAGGCCACAGTGAAGCCTACAGAACCATCCCTAACCCACATCCAAGAACATTTCCCTGGGGTCTACATCTGTGTTTGCCAGATTTAGCCCTTTCTGTGATGTGCAGCAGGTAGTGCGGTAGGTACTGAGAACAGCTCTTTGGGCTTTCCTCTCCTATGCGCTGGACTGAGAATATCTATTCAAATTCTTTTTCCAGACAAAGTACATCACAATTAGTTAAGTTCCTACTTACTCAAACCTCTCTAAGACTGTATAAGCTTGAATGGGAAAGAGCATGAGCTCTGCAACCAGATAGTACTGCCACTTACTCTGTGTGTGTGATCTTAAGCAAGTTACACTTAACCTCTTTAAGCCTATTTTTTCATCTACAAAAAGGGAACAATAAAAATACCTACTTCTGAAAGTAGTCCTAAGAATAATGTCTGGTACATGTAATAACAAGTATCATTTTTTCAGCCACACTCCAATCCTCTCTTTGAGATTATACCCAGGTCACCTTGACTAGAGTTTTAAGTGATCTCCCTCACACTCAGTTCTACATTTACAATCTCTTAGTTTATCCTCATAGACGTTTCATTTATCATATGGGGCACCCCATTGTCACCCTCTGAACCACCTAGTAGCACTAGGTCAAATGCACAGAATCTTCTCACTTCATTTAATAAAGCTTTTCAACTTTCATTTTGAAATGAATGTAGCAACAAGCATGCCATTAATATACCCATAGAGTATTAAACTGTCAAAGTTTCAATTTAATCATTTTGCTCTATAACACTCATCAACAAAGTGAGACCAGGGCCCCTGTGGTGGATATTCTTAGCTATGTTCAATGGTATCTTTTGAGACGCTGCTTAGAGAATGCCCTTTTGGTTCCCTATAAATCCTTATGTGTGTGTCTAATGCAGAGCTTACCACACTATGTTGCAGTATCTGCTTATGGGTCTGTCTCTCCAACCTAATTATAAATTTCTCAGGGGCAGAAACTGTGTCAATCTCTCTCAGACTTTAGCACAGTGCCTGGAACATTGTGGGCACTCAGTCAACTTTTGTTGAATGAAACTATTAGAGTTACCTCTCCTCTAAAAGGTGCTTAATTTACTTACCACTTATCATGAAGATCAGTCTTTACCAAAGAGGAAAATTTTTGCTTGATCAGTCAAAAGTTACCTCTCCAGAAACAGGTTATACTTTCTTTGCATTTTTTTTCTACTGGTTAAGATCACTGACACAATTTTGCTTCTCTCCATTTAGAAAGAGAACATTTTAAAATGCCATCCTAGTCAGATCAATGATACAGAAGACAATCTTCCATGTCAGACTCTAGTATCATGGAGCTTCAGATAAGAGAACACAGTGGTATCCTTTGTGCCCTCAGAGGGAAAGCACAATTTCCCTAGGGATTAATCACTTACTCTCTAAGCTCTTCTTGAACTTCTTCCTTCTCTATAATGTCCACCCATACAGTAAGTCTCCTATGTAATACAGACAATGCCTTATTAAGGATATCCCCATCTGTGGTCTAATACTTCTCTTTTTTTTTTTTTTTTTTTTTGAGACGGAGTCTCGCTCTGTTGCCCAGGCTGGAGTGCGGTGGCGCGATCTCGGCTCTCCGCAAGCTCCACCTCCCGGGTTCACATCATTCTCCTACCTCAGCCTCCCGAGTAGCTGGGACTACAGGCACCCGCCACCATGCCCGGCTAATTTTTTTTTTTTTTGTATTTTTAGTAGAGACAGGGTTTCACCGTGTTAGCCAGGATGGTCTCCAACTCCTGACCTTGTGATCCGCCCACCTCGGCCTCCCAGAGTGCTGGGATTACAGGCGTGAGCCACCACGCCCAGCCCTAATATTTCATATATGTATGTTATATATGAAAAACAGGACCAAATTTTCTCTTCCATATCATCCTCTATCCTATAGAAGATGCTCTTCATGGTTCTTTCCTCATATCTTTTACAAGAAACACAGTTTTTCTGTACTAGCTCTTAGGCAAATGACTTACATAGGTTTTGAAGAGTTGCCATAATAGAGAAAACATTTTTCATCACTCTTAATGAGAGCAAAAATGAAAGGCCATGTGCAATAATGGAAGGAAATTACTTCATAATTTTTAAACCATTCTAAAAATTCCTTCATGTCTTACCATTAGAATATCTTCAGGGCTACTAGTAAGCTGATGAATAGTTTGAAACATCTGGAAACATCTGCAACATGAATGAAAAGTTTTAACATAATCTAGTCATCAAAGAAACTCACTAACTGAATGAATTAAATTTTAGGCTAATAGTAAATATATATTTATATTTACAAAGAACTACAGAATAGATGTTTCAAAAATTACATTGATCTGGAAAGATAATCAAATGATAGAAAATAAAACATTACTGATATTTTTAAGTGGGAAATAATAGTACCCCTTCTCCAACCCACACCTGACATGGGGAAATTCAATATGCCTATATTTTCAAATCTAAAGACTATCACATGCTGGGTATAATGGCTCATGCCTGTAATCCCAGAACTTTAAGAAGCCAAGGCGAGTGGATAGCTTGAGGCCAGGAGTTTGAGACCAGCCTGGGCAACATAGGGAGACCCCCATCTCTAAAAAAATTAAAAAAACATTAGCCAGTCATGGTGGCGTGCACCTGTGGTCCCAGCTACTTGGGATGCTAAGATAGGAGGACTGCTTGAGCCCCAGAGGTCAAGGCAGCAGTGATCTGTGGTCACGCCACTGCACTCCAGTCTAGGCAACAAAGTGAGATCCTGTCTCAAAAAAAGAAAAGAAAGAATATCCCAATATAACTTCACAAACAACAGAAATCACTAGAAATACTGTCAACAGTCTAACAGCTGGAAAAAAATGTTGTATGTTAAGATATATGCTCCACACCACATGCCAACCCTATTTCTGTTTACCAAAATCTGAATTCTTACATACTACTTACAATCTCAAAATACTGATAGAGAAAAAAAGGAGTATGTCCACAACCTCCCCACACTTACTCTTCCAAAGTTCTTTTCTTTCCCTTGTCAATCACAGTCATCTGATCGTGGATTTTAAGATCTGGCTTCTGGGCTATTAATTTCTTCATGGTATGAGAACTAATGGATCCATTCAAGTGGGCATGAAGTTCCTAAGAGATACAACCAGTAAAACTTATCAAATATCCAATAGATTCATAGCATCTTACCAAGTACTTAATGTTGGTAGTTTGCAATAGGCAAACTGCTTACTAGATTTAGCTACATAATAAAGTTTACAAATTTTGCCTACAAAATTTACTTTTTCTTTTTTTGAGATGGAGTCTCCCTCTGTCACCCAGGCTGGAGTACACTGGTGCGATCTCAGCTCACTGTAACCTCCGATTCCTGGGTTCAAGCGATTCTCCTGCCTCCGCCTCCTGAGTAGCTGGGACTACAGGCATGCCACCAAGCCCAGCGAATTTTTGTATTTTTAGTAGAGATGGGGTTTTGCCATGTTGGCCAGTCTAGTCTCAAACTCCTGACCTCAGGTGAATCCACCCGCCTTGGCCTCCCAAAGCGCCAGAATTTCAGGCATGAGCCACTGCGCCCAGCCAAAATTTACTTTGATGAAAAGAAGCAACATCAAAGTCATTATAATTAGCAACCACTCAAGATTTCTGTAGTTGAATTCTCACCACTTTTGGCAATTCAGAATAGAAGTCTGTCTTGCAAGGCTGTTGCTCTTCTGCCTCTATCATTTTAGCAGGAAAAAAATGATTCTTCTCCACTCTTATTCTTAGTATGAGCAATATGATGTATTTCAGTCAGTAAATTGTATGGTACTGAATTTCCTTCAGATTGCTTTACTTCCACACATTTTGGTAAGATTAGCTGTATGTGTAGATCTGGGTTCAGCTTCACCTATTTTAACAAATGTTAATATTTTCAGATGTAAAAGCAAAGAAACAGGATTTTGTTAATTTTTTCTTTAAAAGGCAAAAGCTCCTCTAAAACTAACTTAAGTGTGTCTAAGGTGGGAAAACGATTAGTAAACAACATAAACTGGAAACAGGAAAAGACCTCAAGCTTATAAGAGGTGTACTAAAACCTGACATTTAGTAGAGTATATTCCTTAACTATTGGCACCTTCTATACAACGACTTCAAAAATTCAAAATTTTATAAGGCCTACTTTGGATAAAATATATATATATATATATATATATATATATAATTTTTTTGAGACAGTCTCCCTCTGTCACCCAGGCTGGAGTACACTGGCATGGTCTCAGCTCACTGCAGCCTCTATCTCCTGGGTTCAAGTGATTCTCCTGCCTCAGCTTCCCAAGTAGCTGGGATTACAGGTACATGCCACCACACCTGGCCAATTTTTGTATTTTTAATAGAGACAGGGTCTCACCATGTTGGCCAGGCTGGTCTCGAACTCCTGACCTCAAGTGATCCACCCGCCTCAGCCTCCCAAAGTGCTAGGATTACAGGCATGAGCCACCATGCCCGGCCAAAAATAAAATTTTAAATTTTGAATTGTTTAAAATATATAAAAGAAGAACAGAGGTGCTGGCATTAGATGGACCTAGGTTTGTCCTTTTACCAGCTCTACAGGTTAGAAGCTGTGTGGCCTTAGTCACTCACCTTCATGGCTTCAGTTTCTTTATTTACAAAAATGGGATTAAAAATGCAAAGTAGCAGTGACGATTAATAAAGTATTTTAAATTCCCCTCATCTATGTTCCCACATGAGCCAGTCACTGCCTTTAACTCAGCATTTAATCACACTGATATCTCAATCACTGATATACTTGTCTTTCTCTCTCACCAGACTGTAAGTTCCTTGAGGACAGGTCCTTTGAATTATTCCACCACTCTAACACTTAGCACAGTGCCTAGCACACTGTAGGTGATAAATCAATCATAATTTCCCTTCACTTCTGAAAGTGGTTTATAAGTGAAGATAAAATTCCAAGTGAAATTTAGTGATTTTCAAACTAGCCACCTTGACTCTCTGGGTTCTCACGTATTAATGAGGATGATGTTTAAGAATAACAGTTTCCATGTATTTGGAACCTAACAGGTATGTGACAAGCGCTTTTAATAATGTTATCTTTAATCCTTGAAATAACTTTGTGAAATATTACTGTATTGAAAATCAATAAATTGATACTGAGTGGGGTTAAATAAGTTACCAAGATATTAAAATGTACAATAAAGAAAGTAGTTTGTATAGGACTAAACATAGCCATAGAAATCCATAGAAAGGCCTACTTAGTATGAGATAAACATGGCATTTCAAAGTAATGCCATAGTAAGTGCTTAATAAATAGTAAAAAATGAAAAAGATGGACTATTTAATCAATGGCATTTAATATCTCTACCGAAAAACATAAATGATTTAATTAAAATGGAAAAACATACCTTTTTTTTTTTTTCTTTTGAGACAGGATCTTACTTTGTTGCCCAGGCTGGAGTGCAGTGTCACGATCACAGCTTGCTGCAGTCTCAAGCTTCCAGACTCAAGCGATCCTCCCACTTCAGCCTCCTAAGCAGCAGAGATCACAGGCATGCACCACAATGCCCATCTAATTTTATATAAAATTTTTTTTGTAGAGACGGGGTCTCACCATGTTGCCCAGGCTGGTCTCAAACTCCTGGGCTCAAGTGATCCACCAGCCTGAGCTGGGATTACAGGAGCGAGCCACTGCGCCCGGCCAGATTTTCAATTTTACTCCAGGATCCTGACCTTAATTTGTGCCCCATTCAAACCATCCTCCAGACTGACCTTTAACTAGCTGTGAGTAAATTTACTGACCCACTGGCTACAATGTTAACCTATGGAAATTAAAAAGCAACTAAGCAATCATAATCTTTACACATTAAAAAAAATTGTTGTTCCTTGCCTAAAACATGGATACCAACAACAGCATGCCATGACAAATTTAACTTTTCTGGACTGGTTTTGCTCTGGGACGGAAGGCAACAAACACTGGGATAAGATCCACGTTAGTAATACTTCATCAATATTAGAGCAGGGCCAGAAGCAAGTATCCTGTCTCCCAGGGAACTTTTTTCATGCTCCCACCTACTCCCCCAAAAGGGAACTCAGAATAAAAAAAAATTTGTTACTGTTTATTATGCACTTACCATGAGCCAGGCACTGTGGTGTCTTAGATAGTTATTTTGTTTAAATCCTCACAACAACCCCTGAGATATTATTATCCCCATTTTATATAAGAATAAACTGAGATTTAAACAATGGCCCCTCCTCCCCCGGCCTAAATCATAAGGCATCGAAATCAGAAATTTTACTCCATTCTCTTTCTTCTTTAATTACTTTTCTTGATCTGGTCTTTGCAAAACAAGTAGTATTTTTGACATAACACCTACATTTTAGGAACCTGTCATTAAATAAATTTGTTTCTATGGTGCTACGTATTTTTCAAAGTCCTTCAACTTTTTTTTTTTTTCTATTTGCCCCTCAATCAACCCTGAGATACCTCACGAAGCAGTACTTAATCTCATTTTAGAGGTGAGGATCCACTGACCCAGCAGGCATAGGTGAGCCCTTCTTCTAATCCCTTCAGAAGCAATTCTCAAACTGCTCAAATGTTCCATCAGATCTGAATGCCTTACACTAAACTGACAACTCTGTCACCAACTTTACAGAGAAAACAGAAGCCATCAGGTGCAAATTCCTTCTTTTTCTCTCTGCCCTACCTCACACCTGAGCTTATGATTATCCATAATCTTTTTTTTACCCCATCAGGAGTCACAGATAAAGGATTCATTCTCCTATCCCCACAACTAATACGTGCCCAGGATCCCATTTCTATCTATTCCAAGTTACTCTACCAGTGAGTTGTCTTCTCATTTTTCTGTTCCTTCAACCTCTCCCTCTCCACTAGCTGGTTTCCCTCACAGGACCAACACGCATGTGCAGTATTTGCTTCCACCTGAAAACAAAACAAAAGACTCTTTTATCCCACAATATTCTTTAGCCACTGCCCTGACCCTTTTTTCCTTCTGAGTTAAGCTCCTCGAAAGTATAATAATTTAGACTGGATACCTCCTTTAACTCACCTCCTATTCACTGAAACATGGATTCTGCCCTTATTGCTCCACAGAAACTGCTCTCCCTAAGGCCATTAATGAGCTTTTAAACACCAAATCTAAATGTCACTTTTCAATTACCGAATCTTTATCCTGATCCAAACCTTTTCTTTCTTATTTCATTTTGTTCCACAAGAAAACATTGGAAAATACGAAACTTTTTCTTGACTCCAGTATCCAAATCTGCTGGACTCCAAAACTCACACTCTTAACCATTATGCAGTACCACCTGTAGTTAACCATAAAGTTATCTGATTTCCTTTTCTATTTCAGCCAGTCAGTCACCAAATCCCAGTGAACAAATGATAAATTTCCTAAATGTCTCTGGAAGTGGTTTCCTATGGATGACTCCCAGACACCCAATTTAGAAACTTTATGATTATTCTGAAGTCTAACCTGGATTTACTCCTTAAAAACAAAGCTCAGAACATATCACAGGGAACAATCACCTCTCTTCAGTGACTCCCCTTTCTGGGGACATATTCAACACTACTTTAAAATCCACAGAATTCTCCAAGGCGGTGTGATGAGAAAGAGAGGCTGAGTGGTTTATTCACCGTCAGTCTAACATAGGGCTGGGAATACAAGGGAATCAACAGTCTACTATCTGTGGGGAAACGTCTTCTTGTTAGGTGTCTATAAATTATTTGTAAAGGTCGGTTTCTTCAGTTTGCACCCTGGCCTTAGTGACTTGTTTTCAAGTTTTAAATGGGGTTCTCTTTTGCAACTGTGAGAGCATTAAATAAATCAGCAACTATTAGCACCCAAGGAAGCTAACTAATCCTTGCCTACTGAAGGTCCGTGGTGCCGACCCTTCTTGGCTCCTACCAGACCCTTCCTTGGCGGTCCAAGGAAGCCAAGTCGTCAGTCCCCACAGACTCACCTCTTAGAGATTTCTCAACTACAAGGACTTAGGCAAGGTTTCCCTTTTGACTGGAAGGCTTGTAGAAACGTGACAACCCGCCTTCCCTAACACTCATGTCACAGCGGTAGCGGACCGTATTCTGGGACAAATGGAACTCACGACATTCCAAAGAAAGGTCAGCCGCAAGCGAACTTAGCACTGGCTACACCCTCCTCAATTCTGGTTGGCGAGATGCGCTCTTCCCGGAAGTGACGCACAAGTGCCGGCGGAAGGGGAAGTCCAGGAGCATGGGTGGTTTTTTTCCCCCTACCGAGGTCCGTGAGGTGTGTGCTAACCAAGGGGCGGCTCACAACCGTGACAGACTGCCATTCCTGAGTCTCTTCTGGCCATGGGCCCCCGGAGCCGTGAGCGTCGGGCAGGCGCGGTACAGAACACCAACGACAGCAGCGCCCTCAGCAAGCGTTCCCTGGCCGCGCGCGGGTACGTGCAGGACCCCTTTGCCGCGTTGCTGGTTCCGGGCGCGGCGCGCCGCGCACCGCTCATTCACCGAGGCTACTACGTCCGCGCACGCGCCGTGAGGCACTGCGTGCGCGCTTTTTTGGAGCAGATTGGCGCGCCCCAGGCCGCGCTTCGCGCGCAGATCTTGTCTCTCGGCGCTGGCTTCGACTCGCTCTATTTTCGCTTAAAAACCGCGGGCCGCCTGGCCCGGGCTGCAGTCTGGGAGGTGGATTTTCCGGACGTGGCGCGGCGCAAAGCAGAAAGGATTGGAGAGACGCCAGAGCTGTGCGCGTTAACCGGGCCTTTCGAGAGGGGGGAGCCCGCGTCCGCGCTGTGCTTTGAGAGCGCAGACTACTGCATCCTGGGTCTGGACTTGCGGCAGCTCCAGCGAGTGGAGGAGGCCCTGGGCGCCGCGGGGCTCGACGCAGCCTCACCCACTCTGCTCCTGGCCGAGGCGGTGCTGACCTACCTCGAGCCGGAGAGTGCCGCGGCCCTCATCGCCTGGGCAGCCCAGCGTTTTCCTAATGCCCTTTTCGTGGTCTATGAGCAGATGAGGCCTCAAGACGCCTTTGGCCAGTTCATGCTGCAACATTTTCGGCAGCTAAACTCCCCCCTGCATGGCCTGGAGCGTTTTCCTGACGTGGAGGCGCAGCGGCGCCGCTTCCTTCAAGCTGGCTGGACCGCCTGCGGTGCCGTGGACATGAATGAATTCTATCACTGCTTTCTTCCCGCAGAAGAACGCCGGCGGGTGGAAAATATTGAACCCTTTGACGAATTTGAGGAGTGGCATCTGAAGTGCGCCCATTATTTCATTCTGGCAGCTTCTAGGGGAGACACCCTCTCCCACACCCTAGTGTTTCCATCCTCAGAGGCATTTCCTCGCGTAAATCCTGCTTCGCCTTCAGGGGTATTCCCTGCCAGCGTAGTCAGTAGCGAGGGCCAGGTCCCAAACCTGAAGAGATATGGCCACGCCTCTGTCTTCTTGAGCCCAGACGTTATTCTCAGTGCAGGAGGATTTGGAGAGCAGGAGGGGCGGCACTGCCGAGTGAGCCAGTTTCACTTGCTCTCAAGAGATTGTGACTCTGAATGGAAAGGCAGCCAAATAGGCAGTTGTGGGACTGGAGTTCAGTGGGATGGACGCCTTTATCACACCATGACAAGACTCTCAGAGAGTCGGGTTCTGGTTCTGGGAGGGAGACTGTCCCCAGTAAGTCCAGCCTTGGGGGTTCTCCAGCTTCATTTTTTTAAGAGTGAGGATAATAACACTGAGGACCTGAAAGTGACAATAACAAAGGCTGGCCGAAAGGATGATTCCACTTTGTGTTGTTGGCGGCATTCAACAACAGAAGTGTCCTGTCAGAATCAGGAATATTTGTTTGTGTATGGGGGTCGAAGCGTGGTGGAACCTGTACTAAGTGACTGGCATTTCCTCCATGTAGGGACAATGGCTTGGGTCAGGATCCCAGTGGAGGGAGAAGTACCTGAAGCCCGGCATTCTCACAGTGCCTGCACTTGGCAAGGGGGAGCCCTTATTGCTGGAGGTCTCGGGGCTTCTGAGGAGCCATTGAACTCTGTGCTCTTTCTGAGACCAATCTCTTGTGGATTCCTCTGGGAGTCAGTAGACATCCAGCCTCCCATTACCCCAAGGTACTCCCACACAGCTCATGTGCTCAATGGAAAGCTGTTACTGGTTGGAGGGATCTGGATTCATTCCTCCTCATTTCCTGGAGTGACTGTGATCAATTTGACTACAGGATTGAGCTCTGAGTATCAGATTGACACAACATATGTGCCATGGCCATTAATGTTACACAACCATACTAGTATCCTTCTTCCTGAAGAGCAACAGCTCCTGCTCCTTGGAGGTGGTGGGAACTGCTTTTCCTTTGGTACCTACTTCAACCCCCATACAGTCACATTAGACCTTTCTTCCTTAAGTGCTGGGCAGTAAGGACTGGACTAATATTCAGGACCCACTAAAGTAGACAATAAAGTTTTCCACAAATAGGATGACCCTCTAGCTATAGATACTGCCACTCCTCCTTTCCCCATCCTTTTTTTCCCTTAGCACTATTCAGTGCAAAAAGTGAAAAAGGTTGGTAAAATAGGTAAAATACCTAGAAACAATCACTACAGAAAACAGCTGAAGACAGTGGCCATGCAGTCCGAGAGGAGTAGTGGTCTGCCTCTAATTTTCTAATCTAAGTTCGTTTATTGAGTTACAGTGGTCTTTAGTAAAGTAAAACAATTTCCCAATCCCAGGCCTTGTGATTTGAGATGGTACCTTAGAAAAAGTTACACGCAGTTCCGTGGTTGAATATATTTGAGATGGTACCTTAGAAAAAGTTTCACGCAGATCCTTGGTTGAATATAGTTGAGGGAGCGTAGTATTGACAATTCTTCATGTAGGAAACCTGAAATGAACACAGTCACAGTTTGATTAAAACATTGTCCTGTTTGTTGCAACAGAAAACTCGGATAGTTTTAACAACAGGAAACACTTGTAGGACTTCCTTTACCAACATACTTTTTAAATGTTTTGCTATTGGTTCCATATTTATTTAGATTTATAAGTGTCAATAAAGCAAACTTTTGATGCCTCAATTCATTTTGCACGGGGTATAATAATGTTTTGTTCCAGATATACTCTCCACCTTTCACTGTTCTGTGCTCCAAGAGGCTGACCTTTATGGGCTGCATCAAGGAGCTCTCTTTACTTTTTGGTTGAGTTCCACCAGTCAGAGGCACCAGAGGGGAATGGGGGCAAAAAGAAGAGTGAGAGTGAGTTGGTATTTATTCCCAATTCTTCCCCTGTTGGTTTGCAAGTTGGCAGTGGCAGCATTCTTCTGTCAAAGGCTACAGCTCCTGCCGTGTAATCCTTTCCTGAAGACAGAGTTCTAATTCTGCATCATCCCAGGTTTCAGTAATTGTTCCTTTACTTCACCTTTTCAGGCCTAGGAGTTGTGATGGCTCTTTGCTAGACCTGAACTGTACTGTCCAATGTGGTAGCTATTGACAACATGTGACTATTTAAACGAATTAATAAATTCAGTGGCTTAGTCACATTGACCACATTTTAAGTGCTTAATAACTATGTGTGGCTTTGGCTACTGTATTAGACAATGTAGATGTAGAACATTTCATCGTTACAGAAATTTCTACTGGACACTGCTGACTGGATATCTTGACTTGGTTTCCCTTAACCCTACTCAGCCCCTTATAGTTAGCATCCCATTAAACTCAATTATCCCTTTTAAATGGGAATCTGTTGCCTAGTGAGCCATGTGAGATCAATGAAATAGCTATTCATCCTTAAAATTTGAGCCTTAATTTGTCATCTAAATTATGCATACCTTGTGAAATATACACCTCAAAAAATGTAGTGGCTTTGGTGGTAATAAGTGTATTACTTTAGTATTTCTTCTTAGTCCTAGAAACCTTAGTAGTTTTCATTCTACAAGTGCCTAAATGATTATTATGAACCATCATTGATGACAAATTGCATCCTTTATTTCTATTAATTTTGCATATAAATGGATGTGAAAGGTGATTAATATAAAAACCAAGTAGCAAACACAAACCTAAGTGTATGGAGAGGACAGTCTTGGCTCTGTTAGATGAAGCCTCCCCGGGGGAGACCAGCTGAATGAGGGTTGTGGTATAGGCTGGGCATGGTGGCTCACGCCTATAATTCCAGCACTTTGGGAGGCCAAGACAGAAGGATCACTTAAAGCCAGGAGTTTAAGACCAGCCCAGGCAACAAAGTCAGATCCCCATCTCTACAAAAAAATAAGTAGGCACGGTGGTGTGTGCTTGTAGTCTTGGATACTCTGGAGGCTGAGGTGATAGTGAGCTGTGATTGTGCCACTGCACTCCTGCCTGGTTGACAGAGTGAGACCCCGTCTCTTAAAAAGAAAAAAAAAAAAGGTTGTTGTCCAACTTCAGCTTTCCTGAGACTTTGTAAGAGCCATTTCTAGGGAAAGCATTGGTTATGGCTATGACTGAGTCCTGGGAAACAGGGCTTATTACAGCTGGGAAGACATCTGGCAAGGCGATCAGTGGGCCAGGTAGTAGAAAACTGGCAGGGAATATGATCAGCAGGAGAAAATGGCTGTTCTGTATTTCCTGTTTCTAAGTTTACTACAGCACACCCCAGCTTTCAGGAGCAGATAAAAGCAGAACACTGTGATGAGGCCAGGCGCAGTGGCACATGCCTTGATCCCAGCACTTTGGGAGGCCAAGGCTGGCAGATCACTTGAACTCAGGAGTTGGAGACCAGCCTGGCCAATATGGTGAAACTCCGTCTCTACCCAAAAAAAAAAAAAAAAAAAAAAAAAAAAAAAAATTATCCATCTATCTATATATACAAAGATTAGCCAGGGATGGTGGCGCATGCCTGTAGTCCCAGCTACTCAGGTACTGAGGTGGGAGGATTACTTGAGCCTGGCAGGTCGAGCCAAGATCATGCAACTGCTCTCCAGCTTGGGTGACAGAGTGAGACCCTGTCTCTAGTAATAACAACACTGTAATGAAATGAGTGTTCTCAGCTATGTAGTAGAGTGTACCAGAATTCAAACCTAGATCTAACTCCAAAGCCCAGGTTACACCTTCCACTATGATGCTGCTTACATCATGCCATCAGCCATTATTTCATTACTTTTGGGGGGAAAAGAAGGGAGGAGGGAGGTCATCTAGAGAATGTGGACGTGTGCCAGACCTAAATTAGGAGTGCAATAGTGCCTATTCTCTTGAGCACTGTCCATTAGGGCGCCTTATGAGTAACAGGGCTTGTTCTCCCGAGAGAAATTACCCACATTTCCTATAAGTGATTACCAGATTAAGCATGCCCTCCACCTCTAACTGAGCATCATGCTCAGTTAAGGAATTATTCATCTCTCGAGCTCTACTCATTAGAGCACTTAGAAGTATTGTCAGCAATATTTACCCTGTGCCTTTGGAGCAGCATTCAATATAGACTAGCGTTGAACCACAGTTTCATTAACAGTAATCTGCACAGTTGGAGGTGTGAGCCAGATTGAGAACCAAAGCTGGATAATAATTCTTGCTTCTCCATTTCACTTTTGAAGTTTTTGTTCTAAAATTCTGATACGGAGCTCTGGAGTAGTTATGAGAGTTAATGAACAGGTCTCTTCCTCTTTTAGGGATTACTTCTAGACCAGATAAACTACTTAAGGAAGGAAAGTAATTTCTTATTTTGAATCTCCACTCTGGGTCAGGGTTTCAAAAATAGTGTATCATAATAGTGAAGATGAAAACAGGTTAAGAACAACTGTTGGAGGATATGCTCTTCAAGGCCAGTGCTGTTGCTTCTTTTTGTACTTTCTGAGTTTTAAAACTGAGTGCCCGTTTTTCATCTTTCTGGAGCTTTAAGTCTTCTTAATGATCTTTGGGAGATGGTATGTATCCAATATGTTCCAGGACCCAGGTGTTTCCTTGGTCTTTTTCAGTGATCTCAGACCTTGAAGTCCTAGCTTATTCCATATGTATTTTGTGATCACAAACCCAACCTCAAGCAGCCCATGCTTACCCTGGGACTTATCCCACATGTCATCTCCTGGAAAACAGCCCTATATGACTGCCCCAAATGGAACCAACCGCTTTCTCCCTGTGCAAGAGAAGCCTTTGAAGAGAAGCTCTTTGAAGAGTTTGGTGAATAAAAGAACTAGTTAATAAGGTGAGGTTTTTTGGGTTTGTTTGTTTGTTTGTTTGTTTGTTTGCTTTTTGTTTTTTGTTTTGAGACGGAGTCTTGCTCTGTTGCCCAGGCTAGAGTGCAGTGGCTCGATCTCGGCTCACTGCAACCTCCACCTCCTGGGTTCAAGTGATTCTCCTGCCTCGGCTTCCGGAGTAGCTGGAATTACAGGTGCGCACCACCATGCCCGGCTAATTTTTTTTTTATTTATTTTTAGTAGAGATGGGGTTTCACCATGTTGGTCAGGCTGGTATCCAACTCCTGACCTCAAGTGATCTGCCCGCCTCGGCCTCCCAAAGTGCTGAGATTACAGGCGTGAGCCACCATGCCTGGCCTAGGTGGGTTTTTAACCATAGGGACAGTCCAATAATGTCTAGTTTGACTTTAAGATTAAGCCTTTTAACTTCAGTAATGAAGGAAGGGGTGTAAAATAGCATTAAGCCGGCAAGTTAGGTCATGTAACTTGGCTAATCACATTAGACTTGATGTTTAAAGAGAGAAGGAGAGTGTGTAGAGCAGGAATTATGAAATTTATAATCAGCTTTAGAGTAGGCTGAGATTTCCTTGGATGTCAATAATTATGAGTAAACAAGAATTCTGTCATCCCACATGTAAGTAAGCAGTTACAAGACTGCTTACTTATCTGTCTTGGACATTGATAGAAAGCACATGATTGGGAAGGGGCAGTTCCTTGACTGAGGGAAGGAATTGTGTCTGGTTCACTTTTCTATCACCAACATAGTAGATGCTCAACAAATACTTGTTGGATAGAGGTCCACTCTTGTACTCAAATAAATTATATTTGAATATTACTATAGTTCTTATGCACAAACTGATGTCAATAACTCCTGTAATTGTTGTGTATGTGTGTGTGTCAGGGGGAGGTAAGCATTAAAATTTTAAAGAACCCACAGTTTAAGAGTCTTTGGAAATACATTCAACTTTTCTGACCCAGGTAAAGGTGGTAGACTTTCTGGTGTCATTTCTATCTTTATGGAATAAACCTGAACCTTCTCCCTGATTGCAACTTTCAGCTGATTCTCATCCTCTTTTGCTCAACAATTACTGTATTCTTTGGAGATTAAATGAGTTAACTTTGCAAAAGGCTAATCTGGGGGAGTGGGAACATGCAATTAAATGTACTTGTGAGCACATATACACAGGATCTTCCTAGGATGTTGTGATGGTTCACTGGGCATGACTTTGTGTGTAACTCTCAAAGGAAGTTTAATAGAGGAAGAGGAAAGACCTTGCCCTAATTTTTATGTGAAAAGTCATTTGCCACCTAATTGTCAGACTAAAGATAGGAAATAAATTGAAATAATAATGGCTTTTAGGATATTACATGGCATTCTGCTTTTCTCATTCCCCAGCCTTTGTCCACATTTTTAGGCTTTCCATTAGAGCCCCAACCTCTGATTCATATTTAGACATATTGCTTCAGAAGAAGTTAGCAAAGCTGATCTTTCTTGTTTATGGATCCATCAGCAACTTAACCAATATTTAAGGAAAATAAATGTTGCCATTCCCTTTCCTCCCCGCTAAAAAACCCTTAGTTAAAAAAGTAGAGTCTAGGCCCCAATCCATTGAATTTACATTTGAACAGTTGAGTCCAGTCAGCAATAATTTTTTTTTTTTTGAGATGGAGTCTCACTTTGTCACCAGGCTGGAGTGCAGTGGCACAATCTCAGCTCACTGCAACCTCAGCCCCCAGGTTCAAGAGATTCTCCTGCCTCAGCCTCCTGAGTAGCTGGGACTATAGGCGCATGCCATCACGCCCAGCTAATTTTTGTATTTTTAGTAGAGACGGGGTTTCACCATGTTGGCCAGGATGGTCTCGATCTCTTGACCTCGTGATCTGCCTGCCTCAGCCTCCCAAAGTGCTGGTATTACAGGCGTGAGCCACCACACCCAGCCTAGTCAACAATATTTTTATGTTCAGTGCATAACATATTTATCACATGAATGTACGGATGACTGATTTAAGCTCAAATCAGTAATAAATGAGTAGTAAATTGTAATGTTGAAATCAGAGATTACCACCAGAAAATCAAAATATAGTTTAATGTCATAATTAAAAATAGTTTGGTATTGATGTCACAATAAATAAATCAAAGGAATAAAGAATTAAAAACAGACTGTGTGATAAGGTGACATTTCAAATCAATGAGGAAAGGCTGGATTATTTAGTATATGGTCTGGGCTGATCTGTATTTATGAAAATGATGTTAGCACCCTATTTCTGACAAGTCACAAGCATAAATTCCAAAGGGATTAAAGACCAGACACAAATTTTTAAATAGCACACACACAACCTAAATTGGATGAGCATTAGAACAAGTATAAAAGAATATGATTACAACGTTGGTGGTAGGAAAGTCCTTAAAGAATGCAGAAATACAAACAAAATGAATAGAGAAAAAAAACGATAACTTTATACAGGTATTTAAAACTTCTGGACAGCAAGAAAATACATTAAAATGTTAAAATATTAGTGGTCAACTAATATTTTAGTTTGTAATTCCTCTCTTCCTTAGATGAATAGCTCACAAGGTATCCCTTCCTTCTCCAGAGTCATCATGCCCTGTGGAGATTTTGGTTTTTCTTTTTCAATCAGTACCTGAATTAAGATGCACAGAACTAATCCCTCAGTTTCTCAATATTAGCTTCTGAGATACATTAAGAATGGGAAATTTGAGTAATGGAAGATGGAGCTTTCAATCGAAGATATTCATTCATTCATCCATTCAGCATTTGATGGTTCTAAGCAGATACATCAGCAAACCAAATAATCCATTGTGGAATTTACAACCTAGCAGAAGGAGATGAGAGATTAAACTATCAGGATGATAAATACAGTGCATAATAAATACAGTATGTAAGTAAGAAGGACTTGGAAAAAAGTAAAGTAGGATAAGGAGGATCAGGAGTGCATGGGGGTGCAGGTAGTGGTTTACAATACTAACTAGGTAGGGCAGATAGAGTCTCTCTCACGGAGAGGTGAAACTTCAGCAAAGATTTGAGGATGCAAAAGAATTAGCTAAGTAGATTACTGGGAAAATAATATTTCAGACAGAGGAAATAGCCAGAGCAAAGCTCCTAATGCTACTCATTAAGAACTTTGGCTTTTCATCTGGTGAAAAGGGGAGTTGTGCAGGGCTCTGGATTATATCGTTTGACTTACTTTTTTTTTTTTTTTAATAGACTTTATCTTTTAAAGCAGTTTAAGGTTCACAGCAAAACTGAGAGAAAGGCACAGAGATCTCCCATATAAAGCCTGCCTCCACCCACGGATAGTTTCCCCCACATCAACACCCCTACCTACCTGATGAACCTACACCGACACATCATTACCACCACAGTTTACATTAGGGTTCGCTCTTGGAGTGGTACATTTGATGGGTTTGGACAAGTGTATAATGACATGCATCTGCATGTATTATAGTATCATACAGAATAGTTTTGCTATCCTAAAAATCCTCTGTGCTCCACCTATTCATCTCCCCCCGCCAGATGCCTGGCATTCACTAATTTTTTTTTTTTTTTTTACTGTCTTCATAATTTTGACTTTTCCAGAATGTGATATGGTTGAAATCATACAGCCTTTTTAGACTGGCTTCTTTCACTTTGACTTACATTTTTTATTTTTATTTTTATTTTTTTGAGACAGAGTTTTCCTCCTGTTGCCCAGGCTGGAATGCAATGGCGCGATCTCGGCTCACTGCATCCTCTGCCTCCCAGGTTCAAGCGATTCTCCGGCCTCAGCCTCCCTAGTAGCCAGGATTACAGTCACCTGCCACCACGCCTGACTAATTTTTTTGTATTTTTTAGTACAGACGGGGTTTCTCCATATTGGCCAGGATGGTCTCGATCTCCTGATCTCGTGATCGGCCCACCTTGGCTTCCTAAAATGCTGGGATTATAGGCGTGAGCCACCGCGCCTGGCCCACACTTTGACTTACATTTTTAAACGATTCCTCTAGTGAGGAGATTTGGTTGTAGGAGTTCAAGAGTCTAAGCAGGGAGACTTGTTGGAAGGTTTTGCAGTAATCAAAATGAGAGATGATGTGAATTCAGCTGGAGATTGTGAGAAATGATAAGATTTGGAGGCTATTCTGAAGGTAGACCCAACAGAATTTCCTAATGGACTGGATATGGAGTATGATAGAGAAGAGTGAAGGATGGGATCCAAGACTTGAGGCCTCAGTAACTGGAAGGTTGGAGTCGCCATCACCTGAGATGGGGGAGGCTCCCTGTGGCACAGAGTTTTAGGGGGAGTTTAGGATTCAGGTTGGATATGCTGATGTTGGGATGTCTGTTAGATATCCGAATGAAGATCTACTGACTCAAATATTTATTTTATAACCTTCTTCCTCATCCTCTACATTCACCCACTTTTTTCTTTTTCTTCTTCTGCAAATATCCAGACCCAATACAGGAATGGGACTAGCAAATAAAAATGGTTAAATTGGAAATGCAAATTGTAGCTGAGGAATAGGAGCAAATACCCTGTGAGATGGCCCAAGCCTGGCTGGTCCTGGCTTCCAAAGCTGCTTTCATTCAGACTCATTGTTTTGTTTTCTCTTTTTCATGACTTTTCTTTCTTTCTATGTTAATATTTATTACACTGTGTAATTCTTTATTAGCAGTGTTTTCAGAAAGCTAGAATCAGATAATCCTCATCTCACAAGCCTATCCCCTGAAACAGTTCCTCATGCCACCTCCCCTTACTTGGCATCCTAGTTGCTGGTACTATACCCAGTTCCCAAAGTACATGATGCTGTTTCATGCCTCCATTCCTTTACTCACAATGTTCTTCCTGTCTGGACTCTTAATATTGTTTCTCCTATCCCATTTCCAAGCCATCCCAACCTTGTTCACACAATTCTTATTTGATTTTCAAACCTTAGCTTTGAGGCCTGGAAACAGTGGCTTGTGCCTATAATTCTAGCACTTTGGGAGCACAAGGAGGGAGGTTCCCTTGAGCTCAGGAGTTTGAGACCAGCCTGGGTAACATAGGGAGACCCCTGTCTCAACAAAGAATAAAAAAATTTAGCCATGCGCTGTGGTGCCTGCCTGTAGTCCCAGCTACTTGCTCAAGGAGGATCCCTTGAGCCTGGGAGATCAAGGCTACAGTGAGCTGTGATGGCTCCACTGCACTCCAGCCTGAGCAACAGAGCGAGACCCTGTCTCAAAAATAAAAATAAAAAGCAAAGTTTCCCTTTGGAAAGCATTTCCTGATTCGAACCCTGCCCACTTTCAGGCTGGGATAGGTTGCCCTTCTTTTGTATTGCCATAGCACCTTATAAATATCATCCATACTGCATTTATCATATTTTGTTTAATCTGTGTTTCAGTCCGTCTTCTCACTTCAGACTGAAGTTCCTTGTTAGCAGGAATAGTATCTTATTTATCTTTGTACTCCTAGTACCCAGCACTCTATAAACACTTAAGTGAACAAGAGTCTCTCCTTATGGGTGTTTAACTTCTTAAAGCCAGGCATTTCTCATGCCCTTTCAATGTAACAAATCCTGTACCACTGGCTTCCTGGGGAAGGATAGGGAAGGATAGGGTAGCACCAGAGAGCAATAATACAGTGACATCCAAAAAAAATCACAAGCTTTTGTCATGCAAACCTGTGCCCTTGGTCACAAACTCAGAGAATCAGCCAGCACCTTTAGAACAGAGCTGTGATTATACACAACTGCTTTCTGGAACCCCATTCTCAGCCCTGCTGCTTCCTTCATCTCCCACTGAGACATCTTGTGGGTAGTGATGGGGGTAAGAAGCCATACAGACAGCGAGTTTTTATTGTTTTAGTAGAAGACTGGTATAGAAATTGCATTTTAACTACTAAGATTCACTCCATTATGACTTCAACCAGCATCCTACTTTCTAGCCTAGATTTTTTCAGTTTTGGTAAGACATCCCTGTGGCCACTGTTGGTTTCAGCTGAACACCTAGACTCACACCAGTGTTAATTTAACTATACAGATTCAGCTAGAACACATAGCAGCTCAGGGTTTCTGCATCCTGCTATGTGTTCGCCTACAGTTAAGTTAAAAACACTTGTTGCTATTTATTGTGTAAGTCCTGTGATCATGTCCTCTTTGAAGATGAGGAAACTGAGGCTTAGAGGAGGGATATAACTTGTTCCTAGACACAGACAAAGCAAGACAGGATTCAAACTCAGGATTGAGAATCCTGTAGTAATTTAAGTGTCAAGATAGCTTGGAGGCTTGGACCAAATCTGGACACACTAAACTAATCTTCCTGGCAAGAAACACCACCACCACATCTTTTTTTTTTTTTTTTTTTTCCGCTGGAGTTTCACTCTTGTCGCCCAGGCTGGAGTGCAATGGCGCCATCTCAGCTCACTGCAACCTCTGCCTCCCGGGTTCAAGTGATTCTCCTGCCTCAGCCTCCTGAGTAGCTGGGATTATGGGTGCCCGACACCACGCCTGGCTAATTTTTGTATTTTTAGTAGAGATGGGGTTTCACCATGTTGGCCAGGCTGGTCTCAAACTCCTGACCTCAGGTGATCCACCTGTCTTGGCCTCCCAAAGTGCTGGGATTACAGGGGTGAGCCACCACACCCGGCCACCACCACATCTTATAGACCTAACTGGAAGAGTCAAGATGGCACTTGAAGGAAGTACCTCTGAGAATGTGCTGCTGGTCAGACTGGCCGTACCGGCAGCGTTGACTCTGCCCCTGAAATGGCAAAACTCCTTTCTCCACATTGCCAACCCAGCAACCCGAGAACAATTTCTGTTGACTTTGAGAACGAAGCCTTACATAACCCTTTGCTGCCTCTACTTCTTTTACAGGCCCATGATTTCATGCCACACTGAAATCAAATAATCAAGGCATTGGTTTCTGTCACAGCAGTTAAACACAAACCATTAAGGGGAACCATTGTCCTTTTGTCCAGAACAACCAACCAAGCGTGAAACTATGAAAGAAATGTTTGCTATTTCCTGGGGCTGGCGTAGTACAGGCAGCCACCCCAGGTGCCCAGTCCATAGCTCAACTTGAAAACTAACTGGGTTGATTTTCTGTAGAGATGGGATCTCACTTTGTTGCCCAGGCTGGTCTTGAACTCCTGGGGTCAAGTGATCCTCCTGCGTTGGCCTCCCAAAGTGCTGGGATTACAGGTGTGAGCCACCATGCCTGGCTAGAGGACACATTTTAGAGCCCGAATCCACCATGGGATGACTTGAGAGAAGTCTGGGTACTAACTGCTGGAGATTAAATTAATCTGAAAGTCATTCTGTCATCTAGAAACTTTGCTACTGTTCTACCAACTGATTTACAAACCAGACTCCCTTTAGCATTTCATTTCATATTCATAATCTTTTTTGCTATAGGTCAAAAGTTAAGAGTGAGCACTAACTTTTAGATCCTGGGATAACCACCCACATGGAAGAAATGACATCTGTCCTGACATTAGACCCTGCTGGGAGGCATCTTTTTTTTTTTTTTTTTTTTGAGACAGGGTCTCACTGTGTTGCCCAGGCTGGAGTGCAGTGATGCGGTCATTGCTCACTGCAGCCTCCAATTCCTGGCCTCAAGGGATCCTTCTGCCCAGCCTCCTGAGTAGCTGGGACTATAGGCACATGCCACCATGCCTGGCCTGGGAGGCATTTTCTTTACCCCTTCTGGAAACCACAGGAACATGTCATTTTCAGGGGGACTGAATGAATCTCTGGCTTATTGTTGAGTGGAAATAGCTGCTATTTTGAACCTTGGAAACTTGCTTAATGGTTACACTCAGCACCTCACCTACCTCAGCCTTGAAATGTTGCCGAAACCACAGGATAATCTGGGACACCTCGTCTCCTTCTTAAACACTGTCCAGATGTTTTATCTCAGGATGTTGTGTTTACAAGGAAATGGGGCTTCCCATTCCCCTCCCTCTGATGAACATCCTGACTTTCTGCCTTCACAGGAGCTTTATTTCACTGATTCATTTGTAGTTATTTATGGGATCATAAACGGTGGGTCAGGGGGAAAGATAGAGGCTCAAGAGAAGGAGACCAGGATGTAAAAGCAGTGAAGCTCTTCCCTGACTCCAAGCCAACACCTATCAGGAGCTGAAACCATCTGTCATTCAGAACTTCTGGTGAAAGTGTTGAAACAATGGCTTAGCCATGTAGCCATCCTTAAATCCCAGTCTGGCCCCTTGCCTAGGTGCAGGGTTTCATCAACCACACCCCACTTTAATGATTTTTCCCCAAAGTCTATTCCAACCAATGAGAATGCAAGCCAGAATAATCATTAACAATACCACAGACTGACGCAGAATGATCTCAACCTGGTGTCCTGTCAGATTCTGAATAAACTTTCCATCACCCATCCTGATTACTCTTCCTTTGGCTTAAAACTTGTGCAGGGAGTTGCTCAGGCTCATTACGTATGTGAGCTGAACCTTCCCGAAACAACAGACACAGGTGGAGTCCTAGGGCCTGTGTCAGGAATTTGGAAGCCACAGAACCATGGGATGTAAACCAGGGAAGGACACTTCCTAACTTTCTGTCTTGCAAGAGATCAGAGAGGGCTTTGGGCCATGGCCAAAGCCTAGACACAGAGACTCTGTGTGCAGTATACTCAGCCAGAGAATGTTCAGTGACCAGAGAGATCAGAGTGATGCACTCCTTCCAGAGAAATAATACAAGCCTTTTTAATAGGAGTGGAAAAGGCAAGACACTTCATGGCAGTCACCTAGGGTATAGAAAGAAAATGTATTTTATTTTTATTTATTTTTATTTATTTTTTAGAGAGAGGGTCTCACTCTGTCACCCAGGCTGGAGTGGAGTGGTGTGATCTCAGCTCACTGCAACCTCTAACTCCCAGGCTCAAGCAATCCTCCTACCTCAGACTCCCAAGTAGCTGGGACTACAGGCGTATGTAACCCTGCCCAGCTAATATTTTGATTTTCTGTAGAGATGGGATCTTACTTTGTTGCCCAGGCTGGTTTTGAATTCCTGGGGTCAAGTGATCCCCCGGCCTCGGCCTCCTAAAGTGCTGGGATTACAGGTGTGAGCCACCAAGCCTTGCTAGAGAACACATTTTAGAGCCTGGATCCACCATGGGTGACCTGAGCGAAGTCACACAATCTCCCTGGGACAATGTTTTCTTATCTAAACAATGAGTTTGATAATATTACCTACCTCAGAAAGTGCTTGTGAGGGTCACATGAAGCATGTGTCTTGCATGGTGCTTGGCATGCAGGGCACACACAAAACAAATGTTGCTGTCCACCTCTCACTCTGCTTTCTGAAGCTGACATTAATCCCAGATCACCTGGGAACTACCATCCTCAGACCTGGGCAAGTAAGGCCCACACCTCAGAGGGCCTGCACTTTGGAGTGCCTTCCTCAAAGTTTTCTAAACCCCTCTCCAGGAGGACTGGCAGTGCTGTCCAGCCTGGACTTGGTCCCACATGGGCCTCAATCCCTTTTTCACCTCTCCAGGGCACTCTGACTCTCAACACCCCTTCCCTGTTCCCTCATGTGGGGTTGATCAGATTCCCTGAGAAACTCTAGGACTCACGTTGATGGGGTTGTCCCTGGGCCCCATGGTCAGGACCAGGTTCCAGGAGGGGCAGCCTGGGAAGCAGATCACTCCCACTCGGCAACATGCTGTTTCTTCTTGAGGGATCTTGCAAGATTGAGCACCAGAATGGTGCTGACATGCTGACTTTGGGTGGCTTAAAATTTTATTTAGACAGGAGCCCCGGAAAAATATTTTTTTGCAGAGACCCTGCAAAGTCTAAGGGTGACTCTGCCTCTGGAACTTGGAGACACCTGTCTTCACAGGTGGTTATGTGGGCTTTACTAGCATAGTAATTCTTGATATACCAGCTGTCAACATTAGGAAATGTTTCCGCTTTTAAAATGGCAACAATTTAAAACATTGTCTTTAAGCTAAAATTCCAGTGTTGTCCCCATTTTCCTTCCCTGTCCATCAGGCTTTTGCCTCCCTCACATTATCACCAAATAGAAACATACAATATGTGCCCTTTTGTATCTGGATTATTTCATAGCGTAATGTTTCCAGGTTCACCCATGTTGTAGTGTGTATTAGTACTCCATTCCTTCTCATGGCTGAATAAAAGGACACTGTCAGCTCTATCTCTATCTGTCTCTCAAATCTAGCCCCTTCTCTCTGCTGCCTTAGTCCAGATCTCCAGATCTCCACCTGGACTACTGCAGTGGCCTTATGGCTTCCAGATTCTCCCACACCATTCTATTTCCCACACTGACCAGGAAGGAGGAAAAGCCCACATAAAAAATATGTTATGACTCATGGCAGCACTAGTCGCAGCAGCCAAAAGGTGGAAACAACCCAACTGTCTATCAGTGGATGAACAGATAAACACGATGTGTTATATCCACAGGGGAATACTATTCAGCCATAAAAAGGAATGGAGTAGGCCAGGCCTGGTGGCTCACGCCTGTAATATCAGCAGTTTGGGAGGCTGAGGCAGGCAGATCACCTGAGGTCAGGATTTCAAGCCCAGCCTGGCCAACATGGTGAAACCCCGTCTCTACTAAAAATACAAAAATTAGCTGGGTGTGCTGGCATGCACCTGTAATCCCAGCTGCTCAGGAAGCTGAGGCAGGAAAATTGCTTGAACCTGGGAGGCAGAGGTTGCAGTGAGCGGAGATTGGGCCACTGCACTCCAGCCTGGGCAACAGAGCAAGAGTCTGTCTCAAAAAAAAAAAAAAAAAAGAATGAAGTATTGATACAACATGGATGATCAAAAACATTATGCTAAGTGAAAGAATCCAGACACAAAATGATACATATCGAATGTTTCCATTTATATATAATATTCAGATTAGGCAAATTCATAGATACAGAAAACAGATTAGTGGTTCCCAGTGGCTGGGAGAGGGAGGAATGCGGAGTGACAGCTGAATGGATATAGGGTTTCTTTTTAGGATGACGGAAATGTTCTGAACTAGATAGTGGTGATAGTTGTACAACACTGTGAATGTACCAGATGCTATTGACATGTACGTGTAAACTTGTGAAAATGGTAAATTTTACATTCTGTGTTAGCACAATAGAAAAAAAAATGTGTTGCCAAGGTGGTCACTGCTATGGTTACCCAAGGCTCAGTCCAGCTAGGAGCCAGGTAAAATGTACCTCAGAATTATCCACTCTGAGGGCTGCCAGAGGGAGCATTTACTTATCAGATCCTGGTCCCCCATGGTCAAGGATTGCCCCATGGGGTATTAACTTCCTTCCCTTTCTAGATTTGCACATGTGTGAGTGCCCAGCAGGTCAGAGAAGCTCTGGGGCAGAGCATGAGCGAGTCCTGATGGAGTTGAGACACAGGGCTATCAGCTCGCACTTCAGGAAGGTGTGTGTTAAATCACTTTAGCTGCCACGGAAATAAGTGGAGTAAAAGGTGGGCAAAGGGGATGTGAGATGGGGCGCCACATGTGTCCAAAACACGCTAAGTTTGAAATCCTACAGATGCAGACTCATAGAATTTGAAAATAAGTGGAGAGGAGAGAGAAACAGGAAAGAAGTTTGGTGGATTCGTGTCACTCCCTGATCTTCAGTTGAGCTTCACGGAGTCATTGTCTCATCTCCTCACAGCCTAACTTCTTCCTCTTCACCATCTCCAATTGCACAAGCTTGCTCACCCAAATTCTTCCACAGATATTTTTCTTCCACCGCATCAGTATGTGCTTCTTTCTCTCCATCTACCAGCATCCTCCTGTCCTCCCTTTTTCCAAATCCAGTTCAGAATCCATGGTCCATAATTTCAGTTACTTTCCCATGACAGTTCTAGACTCCGGCCCATTGGCATTTTTATACTATTCATCTGAGAAAACCCCAGCCCCTAGGGAAATCAGCTCCCAGGTTTCTCCATAGTCATATTCTGAGATGAGCCCCACTAAAGAACAAAAAGCACAGGACAGGGCAGATCACTGTAGCAGAGATTACCAGCTCTGTATTTCAATATTATATCCTTAATAATAGGACTCATGTCTAGTTGGACACACTGCTACCAGGGATGAAAGATTGCATTTCCCAGCTGTCCTTGTCTGCAGATGTGGTCATGTGACTAAGTCCTAGCAAGTGAGGAAGAACGTTAAGGGCTGCTGCTGGAAAGGTTAAAGATAGAGTCAACTCAGCCGGGCATGGTGGCTCACACCTATAATTCCAGCTGAGGTGGGCGGATCACCTGAGGCCAGGCGTTCAAGACCAGCCTGGCCAACATGGTGAAACCCTGACTCTACTAAAAACACAAAAATTGGCTGAGTGTGGTGGCAGGAACCTGTAATCCCAGCTACCTGGGAGGCTGAGGCAGGAAAACCGCTTGAACCAGGGAGGCTGATGTTGCAGTTAGCCAAGATCGTGCCATTGCACTCCAGCCAAGGTGACAAGAGCAAAACTCCATCTCAAAAAAAAAATAAAAAATGAAAAAGAAAGATAGAGTCAACTCAGCAGAAGACCCCCACTTTTCTACCTTCTGATGCAGCTCCTGTTACCATCTTGAGCCATGACCTAACCTTGAGGATGGAAGCCATGAGCCAAGATGCTGAAACAAAAAAGTAGTAGATTTAATGTAATCATATGCCAGCCTTAACTCCATAATTCCTTTCTGTGAAAGAGAAATAAACTGATCTAATTTAAGCCACTTTTAGTTTGTTTTTATTTTCTGTTACATGTAGCCAAACTCTATCCTACAAAATAAGCATAATCACCAATCTTGGCAAGGCTAGAAATATTGCCTAGCTTTTCCTGGCCAATTCATTCTCATATTCTCCTCTGTGACTATACCAAAACTTCATCAGTCTCAAATATTTGACTTTCCATTCCCATCCCATAGTCAACAGATGACCTGGTCTTCTGCTTCACTGGTAAAATAGAAGTTATCAGATTAGAAATCTCTCAAGTTCCTGCCACAAACTTTCCTGCCTTCCTTCACCCACGTACTGCCTCTCCTCTATTGCCATAGAGATCTTATCCCTCCTCCATGGGAGTCAAATCTCTCCACTTGTGATTTGGGTCCCATACCTCCCCATCTTTTCAAAAGCCCTATTCTCTCAATTATTCCTGAGGCCATAGAGCTAGATGTTTGTGTGCTGACCTGGCCCATAGGCATGTTTTATTTGGCCCACACAGGTTTTTAAAATTTTTATTTTTCTTTTACTTAAGGAATAATTTGCATACAGGTAAAATCCACTAAAAATAGTGCATAATTCTGCTGGTATTGACAAACATGTACCTTTGTGTATATACCACCATCACAATCAAGAAGAGTTGCAAGTCCAGGTGCTGTGGCTCATGTCTGTAATCCCAGCACTTTGGGAGGCTGAGGCGGGAGGTTCACTTGAGGTCAGGAGTTTCAGACCAGCCTGGCCAACATACTGAGATCCTGTCTCTACAGAAAAAAAAAAAAAATTAGCCAGGTGTGATGGTGTGCACTTGTTGTCTCAGTTACTCAGGAGGCTGAGGTGGGAGGGTTCCTTGAGCTCAGAAGTTTGAGGTTTGCAGTGAGCCATGATCTTGCCACTGCACTCCAGCCTGGGTGACAGAGAGAAAGAGACTTTCTCTTAAAAAGGAATAGATACAGGCTTCTCAAAATCAACCACATATTTTAAACTCAACCCATAATCTGACTCCCCACTCCCCAAAACTCCTATTTTAGTGCTTCCTATTTGAGAGAAAAGCATCACCCAGAGCATGGAGCCAGGAACCTTAGGACTCATGATATCAACTTCTCCCTCACTCTGTCTATCCAATTAATCACCACAGCCTGTTGATTTCACCTTCTGTTTCTCCAGAATCCTCCACTGAGAACATCTCGAATGCCGCTGCCCTGGTCCAGGTCTCCATCATTTCTCACCTGGATTACTGCAGGAATCTCTCAATGAGTCTCTCCCCATCCACCTTGCCTCCCTCCCCAGCCCTTCTACATACTAAAGTCTGAATGATCTTTTAAAACACAGATATGACATTTCACAACCCTACCTTAACATCCCTAATGGCTTCCATTACCCTTAGGGGAAAAACCCCAAAATGAAACCTTGGGCATGTCTTCATCTCATACTATGCTCCCCTTTGCACAAGGCACTTTGGTCCCCTGACCTTCTCTCAGAAGTGTTAAGGGAACCATGCTCGTTTCTCTCCCCATTGGAGAATTAGTACAGATTTCCCTCTGCAAAGGAAGCTCCTTGTCACCCAGCATCATCCCCTTCTTAGAATTTCCAGGCATCTTTCAAAACAAAGTCAAAAATCATTGCTTACCATCCCTCCCTAGACTAACCTGGCCCCCTGGAGATGTGGCTTCAGAACATTCTGTCCTTGCTGAGTTGGAGCTTCATAATTAATTGTGAGGTGTCTTCCTCCGTTGGTGGAATGTAAACTCTACGAGTGCAGGAATCATGTCTGTTATTTACTGCTGCACTCGAGCAACCTAGCTGAGTGCCACACTCATTAACACTCAACCAAAATGTTTGTTGAATGAATACATGAAAGACTGTCTTTGTCTTTAAACTCCTAGGAGCACATTCTGAAAGAAGTCACTCCAGAAACCCCCTGGGTTGCAGAATTACCCTCTGGGAAACAGTAGCCCCCAGACACTTGTTACTTGAGTTGCCAAGGGGCTTGGGGACAACCACTCTTCACTAATAAGCATGTGTCTTCCCTGGGGCTGTTAATGGAAATGACTTCTGTCGCTAAATAAACTTTAGAATGCACAGTGCTGACCCTGTGATAAGCAGTGAGGTCCCACATCAGCCTCTGTCATTAGCATGAGGACCAATTTGAAGTTGCCGCTTTCTGGGCCCACTGCATCTCATAAGATGTATCTCTTTTAGCCCAAAGCCCCACAGCTTCTCATTGTACCTGTGCCTCTGCTGCTCCAGAGGACAGCTATCTCTTTGAGATATTCTCCAAAGGAATTCTCCAAGAAAGAATTCCACAGGGTAGGATAGGGTATCCCACGTAAACCACATTTCTCATAATGTCATCCTAAACATACCTTTCTAATTTGATAAAAATCTGTTTAATTCTATCTGCAGAGCCTGGAACAATGCCTGGCACATGACAGGTACTAACTAAATCTTTGTGCAATGAATAAATGAAATGCATGCAGACTATGGGAGCATTTATCAAGGATGTCTTCCAGGAGAAAGGGACGTGTCAGCCAGAGCCCTGAAGAAAGAGGAGTAGTTAGCTAGGAAAACAAAGCAGGGGAGAACATCTTAAGGAGAGGCACATGAGAAGGATTTGGACTGGGAGAAAACAGGTGTGCCCAAGAAACTAGAAGAACTCAGAGGAAACCCCAAATTCCTAACCATCATTTACAAAGCTGGTGGCATCTGGCCCTTCCCTTCTTCTCTGCTTCTCCCTCCTCTCATTCCTCCGACACCAACCTCATTCCACTCATACTGCTGCCCTTTTCCTCTTTCAGATCAACCCCCACTTCCTGCCTCAGGGCCTTTGAATTTACTTTTTCCTTTCCTCCATTTTCAAAAGATTATTTTTTCTTGTCACTTAGCCTCAGATCAATATCACCACCCCAGGGAGACCTTTCTCGACCACCCAATCTAAAGCAGCATCTTGCCACCCCAAGTATTCTCTCTCTCATCCCCTTGCTGGCTTCTTTCTTCTTTAAAGCAGTTATCTCCATCTGAGCATATCTTGTCTATTTATCCATTTTCTTGTTCATTGATTGTCTCCCACTACTAAAATGTGAGTTCCACGAGGGCAGACATCCCACCAGTTTTGTTTACTACTGTACCCTCAGCACCTGACACAGAGGCTTAGCAGATATACATTGAATGAATGAATGGCTGTGGCAGGGAGAGAATAAGGAAAAGGAAAGCAGGGGCCAGATCATGCAGAGCTTTGGGGGTCACACTGTACCTTCTGGATCTTATTTTAAGGAGAATAAGAAGACATGGAAGAGTTTAAGCAGGTGACTTATCTGACAATCTTTGCTTTTTTAAAAGATCATTCTGGCTGTTGTGTGGTGTATGAATCATATGGGACCAAAATGCAGCAATGTGAGGCACAGACCAGGTGAGGTGATGGTGGCCTGGCCAGCTGGAGGGTGGGACAGAGATGGAAAGAAGGAGAGGGAATCAGATTACGTGCAGCCTGAAGAACTAACAAAGTTTGGTTATAACATAATTGGTAGGTTAAACACATCTAAAGAAAGAATGAGATCATGTTTGGCCAGACAAGCTCGGGGGGTTGTTGTTAGCAGAATTAGGCATTAACCTCTACCCCAGGTTTTGGGTACAGAAGCTGGGCAGAACTCTTCCATTACTCTTCCTCCATCATATTCAAGGGGCAGAAATGTCCTAGAAAAAAAAAGGGATTGGGGGATCAATCATGACTACTCTTCTTTGATATACTTTATTTAGTTATTAAAAGAAGTTTGGGCTGGGCGCCGTGGCTCACGCCTGTAATCCCAGCACTTTGGGAGGCCGAGGTGGGTGGATTATGAGGTCAGGAGATTGAGATCATCCTGGCTAACAAGGTGAAACCCTGTCTCTACTACAAATACAAAAAAATTAGCCGGGTGTGGTGGCAGGCGCCTGTAGTCCCAGCTACTCGGAAGGCTGAGGCAGGAGAATGGCGTGAACCTGGGAGGCGGAGCTTCCTGGGCGACAGAGTGAGACTCCCTCTCCAAAAAAAAAAAAAAAGAAGTTTGATGACCTGGGATGGTCCAAACTGAGGTCAGACGGGCAGGTGAGGGCAAGATGGGTGTGGCTCACCACCAGGAAGGGGTCTTCTGGATGGGAACCTAAGGCTCAACAGCAGGGGCTCAGGAGCTGATCCTAGGTGGAGGGTTTGGCTGATCTCATTATGCCCTCCTGCCTCACCCTCCTGGCTATATAGCTGAAGGCCTCTGTAATCCTCCCAGGCTTGAGGTCAAGGACATCTAGCCTGGTAGAGCCAGTCAACCTAACCTTGAAGAGTGCTCCTGAGTTTTTGTTCTCCAAGCAGGCACCAGCTGGTGTGAAAGCAGAACTGATTTGTGGAGGAAAGTAAGCTACCATGGGGATTATCTAGGACTTCTGGGGAGGGGACCCTGGACTCAACTTCCAGCTAATTTCATAGGGGAAGAATTAGTGGTGGTGTAATTCAGGTAGCCTAGAAAGTCAGCTTTATTTTGTAGGTGGCCCCGCCTGTTCAGGTGGCATCATCTGAGTGACACACAGAAGACAGGGAATCTAGTGGGGAAGAAAAATGATGCAAATGACTATTTAGAGTCTGATGAGTTTTGTGAAGGAGAATTGCAGTGCTCCAAGAGAGGAAATACGGGGACCTTGGCTAGCTAGGGTAAGTGTCTGTGAGGAAGTGACATTTCAGCTGAGTTTGAAGAGGGGGCAGAAGGAATGGCCAGGAAAGGGGATGGCTTGGGAAAAGATGTTAATTTGGGAATTTGGTAACTGGGAAAGCAAAAGATCAGCAAGCTAGTGAGAGGGAGAGTTGCAGGCGATGTGGCTGGGGGAAATGGTTAGGGTAAAATAAGGTGGCAGAACCTGTGGACTCTGTGAAGATTTTGGACTCCGGAGCAATGCAAGCTATTGGTACGTTTTAAGTAGGGGTGTGACCCAATCAGTTTCAGTCAAATATGATGTTTTCACTGCCTTAAGAATAATCAAGCCAAGAGCACTGAAAAGAATGAATGAGAATGAGGCTGGACGCTGGACTATGACAAATTCTCCCTGGCTATGAATGTCTCCTTGGGTAGCTTAGCAGCAAGTCTTGACATAAGTTCTCTTTTTTTTGAGACAGAGTCTCGTTCTGTCACCAGGCTGGAGTGCAGAGGTGCGATCTCGGCTCACTGCAAGCTCTGCCTCCTGGGTTCACGCCATTCTTCTGCCTCAGCCTCCCGAGTACCTGGGACTACAGGCGCCCACCACCATGCCTGGCTAATTTTTTGTATTTTTAGTAGAGATGGGGTTTCACCATGTTAGCCAGGATGGTCTCGATCTCCTGACCTTGTGATCCACCCACCTTGGCCTCCCAAAGTGCTGGGATTACAGGCGTGAGCTACCGCGCTGGGCCGTCTTGACATAAGTTCTTTTGCTCATCATGAATCTCACATTCTGAAGGATCATATATATTACCATTATTACCAATGCAAGTGGCTTTTTACCACTTTAAGGCTTCTACGTGCTCTCACAAATATCTGTTGGATTCTCAAATGCAAGCCTGTGAAGTAAGCTTTGCTATTAGCCCCATTTTACGTGAGAGGAAATTGAGACTCAGTGAGAATAACTTGCTTGTGGTCAAATTAAAGCACTAAAGCTCAGAAGGTCAGAGGAATATTCAACCAGGTTCTCTAACTCAGAAACCTGTGCTCTGTCCATTTGGCCACACAACCTTCAAATAGAGGTTCTAAACAGCTAATGCAGTTTTGTAATATTTACGAGAATGAGTAAAACATAAAATAAACTGGGGATAGGTAGGTGGAGTGAATGTATTGAATTTAAAGTGACTGCTGGATCTTCAAGTGGAGAAGCCAGTAGACACACATGAGGGTGTGGAACCAGGAAAGGATTATAGCATGTTTATATTTATTTTAGAGTTAAAGATCCTCAGAACATACTGTCCTGTTGCTGAACAGCAAATCTGGGGGATTCATGAACCCAGCAGAGCTTGGTCTGTTATCAACACAGAGATGATTCTATAGTACAAGACCCTTTTTGTTCTGGAAACTAAATTTAAAACTTGTCTATATCAGGCATTTTTCTTATAGGGAAAATTTACAGCAAATGGCATATAATGTGATCAATTAAAAACATGATTTATAATGTCATGAGGGGTACTGATTATAACTTAATCAATTGATCATAACTTAATTTAAAAATTAGTTGCCCAATAGAGCTGATTAGCTAGAATGCCAGATAGGGATGACAGTAATGTGTAAGACACCAAAGGAGGGTGGTGGTGCGAAAATGCTAGGGGTAATAAAAATCAATTTGATCAGTGATGTTTAGGTTTTAAAACAAATTACTCATAACCATAAAACTCTAATATCTGAAAGCAGTGTAGGAAAAACAGCAATGATATTGCATGTCTGAATCTCTCAAGCCTCTGACGCTTTTTCTCCCTACAGAAAACAATTGCTTTATAAAATGAGTTTTTGCTTTATAAATTGAGTTGCTGCAGGCAGTCCTGTTCCAGTTTCAGATGAGGTCCTAGCCGTCCCCATTTTCCCCACTTTGCTCCTGTGTGCCTTTGCCCTGGAATGCCTTTCTCACTCAATCTCTCTTCTCTAAAATCCTTTTCATTCTCCACTGGCACATCACAGATCACAATGCCTTTCTGGAGCTCCTCCCTAGAACTCCTCTGTCATTTTGAACTCAGGGCAGTTTCTTTTGTAGAGTGTGTGTGTATATGCCTGTGTGTGTGTATGTGTGTGTGTGAGTGTGTGTGAGAGTTTGTGTGTGTGTGTGTGTGTGTGTCATGAGACGGAGTATCACTCTGTCACCCAGGCTGGAGTGCAGTGGCATGATCTGGGCTCACTGCAACCTGCAGCTCCCGGGTTCAAGCGATTCTCATGCCTCAGTCTCCCAAGTAGCTGAGACTACAAGCGTCCACCATCACACCTGGCTAATTTTCGTATTTTTAGTAGAGTCGGAGTTTCGCCAGGTTGGCCAGGCTGGTCTCGAACTCCTGGCCTCAAGTGATCCGTCCGCCTCAGCCTCCCAAAGTGCTGGGATTACAGGCATAAGCCACCATACCTGGCTGTGTCTGTTTCTTATCTCCACCAATAGAGTCTAAGCTCCTTGGGGTTAAAGATCAGCTCATACTTTGTGTGCCTTAAAACTTTTAATATGGTGCCTTTGACATTACAGTCATTCAAGACTTGTAAACTGAATGAAGAAAGGAAGGAATGAAAGTAGAAGTGGAAATTCAGATACTCAGCCCAATAATGAGGCCCTTAGGATTGACCAAATGCAATTTCTCCAGTTAACCTGGATAATAATATTGCAGTTACTTTTATTTTTGACATGGAGAAATCTCTTCCCATCTAAGCCCTCAAATAAAAACTGAAGGGTTGAAATAAATAAATAATATATGAGATGTGAAAGCTTATTTTCATAAGGCAAAATTCATTACATCAATAAAGCTATATTTTTAAGTGGGATGGCAAATTGTTTTATATGGAAATTCTCACTTAAAAAAAATCCTGTCTTCAAGTTACAGTATGACTGCAGCTAGGGAAAAAACCCACTTGTGCACAGACAAAAAACAGGAATGAAATTTACCAAAATGTATACCCTTCTCTACCATTAAAAAAAATTCTGTTTTCAGTGGCGGTGGCTCACGCCTGTAACCCCAGCACTTTGGGAAGCTGAGGTGGACAGATCACTTGAGGTCAGGAGTTCAAGACCAGCCTGGTCAACATGGTGAAACCCCGTCTCTACTAAAAATAGAAAAATTAGCTGGGTGTGGTGGCGCATGCCTGTGGTCCCAGCTACTCGAGAGGCTGAGGCAGGAGAGTCAGTTGAACCTGGGAGGTGGAGGTACAGTGAGCAGAGATCGTACCACTGCACTCCAGCCTGGGTGACAGAGCAAGACTCTGTTTCAAAAACAAAAACAAAAACAAAACCAATTCAAAATATCTTTAATTTATGAATTAGAACTCTAAATTTAAAAAAAAAGTTATTTTAAAAACATCTGCCTTCCTCAAAAGAGCATATATTTCTATTACAAAAGATTCTTGGCACCAGTAATCAGGTATTTTTCTGAGCCAAGGTACAGCAATTTTAACAAAATAAAGCCCATAGGGTGCCCACTGAACACCGGGTAATGAGTGAGTTCAATGTGTTCGCCTGACCATCATTTTGTGAATACACTCAACGTATTAAAAGAGGCAGAGGATGTGACTGAAAGCTTTGGTTACAATAGGTGCAGGAATTTGTGACGAATGAATCACACAGATTAACTCAGGGAATTACGAAGGTCTTCTATATGTTTGACAATAATTAGTAAACATGTAAATAGCTTTAAAGTTTTTCTGTCTGCAGCACTTATTCTTTGACCAAACTAAGTTCCTCCTCCAGGAGTGCTGAATGGACACTTCTCTCCTTAAACTTTGAATCTGGGAAACACATACACACATGTCTGGATCTCCTGCCATGATCTTCCTATTCTTTTTCTTTCTTTCTCTTTAAAAAAAAGTGTTTTTTTCTCCCTAATTAAAAACATCTTACACTCCCACTGTGGAATTTTTAAAAAATTCAGTAAAATATAAAAAAGAAAGCACATTCACAATCTCACTGCTCTTAGCCACAGTTTGTTATATTTTCTTCTATCTTTTAAAAATGGGTCTATCTGCATAAATAATATTTTTTACACTGTTAAACTACACTGTTTTTTAAAAAATTATTTTATTTTTAATTAACATGTAATAGTGTACATATTTATGAGGTACAGAGTGACATTCTGATGTATTTTGATACATGTATACAATGTATAATGATCAAATCAGGGTAATCAGAATATCCATCATCTCAAACATTGATCATTTCTTTGTGTTGGGAACACTCAAAAACCTCTCTTCCAGTTATTCGAAAATATGCAATAAATTCGTATTAAATATAGTCACGCTGCAGTGTTATAGAACACTAGAACCTAGTTTTCCTATCTAGCTGTAATTTTGTATCCCTTAACCAACCTCTATCCCTGCTCCCACCCACCCTTCCCAGCCTCTAAGCACCACGACTCTGCTCTCTGCTTCTCTGATCTCAACTTCTTCAGGTCCCACATATGAGTGAGAACAACTGCACTGTTTTCCTATTCTACTTTTTCCTTCCAGTTAATATCACATTATGGGCATTTTTCCTTGTCACTGGAAACTTTGTCAACTTCATTTTTAATCAGCAGCATTAATAATTCAGTATTTCAGTGTGCTTTATTTTTCTTCAAGATGCAAAGCTCCCTGGGTCCTGATGGGCTGTGCAAATCTTTCTTCATGACTCTTTCTATGACCTTCCTCATAGCTCTTTCTTACCCAACACCCATATGGTCAGGGGAAGCCAGACCGAACTGGCTTAGATCGAATCGGGTCCCAGGCCTTGAAGTGACAGAGGCACAAGGGAACAGCTTCAAGCCAAGCTTTGCCATTCACATCACTTGTGAGTCTTCTCAGCTCAAAAAGGAGGCCACAGAAACAAATCCCTCAGCACATTTTTACAAGGCTTAAGTCAGAAGCTCCCTTCCTTAAGCCAAGATGTACCTGGAACAACGGGAAATTTAAGAGGAGGAGTGGGAGGAGGAGGAAGTGGCAGCCCCGCCCGACTCAGGGATGGAAGGGAAGGTTCTAGTAGGGTGACTGTAAATGCTCAAGAGGCAATTAGGTCTCGAATCGTACTGGTGACTAGTTGAAGGGCCTTGACCGACAGGAGAAGGAGGGAGATGGATCAGGGTGAGTACTGGGAATCGACTTACCTTTTCGGAGGTGCTAAGTCAAGAGAGGGGAGAAGTTTGGAGAGGGTAGAGGATGTAGGGAAGCGACAGGAGAGCCTGGATTGATGATTGGTAGTTCATTGTGCAATACGGCTCCTTCTTCTTACTTCTCCATCTGCATTTGGACCTTGGGGCACAAATCCTACAGCCATTCGTTTTCTTTTCTGAAGCTGTGAACAGCCTTTTCTTTAAAACCTGGGGGGCTGAAATGGCCTTGGGAAGTCTGAGGAGCCCCAAAAAGAGCTTGGCCCCTGCCACCAGGTGTCCTTGGGTGCTTGGGAGGCTATTTCTATGGCCAACTCTGAAGCTGTGGGAGGACCCCTCTCAGACCCTAGACCTCTCCCTTGTCCAGCTTCTCCCCTGACTCTCAGGTCCTCACTGAGAGTTGCTGCCCCCACCCCTGAGTTCAGGCCCCTTTTTCGATCCCTTCAGAACCCTGCCACTCCTCTCCTGGGAGTGAGAAGAACAGGCCCCCGCAGGCTGGGCCAGCCTGGCCAACACATGCGGCCTGCCAGGGAGGGCACTAAACATGGGTCATGTATTTCTTTTCTTTTTCTTTTTTTTTTTTTTGAGATGGAGTCTCCCTTTGTAGCCCAGGCTGGAGTGCAATGGCGCGATCTCGGCTCACTGCATCCTCTGCCTCCTGAGTTCAAGGGATTCTCCTACCTCAGCCTCCTGAGTAGCTGGGATTACAGGTGCCTGCCACCATACACGGCTAATTTTTGTATTTTTAGTAGAGGTGGGGTTTCGCCATGTTGGCCAGGCTGGTCTTGAACTCCTGACCTCAGGTGACCCACCCACCTTGGCCTCCCAAAGTGCTGGGATTACAGGCATGAGCCACCACACGCGGCCATGTATGTCTTAAAATAATGTTCTAAAGCATGTATCATGTTCTAATGGCCAGGCACTGTGTCTCACACTGGGCGTGGTGGCACAGGCCTGTAATCCCAGCACTTTGGGAGGCCAAGGCAAGCGGGTCGCTTGAGCTGAGGAGTTCGAGACCAGCCTGTCCAACATAGTGAAATACTGTCTCTACTAAAAATACAAAAATTAGCCGGGTATGGTGGCACAAGTCTGTAGTTCCAGCTACTTGGAGGGCTGAGGCGGGAGGACTGCATGAGCCTGGGGGGGTCAAAGCTGCATTGAGCTGAGATTGCGCCACTGCACTCCGGCCTGGGAGAAAAAGTGAGATCCTGTCTCAAACAAACACAAAATAAAAATAGAGATATAAATGGTTTTTAAATGCAAGACAGAGTTTGACAGAGAAGGCTCAAGAAGCTTGTCACGTGCTAGATTCCAGGGTACTTTAGTGCTAGAGTTTAGCATATCTTTTCCCCTTGGCTATCACCAACTAGAATAAGTCTAAAACAGTTATATATATACACATATATTTTTGAGACGGAGTCTTGCTCTATTGCCCAGGCTGGATGGAGTGCAGTGGCGCAATCTCGGTTCACTGCAAGCTCCGCCTCCAGGGTTCACGCCATTCTCCTGCCTCAGCCTCCCGAGTAGCTGGGACTACAGGCGCCCGCTACCACGCCTGGCTAATTTTTTGTATTTTTAGTAGAGACAGGGTTTCACTACGTTGGCCAGGATGGTCTTGATCTCTTGACCTCGTGATCCACCCGCCTCAGCCTCCCAAAGTGCTGGGATTACAGGCGTGAGCCACCGCGCCCGGCCTTTCATTATGTTTTCATTTGAAGAAAGCACAATATTCACTTACTTGGAAAAAAAATTTGAAAATCTTCAGACCAGTACCACCAGCCAGAAGTTAAGAACTAGGTTCTAGAGTCAAACTGTCTAGGTTTAAATGCCAACTTTGCCACTTAATTAAGTAGGTGACACTGGCCAAGTTACTTAACTTTGCCTATCATCTTCCTACTTATCTGTAACAGGGGGCTGATAATATGGAATTGGGTAGTTACAGGAATAGCAGGAGATGATGTACATAAAGCCTGGAGTTCCATAAAACTTAGTATTAACTAGATATTCAACTAGTGTTGCAAGTGCAAACATCCCCTATGTTCTGAAATGCTTGGGAAGAATTTTGTGGAGGAGTGGCTGCTGGGTTTTGTTTGAAGAATGGGTACAATGGAGACACAAAGAGATTAGGGAAGGGGCAGGGGCTGTCAGAGGTAGATATGAGTATGGTCTGTTTGGAGGCCATAGTACAAGTGAAGCAGTTTATTTATGGGCTAGTGGGAGATAAGATTGGAGAGATATGTTGGGACCACATTGTGAAGGGCTTGGAATGCTTGGCTAAGGAGTTTGGACTTGAACTTTTAAGTAATAAGAAATTTTTATTCTTGCACACTAAAAGAGGCACAGAACACGGCAGTAATCTCCTATAGGAATCTCTTCATATGCTCTCACACAGATTATACTCTTTCACATTTTGTAAGAAGGGAAGAAATGAAAAAGAATAACGTATTTGTAAAAGTCCTAAAAATGGACAACAATAATGAGAAATGGAAAGAGAAAAGAAGCTAGAATAAATGCAAAAACAAAGACAGAAGAATGGAAGGAGCTGAGTCCACCTTCCACCTGGCATTTTGTGGCAGGTGCCAACTCCATGCCAGCTGCACTGGATAGAATTTGCCCTTTGTTGTCTCCACCTAGAGCGTGCCAACCTCACCACTAACCTGACTGCCTGGGACTTTGTTGGCAGTTGATTCCTTTAACCGACCCCATTTTTCATCCACCCTAGCTGGGGCCTTAGGAAGCCCTACAAGTCAAAATATTTCAATAAATGTTTATTAGCCTGCCATATGCCCAGGGATGCCAGCCCCTTGCACACATAGGGTGGTCCTTCTTTTCCTCTTACCAACACCTGTGTTTAGGTCCTCATGAGCCTTTGGCTTAGATCGTTGTGACAGGGCTCTCGCTGCCCTTCCCGTCCTTCTCTTCTTCCCCTCTGGTCTAGGCTAAATGCCACAGTCGAATTAATCCTAAAGTTCAGCTTTGATCCTGCCACTCCTGCTCAAAAGCCTGCCTTTAATCAAAGTAGCACTTTCCCCTCAATACAAAAGGAATACATGTTCAAAGAAAAAGCTTGGGAAAAGCCAAAAAACCTAAAGGAAAGAAAATTTCCAATAATTTCACCACCTAAAGATAATTTGTACATACTAATTTTTAGTCTTTTTAAAAAATCTTCCTTTCTAATGTCTTGTGAACTACCTTTCTGTAATCTTTGCTCCTTTTTTTTTTGGCTGCTATTGGTGCCCTCTTTGTTGGAATCAAGTTGGAATCATCAGATAAGAGGAATCAAGTTTATGTAGCCAACTCCTATTGTAAGATATTTGGGTTGCACTGAACATTTTTATGCTTAAGTTTTGTACACAAATTATTATTTTTTAAGAAAAAAATCCTAGATGAGAAGTTCATGGGTCAAAGGTATTTATGTTTTAAGGCTTTCTTTTATTTTTATTTTATTTTATTTTATTTATTTGAGATGGAGTCTCGCTCTGCCACCAGGCTGGAGTGCAGTGGCCCGATCTTGGCTCACTGCAACCTCCGCCTCCCGGGTTCAAGCAATTCTTCTGCCTCAGCCTCCCAAGCAGCTGGGACTACAGGCACCCACCACCATGCCCAGCTAATTTTTGTATTTTTAGTAGAGACAAGGTTTCAACATATTGGCCAGGATGATCTCGATCTCGACCTTGTGATCCGCCCGCCTCGGCCTCCCAAAGTGCTGGGATTACAGGCGTGAGCCACCGCGCCTGGCCGTTTTCTTTTATTTTGTAATAAATATTGATGAATTGCTCTCAGAAAGGTGTAACATTTTATCTACCCATCAGGGCTAGATCTACCCATGACTACTGAATCAAGCAGCAGCGTCTTGGCCCGGGCTCGAGCCCCTCCTCATCCTGGCCCTGCTGCCCTCACAGGCTCTGCCCCTTCCCATCCCCTCCATCCCCAGTGCTCTTCTGCAGGATGATTCTCCTTGAACCTCACGCACATGTGTGTCTATCCATTCAGCAAATGTCACCAAGAACCCACCAGGATGGCAGGAGATTGTGCAGGTTAAGGGGGCGGCCTCTGGAGCCAGCCTCCCTGGGTTTGATCCTATCTCCACCCAGCACCTTCCTGTATGTCAGGAACAATATTAACAGCTCCATTTCAGGCGGTTGGTGAGAACATAAATTCTTTCAGACATGTAAAATGCTCTAAACAATGCCGGGCATTGGTAAGTATTCCACGAACATTAGCCATGCATATCTGCAGTTAGGCACCAGGCTCCTTTCTAGGCAGGGGAATCTGCATTTGAAGATGGCTGAGGTCTCTTGCTTTTGTGGAACCAATTCTAGATATTAAGTGCCCTGAAGAAAACAGAGAGGGTGTTGTGATAGAAAGTGACCACATGGTGGGAAGTAAAGCATCATGCTTGGTGGCCAAAGAAAGCCCCTGTGCAGTGGTTACTGCTGAGCCAAGACCCGAGTGGAGAGATGGAGGCGTGAGTGAGGGCAGGGCTGTCTTGGGTTTTGGTGTCAGAGGACAGGAGCTTTGCATCGCGGAGCTCATCACATGCAGATGGCTGTTTCAATGTCTTTTTCTTTCTTTCTTTTTCTTTCTTTCTTTCTTTCTTTCTTTCTTTCTTTCTTTCTTTCTTTCTATACATGCAGATGGCTGTTTCAATGTCCCTTTCTTTCTTTCTTTTTCTCTTTCTTTCTTTCTTTCCTTCCTTCCTTCCTTCTTTCTTTCTTTTTCTTTCTCTTTCTCTCTTTCTGTCTCTCTTTCTCTCTTTTTTGAGACAGGGTCTCGCTCTGTTGCCCAGGCTGGAGTGCAATGGTACGATCTCAGCTCACTGCAAACTCCGCCTCCCAGGTTCAAGCAATTCTCCTGCCTCGGCCTCCTGAGTAGCTGGGATTATAAGCATGAGCCACCATGCCTGGCTAATTTTTGTATTTTTAGTGGAGACAGGGTTTCACCATGTTGGTCAGCTGGTCTCGAACTCCTGAGCTCGTGATCCACCCGCCTCGGCCTCCCAAAGTGCTGGGATTACAGCCGTGAGCCACTGTGCCCGGCCTGTCTCCTTTTTCTTAAAAGGCTGATAATACATCAGGATATATTTGATCCTTTTATACCCTTGTCTTTGTATTAGTCAAATAAGTGCCAGGAATCTTGTGGCTGGGGCTTAACTCTCCTCTTACTCATGTCATTAACTCCAGTGGTATTGTGGCCAAGACAAGAAGGCCTTGTGGGTGCTGACATGTTTTTACTAACTGATTCTGCTTGATTTTCTGCTTTGTTGAGCCTCTTCCTGATCCTCTTGGCTTTCTTTTCCTGCTTTTGAAAACCCTTCCCTTTGTTTTCTTAAGTCATTGTCTCTTTGACATGAGAAGCACTTCAGTGGAGTGGAATAAAAAAGA
Organism: Homo sapiens; assembly: GCF_000001405.40. NCBI lineage: Eukaryota > Metazoa > Chordata > Mammalia > Primates > Hominidae > Homo > Homo sapiens. The sequence goes on along the minus strand of NC_000015.10, from coordinate 43,296,830 downwards.
AAACCTGAGTGTCCAGTGGAGAATGAGTTTTCTCCATGCCACTGCAACCTTGGGCCTCTGGAGAGGAAGACATCTTCCTTCCTCCCCCTCTCCTTTCTTTCCCAAACTAAGAGAAGTCTGGCTTAGGGGAAAATTGAGTTGGCTGTCCCTAGGAACTATGCTTTGAGCTACAAACAGCAGCCAGGAAAAGGCTACCCTGAGTCCTGTTCCCTCCTGTGTGTCCCTGTCTCTTTTGGATCTATGATCATTCAGGGTGGGAGTTGTGTATGGGACGGAGAGGCTTTCTGTGAAGGCTCAGTGGTCCTGCTATGAAAACTTTAGGCCCCTTAGGAACAAATGAGAAGCAACCAGTTCCCAACCAGATTGAGGCCAGCTGCTCTCTGACTTTTTTTTTTTTTTTTTTTTTGAGACAGAGTCTCGCTCTGTCACCCAGGCTGGAGTGCAGTGGTGTGACCTCGGCTCACTGCAACCTCTGCCTCCCGGGTTCACGCCATTCTCCTGCCTCAGCCTCCTGAGTAGCTGAGATTACAGGTGCCCGCCACCACGCCCGGCTAATTTTTTGTATCTTTAGTAGAGAAGGGGTTTCACCATGTTAGCCAGGATGGTCTCAATCTCCTGACCTCGTGATCTGCCCGCCTTGGCCTCCCAAAGTGCTGGGATTACAGGCGTGAGCCACCTCACCCGGCTGCTTTCTGACTTTTAACTATGATCTATGATTTATATCATGACCTAGCTACACATAAAATTGTCCTTGTTCTTCCTATGTGTGATGCATTGTATGTTTTCTATTCCATTCCATTTTCTTATTACAGGCTACCTCTCTCTAAATTGATTTCACAAACTACTAAATGAGTTGGAACTGAAGTTTAAAAACTGCTGTTGAATGATTAAAAGGGATCTGTCTTAGATCTTTCTCTAAATTTTCTGGTTCCAATAACATATCTATTTAAGTGCCCCAACACATCAAGAGGTTTAACAACTTTGTACCAATTGATCCAGTAATTCACCTTTGTTGAATCTACCTTACAAAAGATTGTTGTTAAGAGACAGATCAAGGGATCCTTATGCATATTCTGTTTTTAGCCAGACATTTGACACATTTATGGAAAAGATGAAAACTGGATTTGATTTTAGATTGTGAAGGAAATTAACATTGACTTCAGCTTTATTCAAAGATTAGATGTAGTTAAAGCAGTTGAACAGCTATGCCCAAAGAGTTTTTTTTCTAGTTCTATGTTTTTTTGAGATGGAGTTGCTCTGTCACCCAGGCTGGAGTGCAATGGGGCAATCCTGGCTCACTGCAACCTCTACCTCCTGGGCTCAGGCAATTCTCCCGCCTCAGCCTCCCAAGAAGCTGGGATCACAGGCACTCACCACCAGGCCTGGCTAATTTTTGTATTTTAGTAGATGCAGGGTTTCACCATGTTGGCCAGGTTGGTCTCGAACTCCTGACCTCAAGTGATTCACCCTTCTTGGCCTCCCAAAGTGCTGGGATTACAGGCGTGAGCCATGGTGCCCAGCCCCAAAGAGTATTTCTTAATGGCTCAGTGTTAACATGGAAGAAAGAGCTGATGATACACAACTGGCCACCAACTTAGGCTCTAATGCTTAGAAACATCTTATTACTGATTACTTAGATGAAGACTGGAAGACAGTTTAGCCAGTCTAGAGATGGAAAAGTAAAATATTTGGGTCAAAAAATCAGAATCTATCAACCTGGGCAACATAGGGAGATGCTGTCTCTACAAAATACAAAAAAAATACTGTAGGGCATGGTAGCCCATAACTGTGGTCCAACATACTTGTGAAGCTGAGATGGGAGGATCACTTGAGCCCAGAATGAAGGCTGAGGCTGCAGTGAGCCAGGAGCATGCCATTGCACTCCAGCCGGGCTGCAGAGTGAGACCCTGTCTCCAAAAAAAAAAAAGGATCAAGATAGGTAGGAAAGATGCAAAAACATTAAGAACCTCTGTGGAAGTTCAAAATACAAATGGCACAAAAACTGGCTGGGAGCAAATATGAGTTTTTCCTTTAGGATGCTGCTTAGCAGCCTCTCTTCCCAGTAAAAAATGTCTTCAGACATTGCCAAATGTCCTCCAGGGCACGGAATTTCCCGTTGAGAACCACTGAGATAAACTGATGTACTACTAGAGGAAAGACCTGATGAACTTTTGTCGACAGTAAATGCAATCTAAACATTGCCAGCAAAGGTCGCAAAAGAAATGCAATTCAAGAACGCATGATTCCTACCAGTAAGAGTAACTAATATTGACTCCTTACTCTGTACCTGGCACAACGCCAAGGTCCTTCCATGGGCATCCTCACTTAACGCCCACATGAACCCTATAAGGTAGGAATACAATTGTCTCCATTTTTCAGATGAGGACACTGATGTCTAGGGATATTAAGTGACTTGCTCGAGGTCTCACAGCCCAGATGATAGACCTGAGGCTGTGTCAGTCCAGAACCTGCCCACTGCCTACTGTGCTATGAGAGTTTTACAACCATGTACCAGGTGTGCACACACAGGAAGCAGGCAGTGCCCTCCTCATAGACCTGGAAATGGCTGAGAAGTCAGAAGTAAGTTACAAGTGACCCAGAGAGTGTCCAGAATTCCAAAGCAGGGACTTGCCCTATGGCTGAAGTCCCAGCTTCCAGTCAGCTCACTGACTTAATTCATACAAAATCCTAGTATGTTTATTCTTATATCAGTAGGATAAAAGGGTGACTTTTAGAAAGATTGTCAACAAATAGTTAAGAGCATGCAGCGGCACTTCAGGGGTTAAGTTTCGGTTATCTGGAATTGTTTCCCTTTTGGGGACCCCAATCCTTGATCATTGTGGCTCCAGGTCCAGACATGGAATTCACCAGTATCAACACTTCCCCATGCCGATCCCCCCGCACACCCCACTCCCCCCGCACAGCCCCCCGCACACCCCACCCCACCCCCGCACACCCCACCCTCCCCAGCACACCCCACCCCCCCGCACACCCCACCCTCCCCAGCACACCCCACGCCCCCGCACACACACACCCGCACGCCCCCCCCGCACACCCCACCTCCCCCCCCGCACGCCCCACCTACCCCCCGCACGCCCCACCACCCGCCGCACCTCCCAGAAATGACTGAGAAGCCACAAGGGATGCCTGAGCCCAGGGGACTGCAGGTGGGCGTGACCTGTCCCCTCCTCTCCCCTAGTGGCAACCTTGCGGCTTGAGTCTGTCGACCTGCAGAGCTCCAGGAACAACAAGGAGCACCACACGCAGGAGATGGGCGTCAAGCGGCTCACTGTGCGCCGCGGCCAGCCCTTCTACCTCCGGCTGAGCTTCAGCCGACCCTTCCAGTCCCAGAACGACCACATCACCTTTGTGGCTGAGACCGGTGAGTTTGCCCTGTCCCAAGGCCCCGCAGGTTCCGTCAAAATGAGGGCATTTACAGAGTCTGCCTGCGGGGCCCCTGCCTTTCCCACCTGAGCTGCCCTCCACTTTCTTGTCCTGGGAGCCCCAGACCCCTCATGCTCAGGACCCTGTTAGTGCTGTTAAGGAGAGATTTGGTCAACTCGGCAAACTGAGGTTGTGGCAGTTAACAACCGACCTGTAGATACACAACAAGCACTGTGCTAAAACTTTACACACATTAGCTCATTTAATCCCCAGGACAAGACTTTCAGGTGGTACTATTATGATCCCCTTTTAACAGATTAAAAAACGGAGGCCTGGGGGTCTTAAATGGTTTGCCTGAGGACACTCGGTGGCAGTAAAAGCCAAAAGCATTAGCAGGTGGTGGGAGAAGGTGACGGTCCTTCCGACTCCCCTGGAATCATATACCATACAGGTTTTTTGAGCCTCACTGTGGGGTCATTCTCTCCTACACAGGACCCAAGCCGTCAGAGCTGCTGGGGACCCGAGCCACATTCTTCCTCACCCGGGTCCAGCCCGGGAATGTCTGGAGCGCTTCTGATTTCACCATTGACTCCAACTCTCTCCAAGTTTCCCTTTTCACACCAGCCAATGCAGTTATTGGCCATTACACTCTGAAAATAGAGATCTCTCAGGGCCAAGGTCACAGTGTGACTTACCCGCTGGGAACTTTCATCCTACTTTTTAACCCTTGGAGTCCAGGTAGGATGTGCCCACAGCTTGTATTGCTAACCTGATCCATTGGGAAGGCCCTGTGAGGTTCTTTGGAAAAAGCCCAGAAAATAAATCGCCACATAGCTATGCAATGTAGTAGCGTGTGCTCTCACAAAAATCATCTTTACAAAGAATTTCTAATGGCATGAGGAAAGTATTCATGACGTGATGTTAAGTGAAAACATTGAAACATTTCCTAATATGAGCCTAATTGTATTAAGTATGCACAGAAAGAGAGAGTGGCTAGAATACACCAAAACATAACGGTGGGTGTCTCTGAGTAGTGGGAGTGAGCAGTTTCCATTGTCTTCTACCCATCTATCTGTATTTTCTGAATCTCTACAATAAGCCAACTCTACAATCAGTCACTTTTACAATCAAGAAAAGATCGTTGGTTTTTAAAGTGTACATTGTATTTCTGGCTTCTAGAAAAGCACATAGTAGACCTTTAAGGGGGTCTAGTCTTAATTTCTGTTGCTATCAACCCATCGACTGTTCCTCCTGTTTTCCAGAAACACGTTGTCGTTACTGTTTTTTAATTTAATACTCTGTTTTTTTGGTTTGGGGTTTTGCCCCCTCCACTACTCTTAACTGCTCAGAGGACGACGTCTACCTGCCAAGTGAAATACTGCTGCAGGAGTATATCATGCGAGATTATGGCTTTGTTTACAAGGGTCATGAAAGATTCATCACCTCCTGGCCCTGGAACTACGGGCAGGTAACACTATTACCCAATGTGGGCCTGGGGTGGGCTCCCTAAGGCTGGTCCTTACACAACCCTGTTATGTAAGGCTGTTATATTACACAGCCCTCATAGAGGGCCACTAATACAGGCGAGGGTGTGAGGGGCTTGGCCAGCTTCACATCCAGTGAGAGGGGCAAGGAAGGAAGGGGTGGATGTCTTTCCTTTTTAGTTTTTAACATTTTATTATGAAAAACCTTAAAACATAATCAAAGTAGACAGGCTACTACAATAGATCTCCCTGTACCCACCTCTCAGCTTCAGTAGTGATCAATGTATCATGAGTCTGTTTCATCAACACCGGGGGTTTGCAAACTACAGCCCACAGACCAAATGTGGCCTACTGCCTGTTTAGCCCATGAGCTGAGAATAGTTTTCACGTTTTTTACTTGTTGAAAAGGAATTGTAAAAGAATAATATTTTGTGATGTGAAAATTATATGAAATTCAAATTTCAGCGTGCACAAATAGCATTTTATTGCAAATAGCCATGTTCATTCATTTAGATGTAGTCTGTGGCTGCTTGCATGCTGCATTGGCAGAATTGAGTTATTAAGACAGAGACCTGCTTCAACACATGCAAATCAATAAACGTAATCCAGCATATAAACAGAACCAACGACAAAAACTGCATGATTATCTCAATAGATGCAGAAAAGGCCTTTGACAAAATTCAACAACCTTCATGCTAAAAACTCTCAATAAATTAGGTATTGATGGGACATATCTCAAAATAATAAGAGCTACCTATGACAAACCCACAGCCAATATCATACTGAATGGGCAAAAACTGGAAGCATTCCCTTTGAAAACTGGCACAAGACAGGGACGCCCTCTCTCACCACTCCTATTTAACATAGTGTTGGAAGTTCTGGCCAGGGCAATCAGGCAGGAGAAGGAAATAAAGGGTATTCAATTAGGAAAAGAGGAAGTCAAAGTGTCCCTGTTTGCAGATGACATGATTGTATATCTAGAAAACCCCAACGTCTCAGCCCAAAATCTCCTTAAGCTGATAGACAACTTCAGCAATATCTCAGGATACAAAATCAATGTGCAAAAATCACAAGCATTCTTATACACCAATAACAGACAAACAGAGTCAAATCATGAGTGAACTCCCATTCACAATTGCTTCAAAGAGAATAAAATACCTATGAATCCAACTTACAAGGGACATGAAGGACCTCTTCAAGAAGAACTACAAACCACTGCTCAATGAAATAAAAGAGGATACAAACAAATGGAAGAACATTCCATGCTCATGGGTAGGAAGAATCAGTACTGTGAAAATGGCCATACTGCCCAAGGTAATTTATAGATTCAATGCCATCCCCATCAAGCTACCAATGACTTTCTTCACAGAATTGGAAAAAGCTACTTTAAAGTTCATATGGAACCCAAAAAGAGCCTGCATTGCCAAGTCAATCCTAAGCCAAAAGAACAAAGCTGGAGGCATCACGCTACCTGACTTCAAACTATACTACAAGGCTACAGTAACCAAAACAGCATGGTACTGGTACCAAAACAGAGATATAGATCAATGGAACAGAACAGAGCCCTCAGAAAGAATGCTGCATATCTACAACCATCTGATCTTTGACAAACCTGACAAAAACAAGAAATGGGGAAAGGATTCCCTATTTAATAAATGGTGCTGGGAAAACTGGCTAGCCATATGTAGAAAGCTGAAATTGGACCCCTTCCTTACACCTTATACAAAAATTAATTCAAGATGGATTAAAGACTTAAATGTTAGACCTGAAACCATAAAAACCCTAGAAGAAAACCTAGGCAATACCATTCAGGACATAGGCATGGGCAAGGACTTCATGTCTAAAACCCCAAAAGAAATGGCAACAAAAGCCAAAATCGACAAATGGGATCTAATTAAACTAAAGAGCTTCTGCACAGCAAGAGAAACTACCATCAGAGTAAGCAGGCAACCTACAGAATGGGAGAAAATTTTCACAACCTACTCATCTGATAAAGGGCTAATATCCAGAATCTACAATGAACTCAAACAAATTTACAAGAAAAAAACAAACAACCCCATCAAAAAGTGGGCGAAGGACATGAACAGACACTTCTCAAAAGAAGACATTTATGCAGCCAAAAGACACATGAAAAAATGCTCATCATCACTGGCCATCAGAGAAATGCAAATCAAAACCACAATGAGATACCACCTCACACCAGTTAGAATGGCGATCATTAAAAAGTCAGGAAACAACAAGTGCTGGAGAGGATGTGGAGAAATCGGAACACTTTTACACTGTTGGTGGGACTGTAAACTAGTTCAACCATTGTGGAAGTCAGTGTGGCAATTCCTCAGGGATTTAGAACTAGAAATACCATTTGACCCAGCAATCTTATTACTGGGTAAATACCCAAAGGATTATAAATCATGCTGCTATAAAGACACATGCACACGTATGTTTATTGCGGCACAATTCACAATAGCAAAGACTTGGAACCAACCCACATGTCCAACAATGATAGACTGGATTAAGAAAATGTGGCACATATACACCATGGAATACTATGCAGCCATAAAAAATGATGAGTTCATGTCCTTTGTAGGGACATGGATGAAGCTGGAAACCATCATTCTCAGCAAACTATCACAAGGACAAAAAAACCAAACACCACATGTCCTCACTCATAGGTGGGAATTGAACAATGAGAACACATGGACACAGGAAGGGGAACATCACACACTGGGGCCTGTTGTGGGGTTAGGGGAGTGGGGAGGGATAGCATTAGGAGATATACCTAATGTTAAATGACGAGTTAATGGGTGCAGCACACCAACATGGCACATGTATACATATGTAACTAACCTGCACGTTGTGCACGTGTACCCCAAAACTTAAAGTAGAATAAAAAAAAAAAAGACAGAGACCTTATGGCCTGCAAAGGCTAAAATATTTACTATTTGGTTTTTTACAGAAAAAGCTTGTCCTTCTCTGGTCTGTACTCTTCTGCCTCCATCCCCACTCCCCACTCCACCACTAGATTTTTTTCTTTTTCTTGAGATAGAGTCTCACTGTGTTGCCCAGGCTGGAGTGCAGTGGCATGATCTTGGCTCACTGCAACCTCCTGGGTTCAAGTGATTCTCCCACCTCAGCTTCCTGAGTAACTAGGACTACAGGTGCGAGCCATAATGCCCGGCTAATTTTTGTATTTTTAGTAGAGACGGGGTTTCACCGTGTTGGCCAGGCTGGTCTCGAACTTCTGACCTCAGGTGATCCACCTGCCTCGGCCTCTCGAAGTACTGGGATTACAGCCACTGCTGCCGGCAAATTTTTTTTTAAGCAAATTACAGATACCATATTATTTAATCCAGTAACACTTCAGCATATTTAATCCAATAGTACTTCAGAATATAGTCATGTAAAAGATGATGACTCTTTCTGCAAAACTTAATCAGAATACATGATTGTAACGGAAAAAAAAAAGAATAGTAATTCTTTAATAACATCCAATATCCAGTCAACGTAGAGAGGGGGAACTTGGCTCTGGGCAACGTTTCCACTCTCAACCCCCGCAGGCGTAGTTTCTCTCTCCTTCCCACTGCCACCTCAGTCCTGTCCACAAACTCCAAAAGGGAAGAGGTGGGGGAAGCCTTGCTGAGGGAGAGCACGTTTTCCCCATTCTCCAACCGTGGCGACCTGTGACCCTCTTTGAAACTGAGACAAATACCTGTGCATTTGGCAGCCAAAGCATTGTGACAAACATTGTGCACGTCTATTATGAGCCCACCCTGGCTCCTCCAGGGCCCGCAGCGTCTGCTCTGAGCTCCTCTACCTGATTTCAAGACTGGCACGTGTGGCCCTACATTGATCTCTAGACTTTTTCTGCTCTGATCCCTTCCCTGCTTCTTCAAGTCCTCCAGATAGGAGTCTAAGTCCTTGATACCCACCATGCTCAAAGACCTCAGGTAAATATGCCCACTCTCCTCTTCCTGCCCACCCAGTCCATCAAAGCCCATTGGCACCAAAGCCTTCTCTCATCTGTTCAGCCGAGGGGGGTCTCTCACTCTCCGAATTCTGTTTCCATTTTTCATCAGAACCACGCAGTTTAGTGTTTCAGAATTTCAAACCTAATACATTCCCAATTTGATTTATAAGCTCTTCAAAGGCAGGAACTTGTCTTATATTTAGCGCCCTCCCCCTGCCCCCACATCCCCATATACATGCCATCCCCAAAAGTCTGTTAGTGACTTAAAGTTTCAGAAGTCTAGACATTTGCTCTTCTCTTTTTTCTCCCTTAAAATCACTTGGAAGTTTGAAGAGGACATCATAGACATCTGCTTTGAGATCCTGAACAAGAGCCTGTATCACTTAAAGAACCCGGCCAAAGACTGTTCCCAGCGGAACGACGTGGTGTATGTGTGCAGGGTGGTGAGTGCCATGGTAAGGATGGATGCTTCCCGCCGTCTGAGGACAGTCTGAGCTTCCCCGGGAGCTGTGGAAACCCACCTGTCTGTCCTCTGCAGATCAACAGCAACGATGACAATGGCGTGCTGCAGGGGAACTGGGGCGAGGACTACTCCAAAGGGGTCAGTCCTCTGGAGTGGAAGGGCAGTGTGGCCATCCTACAGCAGTGGTCAGCCAGGGGCGGGCAGCCTGTGAAGTACGGACAGTGCTGGGTCTTCGCCTCTGTTATGTGCACCGGTGAGCGAAAGATCACTCACTTAGGGGTGTGATTAACTTCATTATCAGAGAAGTTAACTGTGGCTCATAAAGGTTCAGTAGCTTGCCCATGGCCCCACAGCTGGGGGTGGTGGGCACCCAGGCCCTGAGCTAGCACACCATACAGTCTCGAGGGATCCTGTGCATTTATGTGAGAGGGGGATTGACCTGTGGCAATCATCTCACAGTATCCTTGATGGATCAGTCAGACTGTTAAAACTGTCATCTGGATAGAGGAGTTTGTGGTCCCGAAGCAGAAACCAAATGGCTCCTTTCTGCCACCTGCTCAGGCATCTCAGCTCAGGGTGAGCCTGGCATGGGGGGGCAGGTGGAAGTAGATGGCGTGAGATAGCTGACCTCACCCATAGGCAGAGCTAGCAGCCCCCAAATGCTTCACTGAGAGATCCTTGAGCAGTTATCATTATAGACTTGCCACCTTGCTGACTACCCTTAAAGAACATCAATGTTTTATGCAGTATCAATTATTTACAATTCAGTGCAAAGTTGTTGAGCAGACCATCTGTGAAGATGAGAGAAAGATGGAGAGTACTTGTCTCACCCTTGCAAGGCCAGAATCTGTTAGACAGGCCTGTCCTGCTACATTATGGAGCTCGATGAACATTTGCTGAACTAACAGGGTGACTCTGAGTTGGAGAAAGGAGGAGCAGAGAATGGGGAGGACAGAGACAGGTGCCAAAGACAAGGGCAGAGACTTTTTGGAGAGGGGCAGCAGAGGCTGGCAGTTATATACAGGTGCTGCAGACACAGAGGAGGTTTAAATCTGAGTGTTTGAATCCAGTGACCTCACTTTGCCCAGGTGTGAAATGGGGCTAGGGCTACCCTGGCACTCAGTATTCTCAGTTGTTCCTTGGGCTGGGAAGTCCCCAGGCCGTGCTAGGTAGGTGTTATGGAGGAGGCCTGGGATGAGCAGGAGAAGGACGAGGTCCACCACCCTGCTCCATTTCCAAGCCTCTCCCCACTCCCAGGCGCTCGAGTTACAGGGCCACTGCGCACTGGGGGAGCTGCCCCTGCCAAGCTTCCTATGGCCACTTCCAGCCCAGGTGTAGCTCCCACGCCTGCTAAGGATCTGTGACAAGCCCAGGAGCTGTGCTGTGAGTGGACAGGTGACTGCAGACAGGAAGCCTTCTTGGGGGCTCTTCAGTGAACCAAAACAAAAGGATTGGTCGCTGTCAATATTCCTTTTACTTTTTGAAGCTGTGTAATCCTCCTGGCAGCCTCAGTAGGCACCGTCTGCCCCTCCTAGGAGGGAGATAGTGGGATAAACCTCTCTGAACTTACCATGCTGGCTGATGTCAGTACCCACGTCCCCTCAGGGTCACACCTGGCTCTTGCTGGCTCTTGGCTTGACTTCATCTGGCTCTGGGCAGGCAGGGGTGTGTGTGTGTGTGTGTTTGTGTGTATGTGTTGGGGGTAATGTTTACACTGTGTGACTAGATTTGTGAAATCATAACTCAGCTTTTAAAAGCCTTTGTAGCAGTATCATGAGAAGCCACAAGAGGGAGCTGCTGCCTTATTAAAGATGGTTGCTGACTGTGATTTCCTCTTATCTCTGCTGACGGTTTCCACTGTCTCTAGAAGTCTATCTTGTCCCTCTATCCATCCTCGAATTTCTTTCATACCTCCCCCTACCTCTTGTCTTTAAGTAGAATTACAGATCCCAAATTTCAGAGCTAGGGTGGGAGGAGGGTGATGAAATAATCTGTACAACAACCCCCCGTGACACGTGTTTACCCACGTAACAAACCTTCATGTGTACCCTCAAACCTAAAATAAAAGTTAAAAAACATTTCGGAACTAAATTTTCAGCCTCCCTAGTAGCTGGAACTGCAGGCATGCACCACCACACCCAGCTAATTTTTTTTTGTATTTTTAGTAGAGACGGGGTTTCCCCATGTTGGCCAGGCTGAGTCTCAAACCCCTGACCTCGTGATCCGCCTCAGCCTCCCAAAGTGCTGGGATTACAGGCGTAAGCCACCGCGCCTGGCCCTCTGTCTTTAACTTGGAAAGCTGCTGAGTGGAAAGACTCCTAAATGATAAGTCGGATTATTGTTAACTGTTGTTTTAAGCGACCCTCAAATGATTCCTTTCTCCTTGTGGGATGTTGATCACTGATGGGGCAGCAGGGCTGTGGGACTGGGTGTGGGGCTCTGGGAATAAAGGAGTTACTGGTGTGGTTCCGTAAGCGTCTTGGCTTTCTCTCCTCCAGCTTGAAAGTTACAAATTATGCATGGAAAACCAATAATTCTGCCTGAAATGAACTCAGCGATTCTCTATATTTTTCTCTTTAGTAATGAGATGCTTAGGTGTTCCAACCCGTGTTGTTTCCAATTTCCGTTCCGCGCACAACGTGGATAGGAACTTGACCATCGATACGTACTATGACCGAAATGCCGAGATGCTGTCAACTCAGAAACGAGACAAAATATGGTGAGAGGCACTGTCTTGAACAGATCTCTGCTTTGTCCCAGGGAGGGCAGAAAAACTGACCTGGTTCTCTCTGGCTCTTGAGGAAATATTGCAAGATTGCCCTGAGCATTGCTGCTAATGCTCAGAGAAGAGAAGAATTCCCCAACCCAGGAGGCTGTTCTGGCTAATTAGGTCATCAAATTTAACTCATTTCAGAGGTAGAAAACAATGGGATAACATTCTGGGGCCTCAACCAAATGACTAGCTGGGCGTCTTCTGAACACTGACCTCAAAAGTCTTTATTCATCTTCCTCTTTCTTCTCTGAGTTTCTGTTTGTACCATCCAGTTTTCCCAGAAGTCAGACAGAGCCTGGACTGGCTGCTTCTGTAGACCTCTTCTTGTCTCTCTTGACTTCTTCCTCTGCCCAACCCACTCCCTGTCTGCATGCATGTGTCTGTGCATGTATATGCATGCGTGTGTGTGTGTGTGTATCTCTGTGCATCCCTTTATTTGTGTATCTCTGGCTTCTTTTCCTGGTTCCTTTGTTCTCAGCTCTACCCGCAAATCTGGTTTCCTGTTTCTCTTTTTCCAGCCAGTTTCCAGATAAGACTCGCTGTGTTGGTTTGTTTGTTTTTGAGATGGAGTCTCGCTCTGTTGCCCAGGCTGGAGTGCAATGGTGCGAACTCAGCTCACTGCAATCTCCACCTCCCAGGTTCAAGCAATTCTCCTGCCTCAGCCCCCCGAGTAGATGGGACTACAGGCACGTACCACCACACCTGGCTAATTTTTGTATTTTTAGTAGAGACGGGGTTTCACCATGTTGGTCTCGAACTCTTGACCTCAGATGATCCACTCGCCTCGGCCTCCCAAAGTGCTGGGATTACAGGCCTGAGCCACCGCACCCAGCCTCCAGGTAAGATTCCTTGAGTTGTGTAAGAACTACCTGCTGTCCTAGGAGCCCCCTCCGTCTCTGAGCTTCAATTTCCTTGTCTGTAAAATGAAGATAACATCTACTTCACAGGGTTGCTAGGGTGAAATGAGATCAATGCCAGTAAGGAGGGCTTTTCAGCCTGGGATCCACAGATAGACTCCTAGAGGTCTGAATTGTCTCTGATTCAGGAAGCAGTGGTGTATCTGAGGATATGTAACTTAGGCACAGTTCTGTCTTTGAATGCATATCTTGAGTCTAATCATGAGGAAACATCAGACAAGCCCAAAATGGGGGCCACTCTGGTTTTAAAAAATAGATAAATAACATAAAGACTGTTTTCATTAAAAGCCCAGACTTCACCACTAGGTAATATCTCCATGAAACAAAACTACATTTGTACCCCTTACATTTACAAAAAAAAAGAAAAAGAGAGAGAGCGAGAGATTGTTTTCAAATCCCAATGTAACAAAGAAAGAAAGGCGAAGGAACTGTTCCAAGATCAAAGGAGACAACATTCTGCGTAGCTGAATGCAGTGTGTGATCACAGACGGCATCGCGTACCACATGGGAGAAGAATGCTCTAAACAACATCATTAGGTCAACTGACAACATTAAAATATAGACAGTAAATTAGATAAAGGCATCATATCAATATCCAATGTGCTAGGGTTTATGAACTATACAGGGGTTATGTAAGAGAAGATCCCTATTCTCAGGAAATACACACTGAAGTGTGTATGTGTAGATATCTATTCCTGTCCACACTGAAAGAAAGCATATGGGGCAAAATGTTAACAACAGATGAATTGGGTAGATGGGTGTTCTTTGTACTACTCTTTTTTGTTGTTTTTTTGAGATGGAGTCTCACTCTGTGGCCCAGGCTGGAGTGCAGCGGTGCCATCTTGGCTCACTGCAAGCTCCGCCTCCTGGGTTCACACCATTCTCCTGCCTCAGCCTCCCGAGTAGCTGGGACTACAGGTGCCCGCCACCATGCCCAGCTACTTTTTTGTATTTTTGGTAGAGACAGGGTTTCACTGTGTTAGCCAGGATGGTCTCAATCTCCTGACCTCGTGATCCGCCCACTTCGGCTTCCCAAAGTGCTGGGATTACAGGCGTGAGTCACCGCGCCCAGCCTGTACTATTCTTGTGACTTTTAGTATGAAATTACTTCCTAATAAAAAGTAAGAAAAAGAAACAATGATATAAATCACTCCGTATAGTGCCTGGTACCTGGCAAAACCTCAGCTAACATGAATCCTTGTCTCCTTACTCCCTCCTGCAGGAACTTCCACGTCTGGAATGAGTGCTGGATGATCCGGAAAGATCTCCCACCAGGATACAACGGGTGGCAGGTTCTGGACCCCACTCCCCAGCAGACCAGCAGTGGTGAGTGAGGACCATTGCAACAGGCTCTGGCTCTGTGGGGAGGCAGATTAGGGTGACTGGCCGTGGGAGCAGGAGACCAGGGAGGAGCAGCGTTTTCCACGGCACCCTCTTCCCGAGGTCCCAGCTGACACAGCTTCAGATCAGGAATCTAACTCTACCATTGACAGAGTCACCCGGATGGGTTACCTGGATGGGTCACTGAGCCTCAGTTGTGTCCTTACCTGTAAAGTGGAAAAGCTGATGATGAGCATTGCCACTTCACAGGGTGGCTGTGAGGGTCAGATGAATTAATGGGAACAAAAGTGCTTGGTAAACTGGAAGATATCCCACGGGTGAGAGTCAGTGGTGCCGCTGCCTATCCCATCTCCACCTCCCACAGCCACAACCAGCTGCCCCTGGCCCCCATATCAGTAGCCTGTTGCCTCCACAGGGCTGTTCTGCTGTGGCCCTGCCTCTGTGAAGGCCATCAGGGAAGGGGATGTCCACCTGGCCTATGACACCCCTTTTGTGTATGCCGAGGTGAACGCCGATGAAGTCATTTGGCTCCTTGGGGATGGCCAGGCCCAGGAAATCCTGGCCCACAACACCAGTTCCATCGGGAAGGAGATCAGCACTAAGATGGTGGGGTCAGACCAGCGCCAGAGCATCACCAGCTCCTACAAGTACCCAGAAGGTGCTGGGCGGGTATTTGGGGAAAGGGCTGCTTTAAGCTTCTTTGTGATGCTTCCTAGCTGGGATGGCTCCAAGTTGAAACCATCACCATCGAATCACCTCTTCCTCATGGCAAACTCCTAGGGGTCCTTCCTGGATCCCAGGCATGTGGCCCTAGGGTAGGGTTACCAGCAAATAAAAATACAGGATGCCCAGTTAAATTTGAATTCCAGGTAGATCCAGATAAACAAATATTTTATTTGTGTAATATATGTCCCAAATGTTGTATGAGACATACTTATTCTAAAAAGTATTCACTGTTTATCTGAAATTCACACTGGGTATGATTTTTAATATATAAGTATGTTCCAAATAGTGCATGGGATGTACTATACTAAAAATAATTTGTTGTTTATCTGGAATTTAAATGTGGTTGGATGTCCTGTATTTTAACTCCACCCAGAGTGGCACCACCGTCTCCCTATGTCCATGGCAAGGGGAGCGGTGGAGTCAGGGGGATGGGCCCCTGGGCCTGTGGATGGGGTGGACACCCCCACGGAGGGCGCATGTGTGGAGTCAGGCTGCCTGAGTACTGAACAGGGCTCTGCCATGCCCTGTGTAAGACTGGACACAGTTTACCACCCCTGTGCCTCCATTTCCTCATCTGTAAAATGGGATAACAGTCCCTCGGACGGCTGTTGAGAGGTTAAATGAGTGTCCATAGAAAGCACTGGGAACAGTGCCTGTGGAATGCAGCAACTGCTCCAGAGAAGTCCACAGGTGGGGGTAAGTTTGGGTTAAGCTGTTGGAGGCGGCACAAATGTTTCTTATGATTAGGCATAACTGAAGCCTGTCAGTAACAATCTGAACCTGTGCTCAATTAAGCAGCTGACCAGTCATTACCTCCTCCTCCTTGCTCTTGCTACCCAAATAAATATGAAGGGCGGTAGACACTCAGCGGCTGCCTTTGCTCACTAGAAGCAGGGAGCCCTTTCTTCTTCTCTTCTTTTCTCCTTCTCTTTTCTTATTCCGCATGCTAGCCTTTCCTTAAAACAGTTTCTTCTGTTTTTTACCATTTCTACATTCATCCCTTCGTTCAGTCTTGTAATGATGGTCTCAAGTAGTAACAGTAGTAACTGTGGTAATGATGGTCTCAAGTAGTAGCAGTGGCAGCCAGCCACATTAAGCCTCCATGTTAAGTAGCCCCCATGGGCAAGAGATGAAGCTCTTTTGTTTTTTTTTTAGGCGGAGTTTCACTCTTGTTGCCCAGGCTGGAGTGCAATGGCGCAATCTCGGCTCACTGCAACCTCCACCTCCTGGGTTCAAGCTATTCTCCTGCCTCACCCTCCTGAATAGCTGGGATTACGGGCACCCATCACCATGCCCAGCTAATTTTTGTATTTTAGTAGAGACGAGGTTTCACTATGTTGGCCAGTCTGGTCTCAAACTCCTGACCTCAGGCGATCCACCCATCTCAACCTCCCAAATTGCTGGGATTACAGGTGTGAGCCACTGCGCCTGGCCGAAGCTCTTTTTTATGTTTCGAGCATATATCTTAGCTGGAGGGATGCTGGTAGGGGAGAGAAGCCTCTGGCTTCATGATGATGATGATAGTGATGCTGGTGGCCATAGTGATGGTAGAAAACAGTGCTGAGTCCTTGCAGCCAGCAACTCAGCCTGACGTTTTTGGGATCCCTTATAAGGAAAGCAGATATCATCCCCAGGTTACAGATGACAGAACAGAACACTGAGAGATTAAAGGACTGTGACAGAGCAAGGATTTGAACCCAGCAAGCAGCACCTGAGCCGCGCCGCCTCCCTGTGCTGCTATTCCTGTGCCTTGTTGCCCCAGGAAAGTCACTGGTCCTCTCCACCCCTCCCCATGCATGTCTCTCCTACCTCTCCCTTCTGCAGGATCCCCTGAGGAGAGAGCTGTCTTCATGAAGGCTTCTCGGAAAATGCTGGGCCCCCAAAGAGCTTCTTTGCCCTTCCTGGATCTCCTGGAGTCTGGGGGTCTTAGGGATCAGCCAGCGCAGCTGCAGCTTCACCTGGCCAGGATACCCGAGTGGGGCCAGGACCTGCAGCTGCTGCTGCGTATCCAGAGGGTGCCAGACAGCACCCACCCTCGGGGGCCCATCGGACTGGTGGTGCGCTTCTGTGCACAGGCCCTGCTGCATGGGGGTGGTACCCAGAAGCCCTTCTGGAGGCACACAGTGCGGATGAACCTGGACTTTGGGAAGGGTGAGTGTGAGGCAGGCCTGAGAAGGCACCTACAGGGAGGGGAGCTGTGGGTCCATGAACACAGTGGGGTGGGCCCAGCCAGATTACACACAGACCCCTTCCTCCAACACACACACATTCTGGGCAGTGAAGCTGCCAGCTGCTGCACCTCTGATGCCACCCCACCAGGCGAGACGGAGCAGTGAGCCCTGGGGACAGTGTGTGCGTGGTGGGACGCTGTCTGTCTGTCTCTCACACACACTTTTACCTCTCACGTGAAAATTCTAATTTTTCCTCTCTCACATCTACATGTCCCCCCTCTCTCTGGTCCATGTCCTGGACTCAAGGTGTCTTTTGTATGTGCTTAGAGACACAGTGGCCGCTCCTCCTGCCCTACAGCAATTACAGAAACAAGCTAACGGACGAAAAGCTCATCCGCGTGTCTGGCATCGCGGAGGTTGAAGAGACAGGGAGGTCCATGCTGGTCCTAAAAGATATCTGTCTGGAGCCTCCCCACTTGTCTATTGAGGTAGTGTCTGGACATGGGTGGGGGCTCTGAGGCTCTCTGACTCACCCAATCCAGGGGCTGGGGTGCAGCAGCCAACAAGACACTGTTCCCACCTCTCACCACACCGATGGCTCCAGCACAGTATGGTGTGGTCTAGTGCTCTGTACCAGCGTGGGGTTGGAGGGGCATGAAGGCTTCTCAAAGGACGTGCTATTTTTCAGAGGATGCATAGGAAACTATAGAGAAATTAGATGGCCGTGAAGGCATTTTAAGTAAGGAAATCATTTTGCAAAGGCAAAGAGACGGGAAAGGCAGTGACTAGGAGATGAAGTAGAGGAGACAGATTTAGAGACTCCACAAAGTCAAATTCAAACGATGACCACTGGCTAAGCATGGTGGCTCATGCCTGTAATCCCAGTGCTTTGGGAGGCCAAGGCGGGAGGATCACTTGAACCCAGGAGTTCGAGACCAGTCTGGGCAACATAGCGAGACCTTGCCTCTACTTAAAAGTTTTTCAAAAGTTAGCTGGTGTGGTGGTGCATGCCTCTAGTCCCAGATACTCAGGAGGCTGAGGTGGGAGTCCAGGGAAATCAAGCCTGCAGTGAGCTGAGATCATGCCACTTCACTCCAGCCTAGACAACAGAGTGAGACCTTGTCTCAACAAAACAAAACAAAAGGTGAGTATTGACAAGATTGAGGTGACAAAGACGGAAACAAATGAAAAGTGAACTTCAGATTTTGAGTTCAGATGCCTGAGTGGCCAGTGAGGCCATTACACAAAGAAGGAATTTCAGGCAAAGGAAGGGTGAATGGAAGAGGGCAGGTGCATTCCCCATCTCCTGCTACCAGGGTTTTCCTTCCCGAAAGCCTCGTTTTCTCACCTGCCCCTCCCACTCAGAAAGACTTGCCCACTGCCTAGTCCAAACCTGGCTCTGTACCTGGAGGCTTCTCCAACAGCCTGCCCCTCCCCACCCCAATAGAGAACTGGGCAGCTCCAGACCATAAATCAGCTGGCCTACCCCAGGGTTTTCACCCAGGCACACTGTCAGGCTGTCGGGCCAGCTGACACCAGGCAGCCTCTGTGCTGGGGCAAACAGTGGGCAGAACTGCAAGTGCAGACATAAGCCTGGGGCTGTGGCCAGGGCCCTGCCGTGTACCTGAAGCAAACATGGCAAATGCCAAGTAGGTTGCTAATTGGTCCCCATCAGTAAGGGATCTGCAGATGATTCCACAGTTATTTTAACCTGTTCTACTTTGACACCCTTATGAGGGTACAAGGGACTTGGTATTTTTGTTTGGACCCCAGGTGAGTCAGGTGTGTTCTTCCTTTTCCTTGAGTCTCTGGCCCAGCCAGAACAAGCCCCTAGTACGATCTGGGTGGTCAGAGCTCATTTCAGTTCAACACGTGCTTACTGATATCCATCATCTGGCCGGCACTGTTCTAGGCCCAGGGGCTCCAGAAATGAGTAGGAAGGATGCCTGCCTCCCACTCACAGGCCACAGCTGTGCTGCCCCGTGACACAGCACTGAGCACACCTGGAAAAACTCGAGTGCATGCCCTGCTGATGTTTATGAAGACACAGCAGCGTGGGGAAAGATCCTAGGCTGGGGTCTGGGACACCTGGGTCAGGTCCTGGCTCTGCCATTAACACATCATGCAGCCTTGGCCTCACTGTTTCCTCGGTGATGAGCGTAAGGGCAGGATGACATCACTGATGGCACATGGGTGGCACACACGACACCACTTCCTTATCCCACACCTGTGTTAGATATGAATCAATTGTGATCCTTTGTCCTCAGGATCCTTTTAACACAGCCTTCCTAGTAGCCACCCACTGGAGCTGGCACTTCCATTTAAATCTTGTGGACATCTTGAACTAGATGGTGGGGACAGAAACGGGTTTCAGCTTGGTGGCAACTGCTGATTGGTGGTGGCTCCTTGGAGTATTGTGACCTAATGCAGGCCTGTATATGTGTTAATCTCAAGTACTCTCAGCTCACATTCCTCCCTCGCCACTGTGGCACATTAGCTCTAAGCCGCAGTTCCTGGTGGTCGCCAGGGACCTGGGGGTGGGGGTAACTGAACCAGAGTGCAGAAGCGAGGCCAGTTGCCCATGGGATTGCTGACTTCTCTCCACACAGGTGTCTGAGAGGGCTGAGGTGGGCAAGGCGCTGAGAGTCCATGTCACCCTCACCAACACCTTAATGGTGGCTCTGAGCAGCTGCACGATGGTGCTGGAAGGAAGCGGCCTCATCAATGGGC